>NC_000002.12:67917625-68542625 GCF_000001405.40 Homo sapiens
GCTGTCCTCTCTCCACTACCACCCAGGCTTGAGCTCCCTTTCCCTTGCTCCTGGTCACTCTACTAACTTCCCAACTGGGCTCCTCTACATCTCCAAAGGAAGGTACTTTCTTACCTTTGCTCCAGTCAAGCTGAAATATTCACAGTTCCCTAGATAGGCCCTGACCCTCTCTGGGTTAATGACTGTGCTCAGTCTATTTTCTCTTCCTATAATGCTTTCTTCTCTTCCCCCCTACAATATTCCACTCCAGTCCATGATCCCATTCTTCCAACATGAGTCATTTCCTCAGGAAGACATTCCTGATCATTTCAAAATCTCCTCAGATGTGTCTCTCTCCTCCACCATATTTTTTTTTTTTTTTTTAGGCGGAGTTTCCTTCTTATTACCCAGGCTGGAGTGCAGTGGTACGATCTTGGCTCACTGCAACCTCCACCTCCCCGGTTCAAGCAATTCTCCTGCCTCAGCCTCCCGAGTAGCTGGGATTACACGGACCTGTCGCCGTGCCCAGATAATTTTTTTGTATTTTTAGTAGAGACGGGGTTTCGCCATGTTGGCCAGGCTGGTCTCGAACTCCTAACCTCAGGTGATCTGCTCGCCTCAGCCTCCCAAAGTGCTGGGATTATAGGCATGAGCCATCGCATCTGGCCTCCTCCACCATTATTTCTTTATCCATGGCACTTAGAGCATTAGACTTGAATGAGAAAGTAATCAGAGCTATCTATTTTCTTTATCGTTATGACACTTGGTACCTAACACTATGGCTACATAAAGAGCTGATCAAGAAATATTTATGAATGAATCCTTCTATTAGGTCTGAACTGTATCCTTCTATAAGGTATGAACAGGCTGAGAGGTCTTGGAAGTGGAAGAAATAAAATGGGATTCCATCTCCAGACTTGAATTCTTCTCCCAGAGGCAGAACACCAGAATTGATGGGAGCCAGGCACAGTGGCTCAGGCATGTAATCTCATCACTTTGAGAGGCCAAGGAGGGAGGATCGCTTGAGCCCAGGAGTTTGAGACAAGCCTGGGCAACATAGCCAAGACTCCATCTTTACCAAAAATAACAAATTAGCTAGACTCAGTGGTATGCGCCTGTAGTCCCAGCTACTTGGCAGGCTGAGGCAGGAGGATCTCTTGAGCCCAGAAGTTGGAGACTGCAGTGAGCCACCATTGGGCCACTGCACTCCAGCCTGGGTGGCAGAGTCAGACCCTGTCTCAAGAGCACAAAACGGCTGATCTGATGAAGCACATAGTCTTATTTCATGCCTCAGTGAAGACCAGAATGATTGGCTGTGCCCAAAAGAAGGGCACAGAGTCCCTCAAGAGGGGTGAATTTAGCTTCTCCAGAAGGGCACCTAGAGCAACAGAGACTTTCCCTCTGGGCAGCAGAAAAATGTCCACAATGCCATCATATGGTATAGAAATGTACTGGGCTTCTGTTGTTTTTGCCAGAACATGTTCATTTCTCCCCTTTTCTCCCCCCATCACATGGTTCAGGTTCAACCATTGTCTCCCTCCCTGAGTAAAGAAAAAAATTATTCATGACACTTTTTAAAGAATGGTAAGGGAGACTTTACTGAGGGAAACTATCAAGATAGTTATAAGGACTACTGCAATGGGGCCTTGCAGTGGGGAGAGAAATTGGGCTCAACTCTGAATACAATGAGGAAAAGTAGAAATTTCTAGCCAGTTGGGGGCAGGGGGACGGTGTGGATGGATGAAAAATTACTAAGAGGAAACATCGGGGGTGAGAGGTGATTCTGCCTAAACCAAACTAACAAGATTATTGCTGAAGGCTGCCTAGGGGAGGGTGGGAGTGAAGAATTTGGTGAGATATTTGGCAATCAGATACTAAAGGTGGGGGATTCTGGCTAAATCAGCTTAACAAAATTCTTGTCAAAATTGGGTGATACAAAGACAGACATGAAAGTACAAAAGTCAAGGCCTGGTTGGGAAGAAGAAAATTCAGAGGATTCTGACTAAAGTTTGGTCAAGTAAAGACTCTTTGTTACTCCCAGCATCCAGGAGGGGTCAGCAGGCCTGAAGCCAGAGCTGCCCAGAGAAAGTCAAGTCAAGGACCTAACAAAACCAGTAAGAAAGAGCTGCTCTCCATCTACTGGGTTGCCAAGCTGGAGCTCTTGCTGTTCACTTTTTCTAGCATGTGGGGAGGGCCTAAGAATGAAGGCAAGACAGAAGACAGCAGAGCTGAGAGGTGGTGAAAGAAGCAATGTCCTTATCTTATCACTAAGTCGCTGTATCCTTCCATGCCTGAAGTCAGTGCACCCTTGGACTTCCCAATAATATGAGCTTATATATTCTTTTTAGTTTGTTTAAGCCACTAGGTTTCTCTCACTTACAATCAAGAGTTGTGACTGAAACAATGGGAACCACTTTGCACCGAGAGGCAGACTGCCGGCTTGCTGTTCCCTGCTGTCTGACTGTGTGACCACAGGTAAGCTCCTGGGACTTTTCCATCTGATTACATGAAGCCATCGAACCAGGCTGATTCCTAAAGTTCCTAGTAGCCCTTGTTAGATATGAGTTCTAAATTTCAAAGAATCAATATGTCAGTATGTTCAATTCTTTGCCTTCTACTTTTAAGCTTAACTTCCTCGTAAAGCAACCTTTTCCGATTACCTGCTCCACCCTGACTAATTCCAATAACCTGCTCATTCTCCACCCTGACTCATTCTGATTTCCTGTTCTGCCATAACCATTTTTTCCCACCAAACCACTCACCCCGTCACTCTCTTTAAATTAACCAATCGGAATTAGTTTAGCCTGTGCGGTCTAACCCTAGCCAATAAGGGAACGACACAGCAGCAGGGGCTACGTGCGTCAGGGATAAGAACCCCTTCCCCTCCCTTGTCCAAGTGTGTGCTCACCATTGCTCCATCTGTAAGGGCGCACCCTTCTATAGAAGTACACTGCCTTGCTGAGAATTAAAAAGAACATTTTACATTCGAGTGCTATGTCTTTTGTGGCACCAAAACTCCATTTTTAACACCCTGACATTCTCTAAGTCACTCTCTAGACTGGACATTCTAGAGCAATGCTAAATCTAATTAAAACATAATTCTACAACTGATCTGCCATATTGTGATAATGATCAATGCTTTTGCGCCATTTTTAATTTTTTTTTTTTTTTTTTTTTTTTTTTGTCTTCAGTAGTAGTTTTGCTTTTGACAACACCAGAACAGTGTGAAGCTCTTATTCCCTCACTGGGGGGCTTTGACATCTCACCACTGGGCTGAAAGAAAGTTATTTAAAACAACTTCAGTTCTGAAGCCATCCTCATAGGGTTAACAATTCTGGACAGAAATAGAGTTATAATTAAGCATTAATCAGGCTTCACTTCGGCTGACTTCCTTGTAACTGAAAGTCATGGAACACTGGATACTGACCGTTCACATCCCCGTTGTTCCTATAGACAGGATTTCTGACATTAGATAGAATCGCCGATGTTAGAATCATAAGGCTTTTGTTTAAGAATTGATTAAGCAAATCCTGAATTCCAGCAGAACAGCTGATGTCAACCAGTTTAAACACCCCCTTGGAGAAACCGAATCTGCATGAAAATAGAATTTCTTCATCTGCCTGTCTCATGACTTCACCCTGCACCCTCCCATCGATCAATGATCTCTACTTTGAACCCCTTAAAAACCCTAGCCTCGAACTCCTTTGGGGAGACAGATTTGAGGTTTCCTCCCACCTGCTCATTAGGCAGCCCTACAGTTAAACCTCCCTTTCTGCTGCAACACCATGTCTTGGTATATTGACTTGCTGTGTGCATCTGGCAATGGACCTATTCCAGTTATGCTTCCAGCCAATCAAATGGCACTGGCCCTGGTGGACCTGACTTGTCCATCTAGAATCTGATGAGCAGACACCTGACTGTGCTGCCTTGGCATATTTCATGATCACACAAAACCAAATTACTTAGTGCTTATTGTAGGTCAGACATTGTTATCCAGGTCTTGGGGTAAACAAAGGAAAAGAGGATCCTTGCTCTCCATTCACAGTTAACTGGGAAGACAAGACACAAGACACATACAGGACAGTGCAATGCCAGCTGCAATCTGTGCAACCACTTCAGGGAACCCTCTTTCCTTCCTCTGAATTTGGGATCAAGGTGGAAGGTGGCCCTCTCTAGAACTAAAGCCAAGATGGACAGGACCTGCCATCTGCAGAAGTAATCCACTTTTCTCTGTCTCATTTGGCCATTATGTTTGCCTTTAACATAAGGTGTGAGTGAGGGGTGAGGGGTGCCATAATCCCCCTCCAGGCATCCCTCACCCCTCACACACACTCTTTTTTTTCTGCCCTCCTCTACTTCTTTCTACTTGTCTTCTCATTTCTTCTTTCTGCACCTCTCTTCACCCTTTCCTTTCTGCTGGGCTTTTCTATAGACACCAGCCTCTAATGTGACACCCAGGGGTCATGCAGAAAGTGTGCATTGAGGGGTAGGCAGGGGGTTGGAGGCATAAATGATTGAGTTCTTTAAATAACATTTAATGAACAATAAACACAATCCAGTCCAGCCAAAGTGGTACTTAGCTACTAAGTACCCAGTCAATGGCCCATCTGTCATATTGTTAAGACCTTTAGAAGTTGTTTAACAAAATGTTAAATGAGATGACATTCAGCAGGCAGCAAAATGCTCGACTGCCTAATGCAACCCAAAAGAGCTGGCCTAGTGGCAGTGTTTGATATAATGCTTTGTATTCCCCTCCCAAGAACCCAAGAGCAGGAGGTCTCCCTGCCTGTCACTTCCTATCTTGGTAAAGTGAGCTCGGGTGGGAAGGACACAATCACCATTGGCAAGGAGGCCATGGCCGGCTGATGAGCTGCTTTTCTGAGGAAGCATGACTGAGAGGGGGCACCTGGAAGTAAAGCCAGTGAAGAGAAAAAAATAATAACTCATCTGGAATTTCCTTCTCTCCTTTCCTTGTCACCAGTGAACCCTACCTCTCTCTCTGTTGGCCTTGAGGGGAGAAGGCAGGGGTGGTAATGAGAGCCGACTTTTTCTAAGAGCTGAAATATGAAGCCAATTACTAAGGGGAAGATTTCCAGCAAATTGGCTCCTGATAGCTCACATTTATCTGCTTTAGATTTGCATAGTCAGAGAGGAAAGGCTCTCTACTTTGGTCCAAATAACAAAAGTAGAATCTGTTCAGCAGGAGGTAAACAACTTATTCGGCCTACCTTCAACTCTTGTGTCCAGAGTTCAGCAATTAAAGGAAGTAAGAAAACCACAGCAAGAACTGTTTTATAGAGGAAGAGAGGAAAACACTTTATATATATATATATATATATATATATATATATATATATATATATATATGATCAATAAACACAAATGCAGCCCAACCAAACTGGTACTTAGCTACTAAGTATATATAAGTGTATATATATATATATATATACATATATATATATGTATATTCTCACCCTATAAAAGGTGGGGTCACACAAAGAAAGAAAGCACCAAAACTTCCGTAATGACAAAAGTCTTCACTGGAGAGTAAATATAGGGGAGTCTTCACTGGAGAGTAAATATAGGGGAGGAAAAATAATTTTCTCTCTACTCTACATATTTCTTAGTTAGGACAGTTTCTTTCATCAAAAGACAGGTTAACAAGAGAAAAACAACAAAAGTTTAGTAACATGGATACCTCCTGTATACAAAGGAGAGACCCAGGGAAAAAATGAGTAAATCTCAAAGAGGTGGCTTCGAGTTCAGCCTTAAAAACTATAGCTCTGTTACAGTAGGTAGCTATTCAGACTTGAACAGAGCAGGAGAGGCCCCCCACCACCACCAGGAATATCAGACAATTATCAGGTGATGGTCAGATGTTTGCTAAACTGGCTCTCCAAAATAATAGTTAGTCACAGCTGGCACCAGGGAAAGGCAGTCTCTCAATAGATAGAAACACCTGAAACTGATGATAAACAGCTCCGATAAGATTTCAGGAGTTAGGCCATTGGGCTCAAGCATGCACACTAAGAGGCAAAATGGCAGAGTTTAACTGGTATACGACCTTCTTCTAAGAATGCTCAACTGGTAAGGGAAGAACACCTCAAATGAACATGCATACAACTCCAGTAAACACACTATGCATGCAGCCCCTCCCAAGTGCTGGCGGGCCACTGTGCATGTGAACAGCCCACCCCAAAGGAAGACTCAGGGAGAAGGGACACAGCCCCTGGAAACATGCCAACGTATAAAACCCCAAGTCAAAGATTCAACCACCCACTTGATCTCTCAAGTCGCCTGCTTGGCCCTCTTCCAAGTGTACTTCCTTTTATTCCTGCTCTAATGCTTTTCAATAAATTTCACTCCTGCTTTAAAACTTGCCTCAGTCTGTCACTCTGCCTTATGCCCCTCACTCGAATTGTTTCTTCTGAGGAGGCAAGAATTGAGGTTGCTGCAGACCCACCCTTATGGATTTGCTGCTGCTAACAGTTCTCTGAAACAAAAACAGAAGGGTATGGGAGAAGGCAGGTTATGGGGAGGGGTTCGGGAAAAATACAATAAACAAGAGCAAGGTTTTTTCTGCAGATTTAAGTTGGTGCCTTCTCCACTGATAAGAGTCTCCAGGGATTTTTCAGTCATCCTCGTTTCCTGGTTCAGAGAGGGAGACAGCCTTACAAATGGAAGTTTCCTTTATAGATGTAAATTTTCCTTACAAAAGGGTAACTTCTACTTTATTTTTAGAGCTTTCCCTGTGGCTGTAGTCTCTCAAAGTAATCCTTATGCCAAAGTGGCATATTTTGGTATAGCATATTCCCATTTTCTACAGTCATATTTTTGGGTGGCATATTCTGGTCTCCAACATAAGTTTCCAAATATGTTTCACTGGTTTCCTCTTCCTCGGCTCAGAATTCCCTGGCATTTATCCTATAATACATTCAAACATTTACCTAAATGAAGGAACTATATACCCAGAAAATATAACCAACCATCAGAACCCTACACAAGTAGAAATTGTATTCACAGCTTTCTGGTTAAAAATAAAATAAAATCTAGTATTACTGAAATGAATTCCCCACCTATAAAGCCATCTCACATAATTCAACAATAAGACAAATCACCAAATAACTTAATTGAAAATGGGCAAAGGATTTGAGCAGACATTTCTCCAAAGAGACACAAACAGCCAATAGGCATGTGAAATGATGAAATGATAAAATGATGCTTAACAACATCATTAGCCATTAGGGAAGTGCAAATCAAAATCATAATGAAATACTACTTCACATGTACTAGAATGGCTAGAATCCAAAAGACAGGTCGGAACCCTCATACATTGCTGGTAGGAATGTAAAATGATACAACTGCTTAGGGGCATATTTCCTCAAAATATTAAAGATGGAGTTACCATAGGTGTTAGTCCATTTGCATTGCTATAAAGGAATACCTGAGGCTGGGTAATCTATAAAGAAAAGAGGTTTATTTAGCTCACGGTTCTGCCGATTGTACAAGCATGGCACCAGCAACTGCTCAGCTTCTGGTGAGGCCCAAGAAGCTTTTAGTCATAGTGGAATGGAACGGGGAGCCAACATGTCACATGGCAAGAGAGGGAGCAAGAGGGCAGGGATTGGGGGTGAGGTTCCAGACTCTTTAACAACCAGATCTCTCATGAGCTCATTACAGCAGGGAGGGCACCAAGGCACCCATGAGGGATCCTCCCCCATGACCAAAACACCTCCCACGAGGCCCTAATTCCAACACTGGGGATCACATTTCAACATGAGATGTGGAGGGGACAAACATCCAAACCATATCACCATATAACCCAATAATTCTACTCCTAAGTATATTATCAAAAGAAATGAAAATATGCATGCAAATAAAAACTTACACATGAACATTCACAGAGGCATTATTAAAAATAACCAAAAAGTGGAAACAGCTCAAATACCCAAGAACTGATGAAAGATAAACAAAATATAGCTGGCCTTCCACATGTAAAGGTTTCATATCCTCAGATTCAACCAACCACAAATAAAAAATATTTGGAAAAAAATGGATGGCTGCATTTGTACATTATATGTACATATTTTTCTTCTTGTTGTTATTCCCTAAACAGTACAGCATAACAACTATTTATATTGTATTTACATTGTATTAGGCCTTATAAGTGATCTAGAGATGACTTGAAGTATACAGGAGGATATGCATAGCTTATATGCAAATACTATGCCATTTTACATAAGGAACTTGAGCATCCTTGGATTTTGTTTTCCATGGGGCATTCCAGAACCATTCCCCCGTGGATATCGAGAGACAGTTACACTATCAAACATCCTAGACAGGCCATTCTCTCTAAAGGATAACTGATCAGGATAAAGGCAGTCTGACAGAATATGGTTCTATCATTTCAGTTACTTGCAGAACAGTAACACCTCCCGTTATTACCAACAAACACCCAAAGACTCAGGGCTGCCCATACTCAGCAGGCAGTAGCAAAACCCTAACTGCCATAGGAACAGAACACAGTCCTGCTCACCAGGCCACATCCTGCTGGGGAGTCTATTACATCCCCAAACTCAGGATGCCCTCCACTTGTGACATCCACCAAACCCCACACCCACCCCATCCCAGTCCTGTGCTAAGTGGAATGGTCTTTATAGGCTGGGCTAGTCCTGTCCCATTTCTGCCAAGAGCATAATATCCTGTTGTTGATCTCAATTAGAAAACTCAATTTGAAATGGGATCCCTAGGTATAGTTACCAAACTCACTCTTTATTAAATACTTTCTGATACCAAAATATCTGGTCTTATACCTACCATTCCTGTTACAATCATGCAGCTGCCTGAAGCACAGCCAGATGGGAGGCATTCAATAAAGTTGCTAGCTTTCCCCCCATAATCCTGAGATTTACTGTGTTAATTTAAAGCCCTCAGACATCAGTGACACCATACCACCTTGGCCAATTTTTCCTCAAGGAGTCATATGGGTTTTGTAAAGAATTCACTGTTAGATCAATATTAGCTTTAAAGAAAAAGTTGCACCCTGAAGTCAAAGCAACTGCGTTGCTAAACTACACTATAATATTTCTGTGTTATGAGAAAATGCTTACAGGTAAGAAGCATTATAGGTAGGAAGTTTATTTAAGTTCCTCCCACTCTCTCAGGAGGGCAGGAAATAAGAGACTTTGGATAGGTTTCTAAATTATTGTCAAAATATGTCTTTCCCACTATACACAACAATTATAGGTACATATTATAGGTATAGGGAGAAAAGGGACTCTTACAGTAACAGTGGAGAGAACCCTGGACCAAGAGCCTGTAGGGCAGGGCTATCTAAAAGAACTTTCTTTGGTGATGAAAATGTTCTACATCTGTGCTGTCCAACATGGTAGCCACTAGCCACAGATGGCCACTGAGTACTTGAGATGTGGCTAGGGAGAGTGAGGAGCTGATGTTTCCATTTTAATTAATTTAAATTTAAACAGCCACCTGTGGCTAATGACTGCCACAATGGGCAGTGCAGTGTGGCAAGGATGTGGCCTTGGGCAAATCGTTAAACCTCTCTGAGTTTTCATTTCCACTTTGGATAACTTGAGAGTGAAAATAAGAAATGTTTATGGCTTTTTGGAGTTGTTTCACTCTGCAACCCATGAATAAATAAAACAGGTTCAGATCTTTGGCCAAATTTAGAATCCTTCTCTCTTACTTTCCCTCTCTTTCCTCTTTCACACCATATGTTAGTGGCCCACCGTGGACCAGAGCCTCTAAGTACATAATCCCAAGCCAGCTGCCTGACCACGAGCACCACTCTTACTTTTCTACTAACACGGCGGCGGGGGGGGGGAATTTAAACTTCTCTTATTCCACTTTGTTGAAAATAAACCTGGCTGACCTAAACCATGAGCTTGATGTTATAATAAAGGCCATTTAACCTGCACGCTGACCAGAATTCTCTCTCCAGAGTGGGGTCACAGGGCAGAGTTGGTGGGGAGGGACTGCTGGCTCCACAGCCCCCACATGACCGGCCCCCCACCAGCAAGGCCCCACTCTGCAATCCTTAGTTAATTTCAGAGCAGCAGTAGGCTACCTCCTACAAGGTTTGAAGGGACCTGGGAAGATCAATTACAGAAATGATTAGCATGCAAATGGCACCAGCAGGCTACGGGCAAGAACTCTCTCTGTAAGGACTGCAGAGGCCAGCTGAGCTAGGAATAAATCATTCTGCTATAAACAGAAGAAAAATCATTAGCCTTTTTATCAATGGAAAACACTTTCTTCTACTATTTCAAGTGTGTTATTCTGAAATACTTTAATTAAGTGGTGAGAACTGGAGACTAAAAATATAACAATCAAGATGAAGAACAGAGTCCCATTTTTTCCTAAAGACAGTGGATCCCCTACTCATGTCTTTTCTCTTACACTTTTTGAGTCCTTATACACATCAAAGATGTGGTCCTCAAACATCAGCCTACAGACAGGTGCCAGCTCATACTAATAGTTTTCCCGGTCCAGAGCACATTCTTAAAAATAAAAACACTGAATTAATTTTTCATAAGACTAGGCTTATTCAAATTTTTTAAAATTGCTACTATATTTGTCCTAATTTTTGGTGTTAGAAAGTCATTTCTTTCATGAAATAATTGTAATCCTAAATGGGAGTTCATTTTTTTTCATCTTGTTTTTGGTTTTTGTAAACTCCCTTACTGGCAAAACTGAAAGTTAACAACTGCTGGCTTTGTATTGTAGGAGACCAGAATATCCCCAAAATATGAAGGACTGTTGAGCTTAAGACAAGAAGTAGATGCAGGAAATCTCTGTTCTCCCTCTATGAGCCTAAAAGCAGTAGATTTACAAGAACAAAAAGTACCCTGCCCATTTCTCTACCAGGGAAAACAAAGGTTACCACTGAAGACAGCTTTAGACCCTCATCAGCCTAGAGATGGTACAAGAGGAAATCTACAGTAACAAACTTTACTAACCAGCCTTTATCTGCCATTCATTTGCCTTTTCCCAAGTTGCCACCTGTAGAGATTCGAAGTTCTTTTCCTTTGGCTTGTTATTTCTCTAAAAATTTACTATTCTAGCTACTCAGGAGGCTGAGACAGGAGGATCAGTTGAACTGAGAAATTTGAGGCTGCAGTGAGCTAGGATTGCATCACAGAACTCCAGCCTAAGCCACAGAGTGGGACCCTGTCTAGAAAAAAAAAAAAAATTGTTTACTATTCTTTGTTGAAGATGCTATATAAGCTGGAATTCAAAGCCACTTATTCGACAACTACTGATTTTCTGGATGTCTCCCATGTATATATGAAATATACATGCTAATAAACTTGTTTTTCTCTTGTTAATCTGTCTATTATAGCAGGAGTTCATTCCAACAGAGAACTGTAGGGGAGGGAAACCTTCCTTGCTACCATCTGAGGGTTTGATAATTGAGTCTACTAAATAAACTGGCAGTAGACAGATTAACAGGAGAAAAGGTATACAGATTTATCACATGCACAGGGGCATCATATGAAAGAAAAGTGAATACCCCAAAACTCAGTAAGTGAGATCTAGAAGCTTATATACCCTCTTCATAGGGATGAGGATGTGGGTGGTGTAGGCAATTTAGGAGACAGCAAATGAATTCTGAAAAAAGTGAATAGGTGATAGCCTGTGACAAAGTCAGCCTGGGCTGGTACTTACCCCCAGTCTCTTCTGTGAGATCAGCCAAGCATCCCTGATCGATGAGATTCCCAGGGAGGGAATTCATGACAGTTGAGTTCCTCTTGGAGGATCCTCTTTAGGAAGACAAGGGGAACTTAGAGAAAGCCTCTGCTGCATCTGCTTTCTCCACATGCGTCAGCTGAGTGTAATCAGCACACCAAAGCATCATGTTTGCTTTCAGAAAAAGCATCATTTTCTGAACTCCTTCAGAACCTAACCTATGAGGATTATTATTATTCCCCTACAGTGTTATGTCTGTTTAGCTGAGTGATAACATTCCAATATCTGGGACCCCCTGGCTTAGATTTTAGCAGAGATACTCCAGCTCTCACCAGTGATGAGCAGGCTGTGGTCATAGGAGGACTAAGAATGGAGCACCCTAGAAAACTCTATTTCTCTATTGTTCTCTTGGTGGAACAAATGCTTTGTCTAACCCCAGATATGGAAGAGAAAAACTTTCTGATTTCCAGGCCTGATAACATCATGACCCCAATGATCTCTGCTTGGAACTTACCAGCTTTGGATTTTAAAAAAAAAAAAGTACCTTGACAAAACATTGCACTGAAAGAAAAGGTATAACACGGCAACTGCAATGAACTTTCTATTCATCTATCTATTCTTGACACAGATCACACCCCTCTGGATGAGAGTGTCCCCAAGTGAGCATCGTCCTCACATCACCCCCATGCTTTTGAAAGGAATAAAGCAAGCCTCAATTTTGCTTACTTGAAGTATCAGAAGGAGTAGAGTATCACCTAGGAGAGGGACTGGTAACCAGCACTTTCAAGGAAAATGCTGTCAGGCTAATGTTTGTACCTTCAAGAAACAGAGAATTCGCATGTAGCAAGAGAAAAATGTGAGTATGTGCATGTGTGGGTGAAGGGTGGATGGCGTAAGGCAAGATGGATGCTAAGGAAGCTGTAGTCAAGTAAGGAAGCCTAGAGGACTCTGGATGATCACAAAGATGGGAGCTAAAGGTTCCCAGATAAAGGCAAATCCAAGAGCAGTTCCCTAAGCAAGACCCACACAAAGGAATTGTAGCCAACATATGTTGAGAGCTCGCTCTGTGCCAAGCACCCTGCTGAGCAATTTGCATAGATTAACTCATTGAGTGCTTAACAGCAACACTGTGAGACAAATGCTAGTACTAGCCACATTCCATAAATGAGGAAACTAAGGTTCAGATAGGTTAAGTAATCTTCCTTAAGTCACGAAGCCAGTTGCTTGGAATCTGAACTCAAGTGTGGTATGATATCAGGGCCCTTGATGACAAAGACATCTTTGCTTCAAGAAATACAGGGGCAAGATCATTTCCAATGGATGCTTGAGACAGATCGATTAGACCAGACCTTGAAAGAGCTATTTTTCAAAGGCTGTTTTAATCATTTCCATTACCATATTAAGGCCAATATTCTACCTGCTCTTTGGAGATGAAGTTAAAGTAGTATTTTTGGTATTTTCTTTTCTCAGAGTCATAGAAAGTTAGAACTACAAGGAACCTCAGAGACCATCTAACCCAGCTCCTTTATTTGACAATATGATATAGAATCTCAGGAAGGTGAAATGACTATAGCAAGGACCTATTACTGACAAGTCAGCAGTCACTACAGAGCTCAAGTTGACAGTCTGGGTGAAATGAGTGAATACATTGTTTGGTATATAACAGGGCTTCAACAATGTTAAAAAGTATTATCACATTATCATTTCAGTGTCTTAAGATAAATGAGCTCAGAACTACTCACTCAGGCAATGGACTAAAAGAATTCTATAGACACAAGAAATTAAAAAAAAAATCTTCAAGCAACATAAGAGATGTGAATGTAGGCCAGGCGCAGTGGCTCACGCCTGTAATTCCAGGACTTTGGGAGGCCAAGGTGGGTGGATCGCAAGGTCAGGAGTTCAAGACCAGCCTGGCCAACATGGTAAAAAAAACCTGTCTTTACTAAAAATACAAAAATTAGCCGGGCGTGGTAACACATGCCTGTAATCCCAGCTACTCCGGAGGCTGAGGCAGGAGAATTCCTTGAACCCGGGAGGCAGAGGCTGCAGTGAGCCAAGATAGTGCCACTGCACTCCAGCCTGGGCAACAGAGCAAGACTCCATCTTGGAAAAAATAAATTTAAAAAATAAAAATAAATTTAAAAAATAAAAAATAAACGAGATGTGAATGTAAAGTTATGAGGTGCTGCATGGTTAATAGATAGTCTCATTACAGTATGACCACTCATCTTACTTCTCAACACATATAACTAAGTGAATAATAAATTTGGTTTAAGAATTTGAGTTTGTGATGGCACATGCTTAGGTAAACTATATGGCTATAGTCAAACATATTTTTCCTTGTCAGACAGGGATGAAATATATAGCTCCAGCATATTTTATCAGCAATTATATATGACTTTGAATTTTCTTGAATAAAAATCAGTAACCAGATATTGTTACCTATGGCTCAGACAATTTCATAATCTTTTTCTCCTCCTTGAGAATTCTTGTCCTAAAATTCATCATAAAAGTTAGGAAAGATGAGCCACTGGATATTTTTGCAAACCTTTGTCTTCACATGGATCTCTATAGCTCTAGCTAATTTCTCACAAGATCAATGGTCTCTAACATGACTAATAGAACTTAACAGTTACACAGAGTGCTGCCTCATTCTGCTAATTTACGTTCAGTCTCCAAAAAAGGCATATTCCCACTGCAAAACTACAGTAATTCTTTGGATTGTAACAATAAATTCTGAGATGACAAGAAGTGGCTAAAAGAATAAGACCCTGTAGTCTAACAAGATTGTGATAATTTTCCCAAATACATAGGTTCTCTTTGTGTAATTGAAGAATTAGAGTGCTAGAGGTATCTTGAATTAAATAGTAAATTTGCAGGGTAAGATAATTGATGTGATTTGAATGTGTCCCCCAAAAGTTAATGCATTAAAAACTTGGTTGCCATTGTAACATATTAAGAGGCAGGGCCTTCGGAAGGTGATTGGGCCATGAGGGCACCACCTTCAAAAAGTGACTGATGCCCTTATTGCTAGAATGAGTTATCACAGGAGTGGGGCTCCTAATAAAAGGGTAAGTTCAATCCCTATTTCACTCTCTGTCTCATGTACTTGCTTCCTCCTTTGCCTTCTGCCAAGGGCTGTCTCTCACCAGATACTGGGGCTATGCCCTTCGACTTCCCAGCCTCCAGAAGCATAAGCCAAATAAATTTTTGTTTTTTAATACATTACCCAACCTGCGGTATTATTCTGTTATAGGAGCAGGAAACTGACTAAGACAGAAAATTGGTACTGAGGAGTAGAGTCGTTGCTAAAACAAATACCTGAAAATGTGGAAGCATCTTTGAAACTGGGTAATGGGTAGGGACTGGAAGAATTTGGAGGAGCAGGCTAGAAAAAAACTAGATTGCCATGAATGGAGTGTTATGGGTGATTCTGGTGAGAGCTCAGAAGAAGAGAACTATAGGGAAAGTCTGAATCTTCTTAGAGATTATTTAAGTGGTCATGATCAGAATGCTGGTGGAAATATGGATAGTAAATATCACCTCTATGAGGTCCCAGATGAAAATGAGAAACAAGGTACTGGAAGCTGAAGTAAAGGCCATCCTCATTACAGCAGTTGCAAAGAACTTGCCTGAATTGTGTCCCTGTCTGAGGGCTTTATGGTATGCAGAACTTAAGAGCAATGAGCTAGGATATCTGGTGGAAGAAATATCTAAGCAACAAAACATTCAGGCTCTTGCATGGCTACTCTTAACTGCATGTGGTCAGATAAAAGAGAAAAGGCATGACTAAAACATGAAATTTACAATTAAAGGAGAAGCAGAACAAAAAGATTTGGAAAATCCCCAGCCTGGCCATGTAGAGTGAAAAGGGGTCCTTAGGAGAGCAAACCAAGGATATGGTCAAGTGAACATTTGCTAAAGAGATTACCATAGATAGAAGATACTATTCATCAATATAATGAGAGAAAGACCCGAAAGGCTGGTCAGAGATCTTAGAGGCTGTACCTCCCATTGCAGGCCTGGAGGCCCAGGAGGGAAGAATGCTTTCCAGGAAGGGCCTGTGCCTTTCAAGGGCTCACTGCCCAGAGCAACCTCAGGACTGAGCTCCCCACATCCTCTTGCAGCACTCTCTGGCTGACCCAACTGTTGCTCAAGTGGGCCCAGGTATGGCTTGACCTGACTCTCTCGAAGGTACAAGCTGTAGGCCTTGGCAGCATCCATGTGGTGTTAATTCTGCAGGTGTGCAGAAAACAAGAGCTGTGGGGGCTGGCTACCTCCCCCTAGATTTCAAAAGATGCCACAGACTGCCTAGAAGCCCAAGCACAAACCTGCCACAGAGACAGAGCCAATACAGAGAGTCTCTACTAATGCAATGCCTACTGATACCATGGGAGTTGGGCAGTCTCCAAGACCACAGAACTGCAGAGCCACCAGCATACAACTCCAGCCTGGAAAAGCTGCAAGCATGAGACTCCAACTCATGAGAGCTGCTGTGTGGGATAAGTCCAGTAAAGCCACAGGGGCAAGGCTGCCTGGGAGGACTTGGGAGCCCAACCCCACCCTAGTGTATCTAGGAGATGGAACATGGGGTCAAAGGAGTTTATTCTCCAGCTTTAAGACTTAATCTTGTTTTCTCTGTTGGGTTTTGAACTTACTTGGAACCAGCTACCCATTTTTTCTTGCCTTTTTCTCCCTTTTGGCACGGGAATGTCCATCCTATGGCCGTCCCACCATTGTATTTTGGAAGTAGATAACTTGTTTAATTTCACAGGCTATCAGTTGAAAGCAATTTGCCTCAGGATAAATCACACCTTGAGACTCACTCTTATTGATTTAGATGAGACTCTGGGTTTTTTTGAGGGGGGTTGCTTTTTTTAAGAGACAAGATCCTGCTATGTTGCACAGGCTGATTTCTAATTCCGGGGTTCAAGTGATCCTCCAACCTCAGCTTCCTGAGTAGCTGGGATTGCAAGGACACATCATCATGCCTGGCTTGACTTTGGAGATTCGAGTTGATGCTGGGACAAGTTAAGACTTTGGGTCTACTCGGATGGAATGATGGATTTTGTACGTGAGAAAAACATAAGCTTTGGGGAGCCAGGGATGAAATGTTATACTTTTGATGTGTCCCTCAAAAGTTCAGGTGTTGGAATCTTCACTGTCATTGTAATAGTATTCAGAATTGAGGCCATTTTTTGTTCCATATGAAGTTTAAAGTAATTTTTTCTAATTCTGTGTAGAAAGTCAGTGGTAGCTTGATGGGGATAGCATTGAATCTATAAATTACTTTGGGCAATAAGGCCATTTTCACGATATTGATTCTTCCTATCCATGAGCATGGAATGTTTTTCCATTTGTTTTTGTCCTCTCTTATTTCCTTGAGCAGTGGTTTGTAGTTCTTGAAGAGGTCCTTCACATCCCTTGTAAGTTGTAGGTATTTTATTCTCTTAGTAGCAATTGTGAATGGGATTTCACTCATGATTTGGCTCTCTGTTTGCCTGTTATTGGTGTATAGGAATGCTTGTGATTTTTGCACATTGATTTTGTAACCTGAGACTTTGCTGAAGTTGCCTATCAGCTTAAAGAGATTTTGGGCTGAGAAGATGGGGTTTTCTAAATATACAATCATGTCATCTGCTAACAGAGACAATTTGACTTCCTCTCTTCCTATTTGGATACCCTTTATTGCTTTCTCTTGCCTGATTGCCCTGGCCAGAACTTCCAATACTATGTTGAATAGGAGTGGTGAGACAGGTCATCCTTGTCTTGTGCCGGTTTTCAAAGGGAATGCTTCCAGTTTTTGCCCGTTCAGTATGATATTGTCTGTGGGTTTGCCATAAATAGCTCTTATTATGTTGAGACACATTCCATCGATACCTAGTTTACTGAGAGTTTTTAGCATAGCCAAGACAATCCTGGGCAAGAAGAACAAAGCTGGAGGCATCACACTACCTGACTTCAAACTTTACTACAAGGCTACAGTAAACAAAACAGCATGGTACTGGTACCAAAACAGATATATAGACCAATGGAACAGAATGGAGGCCTCAGAAATAACACCACACATCTACAACCATCTGATCTTTGACAAACCTGACAAAAACAAGAAATGGGGAAAAGATTTCCTATTTAATAAATGGTGTTGGGAAAACTGGCTACCCATATGCAGGAAACTGAAACTGGACCCCTTCCTTACACCTTATATAAAAATCAACTCAAGATGGATCAAAGACTTAAATGTGAGACCTAGGGCCATAAAAATCCTAGAAGAAAACCTAGGCAATACCATTCAGGACATAGGCATGGGCAAACACTTCATGACTAAAACACCAAAAGCAATGGCAACAAAAGACAAAATTGACAAATGGGATCTAATTAAACTAAAGAGCTCTGCACAGCAAAAGAAACTATCATCACAGTGAACAGGCAGCCTACAGAATGGGAGAAAATTTTTGCAATCTATCCATCTGACAAAGGGCTAATATCCAGAATCTACAAAGAACTTAAACAAATTTACAAGAATAAAGCCAACAACCCCATCAAAAAATGGGCAAAGTATATGAACAGACACTTCTCAAAAGAAGACATTTATGCAGCCAACAGACACATGAAAAAAATGCTCATCATCACTGGTCATCAGAGAAATGCAAATCAAAACTACAATGAGATACCATCTCACACCAGTTAGAATGGTGATCATTAAAAAGTCAGGAAACAACAGATTCTGGAGAGGTTGTGGAGAAATAGGAACACTTTTACACTGTTGGTGGGAATGTAAATTAGTTCAACGATTGTGGAAGACAGTGTGGCGATTCTTCAAGGATCTAGAACTAGAAATACTATTTGGCACAGCAATCCCTTTACTGGGCATACACCCAAAGGATTATAAATCATTCTACGATAAAGGCACATACACACGTATGTTTATTGCAGCACTATTCACAGTAGCAAAGACTTGGAACCAACCCAAATGTCCATCAATGATAGACTGGATAAAGAAAATGTGGCACATATACACCATGGAATACTATGCAGCCATAAAAAGGATGAGTTCGTGTTCTTTGCAAGGACATGGATGAAGCTGGAAACCATCATTCTCAGCAAACTATCATAAGATCAGAAAACCAAACATTGCATGTTCTCACTCATAAGTGGAAGTTGAACAATGAGAACACATGGACACAGGGAGGGGAACATCGCACATTGGGGCCTGGGGGGATGGGGGGCTAAGGGAGGGATAACATTAGGAGAAATACCTAAAGTAGGTGATGAGTTGATGGGTGCAGCAAACCACCATGGCACATGTATACCTCTGTAACAAAACTGCACATTCTGCACATGTAACCCAGAACTTACAGTTAATTTAAAAAAATAAATTTAATTTAAAAAAAAAGAAGAAGAATTGAGGCCAGGCCGGCTTCCTTCCGAGGGTCTTGGGTTTTCTGAATTATTCCTGCAGCACTTTGGGAGGCCGAGGCGGGTGGATCATTTGAGGTCAGGAGTTCGAGACCAGCCTTGCCAACATAGTGAAACCCTGTCTCTAGTAAAAATACAAAAAATAGCCGGGCATGGTGGCATGTGCCTGTACTCCTAGCTACTCAGGAAGCCGAAGCAGGAGAATCACTTGAGCCTGGGAGGCAGAACTTGCGGTAAGCCAAGATTGCACCACTGCACTCCAGCCTGGGTGACAGAGTGAGACCCTGTCTCAAAAAAAAAAGGAATTGAGGCCTTTGGGAGGTGATTAGGCCATGAGGGCTCCACTATATAAAGGAGCTGATGTCATTATCATGGGAGTGGTTTAGTTATTGAGGGCATGGTCTCCTGATAAGAGGATAAGTTTGGTCCAGTTTCTCCCCATCTTGTGTGCCACTTCTGCTTTTTGTTTTCCACCACGGGATAACCCTCACCAGATGCCGGTGCCATATTCTTGGACGTCCCAGCTTCCAGAACCATGAACCAAATTTATTGTTTATAAGTTACCCTGACTGTGGTATTCTGTTATAGCAGCAGAAAATGGACTAAGACAGTTGTCACTTAGGAATCAGAATTAAATCCTCTAAAGTGATAAAACTAGCTTTTCAAATGATCTTCATATCCAACTCCCACCAAGTTACAAATACTCACCTTTTATATAGCAAAAGATAACACTGGCTGACATGGTATTCTACTTCCACATGAAGATGTGAATGTCAGGGCAAGAGCTAGACAGCCTGGAGAGACACAGTCCAGAGGACCAGCTTAGAGCCCAGTCATAGTTTGGGATCCTATGTAACAGGCCATGAATCCCAGCAGGGGAAAAATTCTCTCAGGCTTGGTGTTTTCAGGGCTCATCTACTGTCACCATGACAGCAGCAAGGTCAGGAAGGAGTCTGCCCAAATGCATTTATGATGCAGGAAACCATGTTGAGGGCAAGAGACAGGCAGGCTGGTTATGAAGTTTACCAAGAGCCCTCAAGAATACTTCTAAAAAGAAAGCCTAAGTCTAGTAATGAAACTGAATCAAAAACCAAAAATACAGACAGATGTCAGACTCAGGAACACATTCTGCTAGTTCCTTTAGATGTTTAATAAACAAAGGGTGCTGTAATCAAAAACATTTGGGTAGTTGTTGGGCTAAACAGATTTTTTGTTTTGTTGTTTAACCACATCTTACTCTTTTAATATTCTGGTGTCCATCATGAATCTCCAAGAGGCCTGGGTAGTAAATGGTGTTACCAAATTCATTCCACAGGGTGCCATTGTTCACTAAAGCATCTATTGGGCCTTGTGGTATAAGAAAGAGCTTTTGGGAATCCTAAGCCTAGTCAAAACGTCTGATTTTAAAAATAAGAACACTGAGTCCCAGGAAGTTAACAGATTTAGCCAGTGTGGCATGACCACATAGACAGAGCTGGAACAAGAACACCAACTCCCTGGCACGCCTACTATGTGGTTCAACACAACATACCATGTGCCCACATTTTTCTTTTCTCCTTGCTGAAGTCAGCCTTCTCTAGACACTCACAAACTCAGGAAAATAACAGTTGCACCTTCCTTACTTAATAGCAGCTGAACAAACCCCAAGGCATCTCTGCCAAAACTTGCTAAAGGGAGACCCACTGACTGTCTGCCCTTGGCCCTTCCCTCCACTCAAGTTCAGTAAACAACTACAATTTCAATTAGAACAGACATTCTTTCAACTCCATAAACGCTAAGAGAGGCTCTTTGGTGATTAATAGCTGATTAACTTCTCCTGCCAAACATCTGTGGGCTCCATTAATTATACAAAATGCTAAGTGACGATCAGAAGAGCCCTGAAAACATCACACCTGAGAGAATGTTTCTCTTGGTGGGACTCAAGGCCTGCTACCTAGGACCCCAAACTATGACTGGGCTTTAAGCTGGTCCTCCTGGAGGAGGGCACAGCAGGGAGCAGGAGGAGCACCAGACTCTGAGTCCTGAGGCCTATATTCCAGATCCTTCTCTTCCTGACCCCCTTGAATGTTTCAAGGAAAGGTTGCTTATCTGTTTCAGCATCTTCCTGTGTGAAACAAAGGATTAGCCCACTATAATCCTGACTCAAACCCTCCTAACTCA
This sequence comes from Homo sapiens, assembly GCF_000001405.40. Taxonomy (NCBI): domain Eukaryota; kingdom Metazoa; phylum Chordata; class Mammalia; order Primates; family Hominidae; genus Homo; species Homo sapiens. The sequence continues at coordinate 67,938,893 of NC_000002.12, forward strand.
AATGCCATCAATGGCTCCCTACTGCTCCCTGAGCATGGTTCAAACTCCCTGGCCTGGTATTTAAGGTGTTCTATAATCTGTTTCTTCCTTTCCCTCTACTATCATTCTCCCACACAAAAGCCTTTTTTACCCACACTGGACCACTTATTGTCCCATCATGACTCTTCCTCTCCTGCTTCCATCTAGAATGGTTCTTCCACCCCATCTCTATTAACAAACCCCTGCCAGGCACGGTGGCTCACGCCTGTAATCCCAGCAATTTGGGAGACCAAGGCGGGCAGAGCACTTGACACTTGAGGTCAGGAGTTTGAGACCAGCCTGGCCAACATGGCAAAACCCCGTCTCCACTAAAAATACAAAAATTAGCTGGGCATGGTGATGCATGCCTGTAGTCCCAGCTACTCAGGAGGCTGAGGCACAAGAATCGCCTGAACCCAGGAGGCAGAGGCTGCAGTGAGCCAAGACTGCACCACTGCACTCCAGCCTGGGCGACAGAGCGAGACTCCGTCTCAAAAACAAAACAAAACAAAACAAAAACAAAAACCCAAGCATATCTTAAGAGTCAGATTCTACCTCCTCCATGAAACCTCACTGATAATGCCTTCAGAAGTTGATCTGTTTGGGAGGCCAAGGTGGGTGGTTCATTTGAGGTCAGGAGCTCGAGACCAGCCTGGACTACGTGGTGAAACCCCGTCTCTACTAAAAATACAAAAATTAGCTGGGTGTGGTGGCTGGCACCTGTAATCTCAGCTACTTAGGAGGCTGAGGCAGGAGAGTCACTTGAGCCCAGGAGGTGGAGGTTGTAGTGAGCTGAGATCGTCCCACTATACACCAGCCTGGGTAACAGTGAGACTCCATCTCATTTAAAAAAAAAAAAAAAAAAAAAAAAAGGCCGGGTGTGGTGGCTCACGCCTGTAATCCTAGCACTTCAGGAGGCTGAGGCGGGCAGATCATGAGGTTGGGAGATCAAGACCATCCTGGCTAACACGGTGAAACCCCATCTCTACTAAAAATACAAAAAATTAGCCGGATGTGGTGGCGGGCACCTGTATTCCCAGCTGCTCAGGAGGCTGAGGCAGGAGAATGGCTTGGACCCAGGAGGCAGAGCTTGCAGTGAGCCGAGATTGTGCCACTGCACTCCAGCCTGGGCGACAGAGCAAGACTCCATCTCAAAAAGAAAAAAAAATAAAAAGGTTGATCTCCCTTTATTTCTTTACTTCTTCTAGTCTGTACTTTTCACAGGATACTTGTCAGGAAACACCCTCAAATGCAGTTAATGGTGCATAGGTTTTACTTTTCAGTCTAAACTGTAAACTTTTGGAAACCAAGGTCACTGTATTCAACATTTTCTACTTGACACAATGGGAGACACTACACAAATGTTCACAATCCTCCAGATCCCCCCAGTAGCCTTCAGGGCAAGGTTCCAGCATCTGAATTTGGCACATGAGCTCCCTCATAACCTGGCCTCTTCCTCCCTCTCCTGCTTCAATATCTATCCTCTCTCACTACGCACCCTGTCTCTAGCCATATTAAGTGACTGGTACTACCTCAGAAGGCCACATTTCTCCCTTTGAGGATGTTCTTCTCTCTTCTTGGCACAAATTTCACCCATTTATTGACCTGGCAAGCTCAAGGCTTAGCACCCCACATACAAGAGACTTCATTCCTGGTCTAAGTACAGTCCCCTGCCTCTGTGCCCACATAGCCTATGTGCCATAACTTTGTCATGGTGCTTGCGACACTTCTGGCCTATTTCTCTATGTTCCCCACGATGTGAACTTCCTGAAGAGTTCCTTAAAGGCAGGGATTACATCTCACTTGCTGTGGTATCTCCAAGACAGCACAGTTCCTGCATGTAGAAGATGTGGTAGTCAGCCTCCAAGAAGGCCCTTGAGGATCACAGCCTGGTGTTCATGCTCTTGGGAATCTTTCTCATTGAGTGTGGGCTGATCTTCAGGACTCACTTCTAATGACTAGAATAAGGCAGAAGTGACTGTGTGACTCAGACTAGGTCACAAAAGGCAGTGTGGCAGTGCTCTCTTGTGCTCTCAGATCACTTGCTCTAAGAAAAGCCAACTGCCATGTCATGAGCAGGCTACGGAGAGGCCCACATAGCAAGGAACCGAAGCCTCCAGCCAACCGCCACATATATGAGCATGGAGGATCCTGTAGCCCAGTCGAGCCTCAGGTGATTGCAGCTCCACTGACACCTTGCTTGCAGCCTTGTGAGAGACCATGAGCCAGAACAACCCAGCTAAGCTGCTCCCAGATTCCTGAACCACAAATACTATGAGACAATGTTTATTGTTTTAAGCCGCTACGTTTTGGAATTTGTTGTTCAGCACTAGATAACTAATATATATCTATATAGTTACAGATAGATATAAATATAGAATCATGTGGTCTGGAACCAGAACAGATATTCTGTATATGTTTATATCTATATCTATATCTATATTAAAATACATATTTTGGTACCTGGAAGTGAGGTTCCACTGTAACAAAAACCAAAAATATGTGAGTGGCTTTGGAACCAGGCAGTGGACAGAAGCTACAAAGCTGTGGGACTTGAAGGAGAATGTTAGCAAAAGCTGAAAGTGCCTTGAACAGGCTATTTGAAGAATTTTGGACTTTGAGAAGGTTACTAGTAAATAAAGGGAGAGAACCCTTTTAGGAATGGGCAAAAACATCAACCTTATGTAGTGGCAGAGTTTAGCAACACTGTCACCTGTAGTAATGTGGAAGGTAGAACATGTAACTAATGAAGTGGCTAGCTAAGGCAATTTTCAGCCAGAATACTGAAGATAGTACGTGGTTCCTTTTTACCACTTACAGTAAAATGCAAGAGAAATGATGACCTCAAAGAAGAACAATTAAAACAAAGGGTACCAAGACTTGCTGGTTTTGAATATTCCCAGCCTCTTCAGGCGGCAAACAATGTTAAAATTAAGAAATGGCTTCTGAGTAAAGATTGAATCAGAGTCCCCAGGAAAGCGTGGTCCAAAGATGAAGCCAAGGGTGTCACTGTAAATTCTTTTGTTAAGACCTCAGATCTTAAATGTGGAATCCTGTGTTAGAACCTGAGAACCTAAAAAATGAAGTTAGTTCTTTTGGCCCAGAGTATAGATGGGAGAATCTTACACTGCCCCTTTTCAATAAATTAACACTCTAGTTCATTTTTTATAAAGCGCCTTACTTTAAAGACATTTTTGCCTGCATTTCCCAAAATCGCTAATCACAACAACCCTGAGAATTAGACAGGCCAGATATTAATAAAACAACCAAGCCAGAGTAACGGGTGATTTGACCAATAGCTCATAATTGAGTCATGAAAGAATCTAACTTTCAATCAAGTGCGCTGTCCACATCATCGAACCACTTCATTTAGTAAATAGACACTTGAAGGTATATCTAAAATTGTGGATAGCAGAAAAATTCCAAAGGCACTTGTCTACAGATGTTTTAACATTTTGTTTTTAAGTCATATTTTTCTTCTTTGCTGAAATCTGTAATATTTATAGACCTTCCATCTGTCAGGTGATTCCTCATCACCCAGGTTCTGGATCCACATGTGCTGTGACTGTCTTCAACTTGCTTAAACCATGATGCAGAACAGCGTGTTCTTAACACCCTCAAAGACCAATCTATCCAGATAGGAAGAGAGTAAGTAAAGCTATCTCTGTTTGCAGATCACATGATTCTGTATCTAGAAAACCTCATAGTTTCAGCTCAAAAGCTCCTTCAGTTGATAAAACTTCAGCAAAATTTCAGGATACAAAATCAATATACAAAAATCACTAGCATTCCTACACATCAATAGCAGCCAAGCTGAGAGCCAAATCAGAAAGGCAATCCCATTCACAATTGCCAGAAAAAGAATAAAATACCTAGGAATACAGCTAACCAGGGAGTGAAAGATCTCTACAGTGAGAATTACAAAACACTGCTCAAAGAAATAAGACAAGACACAAACAAATGGAAAAACACTCCATGCTCATGGATAGGAAGAATCAATATCATTAAAATGGCCATACTGCCTAAAGCAATTTACAGATTCAATGCTATTCCTATCAAAGTACCAATGACATTCTTTACAGAACTCGAACAAACTACTTTAAAATTCATATAAAACCAAAAAAGAGCCCAAATAGCCAAGGCAATTCGAAGCAAAAAGAACAAAGCTGGAGGCATCACGTTACCCAACTTCAAACTATACTACAAAGCTACAATAACAAAAACAGCATGGTATTTGTACAAAAACAGACACATAGACCAATGATACAGAATAGAGAGCCCAGAAGAAAGGCCACACACTTACAACTATCTGATCTTTGACAAAGCTGACAAAAACAAGCAATGAGTAAAAGACTCCCTGTTGAATAAATGGTTCAGGGTTAACTATCTAGCCATATACAGAAGATTGAGGCTGGATACCTTACACCATATACAAAAACCAACTCAAGATGGATTAAAGACTTAAATGCAAGCCCCAAAACTATAAAAATCTGGAAGACAACCTAGGCAATACCATTCTGGACATAGGAACAGGCAAAAATTTTATGACAACAACACTGAGAGCAATTGCAACAAAAGCAAAAATTGAGAAATAGGATCTAATTATACTTAAGAGTTTCTGCAAAGGAAAAGAAACTATCAACAGAGTAAACAGACAACCTACAGAATAGGAGAAAATATTTGCAAACTATGCATCTGACAGAGGTCTAATATCCAGCATCTGTAAGGAACTTAAACAAATTTACAAGAGAAAAACAAAAAACTACATTAAAAAGTGAGTGAAGGACATGAACAGACAATTTTCAAAAGAAGACATACATGTGGCCAACAAGCATATGAAACAAAGCTCAGTATCACTGATCATTAGAGAAATGCAAATTAAAACTACAATGAGATACCATTTCACACCAGTCAGAATGGCTATTGTTAAAAAGTCAAAAAAATAACAGATGCTGGCAAGGTTGTGGAGAAAAAGGAATGCTTATACACTGTTAGTGGGAGTGTAAATTAGTTCAACCATTGTGGAAAGCAGTATGGCACTTCCTCAAAGGGCTCAAAGCAGAATTACCCTTCAACCCAGCAATCCCATTAGTGGGTATATACCCAGGGGAATATAAATCATTCTATCATAAAGACATAATCACATGAATGTTCATTGCAGCACTATTCACAATAGCAAAGACATGGAATCAACCTAAATGCCCATCAACGACAGATTGGATAAAGAAAATATGGTAATATACACCATGGAATACTATGCAGCCATAAAAAAAGAATGAGATCATGTCTTTTGCAGGAACATGGGTGGAGCTGGAGGCTATTATCCTTAGCAAACTAGCACAGGAACACAGAACCAAATACCACATGTTCTCACTTATAAGTGGGAGCTAAATGATGAGAACTAATGAACACAAAGAAGGAAACAGCAGACACTGGGGTCTACTTGAAGGTGGAGGATGGGAGGAGGGAGAGGAGCAGAAAAGATAGCTCTTGGGTACTGGGCTTAGTACCTGGTGATGAAATAATCTGTACAACAAACTCCTGTGACACGAGTTTGCCCGTGTAACACACATTCACATGTACCCCCAAACCTAAAATAAAAGTTTAAAAAAAAAAAGAGACCAACCTATTCACTTAAGTATGAGTGACCAAGGGACTCTTTATGGAAGGCCTTGTACAAGGTATGAAACAGACCACAGCAAGCAACTTTAAAACTCCCATTGAACATTTCTTTCCTTCTAAGTTCCTCTTGGATTTGCTTCAAAATAAGAGAGAGGAAGAAGCACATTGAAGATACAAACGTAATAAGAATTTGGCCAGGAATGTGCATGTGGCAGGGTTCATTATAGTATTCTATTCTTTAATATGTTTCAGATTTTTGTGATTAAAAAGTTAAACATAACTCATACACACACCTTAGCTATGAAGACCTTTGGGGTTTCTCTTTTGCTTGTCCTCTCTCCTTTTCCCACATTCTCTCCCCTCAACATCCCCAATTTCCTCCTTCAGGCTCCTCCTCCTCCTCCTCTTCCAGACTACCCTATCACACTAATCACTGAATCCAGCAAAACAAAGGACTCCCCAAGTAACAGGACCTATCCTCCTTCAAAGGCAGTTTAGTGACCATCTTTTGTTACTTTAGTATACTTTGGGGCCTTAATCCCCAGCCAAAGTGGTTTATCAAAGTAATTCTCCCAAACGCATACAGTGCTTTTCTCAAGAAGAATACTGGTGAATAAAATTTTCTCCATCTTGTTACACTTATTATTCTAAATTCCTTTGCACTTTGTTCAAAAGAAACCAGTCATTGAAACTTGATTTTGAGAACGAAAGCTGGTATTCAACAACCGCTGAAAAGAATGGTTAATTCTATTTGAGTTTCTCTCCATAGCCCTATTCAAAACAGGTTGTGTGTATCTAAGAATAAATGGAGTCACCACACAAGAGGTTTATTATCAGAGCTAAGCTTCGGAAGCAACTCCCACTACTTAATGCTGAAAGGAAGGGAGAAATAGAAGAAGGAATACAGGCTGCAATGAATGGAATGAGAAGGTTAAAGAGGAAGAAGGGAATGGATAAAAAGAAGGAAAATGAGATGGAGTAGGAAACATTTCAAAAGCCACTGTTATCGTTCACATCATGCAAGCCTTCTTGCTGTGCCAGTTCAAAAGAAGAAACTACCCAGACAAATCAAAGAGGCAGCTTTGATTTTTTTCCCCTCCCTTCCCAAAGTCTTAGCCCATCTCTTAGTATCTTCATTTAGCCTCTATTTTGGTTTCTATGAGTTTTGTAGGGGGTTATTATAGTTTCACTGCCTCTTTTGGCTAAAAAAGATGAACTTAGTTCCAAGGACTCCGAAGATCCGAAGACCTGTATCATGACCTATATCCCTTATTTTCTTGTACAGGGTAAGCATTTGATGTTTAAATCAGCCAGAGCTTTTTTTTTTTTTTTTTGGTTAGCTGTGGTTCTGTGAAAATCCGTGATATATATATATATAAATATATATATATATTTTTTTTCTGCTGCACCTGCTGAGCAAAAAAGCACAAGAAATGGAGAGACTGGTCCCTCTGAACGGGACCAGGGGCCAGATTATGTCAACAATTCCCCTGCCCTGAAAGGAGCTGGCCTGACGGTCCGGTGTTGTCAAATGACAATTGTGACTCCTTGCATTTCAAGAGTCATGCACAAATGATTCCATCTGAAGCCCTCTGGGTAATAGTAGCCTTTTGAGGTTATGATCTCTCTGGTTGGAATTCAATAAGAGAAATTCACTTTCAATTGAGTCCCTGGAACAGAGCCAGGCAAGCCTAACAATACAATACACTTCCAAAGAAAATTGGACTTATCTTTTTTTCTCCTTCCATTTTCTTTCTGCTTCTAACCTTGTTCACACGTTACCTCTTCCCACTTCCACACCCTCCTTCTATCAGGGGACAGCAGAGCTTTTAAAAATAAAACCCACACTTAAATAGGAACAGTCCGTATAGAATGACACAAGCTCCCATACGCATAGTCTTGAGAATTTACCCTTTCCTCAGCTGACCTCTGTTACTTCTACCAGGAAAATGTCACAGAACCACTGTGAAGGGGAGACCAAGGATTATCACAACCACCAGTTTTCCATTTCCTGTTAAAATGAAAACTTTGACTTTTTTCTTTCTATTTTTGTTTCCTTTTAAACTAAGAGGAGGCAAAATGTACAAAGCCTGCCCAAACACTGTGGTCTAACTTGGCTTTTTTGTTCTTCAGTCTCTCTCTCTCTCTCTCTCAATCTCTGTGTGTGTGTGTGTGTGTGTGTGTGTGTGTGTGTGTGTGTGTGTTTCTCTCTCCCATTTTCTCTCTCCCCCTCTCTCTCGCACTTTTTGCTTGGTTTATTCCTCATTTTGCCAAGATTTTCCTCTGAATAATTACTATTTCTTGGCCTGGAAAAGGTTGTAATTCTCTTTGTCTTTTTCATTTGATCATCCAAGTGAATTAATGTGGCTGTTAAATGGGTGGAAGAAGTCGTTTTCTTTGTCAAATTCTCTTAATCATCCTTTTGATTTCACACTCTCATTCTCCCCACCCACACACATCCCTCTGCCCCTACAGAAATTGGGGTGGGGGATGGGTGTGTGCATGTATGTTTCTTCTCACGCATTATTTCCTTCTTGGAAGATATTCCATTTGAAAGCTTAGAATAAGTAGATGCGTAAAAGAAAACCAAGCAAATGTACAGCCCTGAATCAATTAGCTATGAGTGTGTGTATTAGACAGGGAGGGGTGTCTGTGTGTGCTTTCCTTTCCATCTATCCACAAGTGCAGCTTAAAATTTGTTTCCCTGAGAAATCTCTCTGGTTCTAAATGTCACCGCTCAAGGAGCTGGCTTTGGGTTTTGTTTAGTTCTCAGATGAAGCATAAAGGAGGCAGCAATTAAATAATAATTTTAAGCCAACATCAGTGAAGGCCAACTGCCCTGAGACCAAAGTTTGCAATCTCTTGGTGGAGGAGAAAACAATGTGCTCTTCTAAACTCAGGTGTAGCCTGTTTGGCTCAAAACGTTTAAGGAGTTTCCATCCAACCCATATATGGACTCTCCCTCTGCCAACCCCATCTTCCCTGCATGGATTCTTAGGAAACCATACTATAGTAGCATCAGCATTAAGATTTAGAGACTTAAAAGCTATCATGGGTGGGTGAATGAGAAAGTGTCTGCAGACTTAAGGAAAAAACCATTTGAAGGGCTTTTCAGTAGGAAGTATCCGGGGAGAAGGGTGCCTGGGAGGCAAGCAGCCTAGCAAAGACATTCAAGGACATTTGGCCACCTAGTATTAGGATAGTTAACAGAACTAAGGATTTGATTGGCATCTGGAAGTTGCAGTCCTTGAAATCAAGTGCATTTGAGGCCCCATTTACCATTTATCCCCTTATATCCCAAACAGTTCCTTCATGTTCCTAGAGTCCCCAAGTCTTTATCCTCATTCTCCAAAGGTTCCTAACCTACTAACAGTGACAAACTCCCAGGGAGGGAAACTAGCTGGCATAGAGTTAGTAAAAGCCTTCCTACAACAATGTTGTCCATGAAGTTCCAAAAACTATGACATTTCAAGCACCAATGGGGGAGTCACTGTGCATCAATATAGAACACATTGTTACCTGCATGTGACTATATGGTCACCCAGCCATTGGAAGAACTGATCATCCTGACAGATCTCATATATATCTAGTCAAAGATGAAAAACAGTTTTTACCTTAAGTACCAGTTCTGATTGATTGGCAATGACTATCTCAAAGGCTATACTAAAAAGGATCCTGAGGCCACATCCTTCAGGAAAAAAATGCTGAGATCAATTAGTTATGTCTGCCAGGGGTGGGAGTGGTAACATAGCTGCTGCCTATTATTCCTAGCAAGGTAATTGCAAGGGTTGGGATAGAAGATTTTACATCAATGCTTCAAATTCTGCCAAGTGGAAAAGCCCTACATATTTTCAGGACAGCAAGTATTTCCACCACCTAAAATTTTGTGTTTCTCCCTAATGGCTACCACATATTGACTATCTAAAGTGAGCCAGGCACTATAGTGTGATCATTACTTACATTATTTCATTCAATCTTTATAATAACTCTGCAAGGGAGGTGGCATCCCCATTTTGCAGCTGACAAAATATAGGTTCAGAAAGGTTAAATAACTTGCCCAAGGTCTCCCAGGCAATAAGCGGTGGCGCCAAGACTTGAATGGAGGTCTGCAGGAAAGTCCAAAGCCAAGGATCCTGCTATAAATCCTGCTGCCTCCTTTAGATTAGAAGACATGAAGGAGGAGTCAGAGAGCGGGAATCTTTGCCAGTTTGTGGCCAAGCCTTATAGCAAAGTCTTCAAACTGCCCATCATTCTTTTTGGCTCCTGACAGCTCTAGCTAATTGGCTGCCATTAGGCAGTTGAGATTTTTAATTACAGTTATATTCAGCTGAGCTGAAATTTCAGCTACGTATAATTGAAATTGAGGGCTAAAAGCAAGTTTCAAAGGTCCTCTAGTAGTTTTCTTTGTGTATATGGCTGTCTGTTTTTTAAAAAAATGTTATATAAGAAATACACATATAGTTGGAATGACAAACACTATAAGAGACTTATAATGAAAATGTACACCCCGGCCCCACCCAGTCCTGTTTCCTAGAGGCAAGTACTTTTAATCATTCCTATTTTTATTTCTCCTGGTGATTACTTCCAATCTCTATATAATAAATATATAGCTGCATTTCTTGATTTATTACCTTTCGTCATTATCTACTGACTTCCACCATGATGGATGAAAGTTTAACTCACCTATACCACCCCACCTTTCTTCCCTTCCCCTTTCTCAACCAATGTAGTTACAGCCCCTTTTTCCATTCATCCAGTCAATTTTTACGAGTTCAAGTGGCATGTTGAAGCCTCATGTCTTGTTCCATCAACTATTCACAACTCTTTCCTTCTTCCTCACTTCTACTCACCAACCTCTGTCAGTTAAACCTGCAATGTTTATATTATCAAAATGAATAATATTTATGCTCTGTTTGTAACCATAGTTTAGTCCTCCATGATTTGTACATGTGGATTCTAAAAGCTGAAAACCAGAGAATAATACTTCTGGCATCTAGATCAAATGGATTATCCTTCTTCACATTCCATTAATTGGTCAAAATCATGCCACAGTGAGTTTGCTTTATATTTGGACCAGGCCTTTCTCATACTGTTTTATTGTTGTTGTTGTTTTCCCAAAGTTTCTGATTTTTCTCCCCTTTTTCTTATTTTCCATAATGTTACAATAATCTCACAATTTTCAAAGTTCTTTTTTTTTCTTTTTTTTTTTTTTCAAGACACGGTCTCACTCTGTTGCCCAGGCTGGGGTACAATGGTGCCATCATAGCTCACTGCAGCCTCTATCTCCTGGCTTCAGGCAATCCTCCCGCCTCAGTCTCCTGCATAGCTGAGACCACAGGTGCATGCCACCATATCCAGCTAAATTTTTTATTTTTTGTACAGACGGAGTCTCCCTATGTTGCCTAGGATGGTCTCGAACTCCTGGGATCAAGTGATAATCCAACCACCTCAGCCTCCCAAAGTCTTGGGATTATAGGCATGAGCCACCATGCCTGGCCCTAAGTTCTTAATATACAATTTAATCTATAAAATCCTCCATCCCCCACACTGCCAACATCTCTTACACAGCATCCCCTGTCTTTTCTCTCCAATATGTACTAATTTCTCCCTGTGCCCAGGACCGAGCTGTCAGGCTGGAATTTCTCTTTGCTGCTTTTCTGGGTTGGAGGCATTATCTCCATGACTTCCTCTTTCCTGGTTCACTCCTTTGATTTTTTCTTCTCAAACACGTGCTCTAACAGCTTCCTAACAAAGAATCTATGGTTATAATCTTTCTGAGTACTTGAAAAAAATGATCCTTTTTCTGACCTAAAACTTGTTGATAGCTTGTCTAGGTACAGAATTCTAGGACAAAAATCACATTCAGTCAGAGCTCTAGAAAGCATTGCTCCATTTTTCTAGTATCCAGTGTTGCTATTAAGAAGTTTAATGCCAGACTGATTCTTGTTCTAAGTCCCCTGCTTTTCTTGTCTGGAAACTTTCAAGATCATCAATTTATCTCCAATGAAGCAAAACTGCATAAATATTTGTATTGGTATGGATCTTTTTAAATTTATTTCATCTAATATTTAGTAGGCCTTTTAATCTGAAGACTCATATCTCCCTTCAGTACTTAGAAATTTTCTTTTCTTATTTACTTAATAACTTCCTCTCCTCTGGTTTCCTCTGCCAATTTAGGAACTTCTATAAAAGCCAATCTATTATTCAGAGGATGTGATTCCTAAATTGATTCTCTCATCTTTTCTTTCTTTCAATTATTTATCTTTTCTTCCTTTCTTCTTTCTCTCTCTTTTTCTTTTTATTCTTAGCTATTAGTGATTTACTTCCCTTTGTCTTCTAGTTCTTATATCAATTTATTTTGTTAGCAATCATCCTTTATATTTCCTAAGATCTTTCTTATTTTATCCCTTTTTTCTTTTTCATTGCATTCTCACCTGTTTTATAGATGCATTATTTTCTCAAATCCCTCTGAAGAAACTAGATTTTTTTTTAAGTGTTTCTCTGTCCTTTGAATTATTTCCACGTCATTCAGTTTCACTTTTGCTTGTTTACCTTGGCCTTTCTCTTTTATGTTATGGGCTTTGCTTAAGTGTTCTGATAACCCTCGGATATCTTCTCATATTTGAGAAGGTGGCAACAGAACAGCAAATGAGGAGCTCTGTGCACAAGGGTTTGGCTCATAATGACATAATTTGCTTCAAGTGAACAGGTGGGAAACCAGTCATTACACTTGGACCCCTCCATTCCAGAATGAGAAGAGCTTTACTCTGGGACAGTAATCCCCACACTACCTCTCCCCGAGTGATTATTTTCAATTTATTGAGAGAAGATTCAGCTAAAGGACAAGGGCTGTCCTGGGTTGCACAGAAAACATGGAAGGAGTAGAGTCAACAGCTCCATGGATCTTCAGTTAGTCTTCTGTTTTCAGCCCCACTTTCTACTCTTACTCTGATGCCCACTGTCTCATCGGGTAGAGCCTCTCTATAATTATACTGAGCAATAGGTGTTCTCCTTTTGCTAACACCCAAGTGTACATTCCTACCCTGAAGCTTTCTTCACTCAGTTCTATCAATTATTTCTTCATAGGTTTTCTACCTTCCAAAGATGTTTTGAAAGATATCAACCATTAGAGCATTGCTACCACCACATGTCTTTATTTCTTCTGGTTATTATAAGTTTATAGTTTTTAAAAATTATTACTATAATTTTAATGCCATCTGAGTGACAGAGAGAGAGAAAACTTCTGCCATCTTGAATCTGAAATCCATACAATGGTTTTTAAGCGGTGCTCAAGAAAGCCTCAGGGCTACCAAATATGTGATGAGAAAGTCAGTGAAAAGAGCAAAGAGGGGACATTAAAATGAGAGAGATAGGCAGGTGAAACATCCGTATTTCAACTAGAGTTCTCTTCTTTTATTTTCTGTGCTTCTACAGCTTTCACTAGATTAGACCTTCCTACAAGAAACCATCAAAGAATAATTTCAGACAAAATATAATCAAGTGCTAACCTAGTGGTCCGGAAAATAAGCTTGCAGGTATGAGCCGGAAGAGTTACTGAAGGGTACATGGGAGAGATGAGACTTGTAGCGAGCTCTGAGACTGAAAAGTATGTTGGGACCAGATCCTACAGGGCCTTTTAAGCTGTAGGAACAAGTTTGGGCTTTATTCTAAACATGAAGGAGCAATTAGATTATTTAAACAAGGAAGTGAAAGGATTAGATGAGTGTTTTGTTTTCGTTTTTGTTTTTTTGAGACAGGTTCTTGCTTTGTCAGCCAGGCTGGAGTGCAGTGGCATGAATACAGCTCACTGCAACCTCAATCCCCCAGGCTCAAGCCATCCTCCCACCTTAGCCTCCTGATTAGCTGGGACTATAGGCGCATGCCACCATGCCTGGCTCATTTTTGCCCAGGCTGGTCTTGAACTCCTGAGTTCAAGAATTCTGCCTGCCTCAGCATCCCAGAATGCTGAGACTACAGGTGTGAGACAACACACCCAGCCTAGGTGAGTGTTTTTGAAAGATCACCCTCATTTTAGATGCATGGAGGTGCTGATCAGCAAATGGGCAAGGATGTTTCATATGTCCTCTTGCTTGCTCCTCACCAACACCCTGTGGAAGTAGCACAGGCAGGCACTATTGCTATTCTTAGTTCATAGGGAGGAAACTGAGCTCAAAGTGATTACAAGATTTGTTTGAAGTTACATCGGTAGAAAATGTCAGAGCCAGGCCAGGAATCCACCTTTTTAAAAATAACTTCTTTTGGACAAGTGCAAAGGAACCACAGTGAACCAGGGATGCTTGGTCGACACTGGTCAGTCCTTTAGTGCTTTGTATCATAGTCACCCCAGGTAATCTAGAGTTCAGAGAAACAGGATGCAGAAGAAAGACAATAATGTTTACTCATCATCCAATATGGACCCTTTCTTCTCTTGGAAAATTCCTTTACAAATATAAATTCACCTTGGCTTACAATAGGGTCACATCCCTATAAGTCCACATAAGTTGAAAATATCATAAGTCAAAAATGCATTTAATGCATCTAGTCTACCAGCCATCATAACTTAGCCTGGCCTTAAATGTGCTCAGAACACTGATATTAGCCTGCAGTTCAGCAAAATTATCTACACAAAGCTTATTTTATTAAAAAGGATTGAATATCCCATGTAATTTATTGAATACTGCACTAGTGAAAAACAGAATGGTTGTACAGGTGCTCAAAATAGAGTTTCTACTAAGTACCTATAGCTTTCACATAATCATAAAGGCAAAAAATTATATAAGTCAAACCATCATAAATTGGGGACTGTCTATACCCTACTGGGCTGAATAGTGTCAGCAAAAATTTGTGTCCACTTGAAATCTCAGAAAATGCCTTTATGTGAAAACAAGGTATTTGCAGGTTAATTAGTTAAGATGGGGCCATAATGGATTACAGTGGGTCCTAAGTCTAATGACTGGTATTCTTATAAGAAGGCAATGGGAGCACACTGAGGTGCACTGGGGGGAAAGCCATGTGACAATGGAGGCAGAGATTAGAGTGATGCAGCTACAAACAGAGGAATGTCAAGGACAGCTGAAAGACACCAGAAGCTAGGAGGAGTCAAGGGAGGACTCCCTGACAGGTTTCAGGGGAGCATGGCCCTGCCCACACCTTGATTTCAGACTTCAAGCCCCAGAACTCTGAGAAGTTGTTTTAAGCCACCCGGTTTGAAAATGTGTTACAGCAGCCCTAGGAAACTAACACAAACACTAAATCAAAAGCAGTCAAAAACAGAAGGAAAAGAACTAATTAATCACATTAAAAACAAAGATTAACCCCCTACCCAGCACACACACACACACACACACACACACACACACACACACACACACAACAAAACACAGGAAGGATTGAACAGAAAACACTAAAATCTGATCCCTGGTTTTGGTGCACTGGATGCTAAGTTTGTAAAATCAGGGTATCAGGTGACAACATGAAAGAGAGGGGACTGCAGAGTAGCAGGCCAGGGTAACTGCCTGGATATATTTGTGTGTTGGGTTCCTAGGCTTCCAGAACCCTGCGCCACATTGGAGAAGCCACCACTTCTTAACTGCGTGGGTGCCCTCACTGTGCTGGGCACTTGACTGGCATTACCTCACTTTATCCTCACAACATCCCTGTCTGGCAGATACTAAGCTCTTAATTACTATTTGTTGACCAGCAGACTAACCCTGAGAGGCAGGTATTAGCCTGCTTCAGGAAGCCATGTGCTGTCATGGAAAGCTTTTAGCAGATGATTTCTAAAGTCATTTCCAATGTTTGAGTTTAACCAATTATTTGCCTCTCTCTCCCAACTAAGCCAGCATGCAGCCCACTTCAAGGAAGGGCTTTCGTAGTCAATGAAGTATTCCCTGTTTCCTGAGCTCTGGATAAGCCCAGAAGTAAACACACTTTAGGGCAAAGTAGAATTCTTTGTGCTGGCTTTTTGCCCATGTCAAGCTGAGTGAACAAAAGCCCCAAGGTAATTCACATTTGGCCTTGGTACAGAGACATCAGGCATATACGCACGTACACATCACACACCCTCCTCTCTCACACACACATACCCTCGGCCACGTGCCTGTTATGGAGTCCTTACTGGCTCAGCCCTGGCCCCACTGGTATCCTAACAGGTGAGAGGAGGGTGGCAGGAAAGTAAGAGCAAACCTATTCATAGTGTGCCACAAAATGGGTAGATTTCCTGGGCTAAGCCCTCAGGACCAGACTGCCTTTAACCTCAGGAAATGGGCTCTCCAACATATCTGTCATAGATGACCAAAAATAAAGCAAAGCTAGAAATTCCTTGTAATGTAAAGTGAAGAAGGAAGCAGAAAATTCACTTATCTGAGAATCAGGGGACTGCAGCTGTAATCCACCCTACTGTCAACTGCTAGCCATGTGACCTTGGGCAAGTCACATCCTCATTTGATGAAAGATTAAGTCATCCATGAGGGTCCTCCACAATTGTCCATCCAATGGGCACATCCCTCCACCATCCTTCCCCGGTTTGCCTGGACTCCCCCTGCTCTCAAAATCCTTGTACTGCTGCCCACACACACTAGTGTTGTCACACCTCAGCTTTGGCACAGGCTGTTCCCTCTTTCCAGAACGGCTTTCCCAACCCAATCCCTGGGTGTTTAAATCCAAACCTCTCTTCAAGACTAAATTCAGAGGATTCTGCACAGCGTCTCTTGCTCTTTTCAGCTTGGAATAACCTCACTTTTAAACTCCTGTAACACTCTACCAAAAGGAAGTTTTCCTTTCTCTATCTCATATTTTAGTTATTTGCTTATATTTGCTAACACCCCCTCCACTATTCTGTGAGTTTCTGGAAGTCATGTTCTGCATCTGGTTCATCTTTGAATCCTCTGTCACCTTGGCACGTGCTCAGAAAGCCTAAGTAAGTTTCTCAAGGACACAGAATTCAGTAGTTGTGGTTCTCATCACAGTGGTTCTCATTTCATTTTAATTTGGGGACAGAATCTCTGGAAACTAATAAAATTGGTTCACGTGAATAACTCTGTGTCATATGACACATACAATTTTACATGTATACTTTAAACTTTGGGATGCAGTAATGACTATACATTTTGAAAGATAATCAAAAGGAAATTCCACCCTTCCCTTGTTTGGTTGAGCCTAGTTCTGGAGAACAGATATGGCTTGTATGACTGCTATCATCAAAGGCCCTAAAATATTTCAGCCCAAGCACGTGCACCAGGGCTGGGTCTAGAGTCTGGATTTTGTGTATACTCCTTGGAAAGACATTTGTGGGTTGCTTTGGAAGCTGATGGGATGGGGAAAAGGAGATGTTTGCCAGCAGCAGTTTAAAACAAAAAAATGCTTCCCCTCCCAGGGTATCTATCATCCATACAGCCTGACCTCAGGCTGAAGGATTAGAACATTTCTTGAAGAATAATGGATCTGTTTGCCTTCCGAGTCACTACCCATTTCTTCTAATTAAGACAAACATTATACTTCAGAATAACATGAAGAAGTGAGGAAAGTGAGGTTTTGAAAAATGAAGCACTTTTGTAAATTACCTAATCCTATTTGTTTTGTTTCCTAGGTGTTACCAGCCGCTCCCACTTGAAGCCTGACATGGCAAACACCATTTATTTGTCCTCCAGTGACAGACTGAAATTATTTTTAAGGCCATCTCTGTGATTAAAAACCCAAGAAACTTCCATAAATTACCAGGGAGAGCCATCTATTTACAAATATCATAAATAATCATAAAAATTATATATAACCGTAAATAAATATCACAGTACTCTTCCTTTTCCAGCAATCGGACAAAACCAGAAAGGAGCTGACCTTCCCTGTCTGGTGAATGAGACCTTCCACTCCTGCTGGAGGGGACGCCTGTTCTCTATAGGCTGCCTCAGAAAAATCGACTCTGTGTGCAATCCCATCCCAATGCTTGCACATTAAATGTTGGTAATCAAACACCATTAATCATTCCCTGGGGCCTAATATTGATTTGCATCTGTGGATTTCTAGTGTTTAAGAACTCTGCTCTGACACCAAATAGTGGAATCAGATGGCCTCCTGGCTTCACTATTCACCAGCCAAGCCACATACAGAAAGTTACTAATATTTTCTCAGCCTCCATTCCCTTAAGTGTAAATAGGAACAATAATAGTTATTCTCCCATAGAATTAAGGTAAGGTGTTAGATAATGTGTATAAATCACTTAGCACAATGCTTGACATATAAGGATCAACCAAAAAATGTTCACTACTATTACTCCTTAATGAATTTCTTTCTTGAAATGGAACTGGACCCGTTTTGCCTTGTTTTATGTAGATTAGAAAATAAGAATAGAGAAGGACACACACACACACACACACACACACACACACACACACACACACAAGAGATTGTATCCCAATAACATAGTTCTTGGTAGCATCTGACTGGAAGCATCTATGAGATAATCATATTTCAGAACATAGCTCATATTCCCCCCAAAAGCAGAATATGAAATGAAGGCTTGAGTGCAATTTCTTTATTTGGGAATGTGATCCAGAAGGTAGAAGTAGGGAGCAAGAGGAAAGAAATTGGCAAGAGCAAATAGCTAACATAAGGACGCCTTATTGAGTTGACCACCATTACATAAGACTGGGTGTTGGATCTTTGGGCACCATATTGAGACGCCTGTGTTGTCCACCAGGGAAGAAAAGAGAAAGCGTAGCTCCATCATCTCCTATTTCTCGTTGGTTGAGGGTTGTCCCATGGACTGTAACCTCTTGTGCAACTTTGGGTTGCATCTGCCTGAGTGACAAGCAATCCTGAAGGAACCCCAACTTATAATAGAGAAGATGCAGAGTGAAGAACACACCACACACCTGATAATTGCAGCCATGAGGCCGGCTGAAACTTCTGCTAAACTGGTCACCACCACCAGTGAGTGGAATAAGGGATAAAGCCAAAGGATATTAAGTTATGAGCAGCCATAACCAAAGATATCCTGAAGAGATTGAGATGTGTTTAAAGTAGACATCCAAGAGATGGACTGTTTTCTGAGACACATGCCATTTAACCTACTTAAGCCCATACCATTAAACAGTTGGAACTTGATTACTTCTTGGCTCCTGACTCAAAATATCCACCTGAAAGTGCTCTTCCAAAGTCAATAGCCCAGCCTCACTTTTTTTAATATCTCATTTTCAAAATCAGAGAATCTCAAGGCTGACAATTTCAAGCACCTCCATCAGAAACATAAGTCATCGCCACAATGGCCATGACAAGCAAGCACTTAGTTTATGCTAGGATATTCTCAGTAATGGAAATTGTAGCTCCTCAAAAGGCATCTGCTCCTTCTTCCCCTAGCGCTACTAGAAAAATAACCTGACTTTTGGCTAAACAAGGCAGATTGAGCATACATTAATCCATACTCTTTTGACCAAACACTCCTGGTCTCTTTTGACTATAACAGAGTGGGAGAGTTAACATAGTTCTGGGGTCCAATTGTAAAGGTATGCTGTTGTCCATTGCAACTGAATACCAGTTGTTTCTGATCATCTTTGAGAAGGATGGAGAAGAATTCATTTGCCAGATGAATGACCTCATATCATATACCCAATATTATGTTGATCTGCTCCAGCAAAAGTACCACAGTAGCCATTGGGGCTGCTACATTGTTGAACTTGCAATAGTTTACTATCATCCTTTAGGATTTATCTAGTTTTTTGCAGGGGATAGTCTGGTGAATTAAGTGGGAATATGACAGGGATCATCCTGCATCTTAAGGTCTTCAAGGATGGCACTAATTTCTCTCATTCTCTCCCTCCCCCAAGATACCTTAGCCAGGGGTGGGGGCAGTTTCAGAGGTTTCCATTTGGCTTTCCCCATTTGTAAAGCAGGTTCACTGTGCACTGGTTACCACTTCAAACCATTGCTTTTGGGGCCGCACTTTCACTACTTGCTTAAGTCCAGTGAGACACAGCACTCTCACACAGAGCAAATTACATGAAGTCAGTTTACTACGGATAGGCAGTAAGGAATAACAGAAGCCTAGCATTCACTGTGAGCTCATTGCCTGAGGCTTAGAAAAACTGTCTGGGGTGGATACAGTCTGGTCTGTACTTTCCCCAGTTGCACCGCAGCTAAGAGACCTTGTAAAGCAGCCTACCCTGGGTTTTACACCCCAGGGCACAGGAATTGCTGGGCTAAAGTGTTGAAAGACATCCTGTTTCTAGGAAGGACTGAAACAGACCCAGGCTGTTGTAGCCAGTTTCTCCTTACCTCAGGATGTTGCCTTTCTATACATTCCACTGTTATTCTTGGGAACTACAAGCTAGAAAAGGGGAAAACCTGTGTTGGTCCAAGGCCACCCAGAGAGCTGTCCTTCACCATTATGATAGCTCTTACCCCATAGGTCAAGGATCTATGCAGATGTTGTGACAACCACCAAGTAAGCATGTCTTTTCCAATTGTACATTCAGGGAGTGGGGAAGTAACTATCAGTTGCATCTCAATGGACCCACTGTTAAATGAATTTGGACCAGAACCATATTTGTGACTTGCCATTTATATGCTGTCACTATAACAAGGAGGTGAAGGGGAAGAGACAGAGATGTTGACACTTGGAGTCTCTAGGTATCAAAGTCAACTTGGAACAAACATCTGACAGCCCTTGGCATTCTCTTTTCCCCAGTGCATAGCCACTTGATTAAATGAATGGAGGCCACTTTGAAGAAGGACTGAGGGAATGAATTATCTCTCATTTGATATTTGCAGTGTCTATCTGCAGTGGTTTTGCTGGGTACATCCTCCTGAGGACTTGATCCCTCCTTCAAGCAATGGATGCTCATGTTAGGAAACTGGGAAAAAATGGTCACTTTTAATGCATGATCGCCCTCAGCACCCTCATCATTCATCCTTGATTTATTTAATTTATACAATGTGAGTAGTACCATTGTTGGCTACCTGTTTTTCCCTGAAGGATGCTAGTTCTATTAAATATCTCCATCATTCTCTTCATGGCAGGCCTTCCAGTCATTAAGATAATTGTATCTACCTTTCTCTGATAATTAAACTCTGCCACTTGGCCTCTGTTGTTTCAGAGGCTTATCATCTTTCTTGCTGTTAGGTTGGTGCAAAAGTAATTGTGGTTTTTGCCACTGAAAAATGTGGTTTTTACCAGAAAGTCCAGTTCTATAATGTCATTTCCTACCTTCAGCTCTGGCCTAACATTGAATTTTTTTTTCTTTAGCGATGATGTCTTGCTATGTTACCCAGGCTGAACTCAAACTCCTGGGCTCAAGCAATCCCCCTGCCTCAGCCTCCCAAGAAGCTGGGACTACAGGCATGTACCACTGCACCTGGCCATTGAATTTCTTAGTGATGCTGGTGCCTCTCTCACAAATGCTTATCTTATTGCTTTGGAAAATGCTGCATTCTATGGGCCCTGCCATACAACATAGTCCTCTGGTTGGTTTTCTCGAATTTTATGGTATATCCTCTTCTAACATATGTACTTCTTTGAGCCTTTTAATCCCTTCTTCCAAACTCATATGCCATGACAATCTTGCATTTCTACCTCACCTAGTGTACTTCCAGGAGCCATCCTTATTATTATGTTCAAACCATCTCTCAGAGTCCTTGCCAGGAAACAAAAGTCCATATCTCAGGAGAGCATTCCCAAATCAACAAACTCTCCCTTATCCAGCCCTGTTTTCCATGTTCTCCTTGATCAAGCACCCTCATAATTCAGTCCCATGAGTACTGTCCCAGCTGTTGGTACATCCTGGCTAGATCCTGCAGCTCCACTAGGGCTTAATCCCTTTACTTTCTCCTCAGTCCCAGCATGTCTTTAGCTTGATTACATTGTGACAAACTGAGGAGATGGTGTAGGGAATGTCCCGGAGAGGGGTATTGTTATGGGTGGGAGGGCCCTGTGCACTATCTTCAAACCAGAGAGAAGTATTGGTCCTTAATAAGGTAAAGTGGGCCACTCCTCTGGTCTCAGAAGTTTTAGAGGAACCTGGGGATTCAAGATTTTGGGGTGCATCAACCTAGATGTCTCCATCCTATGTGGCAAGATTCTTTCCCAACTTTGGCCTAGCCAACCTACCTTGGTTGGGAGTTAAACCTTCTTTGGAATGCAGTCATTTTTACAGTGAAACTGGGCTTCATCCTCAGTTTTCCATATCGCCTAGGGTAAACAATTTATCTCAATTTGCCTGGGGCTTTCCTGGTTTTGAAACAGAAAGTCTCACATCTTGGGAACCCCTCAGTCCTGAGAAAACTAGGATAGTTGGTCACCCTAGTGCTGCTTCCCTTTACTGCCACCCCCACAAGATGAGAGCTTGTTTATAAGCTACAGAGAATGTCTTCTAGATTTTACACTTAAGTTTTAGTTGATAATTAAACACTCACTTCTTGCCATCTTTTTCTAGAACATTAAGTTTAGCAGTAGCCACCCAGTTCCACCTCTTTGGAGTTAATTTTTCCTGGAATTTCTCTGTGCCTGATTGATCACCGGGATGCAATTCTAATTCACTGTCAGTGAAAATTTTAACGATAGCACTGCTATGTTGTGATTTGTGTCAGGAGTTATCTATGCTCCACCTTCTATCAGTGATAGGCTCTTTACTGGCAACTGGGCAGCAAATGATCCAGCTCTAAAATCCCATCCCAGCCTCTGCTTTCTTGACCACTTGTGGCACTAACTGTTGTAAGTTGAGTTCCCTTGGAGGTGGATCCTGAGATAGAGAATAGCATGAAGGTGAATTGTTAAGACATAATCGTCAATCGACACCTTTGGAAAGGAAGGGAGGAAAACAGGATTTGGCAGAGAAAAAAGTTGTGCTGCACCATAGTCTCAAAGGAGGCCTCAGCTGACTCCAGAGTGAGTTCTGCAACTAGGATGTCCCTTAAGAGTTGTCCCGAGCTGGGGGGGAGTGCTATATCTATTTTGTAGAGTAAACAATTGAACCTTGCCCAAAGAGAAGTTTGGCT
Source organism: Homo sapiens (assembly GCF_000001405.40). Taxonomy (NCBI): domain Eukaryota; kingdom Metazoa; phylum Chordata; class Mammalia; order Primates; family Hominidae; genus Homo; species Homo sapiens. Next base: position 67,961,519 of record NC_000002.12, read on the forward strand.
TTAGACCACAGCTCCTGGGAAGTTATTCCTAAGCCCTTGGAGTATCCTGCCTGATAAAAGTGTCCTTGTTCATCTAAGGGCCTTGGGCCTCAGAAGATGGTCTAACAATGTGATTTATTGTGGGTGCTCTGAATCATGAGGTACCAGCTCAACCTCCAGACAGACTGGCAACTAAGGTCAGCCACGTGGGCAGTCAATCATGTCTATGTGATGGAGCCCCACATAAAGACTCTGGATACCAAAACACAGGTGAGCTTACCTTCATGTGTTTTCTCACACATTGTTTCTAGGAAAATTTTGTCCACTGTTTCACTGGAAAAGGATAACTATAAGTTCTATGCATGGAACTTTCCTCTCTCCTGTGAGACTGTGTCCTTAGATTATTGTAATCTGTATATTTTTGCTATAATAAACTGAATCAGCAACCTAACAGCTTTTAGTGACTCCTTCTAGTGAATTATTAAACCTGAAGGTGGTCTTGGGGACCCCTCAACCCCAAAATTGGTGTCAGAAGTGAGGACAGTCTTGTGGAATTTTGCATATTCCTACTCTGATCAGTTATTGAATGTAATGCGTGTCACTCCTGGAAGGACAATAACTTTGTGAGGGATTTTCTTCTGACAAGGGGACAGGCAGCTAGTTTTCTGCTAGTAACACTCCCACAATTGGGGAATAAAGTGTTTTATTTCTGAAAAAAAAAAAAAAAAAAGCCTACTGGAAGTCTATCACAGACTGTACCACAGTGGGACTGGATTTAATCAATAGAAGTCAAGGACTAAATTAATATTTCTGTGAAAAAAAGAAAATTCACATGGCTACTAAAGGGGGAGGGTATCTCATGGAATGTGGAGAAAGTTGTATTATTCTTTCATTTTTTGATAATAAAAAATGGCATGATTGTTTCATGGAAAGAAATCTCTGTCATTTGTGTCCACCTATGATTTTCTATGACTATTCTCAGTGGCTTACTGTGTTCGTCCATTTTATGTTGCTATAAAGGAATACCAGAGACTGCCCAATTTTTAAAGAAAAAAGATTTATTTGGCTCACAATTCTACAGACTGTGCAGGAAGCATGGTGCCAGCATCTGCTTCTGGCAAAGCCTCAGGAAGCTTCTGATCATTGTAGAAGGCAAAGGGGGAACAAGCACATCACATGGTGAGAGAGCATGAAAGAGAGGAAGTAGGCCCCAGACTCTTTTTAACAATCAGATCTCATGGTAGCTCATTACTATGGGAGGACATCCGGCCATTCATGAGAGATCCACCCCCATGACCCAGGCACCTTCCACCAGACCCTGCCTCCAACACTGGGGATCACATTTCAACATAAGATTTGGAGGGGACAAACATCCAAACCACATCACTTACCCAGTAGTAGATTAGTTATTCAAGACTAATTTCTAATATTTATGGCCAAAAACATTATTATAATCAGCATCCATTACCCCTTGCTGGAACTCCTCTCAGCAAGTATCCACATACTGACTTTAATAATTTTCCTAAAATATGAGACCTATACATAAAAGTCATAAGCTAAAACCACAGCACTTTGCCTATGAGGTTAACAGTCCCCGTTGTGATTTACATCATGCTGGGCAGGACCAAAGGAATAATCTGAAGCCATAAATAGGTATCAAGATTGCATTAACCTCATCAGAACACAATTCTAACAGTAAATGCCAATCAGCTGTAGTAATAATGACCATCCAATACACATCCAATTCCAAGCCAATTTTGTTAAGGCCTTCTACTATGGGTCTGTGGTCACTGATCAAGGTATATAGCAGCTCTTAAGGCTCTAGTGGAAATTTCAAAAGGTCATCAAGTTTGCATTGGCCTCCTTATGACTACCTCTGCTCCACTCCAAAGCTATAATGACTTTCTTCTATCTAGAAAGCCTCGTGTTTTTTTTTTTAAATAAATATCTCCAAAGGAAGCATTTCCATGACTTCCCTTAGTAATCACTTCCCATTGTGTAGTCCTTAAATTTGAGTGAAAAAAAATTTGAAGACATTCCCCTCTGCTATACTGCCAATGGAAATAGATACGGGTTATTCTGCTCTGGTCTGAATTTTAAGTATTCAGTAAAATGATATTTCTTCTTCTCTTCCTCTTACACCTTAAGATACTTGGCAAGCAGTCACATTAATATTCTACTATCCCCAGCAAAGTAAATAGCAGCTACTTTCACTAATGGCCTTCTAAATCAAATGACACATCATGGCTGCACAAAAGAGCCGGATTTCAACTCAGGAAACACAGAGGGATAAATCCATACCAAAATCCAAATTCTTTTCCAGCAAAGGCTCTGGCAAAGAAGGATCTTCCTCCAGAAAACAAAAAAAAAAATCATTCATAAGTCCTGAACAGACTGAGCAGTAAGTCTGCAATTGAAGCACAGCCTCCTTTTCTAAAACTGAGTGTAGGATAGAGCTATTTTCACTTCCTAATTAAGCAGGTAACTTCTCTTCCATCTTTCTTTATCATGACAGATGAATGTTTAAATATAAGATTTGATATTGTGTGCTTATCTTAAGCTGTACTATTTTATAGCATTAAAAGGTATTATAGCCATCACTAAAATTACTGTCCATGCAAAATAGATTATGATAATGCAAACCAAATTTGAATTTTGGAAGATAAAAGCAGAACAAGAATTCTCAAGTACCTTTCAATACTCAAATATAAGCTATAGTATCATCTACCTCTTGATCTACAAACACAAATACCTATAGTAAGCAGGCAGTAAGTAGAACCAGTAATGCAACTGAGAGAGTACTGGAGCCTCTAGCACCAGAGAACAGAAGCCCACTGAAGGAGGTAGCTGCTACTAAGAAAAATGGGACTGTTTTCTTACCAGGGGAAGGTCCAGTGTTTCCATATCGTCTGATTTTCCCAGAAAAGCTGGAAATTCACGTTTTATATAAAATTGAAAAATTGTTAAAACTCAAAATTTTGGGGGCCAAACAAAACCTTTCTGAATGGTGGATTTAGCACTTTCACCACTAATGTGTAAGCTTTCAATTAGAAATAGATGAGATTCTGCTTATTTAGTAGAAGGTAGATTAGTCAACAAACAAGATCCCTTTCAATTCTACAAAATACTGCTACATAACAAATCACCCCAAGTTCAGTGGCACAAAGCAATAAGGATTTTATTATGCTTAGGATTCTGTGGTCAGAAATTAGCATAGGACACAAGGATAGTCTGCCTATGTTTCATAAAGCTGAGGCTTCAGGTGGAAAGAGTCAAATGTCTGGGGGTAATTAAATGCTGAAGGCTGAAATCATCTGAAGCTTTTACAATTGCACGTCTGTTGCCTAAATTGGGGTGCCTCAAAGTTTGTGTTGAGCTAGACCTGTCAATGGTAGCTACAAGGCTTACACATGTGACCTGTCCATGTGGCTTGGGCTTCCATGCAGCAAGGCGGCATCTGGACAGTCAGGCTTCCTACCTGGTTGTTCAAGGTTCCAAGAGCAAATGTTCTAGCAAACAAGGCGGAGCACATGGTCTTTGTAACCCAGTTTCAAACATCACACAGCATCACTGCTGTCAAACTCCATTGTCACAAGCCCACCCAGATTTAAAGGGAGGGAATATAGACCAAACCTCTCAATGTGAAGAGTCAAAAAATTTGTAGCCATTTCTTTTAAAACCACCACAGGTTTAAAAAAAAAAAAAAAGCTCATGTTTAGGTGCCAGAAAAATGTGGGTTCACTGTAGCCCGAGGCCCTCACCAGATGCCCAAACTTGATCATTTCAGCCAGCAGAATTGTGAGCCAAATAAACCTTTTTTTCTTTATAAATTCCCCAACCTATATGTATTCCCATATAGCAATACAAAATGTACTAAGACAGAAAGTAACCTGCAAACAAATCATGACCCAACCAGAGTATAGTAAGCAATTTTCATACCAATCTTGTGATGGTACTGGCTTCAACTTGCTCAAAATAGACCAGCCTCATGACCATGCTAGCTTTGACTTGTTCAAGATATTGAGCAACGAAACACCCGCTGAAAATGGCTGCTTGCTCTGGAGTCTGTAAAAAATAAAAATAGAATAAAATAAAGAGTCTGTAGATTTTAGAAGGAAAGGGAGAGAGGCAGCAAGAAATCCTGGGTTGGGGAGTAAGGAGGAAAAATGTTACAGTACTTGTCTGCCTGAAGTTGAAGGAGCCTCTTAGTATCTGCACGTGTTATAAATAATATAATCGCCTCTGTGCAACTGGACAGTACTAATGGAGCCAGTGAAGCCTGCTGTATATAATATTTATTTGAAAGAGAAAATGATTTCATTTTCATTTTATTTCTGGTACAGCAAAGCATTCGAGTAGCACACGATGAGCCTTTCAATTACATGTTTAATTCATTCCGATGATTTGTGCACAGCAAGGAGATCTTAATCCTGGGGATTCTTAGTGAGAGTGCTGTTAGGTTAATATAGTTCTCAAAGGATTGGATTCTACTTAACAACACCTCACAGATTGAGCCATGGAGGAATAAAGCCCACCAAATGTCCAGCAGGCGATAATAAAACTTTCCTCTGCCATGTGAGTTCCTCAGAAATGGCTCCACGCACTTCCCAAGCCAGGCAGCTCCCATGCTGAACATATACTCAGGACCCTGTATCTCTCACATTTGTAATTAAATAATCATTTATGTAATTATTTTTAAATGTCTAGGTCCCACCACTAGAATGTAAACTCCACATGGTCAGAGAGCATGTTTTATTTCTCTCCAGTGCCCAAATAATGCCTAACTCATGGTAAGTGTTCAATACAATTTGGTGAATAGTCCTTAGTACAACACTGCTTATTCTGGCAAAGTAAAAGTATATACATATACACTTAACATATATATGAAATAATATATATATACACTTATTTTTTTAACGTATGATGTAGAGTACATATATATCTACATGTATACTTAATATAGATATGATGTAATATTATGGAGCAATTACTATTTGTGATAGAAATGCAGAGTTATTGACATGAAAAGAAATCCATAGATTTGCTTTCCAAATCAGGTTATAAAACCATATGTATGGCAGAGTATACAATGTCATAGTTAGGAGTATCAGATGAATGTGAGCAAGATAATTAATCTCCGTAAGCATCATTCCTCATCTGTAAAAAAGGGACTAATAGCAATCCCAGGTATAAAGTACTGTTGAAATGATTGGATTAAAAATTGATTATATAAAGTAATGTATAAATAAAATAAAATCTCAACACTGTGCCTGAGCTATACTAAGTGCATAATAAATATTAGCTATATTGAAAATGATTATTCCATTTTACAGGGAAGATAACATTTCTGTGTGTATACAAAAAATTCAAACTATTCACATCAAATTGTTATCATGCATATGATGGTGAGACTTTTAGATTTTTTTTAATTTTCTTTTTATCTGTTTCTGTATTTTCTGGATAATAATTTTAATTTGAGGGAAATAATAACTTGTTTTTCTTCTGTAACTCTAGCTAACTGACTGCTTAGTATAAAGCAGAATATTTTAAAGATGGCTTTTCTGGAAAATAATCTTGGATTTATTTGAGATAAGAAGGTCAAATGAAGGTTTAAGATAGCTGATTGAAGAAAAGTGTTCACCTGGTCTCATTCCCTAAGTTCCATTGAAATGGTAGAGAAAATGCACAAACAAAAATGAATTTTAACAGAAATGAAAAACCAAGAGAATTGCCACTAGGATATCAGAACTTTGGGAATTTCCTAGAAAAAGCAGATGGAAACAGACCTAAAGATTCACATGGAAATAAGGACAAATGAGAAGCCCTCCAATAAAGGACTCTTAAAAAAAAAAAAAAAAAAAAAAAGCCCATGATCAGAGGCAGTAGGAATGAAAGAAGAACTAGGAGATGGGCCTAGACACTGATTTTAAAAGAGTAAAATAACTCTGTCCATGTTCTGATAAAGCACCTAATGCTGTCTTTTGACCTCAGCTACTGCTCTGCTGTGTGAGAATTTTCACGCAGCAGACTCTCAGAGTAGACACTGGGGCTTGAACAAAGTAATTTCCCCAATAATTTTGTGCTGCCTCAGGGGAAGAAACGAAACTTCCACCGAAGACAAACTACTGGTCATCCTAAAGGAAAGCACAGCCTACCAGGGCCCATAACAGCTCTGCACTCCAGAACCACCCCAACACCGCCCATCTGAACTATATCCATTGCCAAGAGAAAAAGAAATTTTCATGTGCACTAGGAAAACATTTCTGAGCTGTTGGTTCTGTTCATTTACAGACATTTATCTGAAAATATGAACTGTCATGAAGTATTTTCAAACATTCAACAGAAATCAATAGCCAATAGAATGAAGGAACAGAGGGATGGAAGAATGGAGAGACAAAAGAGGAAAGAAAGAAAACAATAGTTTCAGCATGTCTGGAAGAAGCTCTGAACTCCAGAGATTAAGGGAAAATCCTAAACATCAATAGGGAGGAAAAAAGTAGGCTACATTCGTAAGAATAAGGTTTCTCAGGAACTGGGAGCTAGAGCACAATGGAACAATGTCTTCAATGTTCTTGTGAAATATGATGAATCAAAAATTCCAGACTCTACTAGCATTTAAGTATTTGGACAAAATAAAGACATTTTCATATCTCTGCATACTCAATGTTTAAAACGCAGGCCAGGATTCCTTTCCTTTTCCAAGAAAATGGCTTACAATTTGTATGAGCATATATTAAAATGGAAATTGAATTTAAGAAAGAGAAGGGATTTTTTTAAAATAATGGGTAAAAATAAACCATAAATGTATAGTAATGCTAAATAAATCTAAATAACCTGACTGTTAACGTTAAACAACTTTCTAGAGAGAAATAGAGAGTCACACACCAGGTCTTAAATGCTTGACTTGGAGGTGGCACACATCAGTTCTGCTTAGAGCCCACCATTCAGAACTAGTTCACAGACCCATCTAACTGCAAGGGGCCGGGAAATGTAGGAAAGGACAGGAATACTGTATTAGATGAGTATTAAATGTCCTCACCATAGTTCATAATAATTTTATCTTCTCAATGGAACATGCCTTTCAACAGCATGTTATATCCTCCTTTGACCATATAATGGTTTTTATGTTGGAATCAATTTTCTTAGAAATTAAGATTGGCCCATCTACCTTTCATGGTTATACATTGCCTGGAATAATTTTATCCATCCTTTTATTTTCAATCTTTCTATGTTGTTTCATTTTGTGTGTTCCTTGAAAACATCAAGTAACTGGAACTTGTTCTCTAAGTGTCTGTACCTTTTAATAGTTTATTTTAATCTAACCACCTTCATTTTGATAACTGATATTTTGTAACTGATTATTGTTCTCATTCCTATCTTATTTTTTCATTTTTCATTTTCTTTTTTTAAAATCTTTGCATGTTTCTTTTTTCTTCTCTTATTTTTACTGATTAAAGAAATTTTCTGTTTCCTTTTTTGTGCTAGTGGTTTGGAAATCACATGTTCTATTTCCACTTTTCTCAAGATTGAATTTATGCTAAATACATGTGCTTAAAATATTTTAATTAAATGTTGAAAAACATTTGTATTAATAAGCTCTTCTTGAAACAAGACAAAATGCTTATCATGCTTCAATTCCAGTTTTCCTTTGCTCCCTCCTGTGTTTATTGAAAACATTTGAAATTCTTTTTCCTGCATTTATTATTATTTTAAAGTCAGGCCTTTATTTACTAATAAACCATTCTTGAAATTGTCAACTAGGGTTTATTCTAGGAGTACAACAAAGGTTCAAATTTAGACCTTTTGTTACTGCAACTCACTATATTAGTAAACAAAATGTGTTAACTTGATTAAAAAGACATAGCAAATGTCATACTTGAGGGTGGAACAGTAGAAGCATTTGATTAAAATTCATACCAGAGAAGGATGATACACAGCATTATTCTTGAGGTTCTAATCAATGCAATTTGATAAGGAAAGTGAATAAATTCTTAGTATTGGAGAAAAAGAGACAAAACTGCCATTACTTTCAAATGATATGCTTATCTATTTTCTTTAAAAATCAAAGAAAGTAAGTCAAAAAACACAAAGAACCAATAAGAAGGTTCAGTAAGGTAGCCAATTACAATAAGATCAACAGATAGAAACTCAATAATTTTCTACATCAGAAAAACAACTTAATAGAAATTGAAATGCAATTTTAAAATCCCCAGAGCAATAAAAGCTATAAAATACTTAGAAATAACCAAATAAAGACATGCATAAACTTATGAAGAAAATGATTTTACTGAAAACAAATTTCCAAATAAATGAGACTAAATTTTGTAAAATGTCAATTCTCTCATAATTAATTTATAAAAGCAGCGAAATGCCAGTCAGAATTTCAATAGGCTTTTTTTATGAGACTTGAAAAGCTGAATGTAAAATTCAACTAGGAGGGCAAATACATTAAAAAAAAAAACAGTGAAAAATGACAGGAATTCTGCAGTGTGATATTGGCATCAGACTAAATCATGGAATAGAATAGACAGTTTCGGAAACCAAATATAAATTTAATACATGATAAAGAAAGAAGTAACTAGACAATGCCTAATGTTGGGACAAACAGCTATCCATTTGGAGAAAAGATATAAAATTAGAGTCTTACCTTGTACTATATGTAAGAATGAATCCTGTTTGGATTAAAGATCAACATATTAAAAAGTTATCAAAGAAAGTTTAAGATAAGAATTTTATGATGTTGAAGAATGCTTTCCTCAGCAAAATACAAAAAAAAAAGGTATCAATAATAAAAGGAAAGGCTACTGATTTGATGACTCACAAATTTAAAACATCTCTAAGGCAAACACCACCATAAACAAACTTGAAAGAAAAGCAACAAACCAAAAAGAAATAGTTGCATCATAATAAAGTTACTACCCATTCTTACCATAAAAATTGGTAAGAACAATTTCTTTTAAAGGGAAAGGAGGCTGGGCTTCCTTTCCTTTTTAAAGAAAATGGAAGACTGAGGTTGGAGGATTGCTTAAGCCCAAGAGTTTGAGATCACCCTGGGCAACATGGCTAAACCCCGTCTCGCAGGGCACAGTGGAGCACACCTGTAATTCTGCTACTTGGGAGGCTGAAGTGGGAGGATCCCTTGAGCCTGGGAGGTCAAGGCTGCAGTGAGCCATGATCAAGCCACTGCACTACAGCCTGGGTGACAGAGAGAGACCCTGTCCCCAAAATAAATAAATAAATAAATAAATAAATAAATAAAGGAAAGGAGATATGATTAGGCAATTAAGAAGAAACAAAAATGGCAAATTAACATGAGAAAGAATATGCAACCTAACTAGGAATCAGAGAAATGAATATTAAAGCAATATAACGATATCACTCCTTTAACTCTCAGATCAGCAACATTTTAAAAGATTGATATTATTTATTTATGGAAAGAATATGGCAAGATGAATAACACACATTCTGGTGGAATTTAACTCAGCACAGGCTTTTTGGTGGCCAGCTTGACATTATCTGGTCAAATGTGTGGACATTGGTCTATTCTACTTCTGAGAATGGATCCTGTGAAATACACACATGGCCCAAGCCAAGCCACATGCACTAGCATATTTATTGATCTTTTTTTATTGGGATGTAGCCTAATGTCCATCAATAGAAAAATGGTTACAGCAGTTGTCCTGCAATGCAATCACTAAGACAATTGAGGTAGAGCCATACGTACCCAGATGGAAAGAGTTCTAAGACACATTTTTAGGAGAAAAAAACAAATCAAGGATAAATAGCTGGAACTCATTCATCTTCTTAAAGCTACATATATGTACGTTTTGTATCTACATATAAATGCACAGAAAAAGGTCTGACTAACACAAATCAAATGGTTAGAAATGGTTACCTACAGGAGGTGCTTCAACTTATTATTCAATACAGTATATAACTGTACAGTATAAATTTTTACAGGAAGCAAGTATTCACATATTACTTCTATAATTTTTTTCTAAGTTAAGATCGAATATCTTCAGACTTCCCTGTTTCAATGCTAGCTTTGAGAAGGAGCCACTCTAAGGAGTCCTCTCCTTAGAGCTCACATTCATGCAGGGAAGGCTGCTAAAGGCACATGGCATTGTGAACAGAGCTGAAAACTTGACTCCAAACTTTATCTTGCTTTCCTGTTTTCTTTTCCCATTGATTGTTTGTATCTGACTATTTTGCACATGTATCTGTAAGTGCCCTTCAATCCTTATGGAAAATATCAGTAACTTCCATGAACAGTAAAGGGTCCCAGCCTGGAGCCCTGGGATCTGGTACACACGGGCGCTCTCAGTAGCTGTGAAATCTGGAATAAGTCCCAGCTTCTGCATGCCTCGTTTTCTTCATCTGTGAAATGCAGTGGCTGGCCCAGTGCTCTCAAAGTCCCTTTCCTGTTCTTAGCCTTTAGGTTTTGTGTGCTCTGCTGGGCTCCTTCTTCTCTCCACATCCTAAAGGCACTGCAGCAGGAAAGTGTGACTGCTCAGCCCCTTCCATCAGCTCAGATCACTGAGATTCGACTGTCTCCCCATGTGGGCCAGGGGCTGGTGAGGAATTAAGAATTCACACAGAAAATCACTTTGATTTCCCCCGCAGCACTATTCATTTGGGAGACACATCTCTGATAGTTTATGCCCAAAGCCTCTTTATGAGAGTCTAGAATGGTTCTAGCGCCAGCAGTCACAGTGACCCACCAACTCAAGCCAGGTGTCCCCTCTTGGGAGCAAACTGTCTCTGGTTGGTTTGCCTTTGTCAATAAAATAACTCCTGTCATACCACCAGCTGCATTTGGTTCCATTTTGCTTTCATATTTACATGTTTTCCCACAAGATTTACTTCATATAAATGATCACACACACACACACACACACACATACACAAGGATATGTACAACATTAAAACTAATGGTACAACAAACAGCCATAAAGACCCACTCTTGTCCCTCCCTCCTCCTCCACCGCCCTCAACCCTGCAATGTTACTGTTCTGCTTACCCAACTATGTTAACTACTATCCAAACTTTTTTGTCATTAATTTTCTTGTTTTCCTTTATACTTTTACCAAATATGTAGAATTAATTGTCTTTTAAAGGAAGAAACTTTTTAGAAACAAGGTTCTTACGAGAATTAAATGAGGCAATGCTTAAAGTGCTTAGCACAATGCCTGACATGTTAAGTACTCAAAAATGTCATCTATTATCTCACTCTTTTATTTATTATTATTATTATTATTAAGAGGGAGTCTCACTCTGTCGCCCAGGCTAGAGTGCAGTTGTGCAGTCTTGGCTTACTGCAACCTCTGCCTCCCAGGTTCAAGTGATTCTCCTGCCTCAGCCTCCCAAGTAGCTGGGATTACATGCATGCTTCACGCCCGGCTAATTTTGTATTTTGAGTAGAGACGGGGTTTCACCATGTTGGCCAGGCTGGTCTCAAACTCCTGACCTCAGATGATCCACCCCACCTTGGCCTCCCAAAGTGCTGGGATTACAGGCATGAGCCACCATGCCTGGCCTATCATCGCTCTTTTAAACTTCTGTTAAGATAATGGAAAAGATCTTTTGTTCATTTAGTAATCCGTCTCATTCATTTTTTAATTACCTACTGTGGGTCATCTCTGCCATGCTAGATGTTATAAAGCTATATGATTTGAATTTTTAAAATATTTTTAATTTTTATTTTTAAATACTTACAGACTCACAAGAAGTAGTAAAAATAATCCAGAGAGGTTCTGTGTACCTATCACCCATCTTCTCCCAATGGTGCCACTTTATACGTCTGTAGTACATTATCAAAACCAGAAATCAACATTGGCATCATACAATTAACTAGACAATTAGACCTTACTCGGATTTCATTGTGCAGGGACTCCTTTTTGGGGGGTGAGGGCATGTAATCCTGTGACATTTTCACCCATGGGTAAACTTGTGTTACCACCACCACAATCAAAATGTAGAACCCTTCTGTCATCACAAAGGAATTCCCTTGCGCTACTCTATTTTTCGTTTTTTGAAATGGGTCTCTCTTGATCGCCCACGTTAGTTTCAAACTCCTGGGCTCAAACAGTCCTCCTGCCTCAGCCTCTCAAGTAGCTTGAACGACAGGTGCACACCACAGGCTCAGCTTGCTACCCTTTTTAGAGTCGCATTCTGGCTCCCTTACCTAATCCCTGGCAACCACTGATCTGGTCCCCATTTCTATCTTTTTGTCATTTTGAGACGTTATATACACAGAATCATACAATATATAACTTTTTGAGATAAGCTAAGCAGTTTTTACACTCATGAAAAATAGCCTTACATACTGAACCTAGATTTCTTGACTGGGAAGAATTTCTTTCTTTTTTTCCCCCATTAATCTATATGTTTTATTTTTGTGGGTACATAATAGCCTTTAGGTTAATAGGTATATTATGGAGTACATGAGATGTTTTGATACAGGCATGCAATGCATCATAATCATATCATGGAGAATGGGGTATCCATCCCTTCAAGCATTTAACCTTTGTGTTACAAATCATCCAATTATACACTTTTAGTTAGTTTTAAATGTACAATTAAGTTATTATTGACTATAGTCAGTCACCCTGTTGTGCTATCAAATACTAGGTCCTATTTCATTCTTTGTTTTGTTTTGTTTTTTCTTTTTACCCATTAACCATCCTCCCCAACCCTCCATCACCCACAACCCTTCCCAGACTCTGGTAACCATCCTTAGGAAGAATTTCTTGACTGGATTTATACTGGGGAGAATTAATTTCATCTTCAGATCATGTAGAGTATTTCATTTCTAAGGAAATCTGAGGCTCTAATGATACCCTGAAAACAAAGGATTTAACCACTAGAATTCGCCAGATCATTGGAAGGTGTCCATGAGGTTCACTGTGTAGATGAAGGGAGGAGGAGCAGGTGATAGCCCTCATAGCCAGGACTAGACCTTCCTCATGGCCAGGACTAGGCTCAGAGGTGGACTCCAAAATGAACGCAAGAATATGTACTTGCTATCCATGCCGGACATTAATGAGCTTGGAAGAGGTTTGTCTATACATGTGAGAAATGAGTTTCAAGTACTTTTATCAATTCCTCCCCCGACAACTGATCAAAAAAGAAATTGTTTGCAAATTGCACAGCAGGCCAGGAAAACAGTCTGAAAACCCTTTCAATCAGATATTTTGGAAGGAGCTTGTCTAAAAACAACCCTTGCCAAGTTTCCAGGCTGCTCCTTTGTAAGCTCATTTTTGAAGATTTGTCACAAAGCAGGAACTGGAAGGAGAAACATGTTTTATTTTGTTATACAATGAAGTTCTTTGTCCAACAAATAGATGTGATAATATCACTGTGTTGGATACATTCTACCATTCTCCTAAGTGGTTGGGGCTGCTTTTTAAATTTTTGCACCTTCAGTCTGGTTGAGAGCACTGAAAGAATGGTGCTAAAAGCCTCTTTTCAGACACATCAGGGGCATTCTTTTGTTTGAATTTACTTCCCCTTTCCCACCCAGTCCCTGGCACCAAACACAGCCTTACAAATCAGCTCCGACTGGCAGGAGGAATGAAGTCAGCAGGAGCTGGTGCCAAGTTCCTCTTGGGCTCCATTCACCCAAGCCTCGCTAACCTTTTCTCCACATAGAAGGGGCATCTCCACTGCTCTCAGAAACACAACTTTGTACACACGCCAAATTGCTTTTGGGGGCAGTTACAGCAGAGATCCTCCCACTTTCATTTTACCTAGACTGTGTCACATGGAGCCAAGCACTTTGCAATTTACCACCTTTTCCCTCGATTTAATATTAGAAGCTCTATCTGATTCTGAGGCTGTTTTCTGGAAGGGCACTCCAAATGAGGAAACGTCTCTGTAAACTAAGGACAACGAAAAGGACTTTATCTGACCAACAATTTACTGTCTCCTGCTGGATTAGAGCGCTCACTCACATGAGCACTGCAGTTTTATAAAACACACAGAAGCATATGACCATGTAAAGACATGATCCTTCATGGTATTTCCCGGCTGCCGGTGAATACATTTTTAGGCACCACGACTTTGAATTCACTCAGCTGCATGATTTAGAGCCACTGGTCCCAAGCAGGATAATTTTCCCACCACCCCCCAGCCTGCCCCTTAGGGACATTTGTCAATATCTGGAGATGGTTTTGATTGAATCAACCAAATGGGATTGCTGCTGGCATCTAGTGGGTAGACGCCAGGGTTACCGCTACACATTCAGCAATGCACAGCACAGCCCCCATAACCAAACAAAGAATTATCTGGCCCCCCCAAATGTCCAAGTGCTGAGGTTGAGAAACCTTGATTAAAGGAAAGCATAGGGCTTTTGATGTCAGATAATTCAGGATTTGAATCTGATCCACAGCCTAGGCTATCCAAGCTTCAATTCTTCTTCTTTAAACTTAAAATGATCCTATCCTACCTGCCTTACTGAATCACTGGGAGGATCGAATGAGAGTAGAACCTGTAAAGAATGTAGTACTTAGCAAACACCGCGTGCTAAAAAAAAAAAAAGTTTTTTCTTTCCTCTTTACTCCCTGCTTTATACTGTTAATACCTCCTTTGAGACTACAGAGTCTCAGCAGCCGTTTTTCTCTTCCTTATCGCTGGAAATCAGCATTGTAGCAAATATCCACTCTGCTTTCTTGCAAACACTGATTCTCTGGTCTAGTGGGGCTGGCTACCACACAGCCTTGACTCTCCCATCACAGGTGTGACGACAAGGCCCAGAGTATCCCAAGCCCTAACCACAAAGATGGTTTCAGAGGAGAGACCACAACCCAAGCCTGACCAATCATGGCCACCCCAAGGACTATAGCTGGAGCCCTCAGGAAATAGACACTCTTTTTTTTAATCTGGAATTAATCAGAAAATGTGAAAACAAAGTAAGTTCGTAGCTGACAGTAGCTATCTTTGCCACTGGAAAGAACTGAATCAAGGCAGAATCAAAGTGCAGAAATGAGACATGGTAGAGTCAGGGGTGGGAGGGGAGATGGGGTTCCCATGATAGCTTTCCATGACCTTTTAGCTTACATTAGTTTGAGTTAGGTTTCTGTGACTTGAAACTCAAGGATTTATGACTAATAGAGCTTGTAGATGGGGTTAGAACGCACAGGATGTCAGTATAGTAACCAGCCTACAGATATCTACTGAGTGCCATGCAAGGTCCTGATAAGGACAAAAGATATCATTCCTGTCCTCAAGATGTTTCTAATCTTGGTGAGTAAACAAATACCTAGCAAAAAGATACCGTTACAAGGTTGTGGAAATGCCAAGAGAATCACAGGCCATATTGCTGATAAATTGGGTGTGGAGAGGTGAGAGAGACATTTTTCTCTATTGGAAAAAAAAGGGGACACTTTGTAGAGGAAGTGACTTAGCTGGCACCTCTCCCTAGCTGCCCAAGCCAAGAAGCTTCCCTTTCACTACCCCAGGAACATAAGCTGAGAACCGAAGAGGACTCTTACTCCTCCAAGGGGCTCCGCTCTTGCTGGACTGTGACCACCCCAGACCTGGTAAGCCAGGACCTCTGTTCATTGGCCCAGTGGCTACTCTCCTCCTGGGCATTGTCCACTACACTCCTATTGATCTACCCCCAAAGTACACAGACCCTCCATGACCTCTCCTCTGCATTCCTACCATCCACACCATGTGTAGTGTTTCCTTGCCCCAGACCCAAACCCCTACTCCTAACTTCCCTTCCAAATCCTTCCACTGTTCCCTCTAGACCTCTTACTCCAATATCAGCAAATACCTGCACCTCTCCTATCCTCCAAATGTTCTTTCCTTCCTTTTCTATACTGAGAATCAGCTGTCTGTTGAACACAAATTTCCTCTGAAACTCTGTTGCATTCTTCTCAAACCTCACAGTCAGGAGGTAATGTTATTCCCAGTGCTGCTTCCAGGCAGTTACTGCTCTGGCCTCTGGCCAAGATCCCTGATCCTTTGAGGATCCAGGCTTCTGGTCCTGCCACCTCTTCTCCTCTTCATTGCTGTCATCTACAGATCTCCTGACTCACAGCATTTTTCTTCACCCAATTCTTGCTATCTTTCCCAGTGACTTCAACCCCTGTGTGAAATTCTTATCCACCACCATGTGTGTCCATCCCCTGGCATGGTCACCACACTGCCCAGCTCCAGGAACATAAAGAACATTGTCATTGATGTGAATGGTGCCCACTGTAATTTTGCATTGCACACCCCACACACGCTTATGCAGTGTCCCAGGGCCTTGATCTCATCTCCAGCCACCTGCTCCTCCCACCAACTGAGCCACTGCCTCCTTAACCACACCCTTATCTCTGCATCACTCTAACATTATTAATTCAAACATCCCAGTCCCTTCAAGTTACTAGCTCGAGTACCCTCACAAGAAGTCTTTCCCTACAGAAAATTAGGAAATCCATGATCCTTTCACCTTCTATCAGTCCTTCCTGCTTTCACATCTTTCTTAACTCATCCTGGAGTTTAGAGTCTACCATTATCAATTATTCCCTGGAAAAGATTCATAGTCAATTGCTGCCTTCATTCTATTCCACTTGCCTGATAAAACCCCAGTCCTGAAAGATCCAAATCACTGCTATCCCCAACTATCTGTATCCTGGAAGCAGTATTTCCAGTGAATATCACAAAACAGGACATACAGTATTCGCCTAAATCATGACACTTTCCTCTCTATCATCACACATGTCTCCTAAATCTTCCTTCTTAGTGCCTCCTGGGTGCACGGTCTTCTCTCTAACTTAATGTCTCCAACGAGGTCTGCACAGCATCATCAGCCACACAGACAACTGAAATAGCACAGAGTAAGTTCTAAAACACTAATATCATGTCATTCCTTTGTCACTGCCTAAACATCTTCAACAAGGTACCCTTGTTATTAAGATAAAATCAGAAATTCTAATGGTGTACACTTGTTATTAGGATAAAATCAGAAATTCTTATCACAGAATTGCATCACCTGCCCTGCTTACATATCTACTCAGATTCCATGCTCCCCTTTCTGTGAATAGCCCTGTACAGTAGCCACCTTGACTTTCCTCAAAGTTGTCTTGCTCCTTTTGACCCCCAGAGCCTTCTGACAAGCTGCCCCTTCTGTCTACAAGGCCCCTCCCCAACCTTGCTTAGCTTATTCCAGCTCATCCTAAGCTCTCAGCATCAACACCTTGAACTCAGAGATACCTTCTCTAACCTTCCTTCCCCTACACAGCATGCACAAGGTCAAGTTACATTGACCAATGATCTCTTGATATACCATACTTGCCCTTTAAAAACATTTATCACAAATTATCACTTATCACAACACTTACCACTTGTGTTACTAATTGTTTGAAGTCTACTTTCTAGACTAGAAAGTAAGCTCCATGAGGGACAGTAACTGAGTATTTTGTTCACTGCTGTATCCCCAATGCCTTGTACAGAATAGGTGATCCATAAAGACTTGATGAAGATGAGTAATTCACTGAGTGAATGATAATATGAGCTTGGCCTTGAAAGATAAGCAGGATTCAGGTGAACAAAAAGGATGAGATTTTCATTAGCAATGTGCAGGGTGTGAAAGTGGATAATGAGCCAACCAATTCTTATTGAATGCTATTGAATGTGCAAGCTTCTTGCTAATGACTAGAAATTTCTATGCGCATAACAGACAATAATGAGCTTGGAAGACATATGTTTCAGAAACACCCAACTCCTATTTGTAGAAACATCTACTATTGTTTTGTCCAGAATGGACCTAGGAGTTAGAACTGGGGGTCCAAGGGATATACATATTGACATATCATATGTCAATATCATATGTCATATCATGTAACAATAGAGTCAGTGGAAGAGACCCTTTCAGCATTTTTCAGACAGGAATATCTGCAACATCTCTGCTCAATTCCACAGGCAGGTAATCCCCAACCAAGAGATGCTGTAAACCACTCCCTTTAGAGGAGAAAGATATAGCCTCTTAGCTGCCCATACATAAACACAGAAGATATAAACACATACCACTATCTTCAACTTGAAGTGACACTGAAGAAAACACACAGTGTATGGCAAAAAATAGAAAACAGAAGGAGCATTAAAAATAGAAACAGAAAAAAAGATGGCCCTAGAATTGAAAATATGTCACAACACATAGTTCCATAAGATTTCTTTTAAAATGGCAATCACTACCCTCTCATCCCATGCTTCCCAGAAGCAAACACTTCCAAATCTTGTAGCAGATTATTTTTCCATTTGTTTCTATGCCTCTAAATAACAAGCTTGTACTAGTCTACTACTTCTTGATATTTAAGTTCAGAATTCTCTACTGACTTCCAACTATCTAAATGAGGATTCAACTTTTTTTCATTGCCCTCAGTCTCTGGCATTTACCCTAACACCATTTCAACCTAACACATACTTTCAATCCCCTGTCCTCTCAACAAGCTGTTTCATAATTTTGAGTAAATTGATATTAAATGCTAATATTATCATGTCTATGTAAATAATATTCACCAATTAGGTTGGGCACAGCGGCTCACGCCTATAATCCCAGCACTTTGGGAGGCCGAGGCAGGCAGATCACGAGGTCAGGAGATTGAGACCATCCTGGCCAACATGGTGAAACCCCGTCTCTACTAAAAATACAAAAATTAGCTGGGTGTGGCACATGCCTGTAATCCCAGCTACTTGGGAGGCTAAGGCAGGAGAATCACTTGAACCCAGGAGGCAGAGGTTGCAGTGAGCCAAGATCATGCCACTGCACTCCAGCCTGGTGACAGAGCGAGTCTCTGTCTCAAAAAAAAAAAAAAAAAAAAAAAAATCACCAATTAATTATGTCATATATTGCTATTACTTTTCTTTGCCTGTACTTTTTGTCTTTTCAGGAGCTAATAATAGTCTTGTTTTTTATTTATATGGTTTTCTATGAACTTACCACTAAGTCAACCCTTAACTCTTCCCCCATTGTGTAAATATTCTCTGAATACATTCAGACATATTAACTATTCCTTCAGTTTTGTCTTCCTGAAGAAGTGTCTTCCTGAACTTTCTGATCTGCCCCAATCTGGGCAGGCTGCTCTCCTGACCTGCTGACTTGATGCCATCTTGGAATCACCCACCGCCATCATCCTGGGGATTCTTTGGCCTTGCTCCTGTGTTGAATCCCATTTTTAAATTCTCAAGTCTTCCTCTTTCTTAGTTTGCTTCCTCATTCTGTAGAGCATCTGAGAAATGGTACCTGGGAGATAAATTTTTTGAGAAAATGCATATCTGAAAAATGTCTTTTACCTTAACCTTTATTTGACATTTTGGCTACATTTAGAATTTTAGTTTATATATCACTTTCCAACAAAATGTTTAATGCCAGGCTCCTTTTCATCTGGATTCTGGTATTACTCTTGAAAAGTCTGATGCCCTTCTACTCCTAGTCCTTATTTTTTCTCTTTTGTATTTCTCTGGGAATTTTCAGGATCATTTCTTCATTCCTAGTGTTCTAAAACTTCACTATGACATGCCTTGGTGTGACCTTTTCTTCTGGTTATAGGTTATAGTATTTTTCTGCTTCTTCATTTGTCTAGTAATTTTTTAAGCCAGATATTGTGAATTTTATACTGTTAAGTGCTGAGCTTTGTACTATTCCTTTTAAGAGTGTTGGACTTTGCTCTGGAAAGAAGTTAAATTACTTGCATATTAGTTTTATCCTTTAGCAGCTTGTTTTTAAGCCCTTTTAAAGCAGATCTAGAGTAATACATAGCAATGACATAGTAGTGCATAGATGTAGTTCTAATACATAGCACTTCTATTGTCACTACTGAATGGTCTGTGTATTCAGCAAGGCCATTCTACTCTGACTGATAGGAATTTGAGTGGGTCTCACCCCCATTAACCTCCCAGAATATTTTTGGTTGACAGCTTCCCAATAATTGCTTTCCCCAGCAGTTGTTCCTTCTTAGCCTCTCAGAATTCCACTCTACTCTTGTGTCAAAAAATTAAGGAGATCCTTATGGGGATTTCTAGAACCCTTCTCTTTTGCTCCCCTCTCTCAGTTCTTTGCCCCACAATTTCCAGCTACCTTTCTACCCACCCACTCCTTCCCCTCATTCCAACTCAACAAGGCTGCCAGTCTCTTTGTTCTTCTCTGTTCTTTATTCAAGAGATCATTCCCAGTCATAAGCCCGAGCAATCACAGGACTCACTTCATTTGTTTTTTTTCTCTCAGGGATCACAGTCCTATTCTTCCTATTGTCCAATAACTGAAAATAGTTATTTCACATAACTAGTTCTATTTTCTTTCTTTCTTTCTTTCTTTCTTTCTTTCTTTTTTTTTTTTTTTTTTTTTTTTGAGACAGTCTCACTCTGTCACCCAGGCTGGAGTGCAGTGGTGCAATCTCGGCTCACTGCAGCCTTCACCTCTTGGGTTCAAGCTATTCTCATCTCTCAGCCTCCTGAGTAGCTGGGATTACAGGCGCATGCCACCACGCCCGGCTAATTTTTGTATTTTTAGTAGAGACGGGGTTTCACCATGTCGGCCAGGCTGGTCTTGAACTCCTGACCTCAGTTGATCCACCTGCCTTAGCCTCCCAAAGTGCTGGGATTACAGGCATGAGCCACCGTGCCTGGCAACTTGTTCCATTTTCTAGTTGTTTTTGTCATGAAGGCAATTGTGGGCTCTGTTAGTCCCTCATGGCCAGGATAAGAAGTCTGGTGTGACCTTTTTAAATTCATTGTTTGGATACTGGTTGGACACATTTAATGTACAAAAATGTCTCTTTCAAATCTGGGAAATTTCTGTATATTTATTTAATAATTTTCCCTTCTGTTTTCTGTTTTCATTTTTCTGACACTTCCAGTAGTTGGATATTAGACATTCTGAGTGCTCTCCTAACTTTCTTGCCTTTGCTCTCCTATTTTCTCTTTCCTTGTCTTCTTATCCTACCTTCTGGAGATTTCCTCAACTTTACTTTTCTTGTAAAATTATTATTCCTATCGCACTTTTATTTCTAAAAGCATTTTATTATTTTATGAATGTTCCTTTTTATAGTTCTCTATTCTTATTTTATGGCTGAGCAAAAGAATGTTGTCACTTTGGGAGGCCGAGGCGAGCAGATCACCTGAGGTCAGGAGTTTGAGACCAGCCTGGGCAAAATGGTGAAACCGTGTCTCTACTAAAAATACAAAAATTAGCTGGGTGTGGTGGTGCACACCTGTAGTCTCAGCTACCAGGGAGGCTGAGGCAGGAGAATTGCTTGAACCCAGGAGGCGGAGGTTGCAGTGAGCCGAGATCATACCATTGCACTCCAACCTGGGTGACAGAGCAAGACTCTGTCTCAAAATAAAAAACAAAAAGCAAACTAACAAACAAAAGAATGTTGAATGGCCATTCTGGATTAATCTTTATCACTCTGGTAGGGTCATTATCTTATTAATTTTTTGTGTATGCAGTGCCTAGCATAGTGTCTGAACAAATGTCAGTTAAATTGTTGAATATCTTGTATATGGATAGGCAGAAAGAACAGTGGAATATAAAGAGATCTGGGTTGGAGATCAGGCTTAGCTATTTACTAGCCATAAAGATCTTGATCAAGTCAGATTTTTTTCTCTTCAAGCCCTAGTTGTTTCATCATGGGAGTTGGCTCCTTCCATGGCTGCTGTGAATATCAAGTGAAGTTCTAAGATCAACACACAAGTCAAAGTCTCATGGGGAAAATTACTCTTGAGAAAATTCTTAAACCATGCATCAAGCACATCACACATGATTTTATTTATATAGGCTTGAACACTAAAAATTGAAAACCACTCAGCTACATTTAAAGAAACAAAAGCAAAGTCTACATGTGGATGTAGTAAGTTTCATGAGCATCTGTTTTATTCTGCTTTTCCAATGCTATCAAATCTCTGGGGCAGGCTTTCTCATTTCTATTGACATGTGGTACCAGATAATTCTTTGTTTTGGGGGACTGTCCTACTCACTGTCGAATGTTTAGCAGCATCCATGGCCTCTATCCACTAGATGCCCACAGAAACCTCCCCCCTTATCCCTCCATCCTCACCATTGTGACAACCAAAAATGTCTTCAGACATTGCCAAATGTCTGAAGTAGGGGAGCAAAATCATCATAATTCTGAAGCACAGCCCTAGAATAAGTGACAACTAGGTTTTCTAAAGCTTTCTTATTTGCCTGTGACATTTACTCCATTCTTCTTTAATATTAAGTCTCTGAAACCATATTACATGCCAATATATATGTTTGTTGTTCTGAGGATTAAATGATACAATGTGTGCAAAAACATCTAGCACAGGGCAAAGCACATTGATAAATATTTGCTGTCTTTGGCCAGGTGCGGTGGCTCATGCCTGTAATCTCAGCACTTTGGGAGGCCAAGGCGGGCTGATCACCTGAGGTCAGGAGTTCCAGACCAGCCTGGCTAACATGGTGAAACCCTGTTTCTACTAAAAATACAAAAAATTAGCCAGGTATGGTGGCACGTGCCTGTAATCCCAGCTACTTGGGAGGCTGAGGGAGGAGAATCACTTGAACAGGGGAGGCAGAGGTTGCAGTGAGCCGAGATTGTGCCATTGCACTCCAGCTTGGGCAACAAGAGCAAAACTCAGTCACAAATATATATATTTGTTATCTTTGAATCTAAACCTGGCCTGGTCAGACTCACGGGCCCATCACTTTTTGGAAAGCAGTAGAGAAGAACATGTCCACCTACTTCCAGTCTTTCCAACCTGGTATGTCCTATCAGGGTCTCCATGGTGCAGTAGGGCTACCTCTCATGCCCTGGGCCACTGTTCTCATCCTCTGAGGGGGTTAAGTTTTAATCCCACATGTAAATTAAATACACTGATCATGTGACTACAAGCCACATGAAAGTTTTATAAACTTATTACTATTTGTAGCTTCTAAGCTTCTGCTCACAGCTACCTTCTTATCTTCCTAAAACTCCTTAGTTCCATAGTGAAGAGTTGCTTCAAGATCCTCAAATTTCCCAGCTCTCTGTTTGCTTTAGTTCTGTAAGTAATCACTTTTGTTGTTATTTCACTCTTCTAATGTCATTTTACTTTTCATGACCTAATATTTGGACTGCAAGCTCCCAAATGAGAGTGGGGAGAACCATAGCTGATGTGTCTTTGTATTTCTAACAGTGCCTGACATGTGTCTTGCATAGATCCTCAAAAAAACATTTGAGAGATTCGTAGTGCTTTTAAAGTATGTCTGCAAAGTATTTGACACCATCAAATGTGATGCTAGCTTAATGACTCAACTTTAACAAACAGAATGCAGGGGAAGTGATACAATGTGTCTTCCAAAGCTGGGTCATAAAGGTGACAGCTCCTGCCTGGCTTTCTCTTGGAACATGCGCCTTGGGAGCTCTGAGCTAACATGGAAGAAGTCTGGCTACTCTGAAGCCACCACAGAGAGCAGTCTTATATGAACAGAAAGATCCCAACAGAATAGAGAACCAGAAATAAATCTGTGCATTTATGTTCAACTGATTTTCAACAAAGGTACCAAGAACACACAATGGGAAAAGGACAGTCTCTTCAATACATGGTTTTGGGGAAAACTGGGAATCCATATGCAGAGGAATGAAATTAGACCCTTATCTCATATGATATACAAAAATCAACTCAAAATGGATAAAAACTAAAACATAAGACCTGAAACTGTGAAACTCCAAGAAGAAAACGTAGGGGGAAATCTCCATGACATTGATCTAGGCAATGATTCTTTTAAATGACTCCAAAAGCACAGGCAACAAAAGTGAAAATAGACAAATGGGATTAAATCAAACTAAAAAGCTTTGGCGCAGCAAAGAAAACAATTAACAGAATGAAGAGAGAACCTACAGAATGGGAGACAATATCTGCAAACCAGACATCTAATAAGAGGTTAATATCCAAAATATGTAAGGAAATCAACTCAATAGCAAGAAAAAAAATAAGCTAGTTTAAAAATGGGCAAGGGATCCAAATAGATATTTTTCAGAAGATGCACAAATAATAAAATAGGTATATGAAAAAATGGTTAATATCACTAATCATCAGGGAAATGCAAATTAGAAACCACAATAAGATATCATCTCACACCTGTCAGAATGGCTATGCATCAAAAAGATTAAAAATAACATATATTGGAGAGGATATAGAGAAAAAGGAACCCTTGCACACTGTTGGTGGGAATGTAAATTAGTACAGCCATTATAGAAAACAGCATGGAGTTTACTCAAAAAGCTAAAAATAGAAATGCCACATAATCCAATAATCCCACTACTGGGTATAGAGCCAAAGGAAATAAAATTGGTATGTTGAAGAGATATCTGTACTCTTGGAATGCATTGCATCATTATTCACAATACCCAAGATATGGAATCAACCTAAGTGTCCATCAATGGGTAAATAAAGAAAGAAAACATGGTACATATACACAGTGGAAAACTATTCAGCCTTTAAAAAGAAGGAAATCCTGTCATTTGCGACAACGTGGATGAACCTAGAGGACAATACATTCAGTGAAATAAGCCAGGCACAGAAAGACAAATACTAGGTAATCTCACTTACATGTGGAATTTGAAAATGTTGAACTCATAGGAGCAAAGAGTAGAATAGTGGTTGCCAAGGCCTGGGTGTGGGAAAGGGCATGGGGTGATGTTGGTTAATGGAGCTACAGAGTTTTAGGTAGATAAGAGAAATTAGTTCAAGAGGTCTACTGTACAGCATGATGACTATAGTTAATAAGAATGTGTTGTAGTTTTGAAAATCACTAAGAGTAGATTTTAAGTGTTCTCACCACAAAAAAAATTAAGTACGTGAGGCAATGCATATGTTAATTAGCTCAATTTAGTAATTTCATAATGTATTCATATGTCAAAACATCATGTACACAATAAATATATAAAATTTTTATATGTCAATTAAAAGAAAGAAAACAAACAGAAAGATGCCCAAGAAATGCCAGTGTCAGCTGTTTTAGTCTTTTCAGCATTAATCTCAAGAAATGTCAGTGAATAAGCCTTTAGATTATTCTAACACCAGTCTTTAAGCTACCCAACTGCCATCCCACTATCCCCGCTGAGCCCTTCTCAACTTGCACATTCATAAGCAAAATAAATGTTGTTTTAAGCCATTATGGTTTGGGTGGTTTGCTATGCAGTATTTGATAACTGGAAGATATTGGATCCACCAGCAAGGAGCTATAAAATACCTGACCAAAAATATTAGCCGTTTCAAATACTAGAAGCTGAAAGGTGAATGGCTAAGTTCACTCTAATTGCACCATCTTATTTTGCTGGTTCCCTATCTGAGCTTTAGAAAGAGGTAGTGTTACCTTGACAACAAAGACCATCCAAAAATCTCTGGGTTGACATAATATTAACCCTCACATTCCAACTTCCTGGGGATTTATATTTCACTTTTCCAAGCCATACTTTCTGTGCATGTGCTAGATTTTTCCAGCTAATGGTTTCAACGGCATTAATGATGAAATGTGGCTTTTTGCTAGACAGATGTGGAATATTTGTGTCTTACTCCTTACCAAGTGAACTGCAGAGATGATCTCATTAAAGTCTTCTGAAAGAAATTCTGCACAGCAATCAGACTCATTTTTGCTTAAAATTATAGGTGCCCAAATGTAGAGATGGTTGCCAGCTTTTGGTCTTGCTAGGATGAAAATGGCATTGTGTGCAGGGGGTGCTGTCGTGTACTTGTGTCTTTGGTCCACACTGGTGCTCTCAACAGATCCCTTAGCCCTCTTCTGGCTGAATTTTTTTTTCTAGTTTGTTGTTTAAAATTCAAACTTGTCTGGCCTTCACAAGCAATTTACCAGGAGCTGAACTTAAAAATGTAAACTGATGTCAGATGTTAGATTTATCTAAAATATCCAGGAAAATCAGAACATTGCATTTTAATGACTTGGCAGGTGGTCCATGATCATGATGAATTTCTTACTCTAGTTGACACATTTTCAAATGTTAATGTCCTCTCAAGGAATAAACTGTGTTCTAATGATTGAAATAATGGCTTCAAAGGTGAGCATTCAGCTTATTATGGTTTCAAATCTTGGCAGTGTGCATGGAGAGGTGTTAGGTTATGCACTCGACAGAGAAATAATTATGACCACGTAATGAAAAGGAGAAGAGGCTTTCAGAGAAGGATTATGAAGAGGGCCTAAGTCATGAGGAACAGACTCCTTCTCAGGATGGAACTACCCTGAATCAAGTGCAACACAATGCAGAAGACACTAGATCAAGTTTCCTCAAAATTGCACAATTCACACTCACCAGGGTCCCAGTTTGTGGACACACTTTTTTTCTCTGACCCAAAAGGAGGACTCAGAGATATTTTTTTTTCCTGTCAAAACTCAGCTCTCTTTAAGCCTAATGCTGAGTCCAAAAAGGCTGAAACTTGACAGTAACAAGGTGAGTTCTCAGCTTTTTCAACTCTCCAGGAGGAAAGGAGAACAGACAACCTCCTGGTGACCAAACACACTTCTATCTGCAGTCTGACTGATAGAATTTATTTGAAAAAAATATAGAGTAACTGTCAGCACCAGGAGAAAGGAATTGGAAATATTCTCCGGAAAGGAATTATTGGTCCCCTATGGCATTGCTTCTTTACTTTAAGCCATAGTTGATAAAAGTTTCCCCCTTTGCCTTGCAATTCCTAATTAAGCCCATCCTGAGCTACCTTCTTAGGGAAAACATGTATCTCAGTCCATTTAGGTGCTATAACAAAATATATTAGACTAGGTATCTTATATTAATAGACAAGATAAATTTATTTCTCACAGTTCTGGAGGCTGGGAAGTCCAAGATCAAAGCTCTGGCAGATTTGGTGTCTGGTGAGGACCCACTTCCTGGTTCATAGACTGTGCTTTCTCCCTGGGTCCTTACAAGGTAGAAGGGGTGAGGAGTCTCTCTTGAGACTCTTTAATAAGGGCACTAACCCAATTTCTGAGGGCTCCACCCCATAACCTAATCACCTCCCAAGGACCCAACCTCCTAATACCATCACCTTGGGGATTAGGATTTCAACATATGAATTTTGGGGAGACACAAACATTCAGACTATAGCAACATGCAAAATGCTTCACCATAGAAATGCCATCAGTACACTGCTAGCCACACTTAGGATAATGATTTGGCCAAGGCAGAAAATCTCCTTTCTTTTCCTGAGATTAATATACTGTGAATGATATAGATGCAAACATTCAGCGGAGTGGCACTAAGAAGGAAGGGAAAACTGATTACCCTACTCTCAAATCTTGTTTTGCACCTGAGCAAAGGCAGGCCTCCAACAAGTCCTATGTATTAGTTTTCTGTGCTATGTAAAAAATGATCACAAACTTCGTGTCTTAAAAAGCACTCATTTATATCTCGCAATTTCCATGGGTCAGGAATCTGGGTATCACTTAGCTGAGTTCTTTGCCCAGGGTCTCACCAGGCCTCATTTCCATCTAGATGTTAGGGTCCTCTTGCAAGATCACTGGTAATTGGCAGAATTCAGATCCTCAAACTGAGGATCTGATCTGAGGCCCCATTTCCTAAAGACCACCTGCTATTCCCACCAAATGGTCCTGTCACAACCATGTGCTTCTTCAAGGCTGCATTAGTCAGGTCAGTTTGCTACAACAAAATACCATAGACTCTGTGGCTTAAATAACAGAATTTTTTTTTAAGTTCTGGAGGCTGAAAGTCCAATATCAGGGGACCAGCATGGTTGGTTTCTGATGAGGGCTCTCCCCTTGGGTTGTAGGTGGCAACCATCTTGCTGTGTTCACATGACCTCTTCTTTATGCAAACTTGGGAGTGGGTGGGGGTGTAAAGAAAGAAAGCACAAGAGGGCACAAGTGCTAGCTGTCAGGTGTCTCTTCTTATAAGGGCATTAATTTCATCATGAGGGAGAACCTCATCTAACCCTAATTACTCTCCAAAGGCTCTATCTCCAAGTACCATCACATTTGGAATTGGGGCTTCAACATATAAATTTTGGAGGGAGTTTTTGGGGACAAGCATATTCAGCCCATAACAAAGCCAAAAGGAAAATTTCTCTAATTTCTTTCATTTCTGACCTCTGGATTTCCTTATAAAGGGGTCACCTGATTAGATCAGGCCCTCAGAGGCTCCAGGACAGGGGATTAGACCAGGCACATACACGAAGGGGCTCTCTAAGAACTCTGCCTACCATACCCTATCATTGACCCTATGGTGTCCTATTCTCTCATATCCCTTTACCCCTCAGCACTCTCATCTGTCACTCTCGCTACCACACATGCACGCATGTGACATGCACACACACACACTCGCCACTCTTCACGGACACCTACAAATGAGCTGCAGTCATTTGGCCATGTCCCATGGCCTCCCATGTCCTCTTCCTGTCCCCATTTCCATCTTGACCTAAAAGGGCTAGCCTGTTGGAGTACAGAAAGAAGCAATGAGAAAATAGTTTTTTCTTTCTGCCAATTATTAATAAATCTCCATTTGAACCTGATATCTTTTCTCTAAAGACATTCACCAATCATTAATAGTTACAGTGACTAGTATCTATGAGCTTCTAAAGGGCTTACTAAAAATGTATGACATCTAAAAAAGGAAAAAGCTATTGTCTTTAAAATGTAAAATTTGATATTATTAAATATTTAGTTGTATGCTTATAAAATATCAGGATGAATAAGTTATATGACTATATTTTAGTTAATGAGGGATATGAAAATATTTTAATATGTTTGATATGATGGGGTATAGAGCTCCAAAAATAAGAGTTTCTAGGAGTAGGACCCACGAAGTTTTCAAACAACTGAGACATATTTACCCCCAGCACTAGAATTGATAGGGTGAGGTTTGAGTGGAGAAATCTCAGAGCAGCACTTACTTTACTATACTTTCTACTTTTAAGGCATCCTGGCATTTAAGCTTTTACCTGATCTTACTGATTTCCTTTCGAATTAGAAAAAGCAAATACATATATATATATTTTATTTCACATATTGGGAAAGAATGATAAATTAAGTTACTTATCGAAGGCCACAGTAGAATCATAAGGAAGAACATGGTCTGCTCTCAAACTACAGAATCACAGATTCTGGGCATCGAACAGTTGATGGCATCATCTGATAGGTGCAGAGAAAATGTGAGGAGCCCAGGATCCCACTAGACAGCAAGTGAATATTAGAGACAGGAATCAAGGCTGGTTGCCTCCTCCCCCAGAGTTCTTTCCAATACAACACACTTTCTCTTTCTTAACACTAGACTCACATTTTTTCAGTTCAACCTCTGCATCTTTCAAACCAGACCTTACTGTATGATTTTTCCAATTAATTCCTTTCATCACAAATCTCACCTAGAATTTGATAATAAACTGTGAGCAGAACCCTAGAATCTTGGTGATAGACTCTCAGAGATCATCTAATCCATCCTCTCCTCCAGGCTGGATATTGCTTCAACAATATCCCTTACATGTGGTCAACTAGCCTCTACTTTATTACCTCCAGTAACAAGGAGCTCACTACCAAAGACATGGGCAACTACATTCTGAGCAACCTTAGCTGTTGAGATGTTCTCCCATCCTCTAACTTCACATGTGGTTTTCTGGAGGTACATGAAATAAGTGTAAGTCCTTTCAGAGGCCACTGTGTCTCATATTTGAAGACGATTACCTTTCTCCAATCACTTCCCCTCCCAGACTTTCTCAGTGTCAGTGTTATCAGTACTAAGACTTCTTCCTCAGCCAGAAGTGTCCCATGAATTACAAGATATTTAGCATCACTGGTCCTCCAAGAACCAAACTCCACTAGCCCTAGACTCTTACCTTATGACAACCTATTTGTGGTGACAACACAAGATTCCCCTGGCACTTTCAAAAACCTTTGGAGAGAGGAAGAATACTGTCCTTGATCGAGAAGCACTGTGAGTCGAGGCCACGACTCCCCCCACCCCCACACATTTACTGTATTAAACATGGTATAGCTATAGAAGGCTCTCTCAGTTCATGGAATTCTCAAAGCCATCCATGATGGGAGCTTTGTGCCACTGTTCTCAGAACACAGGATTACAGAGGGAATGAGAGAATTAATGACAGGAATTTAACACTGAACAGAAGGAAGCCTTCTGCCATATATAGGAATCTGCCCTTTTGCACCACACGCATGTGCTCCCCACTTGAAAGCCACCCTCCTCTCTTCCTGTTGCAATCGGGAAGCATGTGTTGCCAATTAAGTAGTTTTTCTGAATTAGAAATTCAAATTACATTGTTTCCCACCCAAATAGCCATCTCTCAATTATTTTTCCAACTGAAGTGCCATGTAGTTCTTCAAATGTCTTTCACCTTTGGCCATTGTTTTCTTTGGATCTTTTGATTTTGATTAAAATTGCCTAAGTCAGAATAATTGTAAAAACAGAAAAAAGATTGAAACCCAAATTGCCCTTGAGATTGCTTTGAAATCAGAGCACAACCCTGGCAAGTGATTACAATTTCATTGAATGTGAGACCACCACACAGGACCTCCAGGCTTGACCACTCATTCCCAGAATATTTTTGATTGCACACGTGATAATGATTGTATTTTGAGAAGCAGCGGGCAATACACAGTATAGAGGTAAAAACATGGGCTTCTTGCTTTGAATCCTGGGTCTGCCATCTACCAGCTATGTGACCATGGGCAAGTTTGTTAACCGCTCTGTGCCTCAGTTTCCCCTTCTGTAAAATGGAGGTAATTTACACCTCCTAAGGTTGTTATCAGGATTGAATGAGCTAAGGCACTGTCACAGGTACTGTCAGCACCCCACCAGACCCCCTTGGAGCATTTTTATGGTTTCTATATACCCATTCCCTGGCTACTATGTATGGAGTAGAAGGGGTGGGGGGTGTTTTTCATCTTCTTCTAACATCCTGTAACTCTCATCACAGAACTGTTTGATAGCTACTAAAGCTGCTTTGTGTTGAGGCACAAAAAGCCAGAAATACCTAAAAGTTTATGTCCCCCAACACCACCATCAGCCCATTGGACGGCCCTTAGCCAGCAACTGACTGGGGCAGAAATATGAAAGGCCCAGTTCCTTTGCCATGCGTGAGGACCAACCCTGTGATGTACTTAACACTCCAGAGCACCCCATTCGACTGAGCTAAGACTGGGACTCACCTGCAATAACACCCTTGTTTGACTTCTTCCACTCTGTCCTTCCTCTTCCCATTCTCTGGGCAAAATCCTATATAAATCCCCTGCATACAAATCCTCTTCTCAGTGTCTGGAAATCCAACCTGAGACAGGCACTTTACTCTAATTCACACCTGGTAAGCACTTAATAAATGTTAGCATTCATTATGTATGTTTTTAGTAGCCACTATGAATCCAAAAACACTTTTTTTTTTTGAGATGGAGTCTCGCTCTGTTGCCCAGGCTGGAGTGCAGAGGCATGATCTCAGCTCACTGCAACCTCTGCCTCCCGAATTCAAGTGATTCTCCTGCCTCAGCCTCCTGAGTAGCTGGGATTACAGGTGTGCACCACCATGGCCAGCTAATCTTTGTATTTTTAGTAGAGACAGCATTTCACCATGGTGGCCAGGCTGGTCTCAAACTCCTGGCCTCAAGTGATCTGCCTGCCTCGGCCTCCCAAAGTGCTGGGATTACAGGCATGAGCCACCACACCCGGCCCCAGTAACACTTTAAAATGAACCTGAATTTTATCAGTCACAGTCACTTCTAAATACATTTGAAAAATAATTACATATGTGCAAGACATTGTGTGCTCAGCCTGCAGCAAGCTGGACAGACAGCTTGGACCAAACTACAATAACCCCACTATTCTCCATGACCCACATTTTGGAAGCATGGCTTTCAAACAAGTCCTTCATCTCACTGGAAATCAAACCACGGACAGCCTGTATCTAAGCCTATGTGAGCGTATGGTGAGTGAGTGATGAGCAGGATGTAGCACAAAGGTCTCCTGCCTAGTTCACTGCCATTTTCCTTGCACCCTTTATCCTCTTGCTGGATGGTTTTCAGAGATAACTAAACCACCAAGCCTCAGAAGCCCTTCTCAGACAGCTGCAGTAACACTTATCACTAGTTATCACAGGCCTTGTGTGCACAGCACCCATGCTGGATATTTTTATGAACATCAAAGTATACAGAAACTCCCTGCCTTCTAAAGTTTGTCACTGAGTATGGACAAAAGGCCAAATGCAGAAGAAACACATGAAAATACTCGGAAAGCATTAGGAAGTTGAGACTATTCAGGCGTGTGGAATAAATTTAGAGATGGAAGGAACCTTAGAAGATGTCTGTTTTCTGGTGATTTTCAGCACATCTTTTTAAGCAGTAGAATGTTTGGTTCAAATGAAGTCTTACACCAAAATTCAGATTATAGAAAAGGTAGAAGCAGGGGCACTCCAACTGAAAAGGGTAAAAGATTAGAGCCCTGGGACACCATCTCCCCTCCCATCTCCCCTACCAACTGATCTAGGCTAAGCCCCCACTCATTTACAGCTGGATCAGGGGCAGAATTTACAGTCCCACGACCAGCTCACCCATGGCCTCTCTGAGGCCCTTATTTCCTCTCACCTGGTGATATGGTTTGGCTGTATCCCCACCCAAATCTCATCTTGAATTGTAGTTCCCATAATCCCCATGTGTCATGGAAGGGACCCAGTCGGAGGTAATTGAATCATGGGGGAGGGTTTTTCCCATGCTGTTCTCATGATAGTGAATAAATCTCATGAAAAATTATGGTTTTAGAAAGCGCAGTTTCCCTGCACATGCTCTCTTGCCTACTGCCATGTAAGATGTGCCTTTGCTCCTCCTTTGCCTTCCACCATGATTGTGGAATTGTGAGTCCATTAAACCTCTTTTTTTAAATAAATTGTCCAGTCTCAGGCATGTCTTTATTAGCAGCACAAGGACAGACTAATACACCTGGTCTTGAATAGCAGCCCGACTCTTTTCCTGCTTCCTGTGCCTTAGGAAGATTCCTCTGAGAGTTCAGAGTGTGTGGGATGGGAGGTATTAATCAGGATGGGGGTGAAGTGGGAGTGGTAAAAAAAGCTTCAAAGAGTTAACTTCACTGAGGGCAAGTTTTTTTCCTCCATATTTTTCCTCCAGAAAGGGAGTTTTCTTATCTAAGAATGGGCAATATAAAGTAAATCCTCATAAGAATGATACCCAGGGCCTGCCCCATCTCAGAAAGTGACAGTGAGAGTGCTGTGGGTTCCCACGGCCAGCTGTCACAATCTAAAGGAGGGATGTGCCCCAGGAATGGTTCCAGACCGATAAACACAGAGTCTGGAAGGAAAGCCATTTGCAGCATGTGGCATGCCCACCCCATCCAGGGCAGGTTTTGGTGCCTTTTCTGCCTAGTTCTGTTCTTCAAAATCCACTTGGCAATGTGAAAAATGCAGATTTGCACATCTGCTGGCATTCTCTACAAGAAGTGGGCTATGTGAAAAATGCAGTTTTACAGATCTGCTGCCATTCATTCTTTACAAGAAGTAGCTTCCAGGAATAAGGCAGGAGGATTAGTGCTATGGGCATTCTCTCCTGTGGCCCAGTCACTGGCCTTGTTGTCAGGGATACTGCCCAGAAAGAAATGAGCAGACAACTCAGGAGTGGCCTCAAGGATCACTCTGAGTGGCCAGGAGTCAGTCTCTGAGGGTCCCGGTTTCCGGATGTTCTCCAGCCCCCTTTGCCACACCACTTCCCAGCCCATCAAGCCTGCTTTCAGGAGATCCCAACAGTCATGCTGATACCTTAAGGATCATGGTTTCCCAGAGAGTATTCACATATATTGACAAAGGGATGTTTTGCTCAAATAGGTTTGGGAAATCCAAAGTTAAAGAAGTTTATTTTCTAGGGGACTTCTCAGAGCCTTTCAAACCTAATGATTGCTAGGAAGTTCCAACAATATAATACCTATACGTATACTGCATTCCCCAATATGACTTAGTCATGGGGCTCCTTACCCAGCAGCCTCTTCTTAAACTAATGGCATTTGATTTAGTTTGTTCCCTTCCTTTTCTCTACCTCAGCAGTTCTCAAAGTGTGATCCACAGACCCACTTTCAGGGATCCACAAGGCTCAAACTATTTTCATAATAATAGTGAGACATTATTTGTCTTCTTCACTGTGTTGAAATTCACTGACACTGTGGAAGTATGGGGAGTAAAACTGCTGGTGCCTTAGCAGTATCAAGGCTGAGGCAAGCTGCACTAGTGATCATTCTGTTCTTTACCACCACATGCTTCCAAGAAGAAAAAGCCAATTTTGCTTAAGAATGGCATTGAGGAGGCAGTAAAAGGTATGAATTTCATTAAGTGGCTATCTTTGAGTATACATATTTTTAATATGTTGGGTGACTAAATGAGAAGTACATATAAGCACTTCTGCTGCATACTGAAGCATGCTAGTGGTCTCCAGGAAATCCTCTGGTGCAATATAGTTTGAGCTGTGAGCTGAATGAGCCTCTTTTTTAATGGGACAACATTTTACATGGCTGACAGACAGACCATAGTTATTCAAACTTCAGTATTTGGCAGATATTGACTCAAAAATAAAAATAATGAGCCTATCTGTACAAGGAAAACAACTGACAGAATTTGACGCCAATTATAAAATTTGAGGTTTCAAGGAAAAATTAGAATTTTGGAAAACTTACATGCTCCACCAAGTGTTTGACAGCTTAAAGACAATGAGCTCTATGGTGATATTAACAAATGTGATGTTTTGATATGATACAAAATGAAACGTGTCAAAATTTGGAAGATCTGCGAAACTCAGTGAACTATTATTTTCAAAATAATGTGTTATGTTATAAAATCTTACATGGGTATAAGATTCATTCAGAGTGCAAATTAGACCAGTGCATTTTAATGTAACACAGTATAAATTGCCATTGCTATGGTTCGGTTCCAGATTTTACATGCATCCTCCTAGAAATCACCACGTGTCAAGGCTTGTGGTAATGTCAAAGCAGAATATCTACAAATATCTGAAAAGACTATCAAAATACTCCCCCTTTTCCTGACTATATACCTGTAAGGGGTTAGATTTTCTTCATTTACTTAAACCAAAGCAGCATACCACAACAGGTTGGATGAAGAAACAGATATGAGAATTCAGCTGCTTCTTTTAAGCTGCACATCAAAGAAATTTACAAAAGTGTAAACCAATGTCACTCTGAGTCTTACTAAGTTTTTTGTTTTATTTTAGCAAATAGAGACATATTTCCAACTGAAAAAAGTATTCAATTATCTTGTCATGATTTTGTTATTGATATTTTAATGAATTAATACATATTTTAAATATATTTTTTAATTTTTATATCAGGAATTGGCAAACTATTCTGCAAAGGACAGGTAATATTTTAGGCTTCACAGGCCACACAGACTCTGCTACAACTACTCAACTCTGCCACTGTACTGTGAAAGCAGCCACAGACAATATGTAAATGAATGGGGTTGGCTGTGTGCCAATAAAACTTTATTTACAAAAACAGGTGGTGAGCCAGATTTGGCCCATGGGTCATAGTTTGCTGACCCCTATCTTATATGCTAAGTATCAATAGATATAGCCAACTTAAAAGCATTTCGCGATCTTCAACAATTTGTAAGTGTAAAGGGGTCCTATGACTTAAAAGATTGAAAAACCCTGTTCTACCTGAAGTCTGAACACTTTGTCATCTTTACACAAGAATTCAGATGTACAGAAAGGTCATGGGAGGTATATTGGGGTGGGAGCCCTTCATCTGAAGGGCATCAGCCTGCTCTGGCTCTCCATAGGACAAATCCCATAGCTAACTGATGGTTTGGCAAAGTAAGATCACAAATATTCAGGACTCCACCTTCACATGCCCAGACACCTCTGGAATACACTTCATCTGCAAAAAGGATCAAGCTTTGACTACCGTGGATACTGTGAGTTCATCCAAATGAACAAATAAGTGAAATCAACAAAAATCTCCCCCTCTCGACGACAAAAGTCAGGAGATGCCAAAGTATATCTGTAGGATAACCTCCAACTAGCTCCGGGAAAGCTTCTGCCCAGTGGTGACAGCAGCCTACATGGGGGTGAGGCTAACAGGTCAGATGCTCGAACAAACAAAACATTTCAGACCTAGTAGCACACGGAGACTCCAGACTGCTCAGGGCATGCCAGTTACAGTAGACTCATCAGGCTTGGTGAAAGGCTGGCTCCTCAGCCCTGAGCTTTTGTTGTATATTTTAATTCAGGAACTGAGTCACACCTGCAAATCCTGTGACAAATGATGTTGTATTAACGTTGAAGAGTGCCAGCTCATCTCCTGGGTTCCAAGCCAAACTGACATAATAGAGTCTTTTTAAAAACCCACTAGAAAAAGTTGGTGTAAGGTCCAAAATATTTCAAGGAATGAGCACTTCTTAATTTGTGAATAAGTTCTGTGTCAATCAGCTATAATAAGATAAAAGCCTATCATTAGAGACCCCAAGCAAACTCAGAGTGGCCGCCATAGCCCCATTCTGTGGGACTTTCTGTCCTTGCCTGTATTTTTCCTTCTAGCAATGCTCTGGGAGACAAGCAGAATTTTCTGGTACCTTTCACACAGTTGGCTCTCCTGTCTGCCAATCTTCTGAGTGTTTTCATTTCACTCCCTCCATGATTGTAGTGGATTAACACATCAAGCTGTGAGGTTTCACAAACATGAAATGTCAATGCAAACACAGATATATCCAAAATAGCAGCACTCTGCTATTTTATAGCAAACATCGCCAACTGCCCCCCAACACACATACGCACATCCAATTTTCCTCAGTTGACAAAGCTGTCCAATTGGGCCTGTCTCTTCAGGATTCTGCTTTAGACTCACCAAGTAGCAACACACAGAGGTTCCAGTGTTTCTTTTGCTTTTAAAGGAGCTAAGCTCATCAGAGAAGCAGGGCACAGGGTAAACACACCTGAGAGCAATAATTTAAGCATATCCTAAGAATGACCCTGTATGGCAGATGCACCTGAATGTGTGTTCTGAGCTAGGAGATCCAGGAGTAGACAAGCGGGAGATTCATTCTTTATCTATGATAAAGATCTGAGCCCCTGGTCTCTCCCGTGGAAGATGGACCATTCAGGGGATTGAGGCCCTGAGTTTTGGGGTAAATGAAGGTTGCCAGGTGGAGGTCGTTAGGAGGAGGGTTTTAGGTGAAAATGCTATATAGACTGCATGCTGTTTGCAGGTGGTTGTGGTTCTCATGCCTAGCCTGCTGCCGCTGAACTCTCTCCCCTGTTTGTAAGCCCTTAATAAAAGTCCACGTCTTGTTTGCTGGCTCAGGGTCTCTTCTTTGACCTCTTGAACTTGGCGCCTTCCCTACTGGGGTGAATAGGGGTTCACCACAGCACAGGATAAGCAAAACTCACACATGCAAAGCAATGGCAATCGGCATTTAAGGGACAGACCAGGTGGCTTCCATCTGATTAGAGGGAATAAAAGCAGCCTCAAGATGAGACAGAACAGTCTTGAAAGGTGAGGGAGAGCTACCTTCCTAGAGCAGAGGGTCTGTGATGTGGTGCCTGAGGAATTCCTGGAGAAAGGGTGGGTTCATGGGACTGGCACAAGCTCTAACAAGAGAAGGAGGAAACTGAGAGCTGTGCAAGAGCTTCAGAGCACCCCTGAACTGAGCAGGATAATATGACTCCTTTAAAATTGGACTTTGTGGAGTCAGGAGGTGACATCCAGAAAATTTGAAACCTGGATCATTGAGGAAGGCTCAAAGGCCAAGTCCCTTGAGTAAGAGGTCCACCCTACTAAGTTTCCAAATAAAGGGAGAAATTTAAACCCTCAGCCAACCAGGAAATCTAGGGCCTTCAGGTTGACAAGGCACCCAGGCCATAACCAAATCTACTCTGATGCTCACTAGTTTGGTGAAGCAGGACAAGTTCCTTGGTCTCTTCACACAGTTGGCTCTTGGTCTTTTTGAATCTATTTTCTCATTGGTCTTTTTGAACCTATTTTCTCACTGATAAAATGGGATAATAATTGTACTGTATTAGTCAGCTCAGGCTGCTGTAACAAATACAACAGACTGGGAGGCTTAGGCAACAGAAACTTATTTCTCACAGTTCTGGAGTCTGGAAGTCTGAGGTCAGTTCCCAGCAATGTGGGTTCTGGTGAGGGCCCTCTTACTGGCTTACGGATGGCTGCGTTCTCTGACTGTGTCCTCACATGGCACACAGCTCTCGTCTCTGCCACTTCTTAAAAAATCATCAATCCCATCACAGGGTGCCACCCTTATAACCCCATCTAAACCCATTCACTTCCCAAAGACCCCACCTCCAAATACCATTATACTGGGGCTTAGAGAGAGCTTATGTAGCATAGTGCCTGGCCTATCCTTGGAACACATTGAAGGTGGCTGTTTTTCTTGTTCTAATTTGTTTTAGGGAGTGGGCAGAGGAAGCATGTCTACAGGTCAGTATCACTGTTCACCCCATCGGAGCCATGTTTGGGCAGGTGGTTTCAATGATATTTCCAACAAAAGAGTTTGTTGCCTTTTACTTGAAGGTAGCCAGTCTTTGCTCCCTGATCACAAGAACGCTCCCTCCCAGTATCTATGTCCCAAGTGCTACAAAGAGGTCTGAGTTACAGAAAGGAGCAGTCTTCCTTTAGGAACTAGTATCAGGGCATCCTTGGCAACCAGGAGCCTGTGACTGGAGATGGAGGCATTCTCACTTTGTCTTTTCCACCAGAACACGGACCAGTTGTTCTCAAACTTGAACATAAACCAGAATCACTGAAGGGTTTGTTACACCCCAGGTTGCTGGGCCCTATCTCCAGAGTTTCTGATTCAGTAGGTCTGGGCTGGGTCCCAAGAATTTGCATTTCTAACAAGTTTCAAGGGGATGGTGTTGCCACTGGTTTTGGAACTACGCTTTGAGAACCACTAACATAAACACTAAAGCAGAGGATGCAGTAGCTCACTTCCTATGACAGTCAAATAGCTTCATAAAACCCACGGATTGGAAGATCCTACTCATGAACCAATGCCACTGGGACCTAGTGTCCCAACCCCAGAGCTGCACAGATTCTCAACAGCCTCTCAGCTGGAATCTGCTTAAGCCTACCAAGCTCCTGGGAAGAGGGGCGACCAGCACCACAGCTGTGGCTGCCTGCTGTCTAAGCCATTTGAGCTCCTCGTGGGAGGAGCAGCAGCCAGCATTGGGACTCACAACTGCCTAACACGCTAAGCTCCCTGGGCAAGGGAAGGACAGCACCCATTTCTATAGCTCCAGGCCACACTTTTCCCCTGCTGGAGCCAGGGAGGCTATACGGCTTGGTCCTAAGACATGTCCCCCACCGCCCAACACACCAGCTGTGGCAGACTGTGGCCAGAGCGCCTCTTCAGGCTTGACCCTGACTCATCCTTCCTCACTGGATAGGGCTTCCCTGCAGGAACTCCAATAACTCCAGCCAGAGGTTCAGGGACAGAACCCAGATCTCCCTGGGCTTGAGCCCCTAAGGAGAAGGGTGGCTGCAGTCTCTGTAGACCAGCAGACTTAGCCTTTCTCTTGGTATTTCGGAGGAATCCGGCAGCCCAGATGAGTGGGTTTCCCCCAAGCAAAGCACACCCCCTCCACCAATGGACAGTCAAAGTACTTCGTTAAATAGGTCCTGTTCCCCATCCCATCCAAGTGGGTGGGGCCCTCCAACAGGGGTTGTCAGACAACCTACACAGGAGCGATCCTACTGACATCAGTATGGTGCCCCTCAAGGTCAGAAATCCCAGAAGAAGGAGCAAGCACCCATTATTGCTGTTCTCCAGCCTCCTTGCATGATATCTCCAGGTGCAGGAGTGAACCAGATGAACAGGGCCTGAAGCAAACCCCCAGCAAACCACAGCAGCTGTACAGAAGAGGGCTTTGAAAGAAAGAAACAAACCATGGAAAGAAAAACAAACAAACAGAAAGCAACAACAACAGCATCAACAACAACAAAAAAAGCCCCCACAAAAACCCCATCCAAGGGTCAGCAGTCTGAAATATCAAAAGTAGACAAACTCACAAAGATGAGAAAGAATCAACAAAAAATGCTGAAAACCCAAAAGACCAGAGTGCCTTTTCTCCTCCAAATGATCATAGTGTTTCTCCAGTAAGGCCGCAGAACTGGGCAGAGGATGAGATGGATGAATTGATGGGAGTAGGCTTCAGAAGATGGGTAAAAAAAAAAAAAACTACACCGAGCTAAAGGATCATGTTCTAACCCAGTGCAAACAAGCTAAGAACCTTGATAAAAGGTTAGAGGAGCTGCTAACTAGAATAGCCAGTTTAGAGAGGAAAATAAATGACCTGATGGAGCTGAAAAACACAGCAGGAGAACTTCATGAAGCATACACAAGTATCAGTAGCTGAATCAACCAAGCTGAAGAAGGGATATCAGAGTTTGAAGACAACCTTGCTGAAATAAGGCATGAAGACAAGACTAGAGAAAAAAGAATGAAAAGGAATGAATAAAGACTCCAAGAAATATGGGACTTCATAAAAAACCAAGCCTATGATTGATTGGAGTACCTGAAGGAGACAGGAAGAATGGAAACAAGCTGGAAAACACACTTCAGGATATTATCCAGGAGAACTTCCCCAACCTAGCAAGACAGGCCAACATGTAAATTCAGGAAATACACAGAACACCACTAGGATACTCGATGAGAAGATCAACCCAAAAACACATAATCATCAGATTCTCCAAGGTCAAAATGAACGAAACAAAGTTAAGGGCAGCCGGAGAGAAAGGCCAGGTCACCTACAAAGGGAAGCCCATCAGACTAATAGCAGACCTCTCAGCAGAAACTCTATAAGCCAGAAGAGATTGGGTGCCAATATTCAATATTCTTAAAGAAAAGAATTTTCAACCCAGAATTCATATCCAGCCAAACTAAGTTTCATAGGCAAAGGAGAAATAAAATCCTTTCCAGACAAGCAAATGCTGAGGGATTTTGTTACCACCAGGCCTGCCTTGCAAGAGTTCCTGAAAGAAGCACTAAATATGGAAAGGAAAAACCAGCACCAGTCACTGCAAAACACACCAAAATGTAAAGACCAATGACACTATAAAGAAACTGCATCAACTAGTGTGCGAAATAACCAACTAGCATCATGATGACAGGACAAACTTTACACATAACAATACTAACCTTAAATGTAAATGGGCTAAATGCCCCCATTTAAAAGACACAGACTGGCAAATTGGATAAACAGTCAAGACCCATGGGTATGCTGTATTCAGGAGACCCATCTCACGTGCAAAGACATACATAGGCTCAAAATAAAGGAAGGGAGGAAAATTTACCAAGCAAAAGGAAAGCAAAAAAAAAGCACGGGTTACAATCCTAGTCTCTGACAAAACAGACTTTAAACAAACAAAGACCAAAAAAAACCACAAAGAAAGGGATTACATAATTGTAAAGAGAACAATTCAACAAGAAGAGCTAACTATTCTAAATATGTATGCACCCAATATAGGAGCA
Source organism: Homo sapiens (assembly GCF_000001405.40). Lineage (NCBI taxonomy): Eukaryota > Metazoa > Chordata > Mammalia > Primates > Hominidae > Homo > Homo sapiens. The sequence continues at coordinate 68,002,976 of NC_000002.12, forward strand.
CCCAGATTCATAAAACAAGTTCTTAGAGACCTACAAAGAGACTTAGACTCCCACACAATAATAGTGGGAGACTTTAAAATGCCACTGTCAATCAACTGACAGATCAGTAAGGCAGAAAATTAACAGATATTCAGGACTTGAACTCAGCTCTGGATCAAGTGGACCTAATAGACATCTATGGAACTCTCCACCCTAAATCAACAGAATATACATTCCTCTCAGTGCCACATGGCACTTATTCTAAAATTGACCACATAATCAGAAGTAAACACTCCTCAGCAAATGCAAAAGAAATGAAATAATAAGAAACAGTCTCTCAGACCACAATGCAATCAAATTAGAACTCAGGATTAAGAAACTCACTCAAAACCATACAATTACATGGAATTCGAACAACCTGCTCCTGAATGACTCCTGGGGAAATAATGAAATTAAGGCAGAATCAAGTTCTTTGAAACCAATAAAAACAAAGAGTCATGGGGCACAGTGGCTCACACCTGTGAGTGGCTCACGTCCAAAGTGGCGCTTTTGGGGGCTAAGGCAGGCAGATTACAGGGTCAGGGAATCGAGACCATCCTGGTCAACATGGTGAAACCCCCATCTCTACCAAAACACAAAAAAAATTAGCCAGGCATGGTGATGCGTGCCTGTAGTCCCAGCTACTCAGGAGGCTGAGGCAGGGGAATCACTTGGACCTGGGAGGCAGAGATTGCAGTGAGCCAAGATCATGCCACTGCACTCCAGCCTGGCAATACAGTGAGACTCCATCTAAAAAAAAAAAAAAAAAAAAAAAAAGGAACAAAGAGTCAACGTATCAGAATCTCTGGGACACAGCTAAAGTACTGCTTTAGTGGTGTAAGAGGGGAACTTATACCACTAAATACCCATAACAGAAAGCTAAAAAGATCTCAAGTCAACACCCTAATATCACAATTAGAAGAGCTAGAAAGGCGAGAGCAAACTAATCCAAAAGCTAGCAGAAGACAAGAAATAACTAAGATCAGAGCAGAATCAAAAGAGATAGAGACAAGAAAAAAACCCTCCAAAAAAAATCAGTGAATCCAGGAGCTGGTTTTTTGAAAAGATTAACAAAATAGATGGACCACTAGCTAGATTAATAAGAAGAAAAGAGAGAAGAATCAAATAGACACAATAAAAGATGATAAAAAGGATATCACCACTGACCCCACAGAAATACAAACTACCATCAGAGAATACTATAAACACCTCTATGCAAATAAACTAGAAAATCTAGAAGAAATGGATAAATTCCTGGACACATACACCCCCCCAAGACTAAACCAGGAAGAGGTCAAATCCCTGAATAGACCAATAATGAGTTCTGAAATTGAGGCAGTAATTAATAGCCTACCAACTAAAAAAAGCCCAGGACCAGACAGATTCACAGCCGAATTCTACCAGAGGTACAAGGAGAGCTGGTACCATTCCTTCCAAAACTATTCCAAACAATTGAAAAGGAGGGACTCCTCCCTAACTCATTTTATGAAGCCAGCATCATCCTGACACCAAAACTGGGCAGAGACACAACAAAAAAGGGAAACTTGTGGCCAATATCCCTGATGAACATCAATGTTAAAATCCTCAATGAAACACTGGCAAACTGAACCCAGCAGCACATCAAAAAACTTACCCACCACGATGAAGTCGGCTTCTTTCCTGGGATGCAAGGCTGGTTCAATATACACAAATCAATACATGTAATTCATCATATAAACAGAACCAAAGACATGATTATCTCAATAGATGCAGAAAAGGCCTTTGATAAAATTCAACAGCCGTTCATGTTAAAACAAAAACTCAATAAACTAGGTATTAATGGAACATATCTCAAAATAATAAGAGCTATTTATGACAAACCCACAGCCAATATCATATTGAATGGGTAAAAACTAGAAGCATTCCCTTTGAAAACCAGTACAAGACAAGGATGCCCTCTTTCACCACTCCTATTCAACATAGTGTTGGAAGTTCTGGCCAGGGCAATCAGGCAAGAGAAAGCAATAAAGCATATTCAAATACGAAGAGAGGAGGTCAAATTGTCTCTCTTTGCAGATGACATGATTCTATATTTTGAAAAAATACCATCATCTCAGCCCAAAAACTCCTTAAACTGATAAGCAACTTCAGCAAAATCTCAGGATACAAAATCAATGTGCAAAAATCACAAGCATTCCTATATACCAACAATAGATAAGCAGACAGCCAAATTATGAATGAACTCCCATTCGCAATTGCTACAAAAAGCAATAAAATACCTAGGAATACAGCTAACAAGGGATGTGAAGAACCTCTTCAAGGAGAACTACCAACCACTGCTCAAGGAAATAAGAGAGGACACAAACAAATGGATAAACTTTCCATCCTCATGGACAGGAAGAATCAATATCGTGAAAATGGCCACACTGACCAAGGTAATTTATAGATTCAATGCTATTCCCATCAAACTACCATTGACATTCTTCACAGAATTAGAAAAAAAAAACACTTTAAATTTTATATGAAATCAAAGAAGACCCTGTAGAGCCAAGACAATCCTAAGCAAAAAGAACAAAGCTGGAGGCAACATGCTACCTGACTTCAAACTATACTACAAGACTACAGTAACCAAAACAGCATGGTACTGGTACCAAAACAGACATATAGACCAATAGGACAGAACAGAGACCTCAGAAATAACACCACACATCTACTACAGCCACCTGATTGTCAACAAAACTGACAAAAACAAGCAATGGCAACAGGATCTCCTATTCAATAAATGGTGCTGGGATAACTGGCTAGCCATATGCAGAAAGCTGAAACTGGACCCCTTCCTTACACTTTATACAAAAATTAACTTGAGATAGATTAAAAACTTAAATGTAAATCCCAAAACCATTAAATCCCTAGAAGAAAACCTAGGCAATACCATTCAGGACATAGGCATGGGCAAAGACTTCATGACAAAAACAACAAAAGCAATTGCTACAAAAGCCAGAATTTGACAAATGGGATCTAATTAAACTAAAAACCTTCTGTATAAAAAAAGAAACTATCATCAGAGTGAACAGGCAACCTACAGAATAGGAGAACATTTTTGCAATCTACCCATCCAACAAAGGTCTAATATCCAGAATTTACAAGGAACTTAAACAAATTTACAAGAAAAACACAAACAACCCCATCAAAAAGTGAGCAAAAAACATGTGCAGACACTTCCCAAAAGAAGACATTTACATGGCCAACAAACATATGAAAACAAGCTCAACATCACTGATCATTAGAGAAATGCAAATCAAAACCGCAATGATGTACCATCTCACGCCAGTCAGAATGGCAACTATTAAAAAGTCAAGAAACAATAGATGCTGGCAACGCTGTGGAGAAATAGGAAAGCTTTCACACTGTTGGCAGGAATATAAATTAGTTCAACCATTTTGGAAGACAGCATGGCAATTTCTCAAGGATCTAGAACCAGAAATACCATTTGACCCAGTAATCCCATTACTGGGTATATACCCAAAGGATTATAAATCATTCTATTATGAAGACACATGCACACATATGTTTATTGCAGCACTATTTACAACAGCAAAGTCATGGAACCAACCCAAATACCCATCAATGATAGACTGGATAAATAAAATGTGGCACATATACACCATGGAATACTACCAGCCATAAAAAGGAATGAGATCATAAAGCTGGAAGAAATCATCCTCAGCGAACTAACACAGAAACAGAAAACCAAACACTGCATGTTCTCACTCAGAAGTGGGAGTTGAACATTGAGAACACATGGACACAGGGAGGGGAACAACACACACCAGGGCCTGTTGAGGGGTTAGGGGCGAGGGGAGGGAACTTAGAGGACGGGTCAGTAGGGGCAGCAAACCACCATGGCACACGTACACCTATGTAACAAACCTGCACATTCTGCACATGTATCCTGAAGAAAAAAAAGAAAAAAGAAACCTCAGCGGGAGAGTGGAAAAGTGAGACCAGGAAGGAAAGGAAGGCATTAGAGGGTATGTTATCAAGCAAGTCAATACTGCAGGCAACTGAAGCTTTATCCTACTAGGGAATGCCAGGAGAGAATATAGAACATTATCTTCAGTTATCCCAAACGAGACTCAAGGAAGCTGAGGTATGTACTCACACATCCCATCAATCATTCATTGAGGGCTGACCCCAAGGGATATTAATTCCCCAGCACTTCCAGCTGGCCCAAACACAGGCAGTGGGGAGGTCTCCAAGAAAGCCTGCAGGCAAAGCATCTCAGGTGTGGGTGGTTGAAAGTCAGACTGGTGTAAATGCAACTGATAAGTGTGAGTGTCTACAGATGGGGATACCAACAGCATCTGCTACAATGGGATTTCGGGGCACATTCATTTGATAAATTGTATTTCTCTCATGTTTGAACATTTACAATTTCATTTATTACATTAATGTCAAGAATAAAACATTCATGACTAAAAATACCAGAGGGAAATGTAAAAAGCAAAATTAAAAGATAGGATGAAGTGTTGCTCTTAATATCAGTTAAGCTGCCTAATACAAAACTAAGAACAAACAAGTTCAGAATCATATTTCATCCAACTTGAAATAGAGGTTACCCACCACATGGTGTTGGAAGCACGGTCACTATAGATCTGACACTCATGTGCCATGAAGCTTCAAATGGTGTGTGGGGGCAGTGGGGGAGGGTCTTCTCAGTCATATTCCTGGTGGCTGCATACACGCTCCTGGCAACAGGAAACAAAGTCAGGGGCCCTTCATGCTTGGTTTTAGATCCCCTCTCCAGAAAATTTGAAAATTTTGAACACTTATTAAAAAGTATTACTATGCCAGGCACAGTGGCTCACACCTGTAATCCCAGCACTTTGGGAGGCTGAGGTGGGCAGATCACGAGGTCAGGAGTTCGAGACCAGCCTGACCAACATGGTAAAACCCCGTCTCTTAAAAAAACACAAAAATTAACTGGGTGCAGTGGTGCGCACCTGTAGTCCCAGCTACTCAGGAGGCTGAGGCAGGAGAATCGCTTGAACCCGGGAAGCGAAGGTTGTGGTGAGCCAAGATTGCGCCACTGCACTCCAGCCTGGGCGACAGAGTGAGACTCCATCTAAAATAAAATAAAATAAAATAAAATAAGCATTACTGCAAGTGTCAATTAAAAAAAAAAAAAACCACTAGCAAAGTAATTCAAGCAGAGACAAAGCTGTTACAGGGAAATTAACTGATTTCAGTCAACATTGGTGCAATCAAAGCTACCCAGTCCATTTAGTGAGACCTCATTTTCCAAAGTCTGATGTCTGTGAATTCATATAAAACATAACCAGGAAGTTTAGTCCTTACCTGACATCACATATTTTATTTTTAACCTTTTTTCACATTAATTTTTAATGCCCAATAGTCTAAACCTCCACTCCTGTAAAACCAACTTCTCAAGACAGATATGCACATGCACACACACACACACACACACACACACACACACACAGAGCCTCTAAACAATTTTGGGGAGGCCCAAAAAGAGACCAGTCTGTCAACTGCAAACATCATGCAACTTCTTTCATGTTCTTTTCCTTCTCTGAATCTTTATAACAAATTCCTACTTGTTGATGTGATGCCACTAATGTTTAACTTTAACTGGGTTTCTGTTACCTGCAAAATATACTAAGGGAAAGGCTGGCCCAGAGATGTTACTTAGCCTACAAGAGGTCATAAGCAGCAGTTGGGCTCACTGGCTTATTACTGCCCAAAGGAGTCATTCAGCACCAATTACAACTAGGTGTGGTTTTCTGGGATTTTTTGGATTTTGTTTTGTTTTGTTTTTTCTGGTAGTGGTCATAAAATACTCCACTTCCTAGATCAATTTATTTAGTTATTTGGAGTTACCTTATTAAGATATAGTTCTCCTGGGGCCTATATCTTAGGGGAGTGGAGTGGAGAGAGGGAGAGCGTTAGGAAAAATAGCTGATGCATGCTGGGCTTAACATCTAGGTGATGGGTTGGTAGGTGCAGCAAACCACCATGACACATATTTACCTATGTAACAAACCTCCACATCCTGCACATGTACCCCAGAACTTAAAAATAAAAAAGATATAGTTCTTAAGAATATATGTTTCACAGGAATCACCCTGACTTTCATTTCCAGAAATGTTATGGTAGTCACAGAGTAGTTGGCATATATCCTACAAGTTTTGGGGAAAAAGTCATTTCCTCTTTGCTAAATAGAGTTTTGGTCCAAAGACTCTAAACTCTTTAAAACCTGAAGCCTGGCTCTACAGCCTCCACCTATAGACTCCCTGCTTTTCAGGCCTGCCCTCTGGACTTGGACCTTCTTCCAGATGAGGCTTTCACAATCAAATGATGGTTCTGCCCCCACATATCTGATTGCAAAGCATATGGCTCTCACTTGATACTTACTGGGGAATTTAGTAATGAATAAACCACACTTCCATTCTGCCAAATGCTCCCTCAAAATACTCGATTAATATTTTAAAATAATCTGATGAATGTGCCAACTAACTATTCTTCCAAATTGTCCAAGTTCCATCCCTTCACAATTTAGACTGCTATAAAGCAAAGTATCTGGGCAATGTTCACCAGCTACAGAAATGACTTCATCATAAACGCAATCAGCCTTTCTAGATCATGAATGGATGGTGCACTTAAAGAACTGTAATGTTAATCTTACAAAATCAGAGCTTAGAATATTACCCACAAAGTCTCCCCATGTTTCCTGTACAAAGACCATGACTTTCATTCCTGAGAAGCATGAACTCTGCTGATGAACTTGTATAATTCTGTGGACAGAAGCTAAAAACCACATAAGCCAAAGTGATAAAGTGATTTTTTTCTTTTCTTTTTTTTTTTTTTTTTTTTTTTTTTGAAACAGAGTCTCGATTTATCGCCCAGGCTGGAGTGCAGTGGCGCGATCTCAGCTCACTGCCACCGCCACCTCCCGGGTTCAAGCGATTCTCCTGCCTCAGCCTCCTGAGTAGCTGGGACTATAGGCACATGCCACCACGCCCCACTAATTTTTTGTATTTTTAGTAGAGACGGGGTTTCACTGTGTTAGCCAGGATAGTCTCGATCTCCTGACTTCGTGATCCGCCTGCCTCGGCCTCCTAAAGTGCTGGGATTACAGGCGTCAGCCACTGCTCCCGGCCCGGCTTTTTTTTTTTTTTCCTTAGCTTCCAGGAAATGTCAGCCCAAACCCACAGCCATACTATTTGGAACAAGTGATTTATCTCAGGTTCCTGGTGGCATCCACTTTCCTTCTTCCATCTTGATCAGTGGTTCTCAGACTTTAGTATGCACAAGGATGCTCTGAGAAGACCGTTTAAAAGCAGATTCTTGAGCCTCAGATTCTGATCCAGTGGGGCCTATGGTGAAGCCCAAGCCCTTTTGACAAGTGCCCAAAGTGCCCAAACTGCCTTTTGAGAGATGCTGACTTCGATGATCTGGGATGTTTCTCATTTAGATTTTTTTATTTTTTCTTTTCTTTTTTTTTTTTTTTTTTGCTTTATTTATTTATTTAGAGACAGAGTTTTGCTCTTGTCACCCAGGCTGGAGTGCAATGACAAAATCTCGGCTCACTGCAACCTCCGCTTCCTGGGTTCAAGCGATTCTCCTGCCTCAGCCACTGGAGTAGCTGAGATTACGGGCGCCCTCCACCACACCTGGCTAATTTTTATATTTTTAGTGGAGACAGGATTTTGCCATGTTGGGCAGGCTAGTCTCAAACTCCTGACATCAGGTGATCTGCCCGCCTCGGCCTCTCAAAGTGCTGGGATTACAGGCATGAGCCACCGCGCCCAGCTTTTTGCTTTATTTTTAATAAAGGGGGACATGTGCAGTCATTTTATAGGTTGAAAGGGAGATAGAAATCATAAGTAAAAGTGATATTTTTAAAAAACCAACTGAACTAGATTTAACTGTAATAACTAACACACGGTGAATAGATTTAAATTATGATTCTAGTCAGAAAAATTCAGTCTAGGATTAATTTTAGCATCTATCCTATCAACAGAAAGTTCTAAGCTATCCTAAACTTAAAAAGAATTTAACTGAGTGATACACAAGAGACATTTAAAGTAAATTTAAAGAAAATTTTCAGATTTCAAAACTACCTCAGAAAATAATATTTATCAACGTGTCTATTTCTTTATTTGCTGCTATGTAGGGAAAAACTCTCTCAGCCCGTGTTTTTCCTCTGCTCTCACACCACTACAACAGCAACACAGGAGGCTTCTGTGACCAAATGCGTAGGAGTTTTCCCCACACACCAACGAGCAGACGCCAGCTGGGTGTCCTGCAATTCAGTTCTGACACCATCTACCTGGAGATAGCATCAGATTCCACAGGCTGGGGGCTCAGTCCCCAAGACTGCCCCGTACACCCCAGACACCAGTCCAAGTCTTCTGACCATCAGAACTTCAGACCAACTGACTTCAAGTCAGGGTTTCCAAGATCCCATTTGGGTTTGATTAATTTGCCAGCGTTGCTCACAGAAATCAAGGAAACACTTATTTAACGTCTGCTGGTTTGTTATAAATAATGTTACAAAGGATAACAATGAAGAGATGGTCAGGCGAGGTATGGGGGAAGGGGCGTGGAGCTTCCATGTCCTCCCTGGGCGCCACCCTCCAGGAACCTCCACGTGTTCAGCTATACAGAAGCTTCCTGAACCCAGTCCTCTTGGGGTTTGAGGGAAGCTTCATGACATCAGCATTCCTTCCTCCAGGGTATTAATGGGACCCTCTCTGAAGAGATTCTTAAGACCCACGGCCAGAAAGTTGGGTAAAGACTAGAGTCCTGCCTTGGGGCAGGTGAAAGGAGTGCAAGAGAAGGTAAGAGAGATTCTGTTCCTGAGCCCTAATGCACCCAACATTCTAACAAAAGGCTGTAACAAGGGCTACAGGAATCATGAGCCAGGAACTGTGGCTCATCTATGAAAACTTCTATCTATCTATCTATCTATCTATCTATCTATCTATCTATCTATCTATATCATAACACCACAGCCACTTAGCTCCAATTTAAAAGATTAATCATAAACATTTGGGAAGGAGAGTGAAGATTTTTGTGATGTTAAATAAGAATGATTATACTAAAAACCAAAATAATATGTTATTTATGGCTGGGTGTGGTGGCTTAAGCCTGTAATCCCAGAACTTTGGGAGGCCAAGGCTTGTGGATCACTTGAGCCCAGAAGTTCAAGACCAGCCTGGGCAACATAGGGAGACCCTGTCTCTACAAAAAATTTTAAAATTAGCTGGACATGATGGCACGCACCCGTAGTCTCAGCTACTCAGGAGGCTCACGCCACTGCATTCCAGTCTGGGTAACGCACACCTTATCTCTAAAAAATATGTATGTGTGTGTACATATATATATACATATATATACATACATATATATACATATATACATACATATATACATATATACACATATATACATATAATACACACATATTTACATATATACACACATATATACATATATACATATATACACATATATACATGCATACACATATATACATATATACACACATATACACACATATATACATATATACACATATATACACATATACACATATATACACACATATACATATATACACATATATACATATATACATATATACACACATATACACATATATACATATACACATATATACACATATACATATATACACATATATACACATATATACATATATACACATATATACATATATACACATATATACACACATATACACATATATACATATATACATATGTATACACATATATACATATGTATACACATATATACACATATACATATATACATACACATATATACGTATATATGTGTATATATACACATATACGCATATATATGTATATATATGTATATATATGTGTGTATATATATGTATAACTTTATTTATTATATATTTTTTGAGACAGGGTCTCCCTCTGTCACTCAGGCTGGGGTGCAGTGGTGTGTGATTTCAGTTCACTGTAACCTTGAACTCCTAGGCTCAGGCAATTCTCCCATCTCTGCCTCCTGGGCCACTAGGACTACAGGTGTGCACCATTATGCCTGCCTAATTTTTTTTATTTTTTGTAGAGATGGGGTAAAACAATACTACAAACACCACACACACACACACACACATATTTGTCTTTTTAGATCATAAACATATTTTGGACACTTTCATTCAGCATAAAATATATCATTTTAACTAAAACCACTCATCCTTTTGAAATATTAACTATTCAATAGTTAATGTAAGCTAAATAAAAGGATTCTTTAAAAAAATCTGTGAGTGGATTATTTCTGCAGTACCATTTGAGAACTTAAAATATCGGAGATGTAATTGTCAAGTAAAACACAAGCCAACAAAAATACGCCTCGTGAGACAGAGTTCTGAGGAGATGTTTTTCCTGGATTTTGCTTTGCTTGTTACCTACACCAGATACATAGGTCTCCCCAACTAAGAATCTACAGATAAACATGATCTAGAAGAGTCCTCTAAGCCAAAACTTTAAAAAGACAAAATGACTTGTTGAGAGTGACTAACTCAAACTCTAGAATGAGAATATAAACATGTTCTATGGCTGATCCGGGGAAACATACACAGCAAACATGGAATTCTGATGGCTGTTTCTGCTCTGCCACTGCGCTCAAGACCATGGCTTCATCCTAGTCCTACCTAGACCCCTTTGTCTTCTGTGTGACTCATGATCACAAAACTTGTATCCAAGGTCATCATGCACCAAAATGTTTATTTATTTCTTTAAGGTATCTTGCACACAGATGATCATTTCAACAATTCTTTTAGACTTTTCAATCAAAATGATGCACTGAGTTGTTGCTTTGATTTGCCACTCTGTTCCATAAACTAAGCAATGATAGCTAAAGATAGAAAAACAAATATATAAAGTTGAGCTCAACAAAAAGATAAAAATCTCTGTGGACCAGAAAAGAACATAAACGCAAAGCAGTGAACTGGGCTCATTGAGGGTATACCAAAAGGACATGGCAAGTTGAAAAGGCTCACACTAGCCAAAGATGGGACAACTGGGACACCGAAGAGAATAATATCTACCAAAACTCTGCTGCACAGTAAAAGGGAAAAATCCAGAGTTGATAATGATGCTTAAAAAAAAATGTGTTGTCTTTTGAGGATGCTAGAGAATCAACTCATTATTCTAAGTCTGACAAATAAAGGAAAAGTATCAAGGATTTATCATGGCTTTTCTGCAGGAATGACACATCATGGGATCAGTAGTTGATAAGGGAAAAATCTTCTTTAGGAGAAGAATTCTACCCAATAAATAAGTAAAATGATAGAATTAGAATATCACCATTTAGCAACCTGTAATGAAAGTATAGATCTGAGCAGTTACCATCAATACCTGCTAAAAACCAGCAGGTGAAAAGTTGATGAGGAACTGCCTGATAAATCTTAATGTCATGAAAAATAGAATCACAAGTTCTGTGCCTTCTCTGGGATACCATAGAATGTCTACACCACCACCTATGAAGCAGTCTTGCAAAATAAATAAATAAATGTCATATCTCACCAAGTCTCCTCTAGATCTATGACCATTTTACAGGTAATGGAGAGGGTGGCGGAACATATTAAACCACATCAAGGAGGAAAACCAAAACTGTACAACCGTTTTCTTAACAAATAAAACAAGGGGAGAAATTCAAAAACATTCTATATATTTGATAATTTTGAGAAGTAGTCTCCATTTCTTTAAATGTGATCACTGTATTGTGCTTATGCTTAAAAAAGATTTCTACTGAAGTTTTTACTGATAAAATCATACAATATCTAATTTTACTTCAAAATAATCTATTGTGGGAGGCAGGAGGGGATAAGAAAGAAAGTAAGACTGACCAAATGCTAAGAATTCGAATGCTGAGAAGGCAAGAAATAACTAAGATCAGAGCAGAACTGAAGGAGATGGAGACACAAAAAAACCCTTCAAAAAATCAATGAATCCAGGAGCTGGTTTTTTGCAAATATCAACAAAATAGACCACTAGCAAATGGTCTATTAAATAAAGAAGAAAAGAGAGAAGAATCAAATAGATACAATAAAAAATGATAAAGGGGATATCACCACCGATCCCACAGAAATACAAACTACCATCAGAGAATACTATAAACACCTCTATGCAAATAAACTAGAAAATCTAGAAGACACAGATAAATTCCTGGACACATACACCCTCACAAGACTAAACCATGAAGAAGTTGAATCTCTGAATAGATCAATAACAGGTTCTGAAATTGAGGCAATAATTAGTAGCCTACCAACAAAAATAACTCCAGGACCAGACAGATTCACAGCCAAATTCTACCAGAGGTACAAAGAGGAGCTGATACTATTCGCTCTGAAACTATTCCAATCAATAGAAAAAGAGCGAATCCTCCCTAACTCGTTTTAGAGGCTAGCATCATCCTGATACCAAAGCCTGGTAGAGACACACACACAAAAAAAGAGAATTTTAGGCCAATATCCCTGATGAATATCTATGCAAAAATCCTCAATAAAATACTGGCAAACCGAATCCAGCAGCACATCAAAAAGCTTATCCACCACGATCAAGTCAGCTTCATCCCTGGGATGCAAGGATGGTTCAACATACACAAATCAATAAACGTAATCCATCACATAAATAGAACCAACGACAAAACCCACACAATTATCTCAATAGATGCAGAAAAGGCCTTCAACAAAATTCAACAGCCCTTCATGCTAAAAACTCTCAATAAACTAGGTATGGATGGAATGTATCTCAAAATAATAAGAGCTATTTATGACAAACCCACAGCCAATATCATACTGAATGGACAAAAACTGGAAGCATTCCCTTTGAAAACCAGCACAAGACAAGGATGCCCTCTCTCACCACTCCTATTCAACATAGTGTTGGAAGTTCTGGCCACAAAAATCAGGCAAGAGAAAGAAATAAAGAGTATTCAATTAGGAAAATAGGAAGTCAAATTGTCTCTGTTTGCAGATGACATGATTGTATATTTAGAAAACCCCATCGTCTCAGCCCAAAATCTCCTTAAGCTGATAAGCAACTTCAGCAAACTCTCAGGATACAAAATCAATGTGCAAAAATCACAAGCATTCTTATACACTAATAATAGACAAACAGAGAGCCAAATCATGAGTGAACTCCCATTCACAATTACTACAAAGAGAATAAAATACCTAGGAATCCAACTTACAAGGGATGTGAAGGACCTCTTCAAGAAGAACTACAAACCACTGCTCAACGAAATAAAAGAGGACACAAACAAAAGGAAGAACATTCCATGCTCATGGATAGGAAGAATCAATATCATGAGAATGGCCATACTGCCCAAAGTAATTTATAGATTCAATGCTATTCCCATCAAGCTACCACTGACTTTCTTCACAGAACTGGAAAAAACTACTTTAAAGTTCATATGGAACCAAAAAGAGCCTGCATAGCCAAGACAATCCTAAGCAAAAAGAAGAAAGCTGAAGGCCATCACACTACCTGACTTCAAACTAACTGCAAGGCTACATAACCAAAACAGCATGGTACTGGTACCAAAACAGCATGGTACTGGTACCAAAACAGATATATAGACCAATGGAACAGAACAGAGGCCTCAGAAATAACACACATCTACAGCCACCTGATCTTCAACAAACCTGACAAAAACAAGCAATGAGGAAAGGATTCCCTATTTAATAAATGATGCTGGGAAAACTGGCTAGCCATATGTAGAAAGCTGAAACTGGATCCCTTCCTTACACTCTCCACAAAAATTAACTCAAGGTAGATGTAAGACCTAAAACCATAAAAACCCTAGAAGAAAACCTACGCAATACCATTGAGGCCATAGGCATGGGCAAGGACTTCATGACTAAAACACCAAAAGCAATGGCAACAAAAGCCAAAATAAACAAATGGGATCTAATTAAACTAAAGAGCTTCTGCACAGCAAAATAAACTATCATCAGAGTGAATAGGCAACCTACAGAATGGGAGAAAATTTTTGCAATCTACCCATCTGACAAAGGGTTAATATCCAGAATCTACAAAGAACTTAAACAAATTTACAAGAAAAAAAACCAAACAACCCCATCAAAAAGCGGGTAAAGGATATGAACAGACACTTATCAAAAGAAGATATTTATGCAGCCAACAGACATATGCAAAAATGCTCATCATCACTGGTCATCAGAGAAGTGCAAATCAAATTTGCATTTGCATTTGTGAGATACCATCTCACACCAGTTAGAATGGCAATCATTAAAAAGTCAGGAAACAACAGTTGCTGGAGAGGATGTGGAGAAACAGGAATGCTTTTACACTGTTGGTGGGAGTGTAAATTAGTTCAACCATTGTGGAAGACAGTGTGGTGATTCCTCAAGGATCTAGAACTAGAAATACTGTTTGACCCAGCAATCCCATTACTGGGCATATACCCAAAGGATTATAAGTCACTCTACTATAAAGACACATACACACGTATGTTTATTGCGGCACTATTCACAATAGCAAAGACTTGGAACCCACCCAAATATCCATCAATGATAGACTGGATTAAGAAAATATGGCACATATACACCATGAAATAGTATGCAGCCATAAAAAGGATGAGTTCATGTCCTTTGCAGGTACATGGATGAAGCTGGAAACCATCATTCAAAGCAAACTATCACAAGGACAGTAAACCAAACACCGCATGTTCTCACTTACAGGTGGGAGTTGAACAGTGAGAACACATGGACACAGGCAGGCAACATCACGCACCAGGGCCTGTCCGGGGGTGGTGGGCTGGGGGAGGGATAGCATGAAGAGAAATGCCTAATGTAAATGAAGCGTTGATGGGTGCAGCAAAACAACACGGCACATGTATATCTATGTAACAAACCTGCACGTTGTGCACATGTATCCTAGTACTTAAAGTACATATATATATATAAAAATGTAGAAAATAGGTTGATAGTTGATAGATATATGAACATTCATTATATGTTCTCCCTGTTTGCTGTTTGAAAATTTCCATAATAAAAAGCTTTAAAAATGAACCTATTTACCCATTCTAAAGATACTTAAAGTAATTTAATGCTAAGAATAATCTAGAAGCTGGGAACGGTGGCTCACGCCTGTAATCCCAGCACTTTGGAAGGCTGAGGCAGGTGGATCATCTGATGTCAGGAGTTTGAGACCAGCCTGGTCAACATGGTGAAACCCCGTCTCTACTAAAAATACAAAAATTAGCCAGGTATGGCAGCAGGCACCTGTAATCCCAGCTACTTGGGAGGCTGAGGCAAGAGAATCTCTTGAACCTGGGAGGCAGAGGTTGCAGTGAGCCGAGATTGTGCCATTGCACTCCAGCCTGGATGACAAGAGTGAAGCTCTGTCTTAAAATAAAAAATAAAAAAAAGAAGAAGAATCTAAAAGTGCAATAATGAGAGCAAATTTTTTAAGAATCAGCTTGATATATATATACATATATAAACATATGGAGATGACTATGTATGGGTGCAAGGGACTGCCAGGACACTGCATGAGATTCCACTGAACCTATACATCTTTGGGAATCAAAGTGTGGTTGAAGAGTCAGCAGTACCTGGGAGCTTGTTAGAAATGCACACTCTCAGGCCACACCCCAGAACTCCTGAATCAGAATTTGCATTTAACAAGATCCCCCAGTAACTCAAATACACAGCAAAGGCTGAGAAGCACTGTTGTAAATCACTATGGAGAGAAATACTATCCTCCAATCCATAAACGGCTGTGCTATTCCGTTTATTTAGATCTACCCTAATGGCTCTCTATAATTTTTTATAGTTTTCTGCAGAAAGGCTGTATTAGTCAGCTTGGGCTGCCATGAGAAAATATCACAGGCTGTGTGACATAAACAAACAGGAAATTTCTCACAGTTCTGGAGGCTGGAAGTTCATGATCAAAGTGGCAGCGGATTTGTCTTGGTGGGGGCGCTCTTCCTGGCTTTCAGAAGGCTGCTTTGTACTCACATGGTACTGTAGAATTCTTAGATTCTTCTAAGTTGTCTATTTACACAATCACATTATCTTCAAATAAAAGGCAGTTTTATTTCTTACTTTTTTTTTTTTTTTAGACCGAGTCTCGCACTGTCGCCCAGGCTGGAGTGCAATGGCGCGATCTCCACTCACTGCAACCTCCGCCTCCCAGGTTCAAGCAATTTCTCCCGCCTTAGTCTCCCAAGTAGCTGGGGTTACAGGCACCCGCCACCGCGCCCGGCTAATTTTTTGTATTTTTTTTTAGTAAAGACGGGGTTTCACTATTATGGCCAGGCTGGTGTGGAACTCCTGACTTCGTGATCCGCCCTCCTCGGCCTCCTAAAGTGCTAGGATTACATGCATGAGCCACCGCGCCCGGTCTAATTTCTTCAGTTCTTATACGTTTTACTTTTTTGGCTAGGACCCCACTCCCAACAATATTTTGAACGAAAGTGGTGATAACAGACTTCTGTCTTGTCCTTAAACTCAAAGGGAAAGTATGATTTTTGATGTGGGCTTTTTTGTAGTTACCCTTCATTAGACTGAGGAAGTGTCTGTGTATTCCTAGTTCACCCAGAAATTTTATCATTAATAAATGCTTACTTTCATCAAATGCTTACTCTATATCTATTGAGATAATCTATGATAATGTCTCCTTTTCCATTCTTGGCATTGGTTATCTGTACCTTACATATTTTCTTCTTGGTCTGCATTGCTAAAGATTTTATTAATTTTATTAATTTCTGATGTATTGATATTTTTCTATTGTACATATTTTTATCTCACATCTCTGCTCTTTCTTTTTTTTCTTTTTTTTTTTTTTTTTTGTCCTTCTCTGGGTATAATTTGTTATTTTTTCCACCTTCTTGAGATACAAGTTAGATTACTGACTCATATTTTCTTTTCTAATGTAAGTATATTAGGCTATGAATTCCCTTCTTAGGATTACTTTAGTTGCATGCTATCATTTTCGATATGTCACAGCTTCACTGAGTTCAAAATATTTTCTAATTTTTCACTGTGATTTCTTCTTAGTCTCATGGATTCTTCAGAAGTATAATCCTTAATTTCCAAATACAGTAACAGATTTTGTAGTAACTTTTCTCTAGTTAATTATATAGGTACCTTTCAAGTTTGTATTGTGATCACAGAATGTATTCTGTTTAATTTCAAATATTTGAAATTTGCTTTAAGACCCATATTCAATTTTTTAAAAAATTTTCCATGTGTGTTTGAAAAGAATTATACACGTGTTCACTGCAATATTCTATATGTCATGTAAGTCAAGTTTACTAATAGTGTTATTCAAAATTTCCATACCTTGACAATTGTTTTTCTGCTTGTTCTATCAATTACTGAGAGATCTCCACCCACGTGTCGTTCTATTACTTTTAGTTTCTGTCAATTTTTACTATGTATATTTTGAGACTACGTTATTACATGCAAAATTGGAATTACATCCTGGTTCATCAAACACTATCATCTTTTACTTTCAACTTTTCTGTATCCTTATGTTTTCGATATGGCTATGGTTTGAATATGGTTTTTCCCCAACAAAACTCATGTTGAAACTTGAACTCAAATGTGGCAGTGTTGGTAGGTGAGGCCTACTGGGAGGTGTTTGGGTTACAGAGGTAGATTCCTCATGAATAGATTAATGCCCTCCAACGGTGGTGAGTTCTTACCCCCTTAGTAATGAATAAGTTCCTGAGAGAGCAGGTTGCTAGAGTCTGCCTTCCTCAGTTTCTCTCTGTCTCTTGCTTTCCCTCTCACTGTGTGATCTCTTTGCATGTGCCTGCTTCCTTTCCACTGTCTGCCATGACTTGAAGCAGCCTGAGCCCCTCAGCAGATGCAGCTGCTCAATCTTGAACCTTCCAGCCATCAGAATCATGAGCCAAACAAACCTCTTTTCTTTACAAATTGCCCAGCTGCAAGTATTCTGTTATACAACACTAAATGGATTAAGACAGATGTGTTTCTTGAAAATATCATCTATTTGGGTTTAAATTGTTACACTATTGACGATTTTAGTTCATTTACATTTGATGTGATGACTGATTCTTTTAGATTTAATGTAATGACTGATTCTTTTACATTTTAAGTCTGGAATCTTACTCAATAATTTTCGCTCAACCTAACTGTTCCATGGTTCCTTTTCTCTTCTTTTCCACCTTCCAGATTCGATTGAAAAATTTCATTATTTCAGCTTTTCTTCTATTCATTTAGAAGTTTTGTGTCCTTCTAGCAGTGTCTTTTGATAGCAATATGCATCCTTTGACTTATCAAAATTCAATACTAATTTCTGCTTTCACCCTCTGATAGACAAGATTTTAGAATACTTTAACTCCATATATCTGCCCTTAAGAACTTATATGCCTTTTTATATATTTTATACATTTTTGTTTATTAAAGCCCCACAAGATATTATTATTACTGTTGTATTCAATTAATATTTATTTAAATTTACGCATATATTTTCCTTTTTTTTTCTTTTGATCTTCATTCTTCTCTTTATCTCCAAACCTTCTTCTGGGTATTCTTTATTTTTCATTTATATGGGTATATATTATGTGTATATATTTATGGGGTATGTGAGATATTTTGATACAGACATACAATATGTAATAATCACATTAGGATAAATGAGGTATTCATCACTTCAAGCAGGTATCATTTCTTTGTGTTACAAACATTCCAATTATACTATTTTAGTTATTTTTAAATGTACAATAAATTATCATTGACTGCAGTCTCTCTGTTGTGGTAACAAATACTAGATCATATTCATTCTATATAACTATATTTTTGTACCCATTACCCCCCGCCCACTTCTTCCCACCCCCCACACTTCTCCCAGCCTCTGCTAACAATCATTCCACTCTCTATCTCCATGAGTTCAATTGTTTTAATTTTTAGCTCCCACAAATGAGTAAGAACATGCAAAGTTTGTCCTTCTGTGCCTGGCTTATTTCACTTAATCTCCTCCAGTTCCATCCATGTTGTTACAAATGACAGGGTCTCATTCTTTTTTTATGGCTGAACAGTACTCCATTGTGTATAGGTATTGCATTTTCTTTATGCATTCATCTGTTGATAGACACTTAGGTTGCTTCCAAACCTTGGCTATTGTGAACAGTGCTGCAACATGGGAGTGCAGATATCTCTTTGATATACTGATTTCCTTCCTTTTGGGTATATACCTAACATTGGGAGCTCTATTTTTAGTTTTTTGAGGAACCTCCATACTGTTCTCCATAGTGGCTGTACCAATTTACATTCCCACAAACAGTGTACAAGAGTTCCCTCTTCCCTACATCGTCCGCAGTATTTGTTATTCCCTGTCTTTTGGTTAAAAGCCATTTTAACTGGGGTGAGATATCTCTTTGTAGTTTTGATTTGCATTTCTCTGATGATCGGTGCTGTTGAGCACCTTTTCATATGCCTGTTTGCCGTTTGTATGTCTGCTTTTGAGAAACGTCTATTCAGATCTTTTGCCCATTTTTAAAAATCAGGTTATCGGATTTTTTTCGTATTGGTTGTTTGAGCTCCTTATGTAGTCTGGTTATTAATCCCTTGTCAGATGGATACTTTGCAAATATTTCCTCCCATTCTGTTAGTTGTCCGTTTGCTTTGTTGATTGTTTCCTTTGCTGTGTGGAAGCTTTTTACCTTGATGTGATCCCACTTGTCCATTTTTTCTCTGGTTGCCTGTGCTTGTGGAAATCTTTGCCCAGACCACTGATCTGGAGATTTTTCTCAATGTTTTCTTTTAGTAGTTTCATGCTTTTAGGTCTTAGATTTAAGTCTTTAATACATTTTGATTTGATTTTTGTATATGGTGAGAGATAGCGGTCTGGTTTCATTCTTCTGCATATGGATATATAGTTTTCCCAGCACCTTTATTGAAGAGACTGTCCTTTCTCCAATACATGTTCTTGGCATCTTTGTTGAAAATGAGTTCACTATAGATGTATGGACTTAATTCTGGGATCTCTATTCTGTTCCATTTGTGTATGTGTCTGTTTTTTTAATGACTTTTTTCCTTAATAGCAAAATAATATATGTCTTGAAAAACATGGAAAATGCAGAATACAAAACACAGAAAATACAATTGAGAACCGTTATGAGCATTTTGATCATCAAACTGCAAGTCGAAGTTGCCCTGTCTCTCCCTGTCTCCTGTATGCATGTAAGGATATAAATGGTCTATGGGCTTGTTGGTGTGCATGCATAGGCAGTCTTTCTGGGGTACTCTTAAGGGGGCTCAGCTCCTCGGGTGCCCCTAGCTCTTAATCTCACCCTTCTACATCTGTCCTGTTCCTGAGGACAACCCTGAAAATGACTCTTCATTGACAGCCTTCTGGAGGTTGGGAGCTTTTAGAGCAAGGTTTTGCAATGTAGCTAGGAGGTAGCTGTAGTTTTCCTTGTTTCCACATGTAGGAACTAGGCTTCCAAGAGGCTAACTCATGACCAGTGCCATACAGCTGGCAAACAATGATTCCAAAGGTCTGGGTCCCTAGGCCTCTGTTCTCTCTACCTGGGGCTTTCAGTTCCCTCAAGTCTAATTATCTGCCCTCTTCAAGGTGCTGTTCAGAGGGTCTGAGGCTCAACAATAAACGGTGGGATGGGTCCCAGGGATAGATGAAGTGGTCACACCCACCAGTCCATGGACTCTTTGGGGCAAGCCCTGACAATGACCATACAGTGAAGCAGCCCCTTACACATGGTCCTATTGGCCTCCTGACTCTCCCACCCCTGCCACTGCAGCTCAAGGACTCTGAACTTGGACATGGTGAGGCAGGAGGAGAGGATTTCCGTGAAAGAGGGAATTTCTAGGGTGTTGAGAAGACCCTGCTGGCACAGACTCTCCAGGGCTGGCATTCCCTCCAGGACAGCCAGGCCAGGGGCAGAGAGGCCCCTTAAGGTCAGCCTGATCTTGCGCACGGCTCGCGGGTAGCGGCTGATGGCCAGCAGGGTGCTGTCTCAGAGAGGTTGCGGCCCAGCACCTCAAGCCCCTGCAGGTAGCTGAGCTCCTGCAGGCTGGCATCCAGCCGCAACTCCCTTACACGGTAGGTGCCGCCCCACCAGAAAGCGCAGGACCTGGAAGCGTGACAGGCCCTGCTGGTGCTCGTCTCTGAAGGCAGGGACGCAGTCCAGCATGATGCATTCGAACAGGGGCAGCATGGTGGGGTCCAGCTGCCTGAGGAGCCAGGCCATGGAGATCTCGCAGCTGTGCAGCTCCAGGGTCCCCAGGGCGCTGCACAGGCTGGTGATGGGCACCGTGCTCAGGTCGGCCACGTGCAGGCAGAGGCGCTTCGGGTTGGGGCACTTCTGGCCAGGGCTCTTATCAGGACAGGAGACAACTGGAGCCAGAGAACAGGTAGCCGCCCATCCACAGGGAATGAAGCTGGGATGCCATGTACCGGCCAAGGAGGTGCTACATGACTTTAAATCGCATCATGTAGAGCGTCAGGTCGACGTGTCACCACAGCCACCGTCGTCCACCAGCCTCTTCTAGCGGTGACAAACCCTGAGGAAAGGGATCTGCGGTTAGAACCACCTCGGCCCCAGGTGGGATCCGGGATCTGCATCTCCAGGTACCAGGTGCGCCCTCCGTCCGGTCTTCTCCGCCCCCACCCCGCCCCGTCCCCACAAGGTGGGGACGGGGCTGCAGATGTAGATGCGGATCTGGTCCCAGACCGGGAGGTAAGAAAAGATCTCGAGCTGTGTCTGTTTTGATGCCACTACTGTGCTCTTTGGGTTACATTAGGTCAGTATAATAGGAAGCCAGATAACGTGATTCCTCCAGTTCTGTTCTTTTTCTCAGGATAGCTTTGGCTATTCTGGGACTTTTGTGGTTTCATATAAATTTTAGGATTTTTTTTGCTATTTCTGTGAAGAATGTCATTGGTATTTTGATAGGGATTGCATTGAATCTGTAGATTGCTTTGTAGCATGGACATTTTAAAAATACTTCTTCTTCCAATCCATGAACATGGAATACACTTCCTTTTTTTGTGTTCTCTTCAATTTCTTGCATCAGTGTTTCATAGGTTTCATTGTAGAAATCTTTTACTTCTTTGGTTAAGTTTATTCCTAGGTATTTTATTTTATTTGTAGCTATGGTAAATGGGATTACTTTCTTCATTTCTTTTTCAGACTGTTTTCTGTCAGCATCATGTTACTGATTTTTTGTATATTGATTTTTGTATCCTGCAACTTTACTGAATTTATTTATTAGTTCTAATAGTTTTGGGGTGGATTTTTTAGTTTTTTTCAAATATAAGATCATATCCTCTGCAAACAATAATAATTTGACTTCTTCCTTTCAAGATTGGATTCCCTTTATTTTTTTCTCTTGTCTGATTGCTCTAGCTAGGACTTCCAGTACTGTGTTGAATAACAATGGTGAAAATGGGCATCCTTGTCTTGTTCCAGATCTCAGAGGAAAGGCTCTTAGTTTTTTTCTGTGCAATATAGCCATTTGGGTGTTCTTTAGACAGAAGGAAAATCTTCCATCTAGAATAATTTTCCTTCTTTCTGAAGAATAACGTTTAGAATTTTCATTTGTGTGAGTCTGCTAATGACAAATTTTCTAAATTTAGTGCTTGCTTGAAAGGTCTTTACCCTCATTAAAGGAAAATATTTTCAGTAGGCTTAGAATTTAAGGTTGGCAATTTTCTTTTTCAGCACTTCAAAATATGATCCTATTGTCTTCTGGTTTCCACCATTTCTGTCAATTGTGAGTTAAATTGTTCCCTCTTCAAAGGCAATCTTTTTTTTAATCTGGCATTTTGTTTTTAAACTTTGGTTTTTGGTAATATTGTCATGATATACCTAAATGATTTTATTTATATTTATCTTGTTTTGGATTTGTAGGGCTTCCGTGGCTTGATGAATTTCATTAGTTATGGAAAATTCTTATCTCTAATTTATTCAGATTGTGCTTCCACTCCATCCTCTTTCTCTTCTTTTTATGGAGCTATAATTACTCATAAAGTAGAGCTTTTCACTTCATTCTCATGGTTTTCACCCCTATTCTCATTTTCCATCCTTTTTGTATCTCCATATTTCCTTCTGGATATTTTCTTTAACCCATCAGGCTGTTCCTAATTCCCTCATCAGTTGTGTCAATCTGCTCTTAAACCCAGCTACTGAGATCTTCCGATTTCTGTCATTACATTTTCTCTACCAGATTTTCTGTTTGATTTTTTATTTATAGTTTCCACATTTGACAAAATTCTCAATCTCATTCTTTGCCATCTTCACCAAAGTACATTTACTTAAAATTCTGTATCTGATAATGTCAATGTCTGGAGCCCTTGTGAATCTATTTTCATTGTGCTATTTTTGTCAGCTTTCACTCATGCCTCCTATCTAGATTTTTTTTTTAGTATGCCCTGAATATTGCATTTGCAAAATTCCTTGTAGAAGTAACTTGAGGCCTTAAATAATGATATTATGTTTCTCCTGGAGAGATTTAATTTTCCTTAGCTGGTGCCTGGGGATACTAGCACTTCTGGATCACCTGCCAGGGTCAACTTCTCATTTGCCTTCCCATGCTTCTAAAGTGCAACCCTTTGTGGTCCCAACTCAAAGTGGGGAAAAGAACTACTAGGACACTTTCCCAACTTGGGTGGGCCCTCGACACCAATCCCTGTTGCTTTAGCTTCATGGGGCATCAAAACCATTACACGTTGCCTGTAATCCCAACACTTTGGGAGGCCAAGGTGGGCAGATCATTTGAGTTCAGGAGTTCAAGACCAGCCTGGCCAACATAGTGAAACCCCATCTCTACTAAAAATAGAAAAATTAGCCAGGCATGGTGGTGCACACCTGTAATCCCATAATCCCAGCTACTAGGGAGGCTGAGACATGAGAATCACCTGAACCCGGGAGGCATGGAGGTTGCAGTGAACCGAGATCATGCCACTGCACTCCAGCCTGAGCAACAGAGTGACTCTGTCCCCCCGCAAAAAAACATCACCCACCCACTTGAACTCTCAGACTCTATTTCCAGGAAAAGAGGAAAAGAATCCCCAGCTACAGGATCATCTCTCTGAGCCTTGCCCCATCTCTAGATCCTGGCCTTGGGATCGTTCACTATCTTGTTAGCTCTCTGGGATCTTTAAGCAGAAAGATGTGCTTAATTTGTTTGTTGGCTTGTTTTCAAATTGTACTCAGCAGAAGGGTCAATCAAAGTTACTTTCTCTACCATTACTAAAGGCAGAATGCACTTAAATATAATTATCTTCTTTATTTTTAATTTTAAATAAGAGGAGCTAGGAAAACAAAAAGCTTCCTAATTCTTCGTATTCCCAAATGGTTCCTCAATTTATAATTACTTAATCTAGAGGAACTAAATACTCATTTGACCAAATTAATTTATTTTAGAAAGCATTAATTTAAACAAATGGTCATGTCAGAATATTAATGTGATTTTCACTTCAATCAAAGCTGTGCTTCATAGCCACAAAGTTTATCATTGCTGGTATAACCATAAGAATACTAGATATACACCCCATAGGAAAAATTTACCTTTGAGTTGTTCATTGAGATTATGATTTTAATAAAACAGATTAAAGATATTTCAAAGCTTGTGTAACTATTTTAAATTTTCAAAATCATTACATAAGTATAGTAGCTCAAGCACTATCTAATTCAAAATTGCCATTCCTGTCCAATAATGAGTTTTTCCAATTTTGCTGTATTCAAATTTTAACCATTTAAGAAATCTGATTTAAATAAAAAATGTATTTTATGATCAGAAAACTTTGATCTTTAGAACCTCTTCAAGTTAGTGTTTGAGACTAAGAAATTGCTTTTTAACCTTACAAATTCATTCACCATTTAACAAACATTTGTTGAGCACCAACTATATATCAAACATACAAGTAGAATACAAAGTTCCTTTTAAAAAATATCAGACTCTTGCTCATTTACTTTGCTGATTTATGTGCCATGTTAAACATTACTGTCTGTAACATAATCAGTGAAAACAATATTTCCCAGTTCTCTGTGTAATGTGTCTTTTTAAGACAGCCTTGAAATTTAATCCAATGTCTGCATTATCTTCCTCATAAAAGGGGACAAATGCAACTGATAGTAAATGACATCAACATTCTTTTCTACTCACCCAGCAAAAATTATGACCTGTGGTTGGAATATTTCTAAAGCAAGTCTATGGCTAATTGGAACTTGTTTCTACAGCAGGGTTCATTTGAGAATTGGATAAGGATTGTAGATGTAACAGATAAGGTATCTGGCTTGCCAGAGTCATAGATGCCCTTTTAAGTGAGGAAATGAAAGTTGAGTGAATGTTAAGGAAAGTTTTAAGGTCCCAGCTAGCTAAGGCCAACTCAAGTCCAGAATCCATTTCTGTCTCCCAGGTCAATCTTTTGTGTAGCATACAATGAAATTGAGCATTTTGATTCTATAACTAATAGCTTCTGAATGTGTTTTCACTGGTGTGTATATACAAATAATTTTGTTAAATTTTTTGAACGTTTTGAGGTCTGGGGTTTCTTTTCTTTTTATCATTTCAGACAGAATAGAGAAAATACCAATTTCTGAAGACCTATAATCATGAAATAGGCTCATTTCAAGTTAGGAAGACTATTTTATGTCTATAAGAAATTAGCAGTATCTGAGATGGTTCAGATGAACCTTATGTTCATTTTTATGTTTCTTTAATAGCATAATAAATAGGCTGGAAGGAAAGAGGGAAGCATCCCTTCCTTCACAGCAAAGTTAGGATTGTACCAGGGAAGACCATGGCTAGCTGACAACATTTTCAGCACTTCTTTCCTAGTGTATTTTTTGTTTGTCTTCAACTTACAGATCCCCTTTTGGAAAAGTAAGATAACGCAACTAAAGACAAAGTAATGGACGTTAAAAAACGTTTCTGTTGTGTAAGCCTTTTGCCAAGTTATTATCTACTGCAGTCTCTAGATCAGTGGTTCTCAACCTCGGAAGCACAATACCATATGCTGAGGAGCTTCAATGAATGATGATGCCTGCGCCATCCCCAGGAAGTCTGATTTGTTGGTCTGGAGTGGGGCCTGGTCATGGGGATATTTTTTAAGCTCTCGGAGTGATGTGGAGCTAGAGCTGACAGCCACTGCTCTCTGCATTGCTCTAGTCAAGAGGGACAATTTCCATTAGTAGCAAAAATGGGGACTCTGTTCTTTATGGTGTGGGCTTCTTTCTCTAAATGAATTACAGAAGGGCTGACACTCTCTCATATAAGATAAAGTCCTTTTCTTTTGTTAGAAATTTTTCACTACCTGACTCCTTCAAGGATTGGGCCATGGTCTCAAACCACCTAGCAAAACCTTAGCTGTCCACACAGAATTGGTAAGACTCTAGGGTCAGGTTTCAGCCAAAGAACCTTACAAATGCAAGATCTGAGAACTCTAACTTCCCCCTAATGACCTCTTCATCTATTAACTCAGAAATCTTATTCGAGACAAAACAAAATAGAGAAAAAACTAGAAGAGAAACTTTCATTCAATTTGCCCAGTTTTGATGTAAAATGTCATCTTAATTTTACTACCACCAACCTAACATTTTAAATACCATTTTCTTCTGAAAACATGACTTCTTTTCATTTGAGTTTGTATAGGCAATGGAGGAAAATTAGCATGGTTTTACCTGCTTTATAGATGGAGAAATGTACGCCTAGTTTCTGTGATCTTTTCAAAGTCAATAGTCACCGACGGAACGAAAAAGTCAAAGCTGTGTTGTAATGTTCTTTCTGATGTTCTACAATTCATACTAAAAAATATTCTACCAAGATATTTACCTGAAGATGTATTTTAGGAATCATGATTTAAGGCTAGATCACAAAATTCAGTGAAATTTAAAAGAGCCATAAAAATAATAAATCTGGAACAAAGTAAATCCTGCAACTTGATGGATAGGCCTCTATGGTCTGTAAAGACACATACAAATTATATGTGGTTTTACCCTTTAGTTTTACAATCACTGACTTTCAAAATGATTTTTTTCTCATTATATTTATAATTTCTGTTAATAGATAGCTAATACAAATGAAATAATGTGACAAAATGATAGGTATGGGGGGAATTACAAGTGATCATTACTGAAGAAGGGCATAGAAATTTCTTTTCTAGAAAATTTCCAAGAGGATTTACAGACCTCTGTCCCCAAATACTCTGAACTAGTAGAAATAGCAAATTAGACTCTTTCAGCATAGTGACTCTACATAGTTTCTGAAGAAACTAAATACGCTTCACACAAATCTATCTTGCATTAAGACAATAAAAATGTTCCTCCTCCTAGCCCCCCCTCAAAATAAAATAAAATAAAATAAATCTCCAAAGAGAAGGAATGGTGAGGATAAGAATTACTTATCTCTCCTTGTTCTTGGTTTTAGTAGATATTGATGGCCAGAGTCCAAGCCCAGGATGATGTTCAACTATAGTTTCAGATTGGGGGTCCAGGTCTCAGTACCTATAAATACTGCTGAAGCATCTTGAGTACTATTAAAGGAAAGTGAACATCGAGGCTCTGATGGCCATATACCTTGTTGCAGGGCGTTGGGGGAGGACTTACCTCTTTTCCCAAACTTTATTTCCATTAAGAATCAAATTACATAAAGCCCACTGATCCATATCATACATACATCAAAAAGCAATGATAATGTTGCCAACAAGAAATAAATCAAGAAGGGTTCAGGCTCCAAGTAACCCAGAAGGCCCCAAGCTCAACAGGGGAAGAAACACAAACTCTGCTCTTCCATAACCCTCCAAGAATAAGCCCCAGAATGATAATACCTTCGCTGCGTTCAAAACTCAGCTCTCTGGACAAAAGCAACTTCTCCATTCCGCACTTATTTTTTGTAACTCATTTAGAGGTTTTAAGTTAAGTTAAATATATTTTTTTCCAAAAATTAAAAGATTCTTTTAAAGTAAGCAAATAAGCTTGAAAAATACTTGGGAGAAATAGGAAGCTCTATTTTCAACTAAACAGATTTCAAATTTCTGCACTGAAATCAAATTAAAAAGTATTTTTTACCTCATTGCTGCTTCATTACTATTTCACCTTTTTAGTTTGAGAGATTTATTGTATGTATTGAGCTATATATGGTACTCAGTTTGGAACTAAGCCATTGTACATTTATAGAAATGGTATGAAATCTTCAGAGGCTCATATTACTTAAAATCTGCTTGCTAAGTGATTTTTTAAAAGAAAAATGAAAAACTCTTGTCTATGAACAGGGTCTCTCCAAACTCTGATTTTTCTCTAAGAATGCTCTTTAAAACAGGCTATCAAGGAAAGGGACTCTTTTCCATTGTCCCTTGTCATTCAAAGTCTCTCTTCACAAGTTCTTAGTATCTGACTTGGATTTTTTCTTTACCATTATAAATACCACTATTGCATAGAAATCTTGGAAGACATTTTTGTGACTAAAAGAAACTGAAAAAGGAGAAATTTACAGTATGGCTTTGGTAATAATAAAGCATAAATTTAACTTTTCACACTTAGGGTAACATATATTAATATTTAGTCATGAGATCTGCTGGGGTTTCATCTGCTGTAGATAGCTGTCAAGTTTTAATCACTGTATCATTTTCTTTCCACCATGCATGAAATACAAAGAATAGCTTTCACTTCATTTTTGTGTACACAAAGGCACGATAGAAAATCTCCTATGTTCTTTTGCTGCCATCCAGTGGTTCTGATTGATAAATGCAATGATGATAAATCTAACATGAGACAGAAACATATATGGGTATGAAAGAGACACATGTACACCTTTAAGAAAGCCTAAAGCATGAAAAACCAAATTGTTGAAAGTGATAAGTTTTAAATGGGATAGTTACATTATAAAATGTTCCTCTGTGTTGCATGAAGATTGAGGGAAAACCTCCCTTAGATTGTAAGTTCAAGCAAGAGTGGGGACACTGAACTTCACTCTCCCATTGTCACAGGCTAGCTGGGCATCAGCACTTAGTAGGCACTCAGGAAACACTTGCTTACCACAGCTTTTTTATTAACTGATTCATTAAAATGCTAATTATAATCACAAGCGGGGAAGCACAGTGCAAACTTTTTTGCAGTTGAGTGTAATTTAGCCAATTGTCTCCTGGTGTGGGGATTTCTTACTTTCTATAAAGAGCAGTTTTACATAGCGGTGAACAGGAGTTGGAGGGAGAGGGAGAATTCGTAAGTTTAAGGTAAGAATTATTTTTGAGAAATATAACCAGGTGTATCAATACTATGTTTCTTGAATAGTTTTAAGATGGTCTAAGCTGGAGGATAAACTGCCAAACATTATCAAAAATGGCTATTCAGGGCCAGGCATGGTGGCTCACGCCTGTAACCCCAGGACTTTGGGAGACACAGGCGGACAGATTACTTGGGGCCAGGAGTTCAAGACCAGCCTGGCCAACATGGTGAAACCCAATCTCTACTAAAAACACAAAACTTAGCCAGCCATGGTGGTGCGTGCCTGTAATCCCAGCTACTCATGAGACTGAGGCATGAGAATCGCTGGAGCCCAGGAGGCGGAGGTTGCGGTGAGCTGAGATCACTTCACTGCACTCCAGCCTGGGTGACAGAGTGAGACTCTGTCTCAAAATTTACAAAAAAACAAACAAAAAAAAGCTAGTCAGAATTTTTCTATTGCTGACACTAGCAATAGAGCACACCATAAAAAATGTGATGTGGCTCCAAATTATGAAGTCGGTATGCAGGTGTAACACTGACACCACACTAACCCAAACTGAAACCAGCTAGATAAGTGTTTGAAAATTCAGAGCAAGTTTGGCCAATCAGCAAATAGAATTCATGACTGACCTAGGTCGTCTCCTCCGGTAAAACCTCCTCCATGTAGCTCCTCGGCCAGTAATTAGGCTTAAAGGGAAGAAAACAGTGGTTAAGGCGGAGCCTCCAGAATGGCCCCACATCCTAGCCTCACTAACCGCATAATCTTGGGCAAGGCCTAACCTCTCTGAGCCTTGATAGCTTTACCTGTAAACAGAAAATAATACCCACCTCAATTGGCTTCTTGTGTAGATGACAAATGAGGAACACAGTGCCTGGCAAAGACTCAGTGTTAGCTGCCATAAATGCATATATACCACATGCACACACGTACATGGCATTAACAGACACACACACACAGAACAAACACTATTCAGAGCAGAGGGAATGATTGGACAATCTTTCTACTCAGTTGTAAATCATTTATTAAATTTAATAACCTATACTTTAGTTACAGAGACTGGTACAAAAAAAGTAAACATTGCGCCTGGGTTCCAGATGTGAAAACGACAATCCAGTGGGAATTTTAAGATCTCACTTATTCCACTTTATTCACTTTATCATAATAAAAAGCAAAAATATTTAAAACAATTAGTAAGAAGGGCATCAAAAACAAGACCTCAGTAAATTCAATTATACTTTCCAAGTCACATATTAAGAAGCATTTCTTATTTATCTCTGACAAAAATATCTAACCGTGGAAGAGGATTCTTACTCTTTGTCTTTTAGGAAGTTGGATATATTGAAAATGTCTTCCAATGAGTCAGGGAATTCAAAGAATTTCAAGATGCATTTTAAGTTAAAGTCCAAGTTTATTCCGAATGAAACGTTCTATTTCCCAGCATCTCAGGAGCCAGACCCTAGCTCCTTTCCAATTTTCTTATTAAGAAATTTAAGATTTTTCTACATCTCATTTGATCATTTACATCATATTTTTAAATCTCTGCAAAAACGTATGGCAGAACCTATAAACAAAATCTTGAAAAACAAATTACAGCACAACTGAATGCTGGTGAGGAGGAGGTGCAATGGCAACTTGCATTCACTGATGTTGGGAATGCAAAATGGTATAGCCACTTTGAAGGACAGTTTGGCAGTTACAAAACTGAAAATACTCTTAACATAGAATCTAGCAGTTGCACCTCTTAGTATTTGCCCAAAAGAATTGAAAACTTACGTCCACACAAAAACCTACACATGATGTTTACAGCAGCTTTATTCATATTTGCCAAAACTTAGAAGGAACCAAGGTGTCCTTCAGTAAGTGAAGGATATATAAACTGGTGGTACACCTGGACAATGGAATACTTCTTAGTGCTAAAAAGAAATGAGCTATCAAGTCATAAAAAGACATGGAGGAAACTGAAATGCAATTATTAACTGAAAGAAGCCAATCTGAAAAAGTTACATACTGTATGATTCCATATGACATTCTAGAAAAGGAAAAATTATGAAGACAGTAAAAAGGTCAGTGGTTGGCAGAGGTGGGAGTGGGGAGAGGGATGAATAAGTGGAGCTCAGTGAAAATACTATATGATACTGCAACGGTGGGTACATGTCATTATATATTTGTCCAAACCATGGAACGTACAACACTGAGAGTGACCCCTAACGTAAATGATAAAGTTTGTGTGATTATGATGTGTCCATGTAGGTTCATCAGTTGTAATAAATGTGCCATTATGATATATGATGTTGTTACCGGAGAAGCTTGTGGCTGTGTGGGGACTGGGGTCTACAGGAACTTGCTGTGAACCTAAAATTGCCCTAAAAATAAAGTTTACTAATTAATTTTTTTAATTATATACAAAGGGGAAGAGGAATACAGGCAAAAACAAAAAATCTCACACAATTATAGAATAGTTTCTGTAAATTTCAAGGCAGTACATAACAATTAAGCTTAGCAAACCAAACTTTAAGATATGTATTAAGTTGTACATAGTACCTACCACAAAAGGACTTACACATACATTACCACTATTTCCAAAAGATGCTTTTAACATCTTTTTTTCAATGTTACATATTTTAGGCTGGGTGTGGTGGCTTACACCTGTAATCCCAGCACTTTGGGAGGCCAAGGCAGATGGATCACCTGAGGTCAGGAGTTCAAGACCAGCCTGGCCAACATGGTGAAACCTTGTCTCTACTAAAAATACAAAACTTAGCCGGGCATGGTGGTGGGCACCTGTAATCCCAGCTACTCAGGAGGCTGAGGCAGGAGAACTGCTTGAACCGGGAGGTGGAGGTTGCAGTGAGCCAAGACCACACCACTGCATTCTAGCCTGGGAAAGAGTGAGACTCCGTCTCAAAAAGAAAAAAAGAAAAAAAAAGGTATATATTTTAATTATGTTAAGTTACTGTAAATGCCTAGCTGAAAGAATAAAATTTAATTACAGGTATTTCTAACGTTATGTATTTACACAACATCATGTAGCTGGGAAACCTCAAATAACTTTTGCTAAAATAAAATTTTAAGTGGTATCAATAATTAAGAAATTATTAGGTTAGCCTTTATTAGTGTTGTCTACAAATTTTAAAAGGTGATAGATAAAATCTGGCAATTCCAATTCTATAAACCCAAATTTCAATTGTTCTTAGGACAAATTCTAAAATGATGTTACATTTTGCGACATCTTTGACAATGTGTAATATTTAGTAATATTCAATTTCCATTATAATCCAGTTAGGTTCCAGTGAGACAACAGATTATAAACACATTTCCTACAAACTAACCTCCCCTGATGAAAATTAGGTACAATAAAAATCCCTTTCAATTTAGCATTATTAAGACATTCAAGCAAAAATCACACTATCATTTACATATGATAACCCTACTGTTGCGGTGTCTAAACTTATCTTGGTAAGATTCAGAAGTTTCAAAATACCATGGAAGGCAGATTTGGAAGAGACCTACTTCCAAATAAGAGTTCTTATTCTCTAACTATATCTGGAAGGCAACTTGTCTAAAAGTAAACTGAGCCCAAATTTAGGAAAAATAGTTAATGCTCACAGACTATATATATGTATATATATGATAATGAAATATTTGCTACCACATTTAAGTATTCTTATATTATTTCTCCATCACTGAAATGTTTTATTGCTTAAAATTTCAGTAACTAAATAACTCGTATTCACAGGAGTACCTCATTGTCATGCTGCTTCTTTGAACGAATTTTGTTGCTTGTCACTACAACTTTTTTTCTCTTTCGTTTTACCAAAGAAATTATGTTTATGACAACAAAAAATATTCACCATGAGAATCTGATGGGAAAAAATAGAAACAGAAAAAACCAGAAACAAAACTATCTACTTCATTCCTGCTGGTGTGAGGGACTCTCACTTGTAAACCTTTTCTGTCTTTAGTTCTGGTGATAACTTTCCTAACACTCACCTACATTTGCTGTATCACTGGATATCATCTACTAGCTCCCCAGCCTGAAAACTCAGGATTTAATTTATACTACTTTCTCCCTTCCAATTTTTGATAGAAGAATTAAAAAGAATAAATCACCATTACCTTTGAAAAATAAACGTAAAACCGTATTCATCCACCGGTTTTGTACAGCATCTGTGTTTCTCACCACATAAGGATGACCCTCTAATATGTTCTCTATTTCTAACTCACTTCTGCCTATTCTACCTTTACTTTTATACTGGCAAGGTCAATTTCATTTACTTTCTTGTTTTACCTATCAGTTGATTCTAAACGCTGAAAACCAATAAAGCAACATTTACAATATTTAAAAAAAAAAAAAAAACTGGGCCCAAACTATTAAGAGTATGAACCCACTTTGACCCTAAATCATTAAGGGTGAGAACCCACTTCTGAGTTCTCACTAGAGCTCTTTTTTTTGTTTTGTTTCGGTTTTTGTTTTAATAGAGATGGAGGCTATGTTGCCCAGGCTGGTCTCAAACTCCTAAACTCAAGCAATCCTCCCGCCTTGGCCACCCACAGCGCTGGGATTATAGACATGAGCCACTGCGCCCAGCCTCTGAGTTCTCTAATACCTTTTTTTTTTTTTTTTTTTTTTTTTTTTTTTTTGTCTTTTGAGACGGAGTTTCGCTCTTTGTTGCCCAGGCTGGAGTGCAATGGCGCGATCTCGGCTCACCACAACATCCGCCTCCTGGGTTCAAGCGATTCTCCTGCCTCAGCCTCCCGAGTAGCTGGGATTACAGGCATGCGCCACCACGCCCGGCTACTAATTTTGTCTAATGCCTAACTTTAAAGAAAGAAAACTGGGCCAGGCGCCGTGGCTCATGCCTCTAATTCCAGCACTTTGGGAGGCCGAGGTGGGTGGATCACTCGAGGTCAGGAGTTTGAGACCAGCCTGGCCAACATGGTGAAACCCCATCTCTACTAAAAATACAAAAATTAGCTGGGCACGGTGGCGGGCACCTGTAATCCCAGCTACTCGGGAGGCTGAGGCAGGAGAATTGCTTGAACCCAGAAGGTGGAGGTTGCAGTGAGCTGAGATCCCGCCACTGCACTCCAGCTTGGGTGACAGAGTGAGACTCCGTCTCAAAAAATAAAAAAATAAAGAAAACTGAATATCACACTATACAGTTAAGAATTTATAGACACATACACATTTTTTAAAAATGTCTATCTGGATGAATCCAATACGCGATTTTTTAAGTGGTGTGTGCTTATCCAAGAGGACAAATTATACACATATTCTGGCAGATTTTTTTCAGGATTTTCGTTATTTGAACCTGACTGTTGCATTACATTAGGGAAAGATCACATGGCAGATGATAATAGGCATGGTGAAAATCTCCTCTCCATGGAAACCCGACAGGGTTTTAAGTAAATTTCTTCAAGCAAGATAAAGATTAAGAGATGGCATACTCAACACTCAATCATAACTGACAGTATGTTAGAAAGGTCTGAACATTTTGGCTTCAGAAAGAGTATAACAGACCCTTGACATTTCAAGGTGTAAGTTCCAAGATTTTTGCCCAAATTCAAAAGTATTCTTGAATAACTTTACCCAGGTTCCTGGTTTTCTTCAGAATTACACTTTCATCTTGTGCCAAAGATTTTTACACACATTTTCACATCCAAGTTATTAATCTTCTCAATCGTGTCCACTCAATAATGGCCATTGTGTGTGTTTCCTAGGGCTGCCATAACAAAGTATCAATAACTGGGTGGCTTACACAACAGAAATGTGCTGTCTGGCAGTTCTGAAGGCTAGCAGTCCAAAGTCACAGGATCAGCAAAGTTGGTTCCTTCCGAGGATTATGAGAATCTGTTCCAGGCCTCTCACCTAGCTTCTGGTGGTTGCTGGCAATCTTTGGTATTCCCTGGCTTACAGAAGCATAATCCCAAACTCTGCCTTAATCTTCACAGGTGTTCTCCCTGTGTGCATGTTGTGTCCCAATTTCCCGGTTTTATAAAGGCATATTGGATTAAGATCCACCCTAATGAATTACATCTACTATGGCCTTATTTCTAAATAAGGATACATTAAGAGGTATTGAGGTGTAGGACTTCCATGTATGAATTTTAGGGGAACATAATTCACGCCATAGAAGCCATTTATCACATGATAAAAAGTTTGACAGCTCCCAACCACTACAACCATGTTTGGATAACTGCTGAATCTCCTATGCCTAAAACAGAACATGGTACACAGGAGTTCAATAAATATTTGTTGAATGAATGAGTGAATAAATGAATGAGACTGCAAGTGAGGGAAAAAAAAAACTGTGGATGCTAAGAGGTTAGCCAAGCTAAATCATTAGCTGAATAATGCCTTCCTGCATGGAATTTAGCAGGAATTAAGATTATGTCTTGGCAAAATTACAAAATAACTCTATACTCCATGGACCTCTAAAAGTCACTCACAAATAGTAAAAATCACAAGTGTTAAAAGTCACAAATGTCAAAACCCACAAAATCCAGCAACTTTTAAATAATTATCTCTTTCTTAAGGGAAAAATAATAAAGTATCAAAACTAGGGAAGCAAATTATTTGTTTAAGTAAGGAATGCATTATTAGTGAGATTAAAGGCCATCAAATGAAAAAAAATACCAGACACACATTAGAACATGGTCTATAGGCAATCCAATGCTCTAGCACTAAATCAGAGGTGATTCTAATTTTGCTATTTTAATAACTAAAGTTTTTTGTGTAAGGTCCAAGACAAATTGTACTCTATAACAAAGTGGGTATAACAAGCTTCTATTCTTTTTACAATAACATTTTTCAACATAGCATCTCAATAGATAATACCTACATAACAAGAAATTGAAGGCATTCTTTCTCTTCCTCCTAATAATCTCATT
This sequence comes from Homo sapiens, assembly GCF_000001405.40. Taxonomy (NCBI): domain Eukaryota; kingdom Metazoa; phylum Chordata; class Mammalia; order Primates; family Hominidae; genus Homo; species Homo sapiens. Next base: position 68,039,130 of record NC_000002.12, read on the forward strand.
CAAATCATATCACTATGAATTGCCTGGGTACTTGGCTTTAAAATATTGTATTACTGTAAGCTTGAAATTCAAGCTCTGGATAGGTCTACATTCATTTCAGCAGAAGCATCTTGAAATGCTGAATTATCATCTTCAATTTTCTTCATTTATTGCAGCTGCCAAACTGAAATGGTACACCTTAAAGGCAACACTAAACTGAAAAGCAAATAATAAAAGAGTCTCTTAAATGTTTCATTTATAAAAGCTTATTTTTCCCCCATCAAATTTTGTATACTGTCTGAAATATATCACTTTACAAAACTGACATCTTGCATACAGTTATTCTGCTATGATAGATTTGCTAAACTTCAAGGCTAATTGTGGGGAGAGGGAGTAAAAACCAGCATCTCGTTTCAACCTTTTAAGAACAGATGACTAACACAGAGCTGGTGGCTTTAGGTTTCTAGCTGGGCAGGGAGTTGGGAGATATAAAGTTAAAAATTAAACCTCAATTGCCAATAGCTATCACTATAGCTCTCTCTTTTCTGAACACTTTACTAATCTTTCTGGCTGTGTTAAAAATTATGCCATAATCTCAGACTTCTTGAGGGAATAATAAAAAGTTATGCCATAAATAAGCACTTTAAAAAGGCACATCAAGTCAGAGGGTGGCTATTCTAAAGAGTAGTCTATGGCTGTACACCCACTTTGATAGGAAAATGAATATGCAAACCAAAAAACATTCAAATCATTTTCTTGAAAGCCCGCTAACAGGTAATATAATAGCAAATTATTCAAATGAAACAAATCTACAGAATTCCATTATAAAATCCTGTATACTTTCTGCCAACATAGTTGTTAATGACAACTATAAAATGCTAATATATGAACAAAATATGGCTTGTATTTCCAAAACTGGAGAGTTTTAGATCAGAATATAGGGAAAGATAGATGTTTATATTTGTAAATTATGTTCACGTCACATTGATATAAAATACGTTGCTACCAAGATCATTCAGGAAAAGAGCCACTGAATTTATCTGAGCAGGTTTTCTAACTATGCTATGAAGGGAGAAAATGAGACATCAGTGCTTTTTCTTCCCTTTAGATACCAAATTTAGCTATTACATGAGGCTGAGTCACTGTTCACATCTTTCTTAGTTAATGTCACTTTGCAAAGCCAGAATTTCTGGTAACTTATTGAATAAAATTATAATTTAACTGTATGATAAACTGAGTGATTCCTAAAGTATCTTTTTCTCCAGTGACCTACTTAAGAAAAAAGTATTTACATTCAATACGCTGTCCATTTTTGAAGTCTTTCCTACACTTCTGGTCAATTTTAAATACCTTATTTAGAAATAATGCCAATCCATTTCTAATTGCTAAGTAGAAGGATTTTTTAATCTACAGGGTATCTTAAAACTAATCAACCTGACATAACTTCCTAATTCCAGGAATGTAACATAATTCAAGCTTCAATTTTTCACTCAACATATTCTGTTTTACTAAAAGGATTTCCCACCTTACAACTATGAACAAGAAAAAATTTGTACTTAAAATAATATTAAAATGCAAGATCTCATTATTTAGTACAAGATTAATAGACTATAATTCTAATCTTAAAAATATCTATAGATGCAACTTCTCCAACTTGTTAATTCCCAAAGAGATTAATAAAAGATGTAATTAACATCTAAACTTAGAGCAGACTATCATGTGGAACAAACTATTTTAACAAGAACTGCACCATAGTCAAATAGATCAACCACACACATCACCCTTTATGGTTCTGAATAAGGTTAATGAGCACAATTTGTCATAAATTTTCCCATAACTCTGAGAAACTGAATTGAATAAAAAGACTATTTTTTTCTTAACACCTTATAAAGATAGGATAAAGGCCGTAGTTATCGTCTTTGGAACGTTGCACCTAGCACTGTATCTGGCAATATAAATGTCATTAAGTATATTTGTCAAAAGAATAAACAAACAACAAGCAAATAAGCAACCCAATGCACTACAGCCATTCAGCTCCTTATTACGTGCTAAGTATTTAAAATTATACATAATAAAATGGAATATACTCAAACTTTTATTTCTACCTAATAATGAAAGAATTACTCACTTAAAAGTTACACAATTTAACAGAACGTAGAGGTGCACTTTCATAAACCAATAACTTAGCTAAAACCAATAATGATTTTCTGCAATTGTATAACATTTTTCATTTAAGCTGTTTTTCTTTTATGAAATTAGAAAATATACAGAAATCCAAATAAATTTCTTTGCAATAAATAACACAAAGACAGGTACACTACACTTGATCTTAACAGTAACACATTTCTCTCATGAAGAGGTTATTTTTAAAAATAGCTAGAAATTTGGAGACAAAGGCAAAAAAAGGAGTAAAATAACTATAAATGTTCACTAATGTTCTTCCACTTCAAAAACTGACATCAGAGACAGAAAAGACCTTCTGCGTCTATCAGTGACTTCCTCTTCATGTGTCATAGAAAGAGTTCAACATGCTTTACAAAATCCATTACATTTTAAGACCATTTCCAATATCTGCTATCATAAATCAAGAAATCCATTTATTCAAGGTTACTTATGGAGAATTAATCACACAGAAAATTTTAACAACTCCTTTTTCAAAAATTAAAGTACTTTACTATACTTGGCATTCCTACACATAATGATATGGATTCAAACACTGAAAGCATTAAGGGCATATAATTAAAATTCATGGGCTTAGACATTTAAAAAAAGGTTTACTATGTAGTACTCTCTGTAACTAATATTCCAGAAAAATAAACCACAATACAAACACAGTGTAATCTCCTTTGGACTTCTCATCTGCTTAAGTGGCATTAGGTAACTTAAGAAGTTGTTCCAAAACACTTGTATGTACTTGATACAGCCTCAAAAACATGAAATAAAAAAAATCTGAAAAAAAATGAGATGAAAAGAACTGTGGACACCATGCATCAGGAACAAAAACTCAAGAATTTCTCTATTTGTGATGACTTCTAAAACCTATCTTCCTAATTTGGAAGGCAAATTTACTCAAAAGATAAAAATACACAGGTCAGTTATACAACATTTTCAGCCTTTATTGAGAGTACAGTCATCATGCCAAAATTCATCCATCAACATACAACCTTATTTCCCATCTAAAGTTAATGAGAATGTATTTTATTTTAAATGGGACATAGAGGCAACATGCCAAGAATTAAAGTACAACCATAAAGTTTTAGTTTCACACTTTGAATATCAACAAAGCAGTAATTCCTAAAATCATGAAAACATGATAAAGTATCTATACAGAAAAAAATGAACATTTAAGTCATTTCACGCTTTCTTAATATCATATAGTGAAAACAGATGTACCTATAATTTCAGCCTACAGATAGCATACTTCATAAGGTCATTATTCATTTAAAATAGTACAAATGTTTACAAAGAACATTTCACTTAAATTTCACAGCTGCTTATAAAATGGTACTTGCAAGACTGACCTATATAAAGAAATAAGAGTCTCATCAAGAGATGGTAAATTATAAATATATAATATATCACAATGTTAAAATCCTCAGTGCTAATCAATAAAGATAATGATCTTTGGAGAGGAAAGTATTTAGCTTTACATATTTACTGTGAATTTACATATTAATAAGAAACACATTTAAACCTTGCCCTGCCACAGAATTATTTTGCGGGGGGGGGGGGGGGGGGGAAGATGTACTTTTTGAATATGTGTACATCAAAACCAAAAAGTTAACTTTTACTTTTTCCTTTATTGGCAACTTTTGATGCATTTTTCGATTTTGGTTCCCAGAGGGCATTTTTTACAAATCTTGAAGCTGCACCTCTGTCCAGCTTGCCAGCCTTTTTCTTGTCTGTTATTTCCTTGACTCTGTTCATATATACTCTGATTCTTTCCTTAAAGATAAAAAACAAAGGCAATAGATTTACTAAGCTATTCGCCACCACTGAATTTTATTATACTGTACACCTTGGTTAAATTCAACATATATGTATTTATTGCCTATTAAAGTGCATGGTGCTAGGAAATGCAAATGAATAGGATAAATACGCTCCCTGCTTGCCTGGAGTTCATAGTCGGAGGGTGGGGAAAGACAGATGTTAAAAAGTCATTTCAGAAGTCTTCTGTTTCCAAAGAGTTAGAATCACACTAAGACATTACTCCAGAAATAAACATCGAATTGAAAGTTTCTAGGTGGTTATACATTTTTGAAAAACACCATTAACATAAATCTACATATTAACTGTTTTGTATCTAAAGTAAAAAACCGGAGCTTTCATATACTTGCAAAATACAAACTAAATTCTCCTGAAATTTTTCTAAACAGGAAATACATGAGGTAGTACTTAACTATCTTTTCACATTACCATCTAGTGTAACAATTAGGGAGAATGAAAATACAAATTATTCAATTTTATAATTTTGGTAAGTACATGAAATTTTCTAATAAAATATACAGTTCTAATCAGACTTTACAGGGTGAGAAACATAATATGTTGCTGTACCACTGTGAATCTTCTGAGACAATTAATCAGCATAAATGGCTATCTTACGCTTCAAATGAAGAAATAAAGTTGATGACAGCCATAAAACAGCAGAGTAAAAGACTGATCACTGCTTAAAAACAAGCTTTATTAAAATAATCAACATAGTTAATGCAGAATCTTAAAATGTTTTCATTGTGAAAGACTGGCAACTCTGCTCCACACTCTCTAGTGACGTCCCATTTCTGTCTGAATAAAAAAGCACAGTGCTTATGATGGTGGATACTAGCTACAGCACACACACACCAACCTGCCTTGGGGTCTTTGCCCTGCTTATTCCTCTGCCTAGAAGGATATTTCCTCAATTACCCATACGGCCACTTCCTCTCTTCCTTCCAGTCTACTCAAATGTTAACCTTGTCATTGAGGCCCTGACTTCAGCATTTAAAACTGCAGTCCTATCCAAGCACTCCAGTCCCCCTTACCCTACTCTTTTTCTTTGTTCCCATAACTTTCCAACATACTACATATTCATATATATTTCTTATTTGTTTACTTTATTATTTGTCTCCCTCCATTAGATACAGTCTGGTGTCTGCCACAAGGGCAGGGATCAGCATTACTCACAGAGGAATCATCTCTCACTTGGAAATAATGCCTAGCTCCCAGTAAGCACTCAAATATCTGTTGAATGAGTAAACTGACTTTTCCCATTTGTGATACATACGGCAAATAAGTTTCCTATCATACACTAAGTCTGTGATCAATTAGTAACATCTACGCAAGGTCAGAAAAGGGGAACAGGCTCTGTAATCCCAGCACTTCGGGAGGCCGAGGCGGGCAGATCACGAGGTCAGGAGATCGAGACCATCCTGGCTAACATGGTGAAACCCCGTCTCTACTGAAAATACAAAAAATTAGCTGGGCGTGGTGGCAGGCGCCTGTAATTCCAGCTACTCGAGAGGCTGAGGCAGGAGAATGGTGTGAACCCGGGAGGTGGAGCTTGCAGTGAGCCAAGATCACGACACTGCACTCCAGCCTGGGCGACAGAGCAAGACTCCATCTCAAAAAAAGAAAAAAAAAGAAAAAGAAAAGGGGAAGAGGTTTATGCATGCTTTTTATTCACCAACCCTTATCTAGAATATTAATGTACTACTTCAAAAGTAGATTCTGAGGTAGAAAGAAAACAAATGACCTTGTCCTTTCACAAAGACAGTATCAAGTATTCCAAATAACTTCATGTTAATGGAAAAAAGAGAAATTGTATGCAAAGTCTATATTAGGAAGTTGAAAACAGATGATACAAGCCATCATTTTAAAGGTTTAAAGCCGTATCACTGGTCAAACCAAGACCTGCATATCATATTGCTTTATACTTTTGCTTTAAATATTTTTCACAATTGTTTTATTTAAAAATAAATTTATTTTCCCCCCCAAGAACTTCAAAATAAGGAAATGTCTTAGACTACATGTTGAAAAACTGAAGACAACAGATCTGGCTTACTCATTTTTAAAAAGTAAAGGACCAAGTGCTTTACTAAGCTGTAAATAACATACATATCAACTACCCTAAAACTTGAGAACAAGAATACAATGTCAAGTGTATTTCATATCTATATTTGCCTTATATTTTATAAACACAAAGAATCAATTTATTAATATTCTTATTCATAAAACCAAGTCAAGAAGGTAACCATAAGTTTGATTTCTAATTTTTCTCTTCAAATTGAATGATTTGATTTAATTTTTGAAGTCAGCAAAAACTCCAAGATACCAGACCTTATATACTGTACTTATACATCTAAATGGAATACAAAGACAAACCTAGAAGATTTATTACAGGTTGTAAATATGTCTAATGCAGAATTACTGGACAGTACACATACAGCTGGTGCCAAAAAAGCTTTTAGCTTTGTTGCTGAACTGGATTCTTTACTGCTGAGAAAATGAATTAATGGAGGAATTGAAAAGGTGGGAGGGAGAAACTTTCCCGTCTTTGCTAGTAAATCAACTAGAATATACTTTTAAGAACTGTACAGAAGTTTAAAAAAAAAAGTAGTTCTAGAGATAAACAGGATTTCAAGAATTTATAAGAAAAATAATATGTAAGTTATAAATAATTACTAGAATCGTAACATTTTCCCATTCCGAGATTTATATAATATATGGAATACCAATTATCTGAAAAAGGTAAGAGAAAAAAAAACCCAAAGATAATAAGGTCTGGCTCACTTTCATAATTTCAACTCGAATTCTGTTCTCCCTAATTTGTGTGACAAAGGTAGTGTGACAAACCTCAGGAATACAACAACAAACACATAAAATAAAAAGAAATTAAAATCTTACCAATTCCTGTTTTACTGGATGTTCCTTAGGATTAACTCCTTGGGTTGCCAAATAAACTACAAGAGAAAAATTTCATGGAATAAAATGGTGAATGTATTAATTTAAAACATTCCAATTAAAGAAACTAGTTATTCACAAAAAAGGAAAGTCCTACAAACAATTAAACTTTAAATTATTCAATTTCCATGTAATACTAAATCTATGTGTGGCTCACTGGCATCTAGATTTAAAAATAAGTATCTATTAAAAGTGTTATAAAGTATAATTGTAAATAAATTGTTAGCATTTTAAAAATAAATCATCTTTCACACAATAAGTAATTTGCTTTCTAATTAATTCCAAAGTAACACACATACCCCAAAACATTGAATTTAATGTGTATGCAGAAACCAAATCCACTTTTGCTTGTTCAAGTGGATCCAACTGTTAAAAAAGAAAGAGAGAGGGAAAGAGAGAAAGTGAGACAGAAAAAAAATACACAAACTTTGAACACCATCTGATAACATTTGACTTTTACCAAGTACAATGTATCAAAGAAGTTTTTTTCACTTCATATAATCCAATAACCAAATGATCTGAAAATAATTTGTAAAAAGAAGTTTTCTTAATGAGTGACTTTTGTCCACACATTTTCACCTTAGGGTATCATCTTTAGTTAGACAAGGAAAGTGCATAACCCAAGAAAAATTCTTTTGAATTATTTTAATTTCGGGAGTTACGATCTGGGCTTTGTAAGTCAAAAGTAATTTATCAATATAAACATTGTACATGATGCATTTATGTATAAGAAGCAGGCTTAGGCAATACGAAAGACAGAAGAAACATAATGAGATTTGTTTTAGACTGTCAAAGTCAATTTACTGTTTTTGTCCTATAGGGTTTCCAGAAACCCTGATAACATCATTGTAATACTTAAAAGGTCAAAGATAGAGTCTGTCAAAAAGAATACCGTGAGTGCTCCTTTTTTTTTCCAAAACTAAGTTAAAAACATAGTTAGGAGGTATTTCCTAAGGCTGGAGTTTTCTTTTGTTTTGTTTCCCCCCTAAAAATACCCAAACACTAATAAAATTGAAATAAAGGGGAAAAGGGGCATAGGTCATTAATCTGTTTCTTCTTCCACATGTTTCATAAAATAGCATTCTGTTTTATGAAATTCATTTTTAGGAAATTACATTTTTAAAATACCTTCTGCAACAACTCATTTCTAGAAACAGACATCATGGTCTTCAGCATCTCATCCACAGCACCAATGGAATTCTCAAACGCTGACAAATACTCGTGAATTTCTACTGGATAGTCTTCATTAATTTCTTCACCTGCCATTATGGCTGACTGGAAAAAATTAAATTCTTTGAATTCATATTAGAGACAGAGCTTGTTCTTTAGTTTCCAAAAAAAAAAATCAATAGGTCATATCATGTATTTCAAAGGCACTAAGAGTTAAAACCTGAAGACAAATCTTTTTAAAATTTAATTCTAGATTAACTACATTCCAATTTGTCCCCTTCTTAAGTTTCTTGGGGGGCTGTGGAAGAAGAACCAACCGAAGCCCACTAATGCTATGCACACCAAACCCTCAACATTTTTGTTTTGTTTTGTTTTGAGATGGGGTCTCCCTCTGTCGCCCAGGATAGTGCAATCACCACTCACTGCAACTTCCGCCTGCTGGGCCCAAGCGATCCTCCCACCTCTCAGCCTCCTGGGTAGCTGGGACTACAGGCCCATTGCCACCATGCCCAGGTAATTTTTTTGTATTTTTACAGAACTTTTACAGAACTAAAGACATGATGACCAAACATGAGATAGCAATAATCAAAATCCTACATCTTAAAAACTGTTGAATTAGCAAAGCAATTAAAGTTTGATAAATAGATCCCCTAATGATTGCTGAAGAAATGGTAAGCAAAGCACTTTTTTTAGAAAAACATGTATTTTAGTCCTTCTAAATATAGGTGTTGATCTAGGAGCATATTATATTCAACTAAAAAAGTAAAAATCTTAGGTCTAAAATACGTATCACAGAAATCATTTTTCAAGCCTATATATATTTATATTCCTTAAGCTTCTTTAAAATATTAATAAGAAATCCAAAGAGTCTATAAATCATATAAAGCCCATAAGCAGAAAAGAGGAAACTTGGGGGAAATAAACAATATGGTTTTCATTTGTGCTAGTGCATACTCTGACAGCCCATGCTTTAAAAATTCACCTATATCAATGTATTATTAAAGTATCTAAGTCCAAATTTTAGAAGCAATTCCAAGCCATAGGTAACATCTCTAGAATAAAAAAAATTTTTTTTGTATTAACAGAAATACCTCCTTTATCACATAGGTAAGGAGAACAGCATGAATGTGTATGACAGCAAATAGCATTGCAGAATGGAAGTAAAGAGACTTGGGCTTTCTGTCTTGATCACTGACTTTGTCACCTGAGATAAATCATTGAATCTCTCTTGGCCTCAAAGTCCTCATCCATAAAATAAGGCAGCTGGTCTAATGATCTGTAAAGTTCCTTATAGTTCTAAATGTTATGATTACTTTTAAGTTTGAAAAGTACTATTTAAATATTTAGTGACAACATATCAACATTTTTTCTGAATGAGTATATTCCACTGAGACATTTGGTTTCATTAAAAAAATAAAGTGAAGTCTATCTATTACTACTTGAGTTGTGAAGTTACTATCCAACTACTGTGCAACCAGCAGTTAAGGCGATAAGAAAACAAAACTACACAGAAAAGAACTGATTTCCAATTTCAAAAGGTTAACTGAAAATATGCACTTGCCGCTCATCCCTCCCCAAATCCCTACAATATGACAGATGAAATAGAAAAACATGAAAATAAAAATGCTGGAAACCAAGAAAAGCACAGATCTACCAGCAGACTTCAACAGTAGAAACTGTGTAAGCTAAAGAGCAAATTGGGCTGGACACGGTGGCTCCCGCTATAATCCCAGCACTTTTGGGAGGCAGAGGCAGGTGGATCACCTGAGGTCAGGAGTTCGAGACCAGCCTGGCCAACATAGTGAAACCCCATCTCTACTAAAAATACAAAAATTAGCCAGGCGTGGTGGCGCACGCCTGTAATCCCAGCTACTTGGGAGTCTGAGGCAGGAGAACTGCTTGAACCTGGGAGGTGGAGGTTGCAGTGAGCCAAGATTGTGCCACTACACTTCAGCCTGGGCAACAGAGTTAGACTGTCTCTCAAAAAAAAAAAAAAAAGAGCAAATGGGATCAGACTGCAAACAGGAAACAAAGCCAAGAAACCTTACAAACAAAAGAGAATAAGAATTTAGAAATAACTCCAAGAACAGAGCCATAAGCGCTGAAAATAGCTAACCTAATTTCCAGATCTGTGAAAGGACAGCTCTAGCATTTATTGCCTAGATAAAGGTATAAGTATAGGGATATACTGCAAAGAAGACTTGGTTATTTTCTCACTTTATGTAGAATTTTGAACCAATAAATTTGAAAATGTAAATGAAAACAATGATGTTCTTGGGAAGATATCAACTACCAAAACTAAAAAGAAGTACATAAACCATACAGATCATTAACCACAGAAAAAGAATTACACAGTAGTCAAAGACCTACCCTACAAAGAGGTTCTAGTCCTAGATTTTACAGGTAATTTCTTTCAAACCTTCAAGAAACAGTTAACTCCTATGGTATTTAGCTGTTTAAGAATACAGAGAAAGATGGAAAACCTTTTTCATAACATACACAAAAATAAACTCCAAATGAATTAAAAATGTAAACGTATAAACATATTAGATTATATCAAATATTTACATCATCTAAATGAAACCCAAATGCTATAGGAAATGGCTGACAAACTTAACTGCATAAAAACATTTTTGAAAAGTCGTACATGGTAAAAGGATACCATAAGCAAAGTTAAAAGGCAAGAGACAGCCAGGAGAAAGTATCTGACAAAATATCACAAAGAATTAGATAGACTAAATAAACAGTTCCTAGAAAGCAGTAAAACAAATTAAAATAATGAAGATATCATCACCTATCAGATTGGCAATAATTTTAAAGATTAAGAATGTTCAGTGTTAGAAAGGGTATACACTGAAAGTGGAATATAAATTGGTACAGGTTTTTAAAATGCACATACCCTTTGACTCAGGAAATCCTTTTAAGAATCTAGCCTATAAAAATCCTTGCACATGTGCTTATAAATTAAAATGTCCTCCTCAAACTTGTCTCTAAACTTACTCCAGTTTGTCATGTATCAAACTGTCCGTCTGCTGGACTATTACCCATAAGTTTAAATGTTTTATTTCTCCATCTAAGAAAGAAACAAAAAAAAAAAAAATTTCTTGACTTCATATCACCCCCCAGCTAAGGCCCCATTTTCTCTCTTTTACAACAAACTCCTCAAAAGAGATGCTTATACTAACAGTCTCTAATTCCTTTCCTTCCATCCTTTCTCAAATCTCCTACAAACATACCTTACTTTTCTCTCAAAATTGCACTTGGCAAGGTCACCCACACTACCACATGGTTAAATTCAATGGTCAATTCTCAGTTCTCCTTGAGTGACACTGTTGACTGCCTTCTCTTGGTTTTCTCCGTTTCCTTTCTATCTCACTGGCTCCTTTCTTGGTCTCTTCGATGCATCCTTCTCACATCCTCAGCCCCTTAACCAAGTTTGAAGTGCCCAGAGGCTGTTCCTGACTCTCTTCTCTAATTTACTCCCAGGTAAACTGAGGGTTTTAAATTGCTTTAGTAAACTGAAGACTCCAACATTTGTTTCTCCAAACCTGACCTCTCCATTGAACTTCATATTTACATTTCCAGCTGCATACTCAATATCTCTGGTTGGATGTCTAATAAATTCTCAAACAGAACGTGCCCAAAGCCAAATTCCTAACCTTGCCTACTGCAGTTTTCATCATTTCATTTCACGGCAACTTCAACTTTCCAATTGTTCAGTCCCAAAATTTCAGAGTGATCCTTGACTACTCTCTCTCACTTCATCTTTAATACACACCCAGAATCTAGCCATGTCCTACCACCTCTACTGCTACTATCCTGGTCCAAACCACCAAACCACTATCCTGGTCCAAACCATGCCTGAATGCCCTCCTAAATAGCCTTCTTGCTTCTGGCCAAAGTCTATTATCAAGAATACAGAGAGACCATTCAAAATGTAAATAAGATTATGCCATGCTTCTGCTCAGAAACTTCCAAAGGCTTGCCACCTCATTCGACATAAGACAAAAATCCTTACAGTGGGCCCGGCCTGGTGGCTCATGCCTGTAAATCCAGCACTTTGGGAGGCCAAGGCAGGAGGACAGCTTGAGCCCAGGAGTTCGAGACCAACCTGGGCAACATGGCAAGACCCCATATCTATAATTAAAATACATATTTATAGGCTGGGTGCAGTGGCTTATGCCTGTAATCCAAGCACTCTGGGAGGTCAAGATGGAAGGACTGTTTGAGCCTAGGAGTTCAAGACCAACTTGGGCAACACAGCAAGACCCCAACTCTATTTTTAAAATCAAAAAATAATAACTATTTATCTTTTAAAAATCCTTACAGTGGGTTCAAAAAGCTCAACACAATCTGCCCTGACTGCCCGTCACCTTCTGTGACTTCATCTCCCACTCTCCCTTGCTTATTTCATTCCAGCCACATTGTTCTTCCCCCACGACATCAGGCACATGCCTACCTCCCTTTGGGCTTCTCTCCTTCCTAGAATACTCTATTCCTCTCTTCCTCCCTTACCAATACCTTCAGAGCTCATTATGTTACCTTCACCAGATCTCCACTCAAATGTCATCTATTGGTATCTCACTCTTAACCACCCCATTTTAAAATGCACACCCCTCCCCCACACTCCCTATCTCCTCCCCAACCTTACATTCCTCAATATCAACTAACATATATTTATTTGTTGCCGGTCTACTGCCAAAAGGCAACTGCATGGGAGCAGGAATTTTTGTGATCCGTTCACAAGCACTGCCTGACAGTCAATACATTTGTTGAAATAAACTATAACAAAATATTGGAAATAATCTAGATATTCATCGACAGGGAAACAGTTAAATGAATTACACCATATTCATCCTTGAGAATATTACATGTCTTCTAAAAATAAAGAAGTAAATCTATATATAGTGACACACAATGAGAAGGAAAAAGTCAGAGAACAGAGAACATTGTATATAACACATAATGTGCCTAATATATGCCATTTGGTTTTTAAAAAAAAATTGTATATACATACATGTAGAAAAAGGTCTGGAAAGAACATACAAAAAATAGACATTTTCTCTGAAAAGAGACAAGGATTAGGGAATAGGTTCAAAGCAGACTCATTTTTTTAACTCTTCATTCTTCATTGTTTACATTTCAAAAAGCACATATTAAATTTTTAATAAAAAACAAATAAAGGCACTTAATAAAGTATTTTGGCTCTTAACAAATACTGTATGTATTTTTAAAAAACAAAAAAAGGTCTTTATTTAAATGTGAATTTTTTCATCAAATTTTCCTACGAGAAAATATTTCCTTTCTTCAGAAGAACATAGTAGAGATTTTTCCTGCAATTATTCCCTGTCCCTAAGCCCCAATAAACAAGCAGTTATTTATTGTTAGAACAGGTTAGGGTGAACACTGAAAGCATGGTAGTAAGTAAGAATAACTGCCCTCATTAAATCTGAACTGAGCCACTTGCCTTTTCCCTAACTAAAAAAATAAAGACAAGGGGGACTAAAAAATAAAGGCTCTTCTATTATGAGAAATTCCTCCTAATTCAATTGATTTCTACTAACACTTTATTATAGGCAGCTGCTGAGTATTTATTCCTTCCACAGAAAAAGCGCAGAAATTTCCCTCTGTCCCCTTAGCTACTCTGACCCCAGGATCAAGCAGTGACTCTACGATATCAGCAGCAAACTCTTGAATAGCACTGATTATGTGCCAGGCACTACTCTAAGCATTCCACATGCACTTGTTCATCTAAACCTCACAGATGAATAAACTGAGCCAAAAGAAGTTAAAGAACATGCCTAAAGTTGTACATGTTAAAATTTCCAAAGAAGAAAAGAACTCACCCAGCTCTGCTCCTCACCCTCCTCCGGGGTTCTATAGGTACTCCTTGCCCTTCCACATACTCCTTCTAAAACACTGGCTGCAGAGGTAGAGACAGACGGAGAGGGCATGAGAAAACTTGCTTCTCTTCACCACTCAGTAAGGTGTGGCTGAGACTGAGTACCTGGGTTGCGGGGATGCTGCCCAGTAACCCTAACAGATGTTACTGCCACTCAGTCCTTCCTCTCACTGGTTATACAGAAGCCAAAGTACCGATAGGAGAAAACAAGAGTGCATAGCATCACATACAGAACTGAAGTCATCAGCTACCTCTTTCCTTTAATTCTCCACTTCAGGGTGGCCAATCCAGGCAGAAACCTGGGAGGCACCCCAAATCCAATCAGTCCTGTCAATATGGCTCCCTTAATCTCCTTACACCACAAGCTTTCCTCTATTCTCACTGACTAGATTATTTCAACAGCCTTTGAGTAGTGTCCCTATTATCAATTTTTCTCCACTCCCAGTTTTAGAATATTACAAAATATGCTTTAAACAGTCTGGTCATGGTACTCCTCTGTTTAAAATTCTGCAACAGTTCCCTCCCACATGGAAGACAGTTCCAAACCCCTCAGCGTAGATGCAAGGCCCATTATGATGTGGCCCTTGCTTGTCTGCCTAACCTCATCTTTCATGGCTCCCCTCTTCCAATCCTAGAGCTGTGGCCATGATGGCAGTTTTCCAAATGTGCCGTGCTCTCTCACTCTCAACTTTCACCTGTGTGATTCTCTAAGCCTGAAATGCCCTTCCAACTCCACTTTTTTCAAACGCTGCTTATCTTTGGAGGTAAAAAATAGGTTCCAGTTCGGCCAGTGAAGACTTCTCTGCATGCTCTCCTTCTATGCTCTCTGTCTGGACAAATACAACAACTATAAGCTGTCATGTCACTTAAAACACTATCTCTTAATGTATTTTTATTTACTTGACTTCTCCTTTGACTACATGCTCCTTGAGGGGCTGTGTCATATTCATGTTGTATCCCCAGTGGCTGACACACAAGGTGACTATAACTCTCAATTTGCCCAAGACAGTTCCACCTTACGCCTGTTGTTTCAGCTTGCCATCAACTCAGCTCCTTTCTTTCTCAGAAGTCCCAGTTTGAACAAAAAATTATATGGCTACCCTAAACAATGCAAGTTCTCTGACCCTTACTACCGCTTCCCATCCCATTTAGCTGGAGAACAGAAGCATCAGAGGAGTTACCCTTTGCACCAGTCAGGTTTCAACTAGAGAAGCAGAACCAGTAGGAGATATATATTAAGAGAGTTATGGCAAGAAACTGGTTTACATAGGGCAGGCTATGAAGGGAGGAACTCATGCTGGAACTCTTGGCTACTAGCTGAAACTGCTGTCTACAAGTGGAATTTCTTCTTTTTTGGAAGGAAAACCTCAGCTCTGCTTCTAAAGCCTTTCAACTGATTGAATCAGGCCCACCCAGATGATCTAGAATAATCTCCCTTACTTAATTGATTATGGATTTTAATCATAGCTTCAAAATACTTTCACAGCAACACCTACATTCATGTTTGACTAAATATCTGGGGGCTACAGCCAAACCAAGTTGAAACATTAAAAAGACAATCACAGCCAGGCACCATGGCTCACATCTGTAATTCCAACACTTTGGGAGACTGACAGGAGGATCACTTGAGCCCAGGAGTTCAAGATCAACCTGGGAAACACAGACAGACCCATCTCTAAAAAAAAAAAAAATATTTTTAATTAGCTGGGCGTGATGGCATACACCAGTAGTCCTAGCTACTCAGGAGGCTGAGGTGAGAGAATCACTTGAGTCTAGGAGTTCGAGGCTGCAGTAAGTTATGATTACACTACTGCACTCCAGCCTGGGCAACAGAGCAAGGCCCACATCCTTTCTTTTTTTTTTAAAAAAAAAAAAAAGACTATTGCACTAAGATGCATTCCTAGCATCAAAAATATTGTTGCTCTGACAATACTTTCCCACAACAAGCTTATTTTGATTATCAGGTTCCCAAGTAACAGAACTAGACTTCAAATTCTAGCTAACAAATGTAGAAGAAATGACAACTTAAAAAAGAATCACGACTTTGCAACGCCTAATGAAATTGTAGGTTTAGTCAATGACCACCAACAGATCACTAAAAGTAGGTGAAATGCACATATTATGAACCTCCTGATGTGAGGCAATATAACATACACAGCACCATCTGCAAAGCATTCCCAACTCCCAAAAAAGCTGAATCTGAACAATTAAGCCTACAGAGCTAACTTCCATTTTATAGGAAATCCAAAGGATAGAGGAACAAATTAACACCACAAGAAAGCAAACAAATATGGAGTGAGAAATACAGTACTCTACAGGATAACTGACCAGGTTTCCATAACAAGTCAACAGCATGAAGCAAAAAAAAAAAAGTGGGGGAAGAAAGACAGAGGAAGAAGAGATTTAAGAGATGTAACAACCAAATGAAATACACAGACCTTGTTTGGATCTTGATTCAAATAAACCAAGTGGAAAAAGATAGTTCTGTGAGAAAGAAATCTGAACATGGACAAAGTACTAGATGACACCAACAAATTATTGATAATTCTGTCATCTATGATAATAGCAATACAGTTATATAAGAAAATTTCCCTGTCTTTTGAGGATGCACACTGAAGTATAGAGGGGTAAAATTATGTAACATTTTGAATTTGCTTAAAAAAAAAGTAGCCTCCACAAATTATTACAACTTTGAGAGCAAAGATAAGAACCTATGTACATTATTTCTATAGTGAAATTAGATGGCTAACTCACAAACTAGCTTTTAGAATACAACTCCGTTCATATATAGGAGAATAACTAAAGAGAAGGTGTCGTCTAGAATATTTAAGCAGCTCCATTACATCTCATTTCAATTCCAAATATAACTGGAGTGAGGGAGAGGAAGGTTACTGGGTGCTCACTACATCTGTGATAGTTGCTGAACATATAGTCTCAAATGAAGTTTGTATTACTAACATTTCCAACAAAAGGCTCACATTCTAGAGTGTCTATTTATTTCAAGAGTATCACAAAAATCCTTTTGAGACAGAGTCTTGCTGTCTCGCCCAAGCTGGAGTGCAGTGGCTCAATCTCAGCTCAACGCAACCTCTGCCTCCCAAGTTCAAGCAATTCTCCTGCCTTTTACAGGTGCGTGCCACCATGCCCAGCTAATTTTTGTATTTTTTTAGGAGAGACGGGGTTTCACCATGTTGGCCAGGCTGTCTCGAAATCCTGACCTTGTGATCTGCCCACCTCAGCCTCCCAAAGTGCTGAGATTACAGGTGTGAGCCATCGAGCCCAGCAAATTCCCTTCTTTAAAAAAAAAATCCTAATTTCTTGTATTTTTACCTGGCCCTTAAAAATGCAGGCAAAATAAACAAATAAACAAACACCCAAGACTAATGTCAAATAAAAAACTAAAAAAAGACATATGCAACACAAAGATTTTTTTAAAGCCTCTATGAATCAATTTAACAATAACAAAAAAAGTACACACAACCCAAAAGAAAAATAAACAAGAAAATCAACAGTTCACAAATAATCCAGATGACCAATAAGCATAAAGAAAGCTACTCAGCCTTACTGATAATTAAGGAAACATAAATCGCTAAAATATGATGCCATTTTCATCTGTCAAATAGGGAAAAATTAAAAAGATTAATAGTACTAAAATGGACAAAGGTGAGCTGAGAACAGCCTCCCATTCACTATTAGTCAGGGTATAAATTAGTTTAGCATTTTTGTGAGGTAATCTGCACTATGCTTCAAAATCACATATGTACACATGCTTTGACCTAGCAATTTTACTTCTCAAAGTATATTTTAGCGCAAGATAATGTTTAAGGACTTCCACTGCAATGATCTTTAAAACAGTAAACTTTAAAACAGAACAACCCACACATCCATTATTAGAACCTGGTTAAATAAATTATGATATGCCCACCTATTAAAATACTCTGCAGTAGTGAAAAGGTACGAGGTACAGCTTAGAAAGATTCCTAAGATATATTAAGTGAACAAAAGTTGAAGAACAGCATGTATAATACATCCTATTTATTTATTTATTTATTTGAGTCAAAGTTTCGTTCTTGTTGCCCAGGTTGGAGTGCAGTGGTGCGATCTCAACTCACTGCAACCTCCCCTACTGGGTTCAAGTGATTCTCCTGCCTCAGCCTCCCAAGTAGCTGGGATTACAGGCGTCCACCACACCTTGCTATTTTTTTTTTTTTCGTATTTTTAGTAGAGATGAGGTTTCACCATGTTGGCCAGGCTGGTCTCAAACTCCTGATCTCAGGTGATCTGCCTGCCTCAGCCTCCCACAGTGCTGGGATTAGAGGCGTGAGCCACCACGCCCAGCTCATCCCATTTATTTTGAAGAAAAAAAGATATATGAATGTGGAGGCATATTTGTATGGTATATGCATGTAAGTTTTCTTAAAGGATCCAAAAGAAGCTGTTAACTGTGGTCACTTCTGGGAAACAAAAAGCAAGAAAGTGAGGAAGTACATTTTGTTACACTCTCTGAATTACAATTTTTAAAGAATAAAATATGTAACATATTATAATAATACTTAAGTTTATAAATAAAAACTTCGATCATCTCAAATTTTGAAATTTACTTTATTCTCAAACATACCAGATAAAAATGTCATTTCCCCCTACTTAGCAGCAACAACTAAACCTATATTCTTTACCACTGTTACATTCAAAGAACCATATAAATGTGTTTTCTACACCTAAATTGTCTAGCCACCAGGCGGCTATTTTCCTCTATTCTCATGGTACAAAAGCCTCCTCTGGCCTGCTTGCTACATGGCCATACCTCCCAGTCAACTGGTTTAAAGATGCTTTTGCAAGTTCTCATCTTCTCTTTCTGCCCCCAGCCAACCATTCTAGCTCTAGGCCTACTGAACATTCATTCCTAACGAAATTCACAAAAGACATAAATTAATGCTACCCAACTGCAACAGGTCCTCTGTCAGTTGCCTGACAGTTCCTTTATTTATCCCTGATACCTCCTCAGCACTTATTGCAAAATGTCATGTAAATGAGTAATATTTACTGAGCATTTACCACATGCCAGACACTAAGGACTCTCTTATTCAATAGATATTTAATTAGCCTCCATGATAGGCAGCCCTGATACTTGGAAGATAATAGTGAGCAAAAACTTGCCTGCTCTGCACTTACTGTTTAGTGTGGATGATAGACATTAATCAAAGAATCACAGAAATATAAAATTACAACAGTAATATGAAGAAATAAATCATGCTATGAGACTATAAACTAGTGTACATGACAATCTGAGGGAAGACAGAAAGCTTCCTCAAGAAAGCACTCGATGACAGAGATGAATTAAGCAGACAAAAACTGTAGTGCGGGCAGAGAGAGTTCTCACAACTCTACGACTGGGCACTAATATTAGCTTCACTTTACAGATGGCACAACAGAAACAGGTCACAGGGCTGGTAAGTGGTAAAGTTCGGCAGAATGGAACTCAAATCGAATGGAGGAGGAACATCCCTCACAAATCCCATCAGTGGATTTGTGTGGGATGCTCTCTGGACAAAATCTTTAATACAACATATAAGGTTTGTTCCTCCCTGAAAATCTATTCCTCTAACCCTTCCAGCCTTAACTCCCATCTTTACCCTATTCCCCAACATCACACTCAACTTCTGTTCCTGTCACTACTCCACGTGACTAGAATCTCCGATTTCCTTAGCAACATTCAGCAGGCCTGGAGCTACCGAACATGGGGCATTAGCAAGTGGCCACAGAGGAAAGAGGACTGACAAAAGCATCTTTAAAACAGCTAACTGGGAGATGTGACCATGAAGGAAGGGAATTGAGGTCCTGTCATAGTCCTTTCCCTCTACTTGGAATACCCGTGTTCCTCCGTTTTGCATTGCTATGCAGGAATACCTGAGGCTGGGTAATTTATAAAGAAAAGAGGTTAGATTTGGCTCCCAGTTCTGCAGGCTACACAAGAAGCATAGTGTCAGCATCTGCTTTTGGTGAGATAAAGGGGGAGCAGGCATGTGACAGGGCAGGAGAAGTGGCAAGAGAAAGAGGAGCTTCCATGTTCTTTTAAACAACCGGCTCTAGGAGTGAACTAATAGAGTGAGAACTCAACTCATTACCTCAAGGACAAACCAAGACATTCAATCTGCCTCCATGACCCAAATATCTCCCACTAGGCCTACCTCCAACACTGGAAGTGACATTTCAACAAGAGATTTGGAGGAGACACATACCCAAATCATATCAACCTCCTCTTCATAACAGTCTCCATTTTCTTGGCCTAGTGAAACTTATCAATCCTTTAAAACCCACCTCAAATGCTCCCTCCTCTATAAAGGTGTCCATACCTCCCAAACAAAAGTGGTCTCTTCTTCCTCTGCTCCCAAGGTTCTCTGAATATAACTGTAATACAGTTATCACACTGGTGTGCAACTATCTGCTTGACTTAACATTATCACATATCTATCAATAACACTCCTTAAGTTCTTGATAAATCCAAAGGTGTCAATCTTCATTTCACCTGATCCATCAGCTGCACCTGACAAAACTGAACATACTACTCTACTGTAAATTCTACAACACCAGACTCAAAATTGTCCTTGTCCCTCACTGGCTGCTCAGTCTGTCTCATTTGGTGGTTATTCCTCATTTTCCCAACTTGTTAAAATGCCTAAGGACTCAGGCCTTGTGCCCCTTCTCTTTTCTGTCTACATTTACTCCTTTAACGACTGTCTCCGGTCTCACAACTTTAAATACCATCTGTTCACTGACAATTCCCAAACGTCTGTTTCCAGCAATGACCACTCTGAAGTCCAGAATGAACATATTCAACTGCCTACTCAACATCTCCACTTAGATGACTAACAGACATCAAAAACTTATCATGTCCTTAACTGAACTCCGAATCTTCCCACAAACCTGCCCCTCCCACAGTTTTCTACTTCTCAGTTAATGGCAATTCCCTTCTTCTAGTTGCTCAAGCCCCAAACTTTGACAATAACCTTATTCTTACAATTCACTTTCAATCTGTAAGCAATTCTGTTTGCTTTTCCTAGAAAATACATCTAAAATTAAACTGCTTCTCCACCTTCACTTCTTTCCAGCCAGTTAAGATGTTATCATCTCATCTGAACTACAACACCTCCGTGATTAGTCTCCTGGTTTTCACCTACCCCACCCCACAGCAAACTATTCTTAAACACAGCAGCCAGAGAAGATTCTATTAAAACGTGAGTCAGGCTGGGCGCAGTGACTGACGCCTGTAATCCCAGCACTTTAGAAGGCTGAGACAGGCGGATCACCTGAGGTCAGGGGTTCGAGAC
The DNA here is from genome assembly GCF_000001405.40 of Homo sapiens. Taxonomy (NCBI): domain Eukaryota; kingdom Metazoa; phylum Chordata; class Mammalia; order Primates; family Hominidae; genus Homo; species Homo sapiens. The sequence goes on from NC_000002.12 coordinate 68,060,445, forward strand.
CAGCCTGGCCAACATGGTGAAACCCTAACTCTACTAAAAACACAAAAAATTAGCTGGGCATGGCGACGGGTGCCTGTAATCCCAGCTACTCCGGAGGCTGAGGCAGGAGAATCGTTGGAACCCAGGAGGCGGAGGTTGCAGTGAGCCGAGATTGTGCCACTGCACTCCAGCCTGAGCAACAGAGTGAGACTCCAAAAGAAAAGAGGGGCGAGATGGGGTGGGGCAGGGCGGGCAAGGGCAGAGCAGGGCAGGAAAGGAAACAAAAGAAAACAAAAGACAATAAAGTAAAATAAAATAAAATAAAACAAACCTAAGTCAGATCATGTCACTCCTCTCCTCCTACCTTTCCATTGGTTATTTACTCACTGGGCTATTGCTCAAGGGAAGATTCATGTCGAGGCACATTTTGAACTCCACATCACTAACATAATGTCTTGTCATGTATTAGTTAGTTAGCAACTATTTGTTTACTAACTAAAACCAATCAAAGTAACCTAAGACGTAATTTTGGAAACTCTTAATATCAGATTACAGTTTGAGCTTACAGATACTAGAAAGTCACCACATGGATCCAAACAAACATACGATAATGTACATTCCAGGGCTCTTCCCATCTCTACACCAAATAATTATACACAGTTATGAACTAAGCCAAAGAACAAATCCAACATGATTGTTTTTTGGAATTTGAGAGCCATTTGCTGTTGTTGCACCAGAATTCTATTACTGTAATGAATTACTGTAATGACTTTTTCGCACTGCATTATCTTAGGAGAAAATAACAATGAAATGTACACACAAGTTCTCAATAAATATTGCTGTCTTGGGCAAACAGTGACTCCATGTTAGTGTTGTCTGTAACTCTCCTTCAGTCCCACAGTACAATTCCTGAGTAAATATAGACTTCTTCCTTTTCTAAAAAATATATTAACATCTAAAAATAAATTTATCCCAAAGTCTAATAGGAGAGTATATAAATTACGAGGATATTGCTCAAGATTGAGATGAACAATTACATTAAATTAAATTCACTTCTATTCAAAGTTTAATTCAAAGCATTTCCAAAATTACAGCAATCAAGCAGCAAAATTACCTTCCAAAACATATGGAAGTTGATTATTACAATTATCTTATTTCTGAAATAAGAGTATATAGTGTTGTTGCACAGATTAAATAAACTAGATAAAAGCCATTAGAACGGGGCCTGGCTCAGTTAGCACTCAATACATTAGATAGTATTTTACTAAAAGTGAAAATTACCAAATACTCTAATCCAATGTGAACTATTTAGAGCCATGCTTGAAGGGTCAACTTTGGAAACAGTAGCTGAGATAATACATATGAAGAGCCATTTGAAAAGGTAAAAGCAGTTAAGAAAAAAATTACATTACTTTTGAACTGTGATACATACAACACAGCTAACTGAAGGCAGCTGTAGTATCTTTTGACTGAGAATTTTATTTTGAAAAACCGTTATTCACACTTGTCACTATCTTTCAACAAAACAATGAGTTCTATCATTTCCACCAAACACAAACATTTCTCTGTACTTCAATAGGGCTAATCTGTTGTTTTTGAATCAAAAATACAGAGTTAAATAACTAAAAGTATAACTGGATTGTTTGTAACACAAAGGATAAGTGCCTGAAGGGATGGATACCCCATTTTCCATGTGATTCTTACATATTGCATGCCTGTATCAAAACATCTCGTGTACCCCATAAATATATACACCTATGTACCCACAAAATTTTTAAATTTAATTTTTTAAAAAATCACGGTTAAGTCTTGGTTCAGTCCACCATCAGACAGTCCTAATAGGTTAATAAGTGGATAGCAAACATCTCATTGCGACAAATACATCTTTATCAAGCCAAAACTGAACTGTAGTCAGCAAACATTGAGGACATTAAAGCTATTTTGAAACAAGTTTGAGTTACACTGAACTTATCCGGGTCATCAAGAAAAACTGCTCTCTTGGATTACCCACTACAGATTTCAGCTAAAGGTCGAAATTAGCCCACTATCTCAGATGAGCTAATACTGCAGCAGCAGGCAGTCTGTGAATGTGAATGATAAACGGAGCTAACACAGTAAAGTTACTCCCCTAGACGTTCCACTTTAGCCTCTCTCCCTAAGCAAGATTGAAAACAGCTGAAAATTGTGAAGACTTCAATGTTTTTTGATTTTTGTTTTTAATTTCTTCGTCTTCCAAGATTTGAGAAGGGGGTGGTTAACAAACGAAGAAAAAGAGAGAGACCGGAGCAAAAGAGAGAAATGAGGGGCCGGGGTAAGCCAAAGCCTGCAAGCAGCCCCAAAACAAGCGGAAGTGGGGGACCTGCCAACAATGCTGCCCCAACGAAGAGCTGTGAGAGACTGCATTCCTGGAAGGCTACGCAGCCAAACTCCGATTTTCTCAGTCTGCCCAGAGGATGACAGGGGAATCCCAGGAGAGGAAAAGCGGAGTTAAACAGGAGCAGGAGAAAAACTGAAACTACACCTTAGAAAAATACCTCACGGCCTTCGACTCCAGTCTCCCGGAAAGCGGTCGGGCAACGATGACGACAATGACGCGCCGGCTCTGCCCCCGCCACGAGCGGCGCTTCCCGATGATCTCACGCTGCTCGCCACGCCCCCTGCTCCTTAACTCTTCTCCAAAGGCAAATCTCATTTTGAGTAGCTCAGACCCATGTTGTGGGAGACGATTGCGGCGGCACTCGGAACTTTTGTCTACCTTTGTACCCGGCTAACACTCACCCCAAATACAGGTTGAGTGTATTTAACCAGGAAAAAAATCTTAGTTATCGAAACTTTGTTCGGGTTTTTACTTTCCCAGAAGCTTTTTTCAGGGCCCTCATTCTTTCTACCCTTTTATTGTCTGCCTCTAGATGAGCCTCTTAGAGCAGCTTCCCAGATTATCCGTGGGGAAGAACAGGTTCTTTATTAGATTATCCGTGGGGAAGAATGGGTTCTTTATTTTTCCAATCTGTCAGTAAAAGGTACTTCTATAAAATACAGTAAAAATGAATTAGTAGAAAAATGGGGAAAATATGTGCAAAATACAAGCCCAAATTTTTTATTAGTTTCAAATAAATGTAAAATTGCATTTCAATGTATGCAATCAGAACAAACATAATAGAAAATAAAGGCATTAACAGAAACTGTACATACTGTTCATTGAAAGTGTAGTATAAGCGATTGAGCATTGTCTTAACATTTGTAACTTGTCATTCCACGGCTGTAATTTGATAAAAAGTTATGCATGAAACAGTTGTCCGTATATTAAATGCATGTAAAAGCATTTTGAACAAGCACCATGTATGTAATATTTAAAGTTTTGGGGGAGGTTCCAAAGTGGCCGAATAGGAACAGCTCCAGTCTACAGCTCCCAGCATGAGCAACGCAGAAGATGGGTGATTTCTGCATTTCCAACTGAGGTACCGGGTTCATCTCACTGGGGCTTCTCAGACACTGGGTGCAGCCCACAGAGCAGGGCGAGGCATGACCTCACCCGGGAAGCACAAGGGATCAGGGAATTCCCTTTCTTAGCAAAGGGAAGCCATGATAGACGGTACCTGGAAAATTGGGACACTCCCATCCTAATACTGTGCTTTTCCAACGGTCTTAGCAAACGGCACACCAGAAGATTATATCCCGTGACTGGCTCAGAGGGTCCCACGCCCACGGAGCCTGGCTCACTGCTACCACAGCAGTCTGAGATCAAACTGCAAGGCAGCAGCGAGGCTGGGGGAGGGGCGTCTGCCATTGCTGAGGCTTAAGTAGATAAACAAAGTGGCCAGGAAGCTTGAACTGGGTGGAGCCCATCGCAGCTCAAGGAGGCCTGCCTGCCTCTGTAGACCCCACCTCTGGGGGCAAGGCATAGCTGAACAAAAGGCAGCAGAAAGTTCTGCAGACTTAAATGTCCGTCTGACAGCTTTGAAGAGAGTAGTGCTTCTCCCAGCACGGAGTTTGAGATCTGAGAACGGACAGACTGTCTCCTCAAGTGGGTCCCTGACCCCCGAGTAGCCTAACTGGGAGACACCTCCCAGCAGGGGCCAACTGACACCTCATACAGCTGGGTGCCCCTCTGAGATGAAGCTTCCAGAGGAAGGATCAGGCAGCAATATTTGCCATTCTGCAATATTTGCTGTTCTGCAGCCTCCGATGGTGACACCCAGGCAAACAGGGTCTAGAGTGGACCTTCAGCAAACTCCAACAGACCTGCAGCTGAGGGTCCTGACTGTTAGAAGGAAAACTAACAAAAAGAAAAGACATCCACACCAAAAACCCATCTGTACGTCACCATCATCAAAGACCAAAGGTAGATAAAACCACAAAGATGGGGATAAATCAGAGCAGAAAAGCCGAAAATTCTAAAAATCAGAGCGCCTCTTCTCCTCCAAAGGAATGCAGCTCCTCACCAGCAATGGAACAAACCTGGACAGAGAATGACTTTGACAAATTGAGAGAAGAAAGCTTCAGACGACTGGTAATAACAAACTTCTCCGAGCTAAAGGAGGATGTTTGAACCCATTGCAAAGAAGCTAAAAACCTTGAAAAAAGATTAGACGAATGGCTAACTAGAATAAACAGTGTAGAGAAGTCCTTAAATGACTGATGGAACTGAAAATCGTGGCACGAGAAGAACGTGACGCATGCACAAGCTTCAGTAGCCGATTTGATCAAGTGGAAGAAAGAGTATCAGTGATTGAAGATCAAATGAATGAAATGAAGCAAGAAGAGAAGTTTAGAGAAAAAAGAGTAAAAAGAAATGAACAAAGCCTCCAAGAAATATGAGACTTTGTGAAAAGACCAAATCTGCATCTGAATTGTGTACCTGAAAGTGACTGGGAGAATGGAACCAAGTTGGAAAACACTCTTCAGGATATCATCCAGGAGAACTTCCCCAACCTAGTGAAGCTGGCCAACATGCAAATTCAGGAAATACAGAGAACACCACAAAGATACTCGTCGAGAAGAGCAACTCCAAGACACATAATTGTCAGATTCACCAAAGTTGAAATGAAGGAAAAAATGTTAAGGGCAGCCAGAAAGGTCAGGTTACCCACAAAGGGAAGCCCATCATAGTAACAGCTGATCTCTCGGCAGAAACTCTACAAGCCAGAAGAGAGTGGGGGCCAATATTCAACATTCTTAAAGAAAAGAATTTTCAACCCAGAATATCATATCCAGCCAAACTAAGCTTCATAAGTGAAGGAGAAATAAAATCCTTTACAGACAAATATACTGAGAGATTTTGTCACCACCAGGCCTGCCTTACAAGAACTCCTGAAGGAAGCACTAAAGATGGAAAGGAACAACTGGTACCAGCCACTGCAAAAACATGCCAATTGTAAAGGCCATCAATGCTAGGAAGAAACTGCATCAACTAATGAGCGAAATAACCAGCTAACATCATAATGACAGGATCAAATTCACACATAACAATATTAACCTGAAATGTAAATGGGCTAAATGCTCCAATTAAAAGACATAGACTGGCAGATTGGATAAAGAGTCAAGACCCATCAGTGTGCTGTATTCAGGAGACCCAACTCACATTCAGAGACACACATAGGCTAAAATAAAGGGCTGGAGGACGATCTACCAAGCAAATGGAAAACAAAAAAAAGCAGGAGTTGCAATCCTAATCTCTGATAAACCAGACTTTAAACCAACAAAGATCAAAAGAGACAAAGAAGGCCATTACATAATGGTAAATGGATCAATTCAATAGGAAGAGCTAACTATACTACCTATACATGCACCCAATACAGGAGCACCCAGATTCATAAAGCAAGCCCTTAGAGACCTATAAAGAGACTTAGACTCCCACACAATAATAATGGGAGACTTTAACACCCCACTGTCAATATTAGACAGATCAACGAGACAGAAAGTTAACAAGGATATCCAGGAATTGAACTCAGCTCTGCACCAAGCAGACCTAGTAGACATCTACAGAAATCTCCACCCCAAATTAACAGAATATACATTCTTCTCAGCACCACATCACACTTATTCCAAAATTGACCACATATTTAGAAGTAAAGTACTCCTCAGCAAATGTAAAAGAACAGAAATTATAACAAACTGTCTCTCAGGCCACAGTGCAATCAAACTAGAACTCAGGATTAAGAGACTCACTCAAAACCGCTTAACTACATGGAAACAGAACAACCTGCTCCTGAATGACTACTGGGTACATAACAAAATGAAGGCAGAAATAAAGATGTTGTTTGAAACCAATGAGAACAAAGACACAACATACCAGAATCTCTGGGACACATTTAAAGCAGTGTGTAGAGGGAAATTTATAGCACTAAATGCCCACAAGAGAAAGCAGGAAAGATCTAAAATTGACACCCTAACATCACAATTAAAAGAACTAGAGAAGCAAGAGCAAACACATTCAAAAGCTAGCAGAAGGCAAGAAATAACTAAGATCAGAGCAGAACTGAAGGAGATAGAGAAACAAAAAGCCCTTCAAAAAATCAATGAATCCAGGAGCTGGTTTTTGAAAAGATCAACCAAATTGATAGGCCACTAGCAAGACTAATAAAGAAGAGAGAATAATCAAATAGACACAGTAAAAAATGATAAAGGGGATATCACCACCGATCCCACAGAAATACAAACTACCATCAGAGAATACTATAAACACCTCTACACAAATAAACTAGAAAATCTAGAAGAAATGGATAAATTCCTCGACACATACACCCTCCCAAGACTAAACCAGGAAGAAGTTGAATCCCTGAATAGACCAATAACAGTTTCTGAAACTGAGGCAATAATTAATAGCCAACCAAAAAAAGTCCAGGACCAGACGGATTCACAGCCGAATTCTACCAGAGGTACAAAGAGGAGCTGGTACCATTCCTTCTGAAAGTATTCCCATCAATAGAAAAAGAGGGAATCCTCCTTAATTCATTTTATGAGGCCAGCATCATCCTGATACCAAAGCCTGGCAGAGACACAACAAAAAAAGAGAATTTTAGACCAATATCCCTGATGAACATTGATGCAAAAATCCTCAATAAAATACTGGCAAACCAGATCCAGCAGCACATCAAAAAGCTTATCCACCAGGATCAAGCTGGCTTCATCCCTGGGATGCAAGGATGGTTCAACATACACAAATCAGTAAATGTAATCCATCATATAAACAGAACCAAAGACAAAAACCACATGATTATCTCAATAGATGCAGAAAAGGCCTTCAACAAAATTCAACAACACTTCATGGTAAAAACTCTCAATAAACTAGGTATTGATGGGATGTATCTCAAAATAATAAGAGCTATTTATGACAAACCCACAGCCAATATCATACTGGATGGACAAAAACTCAAAGCATTCTCTTTGAAAACTGGCACAAGACAGGGATGCCAGCTCTCACCACTCCCATTCAACATAGTGTTGGAAGTTCTGGCCAGGGCAATCAGGCAAGAGAAAGAAATAAAGTGTATTCAATTAGGAAAATAGGAAGTCAAATTGTCTCTGTTCACAGATGAAATGATTGTATATTTAGAAAACCCCATAGTCTCAGCCCAAAATCTCCTTAAGCTGATAAGCAACTTTAGCAAAGTCTCTGGATACAAAATCAATGTGCAAAAATCACAAGCATTCCTATACACCAATAACAGACAAACAGAGAGTCAAATCATGAGTGAACTCCCATTCACAATTGCTTCAAAGAGAATAAAATACCTAGGAATCCATCTTACAAGGGATGTGAAGGACCTCTTCAAGGAGAACTACAAACCACTGCTCAATGAAATAAAAGAGGATACAAACAAATGGAAGAATATTCCATGCTCATGGATAGGAACAATCAATAATGTGAAAATGGCCATACTGCCCAAGGTAATTTATAGATTCAATGCCATCCCCATCAAGCTACCAATGACTTTCTTCACAGAATTGGAAAAAACTACTCTAAAGTTCATATGGAACCAAAAAAGAGCCCACGTTGCCAAGACAATCCTAAGCCAAAAGAACAAAGCTGGAGGCATCACGCTACCTGACTTCAAACTATACTACAAGGCTACAGTAACCAAAACAGCATGGTACTGGTACCAAAACAGATATATAGACCAATGGAACAGAATAGGGCCCCTGGAAATAATACCACACATCTACAACCATCTGATCTTTGACAAACCTGAGAAAAACAAGAAATGGGGAAAGGATTCTCTATTTAATAAATGGTGCTGGGAAAACTGGCTAGCCATATGTAGAAAGCTGAAACTGGATCCCTTCCTTACACCTTATACAAAAATTAATTCGAGATGGATTAAAGACTTAAATGTTAGACCTAAAACCATAAAACCCCTAGAAGAAAACCTAGGCAATACCATTCAGGCCATAGGCATGGGCAAAGACTTCATGACTAAAACACCAAAAGCAATGGCAACAAAAGCCAAAATTGACAAATGGGATCTAATTAAACTAAAGAGCTTCTGCACAGCAAAAGAAATTATCATCAGAGTGAACAGGCAACCTACAGAATGGGAGAAAAATTTTACAATCTACCCATCTGACAAAAGGCCACTATCCAGAATCTACAAAGAACTTAAACAAATTTACAAGAAAAAATGAAACAACCCCACCAAAAAGTGGGCAAAGGATATGAACAGACACTTCTCAAAAGAAGACATCTATGCAGCCAACAGACACATGAAAAAAATGCTCATCATCACTGGCCATCAGAGAAATGCAAATCAAAACCAAAATTAGATACCATCTCACAGCAGTTAGAATGGTGATCATTAAAAAGTCAGGAAACAACAGGTGCTGGAGAGGATGTGGAGAAATAGGAACACTTTCACACTGTTGGTGGGACTGTAAACTAGTCCAACCATTGTGGAAGACAGTGTGGCGATTCCTCAAGGATCTAGAACTAGAAATACCATTTGACCCAGCCATCCCATTACTGGGTATATACCCAAAGGATTATAAATCATGCTGCTATAAAGACACATGCACACGTATGTTTACTGCAGCACTATTCACAATAGCAAAGACTTGGAACCAACCCAAATTTCTGTCAATGATAGACTGGATTAAGAAAATGTGGCACATATACACCATGGAATACTATGCAGCCATAAGAGGATAGGTTCATGTCCTTTGTAGGGACATGGATGAAGCTGGAAACCATCATTCTGAGCAATCTATCACAAGGACAGAAAACCAAACACCGCATGTTCTCACTCATAGGTGGGAATTGAGCAATGAGAACACTTGGACACAAGGTAGGGAACATCACACACCGGGGCCTGTCTTGGGGCGGGGGGAGGGGGAGGGAAAGCATTAGGAGATATACCTAATGTAAATGATGAGTTAACGAATGCGGCACACCAACATGGCACAAGTATACCTATGTAACAAACCTGCAATGTTGTGCACATGTACCCTAGAACTTAAAGTATAATAATAAAAAAAAATAAAAAATAAAAATAAAGAAAGAAAGAAAAAATGTGGTCATATCTGTAGATCTTCTGATTGGCCTTAGAGAAATATATATTAAAAACAAAAATTAAAAATATGCCCAAGATTTAAACTCAGAGTTATTAATTGTGGTTTTATTGATTAGGAAGAAAAATAGAGTGTTAAATGCAGTTTAATGATCTATAGAGTGGATGCCTTAATAAGCTATGGTTTCATTGATGAGAATCTATGCAGCCATTCATAATTATTAAAAGAAAATAGAACAACATAAAAGAAAAATCCTATAGTATGTTGTTAAAGAAAAAGCAAGTTATAAAGTACAATGATTTCATTTTGTTTTTTTAAGCATAAATATATCAATGTAAAAAGTATTTATATTTAATCCTTATCAAATGCTAGTTAAATTCCTGGTACTCTAATGAATGACAAAACTATAATTATATCAAGTGTTCACAGAAAATAAGGATTTACTGGAAAATAAAAAAAATGTACTACACTTGGAAAAAAAAAGGAAGGCAAAGAGCTTTAAATTGCTAATTTGTTGGGGAAAATAATTAAGTTTTCACATTCATGTCACCATAAAAGAGAAAATATATTTCATGATTATGTTGAATAATACCTTTCAATTGTATGGTAACTAAACTATTTATTATATATTAAAATCAACACTGTTATTTGGGCTATTTACTTTTCAATTCTTAAAATCAGATAATAAAATGAAATATAAACTTCACAATAAAATTTCTAAAAGGCAAAAAAAAAAAATAAAGTTTTTAAGTGGCAAATGGGCTCGTTCCTGATTACTGTATAGTTGGATTAAAGACAGCGCTTCTTGTAGAGCTTGCAGAGGATAGCATATATTTTAAATGTCTCCTCTATTTTAACACTGTAGTCGGCACCAGTCTCCCATCACTACATTGATAGGAATAACAGGGAACATTTTAAAGCTGTTTTAGCAAGCCAAGGATGTTCATTTTTAACTAAAATGAAACAAATCATGTCATATTTTCAGAATTCATATTTAGTCCTTCATCAGTTGCTATTTCCAACAATTTATCCTTTAAAGTTGTCATTACGTTTAAATTGTATTTTGATAAAATAAATCAATTCCAGATTTTATACATTGTTAGGATATGATTACTAAACTAAGCTGAAAATATCACAAATTTTAATGTAGTCCTACTGCACATGACTGGTACACAGTTCATACAACATGGGACTCACCATATGAGTTCAGCAACATCCAAACTAATTTTTGTCGTATTCAAGATAACCGGTTCACTGATCACCATTGTTTCAGCAATGTACAATCGCTATAAAATTCTCTAAGTGATTCTTCTCAATTTCTGCACTCATCTTGTGGAGAGGTAATAACAAATAGCTCACGGACTCACACTTATCCATAGACCATACTTTGAGTAGTGCTGTTGTCCTAAGGAGTTAGGTACAAACTTCACCACAAAGACTAAAGACCTGGGAAGACTTAAATATCACTCAGAATAACTCAGAACCTGACAGTTTGTCCTAATAATGAGGCTTTAATGCAAACTGTCACAACTTGTGTCATTTGAGTCCTTCAGGAACCAAACACTGAAATGGTGTTAGGAGTACAAAAGGTTGGGGGCAGGGGGCACTGCTCTGAAAAATAAAATGTTACTTCTCTGATCCTCAGTTTCCTCTTCTGGAAAATAGAAACAATAATGGTATCTATTTCTTAGGTACTATGAGGACCAAATGAGACAATGTGTTTCAATGTTAATCCTAGTGCAAGGCACAGAGTAAACACTTAATAAATGTTAATAAACATTATTAGTAACAGTAGTAGTAGTACTATGTTATCACTATAAAGGAAGAAATTAGAAACTTCTGATGTTGAATTTAGGAAGTTTGTTAAATCTTAGTGTTCAAATTATGAGTAACAAAATTGGCTCCCAAACAATATCAGAATAAAATATTAGAATTCTTTTTATTTTCTGAGTGATAGCATAAGAAAATCACCATCTTACAGATGTCATAACAATAATTGACTTAGGTGAGACTCATTAATAGATTCTGAAATTATTGTGTGAAAGTTTGATGGGGAACAGGATATTTATACCACCTTAAATCATCACAGATTATTTTTGAATTAACTTTATAGTAGATAAATCTGCTAGACATAGAACCAAGTTAACATAGACAGAGAACCAAGTTCTAACTTAGACATAGAACCAACTAGACATAGAACCAAGTTCTGTGTTAACATCACTCATAATGGGGCAAATTGATGTCATGTGCCTCCTTTTGTGATATGCCAGGAAAGACTATAACATTGCTTATGTATTATTCCTGCCAAAAAGGTATTACCTGAATCTGATCCTCAGGAAATATCAAACACACTCAAATTAAGGAATAATATTTTGTTGTTTTTTTTTAAGAGATGAATCTCACTGTGTCATCCAGGCTGGAGGGCAGTGGCGTGATCATAGCTCATTACAGCCTCCAACTCCTTGACTAAAGTGCTCCTTCAGTTTCAGCCTCCTGAGGAGCTGGGACCACAGGGGTGTGCCGCCATGCCCAGGTTTTTTGTTGGTTTTTTTTATTTGTTTTTTGTTTGTTTGTTTTTGGAGGGCCGGAGTCTCACTATGTTGCCCAGGCTACTTTTGAACTCCTGGTACTATGAGTGATCCTCCTGCCTCAGCCTCTCAAAGTGCTGGAATTGCAGGCATGTGCCATCATGGCCAGCTGAATATTCTTTAAACAACAACAACAAAAAACTGGAATGTATTTCAGAATGTTAATGTCATGAAAGAAAAAGAAAAGGCTGAAGAACTAGATTTAAAAAGTAAGAGACATGACAGCTAAAGACAATGCGTGATCCTGGATTGGTTCCCAAATCAATAAAAAAACAACGTTATAAAGAATATTATTGGAGCAATTGAAGAACATTGTAGATAGATTGCATATTGAATAATAGTTTCAAATCAGTATTTTCTGAATTTCATCATTGTACTGTGGTTATGTTATAGCATAGTCTTGCTCCTAGGAGATACAAACTGAAGTATTTAGATTGGTGATAGAGAGGTATTGTCTACAATTTACTCCCAAATAGTTCAGGAAAATTTTTAATAGTAGTATTAATGATAGTAATAATATGTGGAGAGAGATACCAAATGTGGCAAAATGTTTGGTTCATAATTGGCAAATCCAGGTGAAGAGTATATCAGAGTTCATTATATTACTTTGCCATTAAAGTTACCAAAATCGCAATTACTTTTGTGCCAACCTATTATTCTTGCAACTTGTCTATAAATTTGAAATACAAAATAAAAGAAAAAAGCATGAGGAGTCAGGAGATGAGAGGCAGAGCGAGCCTCGGCTGACAGGCAGTTGTTTAGCTTTATGGATAGTTTGCGTACAAGAATTCTTCTGGTCTTGTTTTTTTGACCTTGAGGACCTGGGGTGAAAAAAGTGCCACAGGTTACAGCCTGTGTATTCATAATATTACTTTGCAGAATGTTTTCCATGGTCACTGTCCATAATCCTCCCCAATTTTAAAAAGAAAAGCACAGGCCATACTAATGTTAAGAATTCTAATATCAAGCTTTGTTCCTATATAACATGAATTCAAAGATAACTCTGAATTGGTCCACTTGGCCCTGTTGGAAGCATGTACTCATTAATTAATGTCACTTATTAATTGTTGAGCCAAATGTGGCTGAATCACTCTCCCCCACCCTTCTCTGGTTGGGTATTAAGAGCAAATAGGCAAGTGAAAGCTGGTTTAACACTTAGCCTCACCTCACCCCCTTCCATCTTCTATCCTTGCAGGAGAGCAGGCTTTTCTCACACAGTCAGGAGCTGAGGGATGGAAATCCCTGTATGAAGGCTTAGCCCCACTGAGTGTCATGACCTGCTTATTCAGAAGACAATTGTCAATCCACTCTATCTGATTTAACTTTTCCTCTAAGAATTAGCAAAGTTCCAGAGAACAACAGTTTAGCAGCAAATAAGTTCAACGGAAGTGATTAAAGTTCCATGACATCCTTAGGAAGATAGCCCAATAATGAGAATTGTCTATCTTGAAACCAAGAATGAGAGGAGCAATTGATGCTGTTACCATCACTTTGGTTTGTCTAAATAATCTCAATAAGGAGAATGAATGGGTGATATGGTTTGGCTATGTCCCCACCCAAATCTCATCTTGAACTGTAGCTCCCACAATTCCCGCGTGTTGTGGAAGGTAATTGAATCATGGGATGGGTCTTTCCCATGCTGTTCTCATGATAGTGAATAAGTTTCATGAGATCTGATGGTTTTATAAGGTTGAGTTTCCCTGCACAAGCTCTCTCTTTGCCTATGGCCATCCATGTAAGACGTGCCTTTTGCCATCTGCCATGATTGTGGGGCCTCCCTAGCCACGTGGAACTGTGAGTCGATGAAACCTCTTTTTCTTTATAAATCACCCACTCTCAGGTATGTCTTTATCATACCTGAAAACAGAACACGCAACATGAAAACAGACTAATACAATGGGCTTCTTCCTCTTTTTGCTGCTTTTTGTTTGTTTGTTTGTTAGTCTGGGTGTTCATGACTATTTGATTCATTTGAAACATGCAGGTGGAGTAGGAAAATTTAAGATAGGTTGTCAGCTCAAAAGTTATTCTAAAAACTCTGCAAAGTTGTATTTGTTCACTCATCTTCACCTGTCTGTGCTTTATTTTCCCAAATGGTTTACATCAAAAAGTGGACTAAAGACAAGATTTCAAAACCTTTCTAGAATTAGCCATTTCAAAAGATAATTGTGAAGAGGCAATGCTTATTTAAGAAATTGGTTTGCCATACTCCTTTAAAAACCCCTTGAAGCCTTGCCACACAATAACATCCCTTAAAAAAATCAATGTTTATAGGCATAATGAAAATAAATATATTTATTTATTACTCCAAGTAAACTCTTCCTGTAAACTACATGTGCTGTAATTCCAAAACTGCCTCCTACCATTCCCACATCAAGACTAACCTGAAGTCCTGGCATGGTGTTTCACACTTATAATTCCAGCACTTTGGGAGGCCAAGGCAGGCAGATCACCTGAGCTCAGGATGTCAAGACCAGCCTGAGCAACATGGCAAAACCCCATCTCTACAAAAAATAGAAAAATTAGCAGGGCATGGTGGCACACACCTGTAGTCCCAGCTACTTGGGCGGGGTATGGGGAAGTGCCTGAAGCAGAAGGATCTCTTGAGCCTGGGAGGTCAAAGCTGCAGTGAACCGTGTTCATGCCACTGCATTCCAAGCCCTGGGCGACAAAGTGAGACCCTGTCTCAAAAAACAAAAACAAACAAACAAAAAAAACACCCGAGTTTTCTGGACTGACTTTTAAGAGTATTCAGGGAAAGAGCTTTGATCCAGTTGATCCAGGGTCCAGAGACTGGATCTTACCAAAAATGTGGGGGTGTGTGGTTCAATGAAGTGCACTGAACCTATATCAATCTATAAAATGGTTGATTTCTGACCTACTAATTATAAGGAAAAGTGAGACTTTTGTTTCTTGTTAGTGAAGAGAGCACCTGGTGGCCATCAAGCTGACCATGCAAAGACTGTGACCTTATCTGAGGAATTTAGAAGTAATTAGACTTCCCCATTATCCAAAGCAGGCATCTGGTTCCAGGCTTCTTTCCCAAAAATTTGTAAGTAATGAGAATTTCTATACATCTCCAGAATGCATGCATGTAGAAACTCATTGTACAACCCTTGCTGACATTAAGGCACCAAAATATCTACAAATGTAATCATTTATCATGACCTACATGGCTTACGTGGTCCAGACTACCCTTATGCTCCCGCTTTAAGGTCCATAGGTACCCCTAAAGAAAAATCCACCATGGCACTCTCAGTCCTCTCTTGCTGAGACAGCCTGCTCCACCCTTCTGCAGCATCCTTTCTATTTAATAAAACTCCTTTTCAAACCTATACTGTTGTCGATAAATCCTTTTACCAACCCATGAGTCAACCACTTTCTGATGCCAGGCCTCTGACACCTCGCCTAGCAGTTGGGAGAACTGTTGGAGGAAAAAAGAAAAGGAATGTGGGAGTACACTGAAAAGTATAAAAATGTAAGGTGTTTTAACACTCTCAGTTGATCCTTAGCTACTGCATGTTGCTAAAGATCATATGGACAATAACTCTTACTTTTAAACTATTCAACTTGGAAATGTTCCGGAAGTTCTCGGCATATTTGAATTTAATTTTCAAATGCTTGAATCTTGTAAATTATTATTATTATTTAGCAGAGTCTTGCACTGTCGCCCATGCTGGAGTGCAATGGTGCAATCTCGGCTCCCTGCAGCCTCTGTCTCCTGGGTTCAGGCGATTCTCCCTCAGCCTCCCAAGTAGTTGGGATTACAGGTATGTGCCACCATACCCAGCTAATTCTTGTATTTTTAGTAGAGATAGGGTTTCACCATGTTGGCCAGGCTGGTCTCGAACTGTTGACCTCAAGTGATTCACCCACCTTGGCCTCTCAGAGTGCTGTGAGTGCAGATATGAGCCAAATATGTACTATTTCTAAAATATGAATGGAAAACTATTTTTCAGAGCTACTTAGACAGAAAGTGTACCTAGATTGCCAACTAGCATCTCCTTTTTATCAGGTTTCTGTTCTTCTCTATGCATCTCATATGTTGTAGCTCTAGAAAAATATAAATATTGTTTTGTGTGTGTGTGTGAACAATGACCCCAGAAAGAAATCTAGCTGCTGGTGCAAGTAGTAAAAGTGAAGAGATCAAATGGAAAATGTAATTAAAGGATAAATCTTAGTATGAAAATATGATTTGTAGATAAATCAGAAAATGTAATGTAGAATTCCATATTAGCTAAATCTAAGACATAAATGAGTTCACATATACAGAAGAATTATCTACTGATGATTCTAGCTAGTGCCAAAATTGTTTATCACATGAATAATTTCACAAAAAAAGTTTGTACAAGTCTGAATTGCTGTTGAATCCTTTCTAAAACATCGTGTGTTTCCTATGCAAAGTTTCACACCACATATTAACCTTTTTTTTTAAACTCCCACCAGTGTAGGAGTTATAAAACAATTAAAAGGCTGAAGTCAGGGTGGAGGGATTACAGTTCTCAGTAATGTTTTTCCTAAATTTTATGCCAATAATTAGGTGCTATATCTTATAAATTTAAGGATTTGAAAATGTTTTTATATGATTTCTTATAAGGCCAGGCTCTACTGAATTTTCAGCATTGTAGGTAAGCTAGGCCACTGTTATGAAAAAATCAAATAGTTTAAACAAACAGCTCATTGACTGATGAGCTTTCAGCCCTCTCTTTGACTATGTCTTTTGCCATATGACTTCGTTGTTCCTCCCATCAGCAGGAAGAGTATATTTTCCCACCCCTTGATTCCAAGTTTGATCACTTCACTTGTTTTGGCCAGTGGGGTAATAGTAGATGTGATACAAGAAGAGGCTTAAAAATGTGGACTTGCCGTGTTGTGCTTCTGCCATCCCAGTAAGAAGGATAAGCCCAGCTAGCACAGTGTCCCAGCAGGAGGATGAGGGACCCATGGAACAAACCTGAGTTGTCCAGCCAAGATGACCCTCAACTCACAGCTGACTCATGGCCCATTCCCTAGGTACATGAGTGAACCCAGCCAAGATCAGCAGGTAGTACAACTTAGCCGAACCCTTCAGGCTCCAGAGAAATAAACATATATTGCTGTATTCACCTGCTCAGGCTGCCATAACAGAATACCACAGGCTGGGTGGTTTAAACGACAGAAATTTGTTTTCTCACAGTTCTGTAGGATAGAAGTTCAAGATCTAGTTGCCGTCATGTTGGTTTCTGATGAGGCCTCTCTTCCTGGCTTGCAGATGGCCACCTTCCCACCATGTCCTCCTCACATGGCCTCTCCTCTGCACATGCACAGAGTAAGTGAGATCTCAGTGTTTCTCTTCCTCTTCTCATAAGGATACCAGTCCTACTGGATGAGGGCCCCAGTTTTACATGCCATATAACCTCAATTACTTCCTAAAGGCCCTATCTCCAAATGCAGTCACATTGAGGGTTAGGGCCTCAACATAGGAATTTTGGGGGCATTCAATTGAATCCGTAACAATTGTATGACACACAACAATTTGATGGTACTAACTGCCACATTCAGTAAAAATATATAACGGAGAAGTGAGTTTGGCTTCTTGGAAAATGTTAATTCTCTAAGACATAATGAGAATATTTTATCAAAGTAAAAAATTTAGATTTGCTTTACTTCCAATATATAAGCTACCTATCCACTGGAGCATGGTCTAAAAGTGACATTGTTGAAGTACAAGGAATTATTTCTACAGGATAAGTTTGTTTTCGTTTTTTGGGTGTATGTAAGTCCTACTGGGGAATTTATCTTTAAATAATATTATAGATCCTGTATAAAGTGAATTTTTTAAATTCTGAAAATGACTGCATTTAGAAGACACAAACATTTACAAAGAAAAAATATCTTACTCAAAGAACAATATAATATTAATCTTGGTCCAAAAGAACATAAGAATATAATCTTATTAAAATGTCAAAAGAGCCTTCTGCTTATTAGTGGAAAAATCCTATCAGTACTTACAATCTTTAAGGACATGCTGTTTTTAGTGAAGTCAAGAGCAAGTCTTTCTTTCACTTTTTAATACATTAAAAGTCACAGGCTTTTTATAAATTTAACTCTCAAGCTTACTAGCAGTCATTTGCAGCTCATTTCTGTTAGATTCAATTTATCTTTTAATTAGGAAACCAGAGCCATTTCTGAATACTCCTGAAATTAATGAAAGACTCTTTTTTTTCTATAATGCTGCATACCTGTTTGAAGGTATACATTTGTGCAACAAGAGAGTAATGAACATCTGATAATGCAGTACTATCGGGGTATTCATCTGAGGCTTCTATAATGCATCAAAACTATTTTGCTTTATTAAATTATTTTGTATATCTCAAAGACTGCATATTACAGAGTTCCACTGACTATGCAGAAATCAAACTCACTTATTCTTTTCATCCATAGATCCTCATAACATGTTGTTTTAAATATTTTAATAAAGCACTTCTAACAATTTTTGTAGTTGTCCAAGGTGAGTGAGTATGATGGAAGTCAATTAAAGTTTTTTTTTTTACAAATGGGAAGCAAAATTTCATAGTAGCTTGTATAAGAAATGATTTGATTTGTACTCCAATTTGAAAATTGAAATTTAAGATATTACTAAAAATTTATCATTTAACAAAATTCTGGTTATAACTGCAACTCTTTAATTATTAAAATAAATAAAGACTGAATCAAATGTTGATTGGGATTTTTGTTATATAAAATTTTTATGACAAAATTGTTAGGTGCTAAATGCAATGCTGTAGCCTGGATTTGATCCTAGAAGAGAAAAAGGACATTCGTGGAGAAAAATCAGTGAAATCTGAATACAATCGGGGGTGTAGTTAATAGTAATATACCAATGTCAGTTTCTTAGTTTTGACAAATATACCATGGTAATTTAAGATGTTAACATTGGAGAAAACTAGATAAGGGATAGGCAGGAACTCTGTATTATCTTTGCACTATAAATCTAAAATTATTCTAAAATAAAATTTATTAAAAATTATTAGATGACCTGATATGATATTCTTCATTCAGTTTAGCAGCACAGTCATAAAGAGATTCATCTCTGCAGAAATATGTGAAGGCTGTACCAATTTTCCCAAGAGCCTCTCTTAATCCCCTGAAACACAAATCTTCCTTTCTTGAAAGCACACAATCCTTGTCATAATCCTCGTAGATTTTCTCTTCTTTAACAGTAACTGCTCTTGAGTCTGCCATATCCTCACTGTCTATGACTTTCCATTTTGTCCATCACTTTGCTCAATTAAATGAAGTCTAACATCCTTTGCAATATTTATGATTGCACTTCGTAGTCAATATGTGCTCCCCACCCCTTCTCATAGCACTTGAAAGGAAAATGCCTGTTAAAAGATGATAGACTCTAGAGTGAAGATGGGAGAGAAGTTGGAGGGCAGGCTAATTTTCTAAGTAGTCAGTTTTTTTTTTTTTAACAAAATGGCCTACATAACCTTATAACTATAGGAACACCGGTAATATTTGGAAGGCAAAGAACCTTATGTTTCTACTTTTCCTGTAATATAAATATATAAAGAATTGAAGAAATAAAGCAGCTAATGAGAATTGGCAGCCAATTAAAAAAGAAAAAAGACTCAAGAAAGATGCAAACAAGAGGCACAAACTATGTACAGAGATTTTCTTCCTTCTGTGGAGCACTGTGTCATAAGAAAGACTCCCAGAAACAGATGACAAAAATGGCCAACTTTCAATCTTCCCATAGTTATGTTTCCATAGAAGGCAGGGATGTACATAAACCTACACTCAGGCCTAAGGGAAGTTCAACACAGGCCCTTACCCAGTTATAATGTGATCATTCTGATACCTTTATGTTTGTTTTTTCAGGCTATCCAAAAGGGAAGAACACAGAAACCCAGGCTAAAGTGCTGGGATTACAGGCGTGAGCCATTATGCTTGGCCCTGGCAATCTTTAAGTGGAGACATTTGTAGTAATTTATACAATGTACTGTGCTGTGGTGCAGTGTATGCTATGATCTTTATTAACTGGAAAATAAATAGCTATTAATGAAGAGGGCCCCATCCTTTGGTAGATTTTCTGTAAAGCCCCTATCCCTAGAGTAAAATACTTGCATCTGTGTATAAGAGATAATGGGTTTGAAAATCTAAATTACCAAAAATTGGCTTAATCTCATTGATAACATAGTTAATTCTCTGCAGTCAGAAACAAAGTATTTTATGTAAAGGAAAAGTAGAGTGTTCTATGGTTTTATTTGCTTATTTTGCTTTGTTTTATAAGGTTGGTAGTGGAAACTTATTTTTATTAGCAACCATTATTGATGAGTGTTTCTTGAATTCCAAATGAGGGAGAAACCTCTGTTTTTATGTCTTATGTCAATAACATATTTTATTCCCTTCATATCAGGTAATAAATGATAACTCACTAACTTATTAGTGTTATGTTCACTTCATTCCCCAAGTACCTATTAGCCCTAGGGACAAAAATCTTGAAAGGATCAAGTCACACTGAATCTCTCCCATGGTGGCCAACATACAACTGCCCTGGGGGACCCTCCCCAGGGTGATTTCTCTATTACTCACTTTTCACTCTCACTTTTATCAGTGTCCTTGACCATAGCTGCAGTCATCTAATAGCAATTCAAAGGAGGTGGCATAAAAATATAATGTGCAGATAAATGCAGCAGGGAATCCAATCTGTGTCCAGATCTGGCACTTCCTTTGTAAATTACTCAACTAGATTTTGAAGTTCTTAAGGACAATGACCTCTTTTCTGCCTCTCTCGTGTCTTTTTCTGTGCCTGGTATGTTTCTATAATTCTATCTAGTTTTTGACTGGTTAGTTGATTGATCAGATTCATCTTTTTGGCTATCATACAAAAAAAGTCTATAAAATGTATATAAACTAGTTAATATAAAGAATTCTGACATCATTTTCTCAGCATGAACAAAAATATAGTAGAAATGTTATTATAACACAATTGTTGGCCAGAAGAAATACATCTGTATTTTGAAGGAAAAAGAATATGTTCTGTTCAATCAGTACAACTAAATGTAACGTGTAGAGAAACTCAGAAAAAAATATATAGTTATATAAGGTAATTATATTTGAGTGATGTTTTTAAATTCTATTTCTCAAATATTCTACGAAAAATTTATATTACGTTAAAGGTAAGAAATACAAAGGAAGAAGCATGGCAGACACAATTTCATTGATTAAAAATGTTTCTGCTCTTTCATTAGAAAATTTTAGAATGAATAAATATTTCATTTAAAAATAGGTACACAGAGTCTGGGTGTGGTGGCTCACGCCTGTAATCCCAGCACTTTGGGAGGCCAAGGCAGACAGATTGCCTGAGGTCAGGAGATCGCAACCAGCCTGGCCAACATAGGGAAACTCCATTGCTACTAAAAATACAAAAATTAGCTGTGTGTGGTGGCATGTGCCTATAATCCCAGCTACTCGGGAGGCTGAGGCAGGAGAATCACTTGAGGCAGAGGTTGCAGTGAGCCAAGATCACACCACTGCACTCCTGCCCAGGCAACAGAGTAAGACTCCATCTCAAAAAATTAAAAAAAATAAAAATAAAAATGTACACAAAAAAAGTTAGCCTTGAGAAACTTTCCATTGTGAAAGAGGAAGTAAAATTATATTGATTTAAAAAATTGTCATCAGTTTATTGGTAGAGCTATGGCTACTATAGCTTCGGAGGTCTTAAAAATAGACTTTGCCAAAGCAACTACAGCCACCATAGTATTTCAGATAAAGGATCCTTTCTAAATAGGTGGTATTTACTTTATGTCCTTAATTGTAAACCAATGAATGAATGAACAGTATAGCTGAACATTGAGTACATAACGTTTGTCTTTATCTAAACATTTGCCTTAAACCCTAATCAATTTATTAATTATGCTTACATAATAAACCTTGACCTAGATCAAAATAACATAGTAGGCAGGAAAAACAGGAGAGAATTCCAAAGACTTGTGGCTTGAAAGACAGTGGGACTTGTTGAGATCACCACATTTATAAGTCCAAACCCCATATCCCTACATTAATTTGTAAACAACTCCTAGAATTGTGTCCCCACAAAAGATGTTGAAGTCTTAACATCCAGTACTTGTGCATGTGACCTTATTTGGAAATAGGGTCTTCACAGAGGTAATCAAGTCAAATAAAGTCATTAGGGTAGACTCTAACCCAATATGACTGGTATTCTTATTAAAAGAGCAAATTTGGACACAGAGACAGACATGAACATGGGGAGAATGCCATTGAACATGAAGGCAGAGATTGGGGTGATGATTCTACAAGTGAAAGAACACCAAAGATTGCCAGCAAACCACAAGTTATGAGAAAGGCATGAACAGATTCTCTCTCAGCCCTCAGAAAGAACCAATCCTGCTGACACCTTAATATTAGATTTTGGGCCTCCAGAACTGTGAGACCACACATTTCTGTTGCTTAAGCCAGGGGTCCCCAACTCCTGAAACTAGTCCGTGGCCTGTTAGGAACTAAACTGCACAGCAGGAGGTGAGCAGCAGGTGAGTAAGTGAAGCTTCTTCTGTATTTACAGCTGCTCCTCACCACTTTCATTACCACCTGAACTCCACCTCCTGTCAGATCAGCAGCACCATTAGATTCTTATAGGAGCATGGACCCTATTGTGAACTGTGCATGCAAGGGATCTAGGTTGTATGCTCCTTATGGGAATCTAATGCCTGATGATCTGTCAATGTCTCCCATCACCTGCAGATGGGACCATCTAGTTACAGGAAAACAATCTCAGGGCTCTCACTGATTCTACGTTATGGTGAGTTGTGTAATTATTTTATTATATATTACAATGTAATAATGATAGAAATAAAGTACACAATAAATGCAATGCACTTGAATCATCCCAAAACCATCCCCCACCAACCCAGTCCATGGAAAAATTGTCTTCCATGTAACCAGTCCCTGGTGCCAAAAAGGTTGGGGACTGCTGTTATAGACTACACAGGTGACTGAAAGAGGAAGTTTAGGCTAAAAACCAGTGCGGTGTGTATACACACCAAATGTATTGAAAGCTGAGAATATATCATGAGGAACCAAGGAGGAAAGTGCTTTAGGTCATCAGATTTTTTTAAAATAGTTTTTTCAAGATTAATTTACATACAATAAATTGCATACATTTCAACTGTGCAATTCAATGAGTTTTGACAAACATGTAGACCATCCCAATCAAGCTATAAAACATTTCCCAGAAAGTTCACTTTTGCGTTTTCCAGCCAATCCCCTCTACAGCTATGGCTGCCAACCACTACGCTTCTATTACTGTAGATTGATACTGCCAGTTCTAGAACTTCACGTAAATAGATTTACACAATAGGCACTATTTTGTCTGTCTTCTTTCACACAGAATGATGGGTTTTTTTGTTTGTTTTCTTTCTTTTCCAAGACTATTTCTTAGTGTGAACAGCATGATTTTTTTTTGAGTGAATAAATGAGTCAAAAAGCTATGAACATTCAGGTACAAGTCTTTGTATGAACATATATTTTCCTTTCTCTTTGGTAAATACCTGAGAGTAGAATAGCTGGGCCACATGGTAAGTGTATGTTTATTTTTATAAGAAACTGTCAAACTGTTTTCTAAAGTAGCCATACCATTTTATACGACTACCTTTCCTACATCAAGGGTCAACAAACTTTTCCTGTGAAAGGCCAAAGAGTAAATAAACATGTTAGGCTTTGTGGGCCACGTATGGTGTCAGTTACATGTCCTTCTTTATTTTACAACACTTTAAAACTGTAAAAATAATTCTTAACTCAAGTGCCATACAAAAGCAGGCCATGGGTTAGACTTGGCTCCAATGAAAATTCTGTATCAAGTCGGGATTCAACCAGAAAAACAGGACCACCAGAAGATATATCTAGAATTAGGGATTCGTTACAAGAGTTTGGCAGCATGTAATTGTTAGAAGCTGGTTAAAAGTTTTGCTATTTTCTAAGGTTGTTGTCTCTATATCTTGTCCTGGAGTTTGAAATTCACAGGGCAGGCCATCAGGAGGGAAGATGGATGTACAGTGGGGGAGGTTAGGAATAGACTGGACTTCACACATCAGTTGAAGACCATGAGGAGAGACTGACACCTGTGTCAGTTCTTGTTGCCACTGACCTTGGTAGTGTGGGTATCTGACAGAAATCAGAACCTTCAACCACACCCTCACCAACACTTGGCATGGTCAGTTTGTAGATTTTAGCCATTGTATTGAGTGTATACTGATATCTCATTTTGGCTTTAATTTGCATTTCCATGACAAGTAATGATGCTGAGAATATTTTCATGTGTTATTGGCCATTTGTAGGTCATCAGATTTTAAGGGTACTTTTCTTTTCTTTTCTTTTCTTTTCTTTTTGATAAAGCAATATGAGGTCAAGAATAGCTCTACATGGCTGGGTACAGTGGCTCACGCCCGTAATCGCAGCACTTTGGGAGGCTGAGCCGGGCAAATTGCTTGAGCTCAGGAGATCAAGACCAGCTTGGACTACATAGCAAAACATAGTCTCTGCAAAAAATAAAAATTAAAAATTAGCCCAGTGTGGTGGTGGGCACCTGTAGTCCCAGCTACTTGGGAGGCTAAGGCAGAAGGATCACTTGAGCTTGGGAGGTTGAGGCTACAGTGAGCCGAGACTGAACCACTGCACTGTAGCCTGGGAGACAGAGCAAGACCCTGTCTCAAAAAAAATAAATAAGTAAAAATAGAAGAGCTCTACAGCTTATTTCAAAAAGCTACTTAGCATTTGGAGTCTTAGTTATCTTCGACATTGCTAGACTGACAGTTAAACACCTGAGCAATATCATCAGGTAGGCCTGGGTCAAACCCTGACCCTGCTGCCTCCTGGCTGTGTGATCTTGGGCCAGTTCCTTAACTTCTCTCAGCTTCAGCTTCTAAATGTATAAAACAATACCTACCCCATAGGTTGATTATGAAGCATGAATGAGATAAGATCAAGTCACTATTTGGGGATTCACACAATATGTTCACATAGATATCACAATCCTTTACAGCCTGGTACAGAGTAGACGCTCAATCAATGGTAGCACATTGTTCTGTGTCTGAAATTTAAACTTCCACCATTGGGATTGTGGAGAGAAATTTAAGAAGGGAAAGACAGTTGTCTCTCCAAAAATGCTGTAGCTGTGGTAGTACACATTTGTTGTTGTTGTTATTGCTGTTGTTACGCTTTCTTTTATCCCTTTTCTTCCTTCTGGATTCAGTGTCCTTCATAAAGTACATCCTTTAGAAGCTCTTTCAGAGAGGGTTTATGAATGGCACACTCTCAAAGCCTTTATTTGAAAGTGTCTTCATTACACTCTGTCATACAAGAGTGAGGACATAATAAAGACCCTTTTACATTTTTATTCTGTATCATACTGTGATTCCAAGAAGAGACTCAGCTCATTAAAAATGACTGCTTCAGCTTCAAGAAACCACATGTTTTAGTTAGGTGAAGCAAGTACTTTTAATTGTTGTTGGCACTGTCATTTACACCCTTTTAAGTGGATCTACCATCTCAAGGAATAAATTTGTTCAAATTTATGTTAAGGAAATTCATCCTTAGTAAGCAAGTACTGAATAATGATGGAAAATATGACCTGTTTGCCAGAAATATTCTGCAGGTTTCAGGTTTCCACTGCCCATCAGAGGCAGCATTGGGCAAGGTGTATTCAGCCTTTGCAGAATAGATGAACTTCCTAGAATACAGCTGACCTGGTTTGTATACCTTATCCATGCAGTGAAACAACGTGGTTAGAAAATAAAACCACCACTGAGAATACACAAATGCAGTGGTTCTCAAACTCGAGCATGCACCAGGACACGGAGGGCTTGCCGCAACACAGCTTGCTGCCCTGTCACCCCAGAGTTTCTGATTCATCAGGTGTGGGGCAGGTTGCTGAGAATTTTCACTTCTGACAAGTTCCCAGGTGACAGTGACACCTGGTTCAGGACAACATTTTGAGACCCAAAGATCTATGGTATTTAAATAAACTGTGGCCATCTATGCTGATCATCAGAATTTAACAGACCTAAGTTCTTTTTGGTTTCAGGATGTAGATAAGTTCTCTCCCTGATATTGATCACTACTGAAAATAATGGAGGAAATGTTTTCAGTAAGAAAAATCATTGCCTATTTGGAAAATTATTTGAAATCAGTTATTAAGGCTTGAAGATCAACTTACTATTTGGGTTTCACATAGTATGAACAATCGTAATGAAAATGACACATTGAGCGAATGTTGAAAAAGCTACTAGAAAATATGTCTTTAAAATGAGACTATAGGCCGAGTGCAGTGGCTTACACCTGTAATCTCAGCATTTTAGGAGGCTGAGGCATGCAAATTGCTTGAACTCAGTTCAAGACCAGCCTGGGCAACATGGTAAAACTTTTGTCTCTACAAAAAAAAAAAAAAATTTAGCCAGGCGTGGTAGCTCATGCCTGTAGTCCTGTAGTCCCAGCTACTGGGGAGGCTGAGGTGGGAGGATCACTTGAGCCCAGGAGGTCCAGAGGTTGCAATGAGCTGAGATCTGCCACTGCACTCCAGCCCGGGCAACAGAGCCAGACCCCGTCATAAAAAAAAAAAAAAAAAAAGACAGAGAGAGACTATATAAATAAGTCAATCTTACTCATTTATCTTTGGAATAAATATTCTGGGCTATAGCAGAACTTCAGGCCTGAAGTAGGTTAAAAATATAAATTAACAAATTTAAACAGAAATTTTTTTACTTTCTCCTACTTTTTGTCCTTGTCTTTACCTTTCTTTTCATGGTGCACCTTTTGTTTTCTGCTCTTTCTCTTTTGGCTCCACTTTACTAAATACTTCCAATGTTTTTTTTTTCCTTTTCTAGGGTTTGATATGTAGTACTACATACCAAATAAACAAACAGGATAGACTCCTTAAAGGAATCTGTTTCAAACAGCCAGACTTACTGGGTTTGAATGAAGTCCATGTGTCCTCTGCATGGATCTGAATAACTTTTCCAGTCTAATGCTATTATGATGTCAAGTGGAAATGGCTTCTCCAACCCACCCCATCTTAATGAGATCCTGACCCTCTGTGCTTATCTAATAGTGTGTATCACACAAAGTTAAGCTGCATGTATTTAGCCTACACATTCATTCGAAGGGGAATAGCGAAGTCATCGGAGCAGGGCTGAACTATGAAAAGAACAATTCCTTGTGTTTAAAGGAGCACAGAGATTACATTGATTAGCTGGCTCAACCTCTGGCAATTGCATTTTACCACTGTCAAAGCAAACTTATGGAAGCTTAATCTATGTTTTAGGAAAAGAGTCATTGTAAACACAACACCTTACTTCCTTTACATAGTTGATGTCTATCCAGTGAGTTGATCTATTTTATGAAACTCGCATCAGTATGGTTTGTCAGACCCAAACATCTAACTTTTACAGAACCTTGTTTGAACCCAGCCATCTCACTTTGCAGGGACTGGGGGGATGCAGGTTATTCTAATGAATGTAGCACATGTGGGTGCTAAGGCATCGCTTCTGATGGTAATGATCCATTTCTAGGGGCTCTCAGCCCCCACCAAAGGATATGCCATTTGTGTGAAACCCAGAGTCCTTGAATAACAAAGGCAGCTTCTAGCCCTGGGTGGGCCAAACTGAGCGCTTCAGGGTCACAAGCGTTCTCTCAGAGCAGGTGACTCCTGTCATCCTGTCGCCCGTCATAAGTATACTGCTGTCTATCTCCTCACAAAGCTTTTAACCATATTTTGGTTTCTCTGTGGTGCTCTTTACCAGAATTGATAGGGTTAGAACTTCAGCTGCCTCACTTCTCTCTTGTAAGGTGGGGCTGATAATACCAACCACCCCAGGTTGCCGTGTAGAGTAACGAGGTGATGAATGAAAGCACCTAGAACTATGCCCCGTCCATGGCTCCACAGCTGTTTTGCAAACGTGAGTATCACCCCCCACTTTGATTTTCTACCGATACCTATAAAAAAGAAAAAAGTGAGTTCATTATAACAAGCAACCTCTAACTCATTTTTTAGAGCCCAATTTTTTTGTGTGAGCTGCTTGAAATAGCTGCGCCCCCCAAACCAAAAAAAATGCTTCTCATGGAAGCATTCTATGAGAACACTGCAAGTGAAACTGTCTGTTCAGAAGGTGCTGGCTTACTACACATGTTAATGAATTGTTTTCCATCCTATAGACATAATCTGAATCAGAGACCTGAACAGAAGATGCAACTTCAGGCGCAGACCTCTGGGAGCCCTGAGATGGTCCAGATTCTGTTTAAAGGGTTTGTCTTAAAGAGTTAGAGGTAAAGATGAGCCTCTCCCTGATTTCTTTACATAAACAAAAATATAGGACAGTGGGGTAAGAGGTTTTCAAAACATTTTTATTATAAAAAATTCAAATACACACAAGAGCAAACAAAATAGTGCAATGGAGGGGGTTGTTTTTAAACAGCTGACATTATATTGCAATGCAGGGAGTAGAATGATAAAAAGAAAATATTTAAATGCTATGTTTATGCCTTCTGTGATGAATAGCTTATTTAAGTAATTATATGTTTCTATTCAAATTGTTATATGACACTCTCATCAGCAGTGACTAGCAGAAACCACAGTAAGATATACACGTGGCCTAGACTTTATGTATGACTAAGACCAAAGTTTTATGAAACGATTCTTAGTATTTGCAGTGCTCTCTTGATTTATTCACTGACTTCTTCATTTGTTCAGTATATGTTTGTAAGATTAAATAAAATAGGTGTTATAACATTTGTTTAGAGAACATCAATATAGAAAAGAGAATACACACCCCATTTAGTTTCAATTTTCCATCCATTCTTTCCGAAGATCTAACTAAAATTCTCCAGGGTACATAATTTCTTTTCTGCTATAGAACAAAACGTAGCTCACAAATCTAATATTCATGTGGACAGTTTATTGCAAAGGAACTTCTAAGCATTTTTATCATCATTTTGTGAAAAAGAAAACCTAGGAACATAGAACTTATATTCTATGACCTGTCCTTGGTCAAAATGCATAATCCCAAAGGAACGGCAGGACTTCTACCCCAGGGCAACACTCTTTCCACTTCATACTCAACACTGGCCTGTCCTGGTGGATTTGAATTTTCCACTGCAAGGTAATTATGGCCTTGTATATCCAAGCAGCTCAGAAAAGTCCTAAATCTGAAACAATCAAGTGTACTTTTTGCTTAAGCATTAAGCAGACTCCCATTCACCTCTGTACCAAAAGAGAGAGAGAGAACATTTGGATATGTCTAGCTTTGGTAATATAAATTAAATTAGAATTATTCTTTATCTACCCATCTAACACTTTTTCCCTCCCTCTTCTTTTTAAGAAATAAGCACAAATTAGCTCATCAAGATAGCAATGACTATGCGGTTTGAAAGAAGCAGCCCATGTTTGATGTTGCTTTGTTTCTAACAGAATTTTAAAAAAATGCTAAACTCAAACCCTATAATTCAGCCCAACCTGTTGCTATTCTTTGATGAAAGCATTTTTTAAAATAGCAGATAGGAAGCTGAGATTTGCATTGAGATAAAGATAGCATAGATCAAAAGCAATCATACATATGTCAGTTAGATTCAGTGATAAGATGTGGTAAGTGGTAGGTCCCATATCTAGTTACTTTATGTACAACCACATTTGCTGAATGCAGGCACTCTAATAGGCTAGACACTCATAGATGGAAATTAATGGAAGGCAATCTATGATGGTTAGACTGTTTGTTCTGGTATAGATCCAAGACTACATTTCTCCTAATTAGTAATATTACCGTAATTTTTTATAACTGTCTATGCTGCCCTGCCCAGAATAGTAAATTATCTTTGAAACTTTTATCTGGCATTTCTGAGGGGGTCAGCATTATTTTATAAGTACTCTATATCCCCCATACAGAAACTTAGAACTTAGACAATTTCCCCAATTTATTAGAAGGAAAAATATTTTGAGTTAAATTTTAAGGGGAGGAAAAATCCTCCCCTTAAAAAATCCATATAAGGCATTTTAGGGGGGAGGGTGCAAGTAATATAAAATAATGTCAATATCAATAGGACGCAGAAAAGAATGCTAAATTGGTTTTGAGGTGAAGTGGGATTGTGGAGAGGAGAGGATGAGAAGTAATGGTTTACTTGGTAAGTAAAATGGAAGAGTCATACAGTGGTTATTTTTCTGGAAGGCTGAGTTGTAGCAGAAACGTATTGATACAGACCACGGTTAATGCCACATGTCTCTTTGGGATGCCAGCCATACATTACCACTCATAATGAAGATAATCTTGGATAATCAAAGCCAGGCTATAAATCGCAGAGATTAAAAACCCGTATTAGGGAATTTCTATGCAGCTCAACATGGGGGTTGCTTCCTTACTTAATATATTCACTAAAGTCTAAAATTCTACAGCTGAATCTTCTCATTTACTTTCACCAGGCTTGAACACCCCTCATTTGTAATAATCAAGCCAAATTACCTTTTAGCTAAAATGGTGTTCTGCCATTGATGATCCAACAGGCCAGGGCTAGTGTGAAGCAGCTGAGGCACTTACCTCGAGCACAAAATTTAAGGTAGGGGGTGCCCACAGCTTCAGTAATCAAGATAAATAACATTTTAACTTCCCTACCGTAATCCTATCTCTGTTGAATCCTGTCTTTATTTAAAATTTTGATAGATTGTCCACCATGGATTTTTTTGCATTGAATTTGAGTTTTTAAATATTATTTTTCTTTATTACTGAGATGTGGGGCACTCTTTCAAATTTTGTTCCCTGAAGCAGGTGTTTCACATGGTCCGTAGTAGTCCTGGGCCTATAACCTTATTCTTATATTTACATCACTTCAGATTCAAAAAGTTATTTCTTACTTCTAGCCCAGAGTTTCCCAGCCTCAGCACTTTTGACATTTGGGGCCAGATAATTCTTTAGTTATAGGGGTGTCCTGTGCATGGCAGGATGTTCAGCAGCAACCCTGACATCTCCCCACTCAATGCCAGTAGCAATGCCAGATGCCTCCCCACCCCCACAGTTGTAATAGACCAAAAATGTCTCCACATATTGCCAAATCATCCCCAGTTGAGAACCACTGATCAAACCAACATCCCTCATGCTGCAACCACTCATTTGCTTCCCGTTGCTTTCCCAAGAGAGATGGGAAGCAGCTTTTCTTCATCTTCTAAATAACAACCCCATGAGATTCTTTGCTTTATAGAGCATGTGTTTACTTTATAATCTGATTAGAGTGATGATAATTACATTAGCATGTCTAGACTTACTAAGGTCAAAGCCTTGGCCTCTGTAAAGTTTATTCCTGTCTAATATCTGACATCTCAGTAGACCACTTGACCATCTGAAGCAGTGGCCTCTCCCGCAATTCAGAAATGCCTTGTAATCATAACCCCCTGTCAAACTGTAAACTCAACTCCTTCATTGCATTATGCCACAGGGATTAGTTACTCCCAGCAACATTCTACTCCCTTCAAAGTGAATTTCATCTTGGAATTTATCAGTAACCTTTATGTAAACTATCATATTTTCTTCCATCTCAGAAGCTAAGGCTCTAATGAGTCAGCTTACATTAAATAATTCAGCAATTCAACTTCCTCTGTGATCTTATTTTTTAACTACTACAATTTCAGGAAGCCATTTTGCCTATAATGAGCCAGAAAGATATTTAGCATTTTTCTTTCTGATCATTCAAAGGGAAAATTTATTATGAAATTTATAAAGCCCAGAGTCAGATTATACTGGAAGGTAAAAGTCCTTTTTTGGACGTGAGTTTTGTAAGAATATACTAAAAAGTCCTATAACCATCCATGCAAATTGCCATATGAATCATAAGTAAGTAGTCAGATGGATAAACTAGAAATTGTTCCTAATGATACACAATCTGTCACATTCACCCTCTGCTCTGTTGAACATTCACAAAATTCTGGTTACTTGTGTGTTTTTTTTCTTCCAGGTAAGAATAATGTATGTGAGAGTCTTATATTCAAGATAATGAGTTTGGATATTATACCAGTCAGAGTTGTTTACCGCAAGCAACAGAAAATAACTCTAGCTGATTTAAGCAGAGAAAAGCATGTGTTGCTGTGTTGTTCAATAGCTCAAGGCATTTCAACAGTGTTGGAACCAGGCTTAGAAAAGGAGGCCAGACAAGGGAAGCTAGGCAGCAGGTGGACAACTAAAATCACACCACTTAACCCATCTAATGGGGAAACCACCATCACTCCCCTCACGCTAAACACAGATATCACAGGTTGACTGGCAGCCACAGACACAGGACTTTGAATGTGCTGCTCCACCTCCGTGCCTCTGGATTTGCTGCTGTCTCTGATTCTATCTGTTACCAGCTCCCAGTTCAAAGGCAATAGCAGGTACATCCATTTAGTCAAGCCTGGGTCACATACCTGCATCCTAGCTGCAAGGGAGGCTAAAAAATGTGTGGAGTTTTCAGCTCCTAAAGTGGGAGTCAAGCAGCTAAAAAAAGAGAGACGGTTTCCACTGAGATGCGACAAACGGAGGTAATTAATAATAACAGATGAAGTCTTGGGCTCTGGAGTTAGACTGAATTTGAATCGATGCTATGTGACCTATGTGACCTTGGATAATAAATCACTTAAACCCTTACTTGTTTCTATTTCCTCACTTCTAAAATAGAGATAATACCGTTATCTGCATTAGAGACCCTTGTGAGGATTAAATACAAACATCCATGTACAATTTCTTAGCACAGGAACTGGCACAGAGTAAGTATTAATACTTCTATATTTCTGTGTGTGTGTGTGTGTGTGTGTGTGTTTAAATGAACACATGTTTATACCAACACATAACACTGATAGCAGAGACAGAGCTTCTCTACTCCCATTCTCTTTCCCTTTTAGAAACACCTACCAAATACTGAGAGAGTACCGCATATCTCAGACATTCATTTAGTTTAATGCTAGGCAAGGCAACTCGATTTAACTTTGGTCTCCTCCCTTAAAGCATACATGATCTAGCAGAGAGACACCAAGGATGAAAGAGTTATAATTCTACATATGTTATAATATAATAAAAACAAAAGTTCAGAGAGGGATAAGATTAATTTTATCTAGAGAGCTAGAAAAGATCATATAAAAGGAACTCAAAAGGGAATGTGAAGAATAGATAATAAGAATTTTCCAGAGAATAGAGAGAAATGGTTGTCTACCAAGCAGTGAGAATACTCCCAGCACAGCGGTATAAATGCAGGGTGTCTGGCAATGGGGAAGAATTCAGAAAGACAAGAGCATGGGTTGATGGGAAAGTAAACAAAGATGAATTGAGAAAGACAGATTAGGTCCAGATTGTCAAAACCCTCTGGGGTCACGGTGGTTATCCTGTCACCTGCTAACATGCATGCTAGCAAAACTGCTAGGAACTGACCCAAGGCCCTAGCAATGTGCCACATCATTGGCATCAGTATCTTCATATATTATTTGTTCTTTTTAAACTCATTATTCAGAAGTTAAATCCCAGGGATTAAGGTTGGCCTAAACAAAACAGTGGAATAGGCAAAGTTTCTCCTACTCGTTCCTTTTGTTGGGTCTTCCTTTCTCCCTTAACCTCCATCCCAGCTCCCCAGTGCCACCTGAAAGCCTCTGGTTCTGCATCACACCCATTGCAATGCTGCCAAAGCTTCAGGCCCTCATGTGTATTGCCAGCTCCAGATCCTCCCATTCTTCTTCCTCCACCAACACACCAGAGCCCTGATTTCTGTTTAGCTGACAAGACTGAGAATGGGCTAAACAGATAAACCAGACTTAACTTCCGTTCCTGTCAGTGGCCCTCTTAATAACACAGTATCCTGATAGTGACAGTGGCCTCCCCAGAACAGTTCCCCAACATCAGTTTCTGTCAGTTGCTACACCTACATCTTCCCCAACCTCTCCACCTCCCCATGCCCACCCTGCCACATGCTCTAATATGGACAAAATAATTCTTGTAGACCACAAAATAAGAATGCTCAAAAGCAGGATTGCTCCAGAAAATATGAGGCTAGCCACTGCTTCCTGGTTTCTTCTCAGGAAACTGAATCTGCTCTTCCCTCTGGACCAGAATCTGATCTCAAGTTCTCTAAGACCATCAACCCGGGGCAGGAGCCCAGTAGCTCCAGCATCTGCGTGACCAGAAATGGGATGATGTGGCTCCTTGCTGGAGATGTTTCAGCACATTGATTGCAAAACCCAGTGAGTTTCTCTCAGGTTTTGTTTCAGCTGCCAAGAGCCCAGGGCCTCAAGCCTTGTGAGCAGCTCCAGGAATCTCAGGGAATCGAGAAGAGACCCAGGACACTGGCATTGGCAAAATGTTGCTGGTGTGGCCGCGTGTAGCACTGAAGTGGCCTGGAGGGTGCGGCCCATTCGGAAGAGCTGTGGCTGGAAAGAGTTTGTACATAAGGGACAGGTAAAAATGAGCAATTATATTTGAGACAGATCCATTCATTCAGTGGCAATATATTTTTCTTCACATGCTTTTCTTTTCACAGCAAGCAAATGCACATGAAGCCAGTGACTATGAAGTCGGTCAGATTGAATTGACTCAGTTTTTCTCAAGTCTTCAAGCGTGAAGCATTGCAAACCTTCGAGTGTACACTGGGGAAAGAAAGGAAGGGAAAAAAGGACTCCACGGCAAAACCTAAGGAAAAGCCTGTGAAAAGAAAACGGCAAGATAGAGCAACACGATTTCAAATCTTAATCTCCTGAAATGGTGCTTCTAAAGCTGCACTTTCCACATTTCTAAGTGAGACTCTTCAAAACTCTGTGTCAAATCATGTTATAACCTTGCTTCTTATCTGTCTGCGATGGCTTTCAAGGGCCAGTAATTCCCCACATGCGGCAGAAAAGTTCACAGTAGAGATTTGTGCACTTGGCTAAGCTTCCCGCCTTGCTTTTTGTGGAGTGCTGGTGAAGGAGAGAGATTTCTTTTCCCTTTCAGAACTAATGCAACTGCCAAGGACACAGGCTAGAAGCAAACCAAATCACTCACTTGGACACATAATCTGCAGGACAACAACTTAATATTAGACTCTCTGCTTTTGTCCAGTAAAACACATGGCCTGGTAGAATGCCCCTGCAATTTTTTAAATTAAAAACTGGCAGACAAGACCACAAGTACAGGGGAGACTTTTTTGCTGCCTTCTTGCTAGACACCCTCCCTTGCCCCATCACCAGAGATGACCTGGAGTCTTGGGCGCTGGCTGCTGGGGTGACAGTGGTGCAGGGGGCTGAGGAAAGAAGAGTCATGGAAATCTTAATAAACTGCAGAGAGAGGGTGTCATCTGCCATAGGAAGGGTGGAGGCCACCTCACCGTCTCTTTCTCTACCTGCCTACTGGCCCTTGGACTGGCCTGAGGGTTTGCACAGGAAGAGGCAGGCGTGAAGAGCTCTGAACAGCATTCCCTGCATCAGGGGCCATAAATGCAAGTGTCAGCCAGGGTCTGGCAGGTAACATCAGCAAGTAAAATGGGTGAGGTCTAAGAAAAGAAAAGGAAGGAAGACATTATCTACTATGTTATTTGTTTTTGTTTTTTAATAAAGATAGTTTTATTTCTTTACAAAAAAAATTAAGATGGCCAAGGCAGGTGGATCACTTGAGGTCAGAAGTTTGAGACCAGCCTGAGCAATATGATGAAGCCCCATCTCTACTAAAAATGCAAAAATTAGCCGGGCGTGGTGGTGGGCACCTGTAATCCCAGCTACTCGGGAGGCTGAAGCAGGAGAATTGCTTGAACCCAGGAGGCAGAGGTTGCAATGGGCCAAGATTGCACCACTGCACTCCAGCCTGGGAGACAGAGAGAGACTCTACTTCAAAAAATAATAATAAAAAAAATTAAAATAAAGATGACATTCTGAAACAAAAACAAAATTAATTCCTCTTGGCAAGCTGATACACTTTCTTGTATTAGGCACGAGATCTATTGTTCCCATTTTCCCTTGACTTCCAAGAGGCTCAAAGCTATATTTTGTGCTTCCCTTTGATTTTTTTTGGACCCATCTTTCTCTCATTCTCACCTGTCTCCTCTCCCAATGTGCACACACATTTTATACACATACATCATATACACACATATATATGCCACATACCCATATACGAGCATCATAGGCTCTTCTATTTTTACCTCTGGCATTTTTCCCTTTATTGTAAGTTTTATCACAAATCCTTATGACAGTATGCAGTGTGAAGTAATAAATTAATAAAACGAGTGCTTTCTACATTCAGGAGGCTGATGTTTCCAATTCTTTAATCAGACTACCACACCATTAGCTGCCAAGGAATCCAGACAACCTGGAAACACAGATCAGATTCCACCCTTGGTTCCTAGAGTGGTACAGAGGACAAGACCTACAGGGTTCTGCCCACTCTTGGGTGAAAAAGGACCAAAATAGCAGAATCCAGAGCCCTATTTTTTAACCACCTTGAAGCACACTCTCCTATTCCTCCCACTCTCTCACTCTCTTTCTCTCTCTTTCTCTCTCTCTCTCACACACACACACACACACACACCTGGTAGTCTACACAGATGTGGCATAGATAACGGAAGTATAATACTAGTTTAAACATTCCAGAGTTCTTAATTCCTTACTATCAAGCCCTGTATTAATATGTGCCAAACTGGCCAGGCATGGTGGCTCACGCTTGTAATCCCAGCACTTTGGGAGACAGAGGCAGGAGGATCATTTGAGCCCAGGAGTTGGAGATCAGCCTAGGCAACATAGCAAGACCACCATTTCTACAAAAAAAAAAAAAAAAAAAAAAAATTATAATTAGCCAGGCATGGTGATGCATGCCTGTAGTCCTCACTACTTGGGAGGCTGAGGAAGGAGGATCACTTGAGCGCAGGAGTTCAAGGCTGTAGTGAGCTGTGATCGTGCCACTGCACTCCAGCCTAGGCAACAGAGAAAAACATTGTCTCTAAAATACACACACACGCATATATAGAGAGAGATACATATAAATAAATGCCAATGTCTTATTTTTTATTTTCTTCTGTTTTAGGCTTTGGTTTTGTTTTTGTTTTTATTCTGGAGATGGAGTCTCACTGTCACCTAGACTGGAGTACAGTGGCGTGATCTCATCTTACTGCAACCTCTGCCTCCTGGGTTCAAGCAATTCTCCTGCCTCAGCCTCCCGAGTAGCTGGGATTATAGGCGCCTGCCACCACTCCTGGCTAATTTTTGTATTTTTAGTAGAGATGAGGTTTCATCATGTTGGCCAGGCTGGTTCAAACTCCTGACCTCAAATGATCCACCTGCCTCGGCCTCCCAAAGTGCTGGGATTACAGGTGTGAGCCACTGTACCCAACCCATTTTAGGTATTTCCATATAAAACTCTGTACCAAATGTCCAAATTCAATGGAAAGGACCATTAAATTAATTCCAAATTCTAACTCCAAAAGTATTCTGATTTTTAAAACATCTTTTTATTTTCATTTTAAGGATTCGAAGGATTTCTCTTTGGAAGTTTGTTGCTTTTATTTCTATTTTTACTCACTATTTTCTCTGTCTGCAAGCCAAATAGAGATGATATACATTAGGAAGGAGCTACAGATTCAAAATTAATCTCCACCAAAGTTAATTCCTGCATAAATTAAGCTGAATTTGTTTTTTCAACACCATGAATCAAGTTTAATAGCTATAAATAAAACATGAATTTGAGTTTCCTCATTTATAACTTCAAATCCATGACATTTTAGCATAGGAAGGGTAACGTTTTCTTTTTTCTTCTTTTTTAGAGCTCTGAGGCTAGTCATCTGAGAGACTGTAGTAAATATTGTTGATTCAAATAAATTCCTCTCTATGGCTGAAAAAGCTAATACTAAGAAGCCCACAGAAAAATTATCTCTGCATTCCTTTGTATGCTTATGCAAAACATCATGATCCTCCTCTTGGGACCAGCAAACCAGTAGAGAAATTGCCAGAGATGTGAGCTTTGGGGGTTGGGAAGGCTGTTCTGCTGCATGAAGCGCATGGCTGGTTGTTGGCCTCAGGTTACTCTATGGCTATAATTAGTTCTTGGAGAAATCGTGAACTGGGATTAAAATAGGATGTCAGGATGACCCTGTTGAGACCTAACCTGTAGTAGGTGCTGTGGTGCACCCCTACCCGCTTTGCTTGGCCCAGTGCACCCTCCCCAGCTGTGTGAATGTCTGGTGCCAACACACTTACTACAGAAATTATGCCCCACCCCACCCTCCCACCAAGGCCAAGGCAGCCCACAACCATTGAGAGCACAAGAGGACAATCCCCTTCCCTCAATTTTGTCTTGAGGTTTACACTCCATAACTACATTGTTTGATGTGGTAGCCATTAGCCATATTAACTATTTAAATTTACATCAAATTTAATTAAACATTTAGTTCCTCAGTTATACTAGCCACACTGCAAGTGCTCAATGGCCATAGGTAGCCAGTGACAACTCTACTGGACAGTGCAGATTCTATAGAACATTTCCATTATCATGGTAAGTTCTACTGGCCAACACTGCTTTAGAGTCTACCCCTATGGATCAGACCAACGTGAGGCTTCCCCTGAGGCAACGTCCTTGCTCTCTTTCCCTCTCCCTATCCTGCTTTCATGCCGCCCCTTTAAGTTTTTTAATTCTGTTTCTGAAGAACACTCCCTCAATAAGTCTTCTGCATTTGAATCCCTGTTTTGGACTCTGCTTCTAGGGAATTCTATCCAAGACACTATCTCTATTGCTTTCAGCTTATCGTAAACCAAGGAGTAAGCGTTTATGCATGGAAGCCTTGGACTTCCTTACTCTAGAGATAACATGTAGTCATGCTTTCTGAAGTATAGCCTCGAAGAATCAGTGGGCCTAAATTTCATAAAAGGAAAGGGGTTCTGAGAACGTAATGGAAAGTTTCATTTTCACACCTGAGAGGAAGTGACTGAGGGGTGCAAGTCTCTGCAAGAGGCCGGGTCCTGTGCTCCACTTGCATGCAATGGCAAGATGGGGGCACTAGCTGAGGTGTGCTGGGAGAGTCCACAGTAAGAGCCACGGGTGTGAAAGCAGAATACATGGTCCGCGGTGGGAGACAAGCTGTTGATGGTAGAACCAAGCAGAGGAAAGGGGCAGTGGTAATGATGTGGCCAACAAGGACTAAGCGGTAGGCCCCCACCACATTTGTATCTGGAAGTAAGGTATGCTCTAATGACAGAGGGGAGGGAGCCCCAATACTAATACTGAATAACCAGCCTGGTGAGTGGACTTTCAGAACTGGATAAAATGTGTTATAAACACACATGTGTAGCCATCAGGGAAATGTAAATCAAAACCACAAGCGGATTTCACTTTACACCCATGAGGATGGCTATGCTCAAGAGGAAAAAAAATGTTGGCGAGCACGTGGAGAAATTGGAACCCTCAAGCATTGCTTGTAGGAATGTAAAATGGTACAATCACTTTGAAAAACAGTCCAGCAGTTCCTCAACAAACTACACATAGAGTTACCATACGACCCAGCGATTCCACTCCTAGGCATGTACCCAAAAGAAATGAAACATATGAAATGATACAAAAAGAAAAAAGTGTGTAGGTGAATGTTCATAGCAGCATTGTTCATAACAGCCACATAATAGAAACAACCCAAAGGTCCATCAACTGGTGAATGGATAAATTAAATGTGGTATAACCACACAATATTATGCAATGACAAAAAAGAATGGAGTATTGACATGTGCTACAACGTCAATGAACCTTTAAAGGACACAACATGAATGGATCTTGAAATGTCAAGAATAGATAAATCTATGGAGACATAAAGCAGATTAGTGGTTGCCAGGGGCTGGGGAGGTTTGGAGGAAGTGTGGAGTGACAGATAATGAGTTACAAAGTTTCTTTTTGGGGTGATGACAATGTTCTAAATGTGATTGTAGTGATGGCTGCACAACTCTGAAAATACTAAAAAAACACTTTAAATGGGTGAATTGTATGGGATATGAATTACATCTCAATAAAGCTGTTAGAAACACACACAGACACACACAAGCAATGTGAGTTTTTTGCACTGTAGCTGTGTGACAAAATCATTTACATTGCAATATTTGTTTATCTTTAAATTTATACCTGGGGACCCCTCCTGTATTTTTTCAGATGAGCCTGTGACTCAGGCTGAATGACTGGCAAAGGCACAATAACCTCTCAATTTCTTGAACATGTTCTATTTTATCTCTCTCTTCTGAAGTAACTGGTCAGATAAATATTAAATCAGACATATTGTCTGATGAATCGATCACCAAGAGATTCATGCAAGGAATGTAAAAGCTAGTGTGAAAATAAGGGCATGCCACATTCATCCTCAAACAGGAACACATACTGGGAAGATTATGAAATGTAATAGCCTCAAAATAAACTTTCTCATCCTAAACAGGAAATAGATGTTAAATAGAGAAAATCAATTTATTCCCTATTCTGACCTAAGTCTTCCCTTTGAGTCTTCAAATAAGTAGGTTTTCCCTTCCCAAATAGTCCAACCTGGAACTGTTCCATAGAAATAAAATGCAAGCCACACATGTAATTTTAAATTTTCTGAAGGTCACATTTTAAAAAATCAAAATAAAACTGTGAAATTAATTTTAAGAGTATATTTTATTTAACCAAATAGATCCAAAATATTAACAATTCAACATGCAACCAATATAAAAAATTATTGAGACATTACTTTTTTTAGTATTAAGTCTTCAAAATCCTGTTTATAGTTTACACTATTAGTGTGATCTAATAATAGATCTCAACTTAAACTACATTTCAAGTGCTTGTGGTTGCTGTATTGGACAGTGCAGTTCCAACTACTACCTTAAACTTAAAATCTATCCATCACTCTGCCAGGTGCAGTGATTCACGCCTGTAATCCCAGCACTTTGGGAGACCAAGGTGGGTGGATCACCTGAGGTCAGGAGTTCAATATCAGCCTGGCCAACATGGTGAAACCCTGTCTCTACTAAAAATAAAAAAAAATAAATAAATAAAAAATTAGCTAGGCATGGTGCCGGGCACCTATAATCCCAGCTACTTGAGAGGCTGAGGCAGGAAAATCACTTGAACCCAGGAGGCAGAGGTTGCAGTGAGCTGAGATCACTCCATTGCACTCTAGCCTGGGCAACAAAACTGAAACTCCATCTCAAAAAAAAAAAAAAAAAAATCTATCCATCAGTCAGTAGACCAGTGATTATTTTCAGTGATCAAGCACAGATAAGTTTGTCTTCCAGGGCCTCATCTAAAACTACCTGAACCTTAAGATCCCTTTAAGCTATAAAATTCTGAGGCTCTGGGATTTCTCATTCTAAAATCTCCTCCAGCATATCTAACCAGTCTGATTTTTAGTCATGCCTCCTACCAATCAACCAAGATTTGAAATACTTTTGTATGTGTTTGGGCCTGTGTAAAAATTGGCCCATGTTCAGATGATGTGGTCCATCTGCAAATTAAGGAATGAGACAGGCCGAGGAAAAGAGAATATTTTGGTTCATGGCTTAAGGATAATTAAATCAATTTTTAAACCATTTTTTATTTAGTTTAAAAGCAATGAGCTTTACCTACATGTGTGTGAAATGTAATAATGTATCCATTAAGTAAATACAAACATATAGGCTGGGTGTGGAGACTCACACCTGTAATCCCAGCACTTTGGGAGGCCAAGGCGGGCAGATCACCTGCGGTCAGGAGTTTGAGACCAGCCTGGCCAACATGGTAAAACCCCGCCTCTACTAAAAATACAAAAATTAGCTGGGCGTGGTGGCAGGTGCCTGTAATCCCAGTGACTCAGGAGGCTGAGGCAGGAGAATCGATTGAATCCAGGAGGCGGAGGTTGCAGTGAGCCGAGATGGTGCCACTGCACTCCAGCCTGAGTTACAGAGTGAGACTCCATCTCAAAAACAAAACAAAACAAAACAAAAATAAACAAAAAAAAACAAGAAAACTAACAAACATACACACAAGGATATTTATTGCTGTGCTTTTATTATAGTAAAATACTAAAAATTAATTAAATGTTCACCCAAAGACAGTTTTTTTTAAATGAGTGACACAATTCCAGACTAAGGTTGAAAGATCCCCGAGATATTCTGTAAACTGAAAAAAGCTAGATCCAGGACAATGGATATCTTTACGTGCATGAGGAAAAAAATGTGTTTTTATAACATATTTTATCCAGTTCTGAGCCAATTTCTTGCAATTTCTTATAATAATTTCTTACAATTTCTTACACATTCTTATAATAAATTTATACACATACACACACATTTAGCTATTGATTCTATTTTTCTAGGGAACCCTGACTAATATAGGTAGTTCATACAAAAGCCCATCACACAGTGGTATTAACAAGTGTTCAGTAAGTGGTTCTGCGGTTAAGGCTAGCTTCTTGTAACCTCAGGCATTCCTTGATTTGTACATTCATCGCTCCAATCTTCCATCTTTACATGAGTATTTTCTCCCTGTGTGTCTTCACATTATCTTCCTTCTGTGCATGTCTATCTCTATGTCTGAATTTCCCTTTTTTATGAGGACATCAGTCACGCTGAATAGGGCCTAGCCTATGCCCTCATTTTAAATGGACTGCCCTTTTCCTATTAAGTTGCATGACCCTATTTCCAAGCAGTTACCACATTCTGAGGTAACTGTGGGTTTGAACTTCAACATCTATTTAGGGGGACACAAATCAATCTATTACATGATCCAATGACAGCATCCAGGGAAGACAAAAACCTGAGAAAGGGTTGGGAGCCAGCAGCCACAGGCAGAATTACTACATTAGTCATCATGCTGTAGATTGCATTTCATTAGAGAGTTAGGGTTTGGCGGGGAATGGAGGCAGCTAGATATGAGCACCTCCTTTCATCTTTGTTTCTAGCCAAGGAAACCAACTGCAATTCTGAAGAACACAAAGGGAAGCACTCCAAAACATACTGCAAAATACCTATTCCCTAAGGCCAATGCAGTTGGCCTG
Source organism: Homo sapiens (assembly GCF_000001405.40). Lineage (NCBI taxonomy): Eukaryota > Metazoa > Chordata > Mammalia > Primates > Hominidae > Homo > Homo sapiens. The sequence goes on from NC_000002.12 coordinate 68,103,515, forward strand.
TGCTGTACTGAAACTAAAATGAAAAGAAAAAGTAGTGGAAAATGCAACTTTGTACTTATTTTTCTCCAGTCCCAAGGGTATAATGAAAACAGACACTTTCAGCTCAAGATTTTGCTGCCAGGATTCTAGCCGGATTTCTCACAATGCCCTAGCCAACTATACGTTCATTAATTATTGGGAATCCAAGCTCCAAAGGAGGGATTTTCACAACCCATTCAGATCCCATCAGCATCCAAATCTTCCTAGAGGGGATATTTGCTGATTTTATTTCATCCAATTGACTATCCTGGTTGGAGCCCTTAAGTATGCATCACTTAGATATTACTCACTCAGAGTTTCATTAAGGACCAAAGAAAGCCATCCAAACACATTCTGAAGCAATAGCCAGATCTGCTGAGCCCTAAAGCAAGGAAAATTCTGGCCTTTCATGCTTAAGATTCTCTTCTTGGCAACCATCTTTAAAGACAGAGCATCTTTAAATGGTCTGTCAGACAAGCCCTTGATGCTGTTCATGTTTATATTTGTGAGATTACTTGTGAGGTGGGAGTGGAAGGAAGAAGGTAAAGATGAAGGCAAAAAAGGTGAGATACACTGGGGAGGTGAAGGTGGAGATGAGTGGATTGACACCCTGACAGATGGTAATCAATGGCCTTGATTACACACAATGACCACTGTGAGGGTAAATTCAGAAGTAAAAATAATAATTCCTCCTTACATTTACTGAACACTTATTAAGTGCTCTGAGTATTATCTTATATAAGCCTCACAGTAACTATGAAGTGGGAACTATTATTGCTCCCATTTTAAGGATGAGAATACTGAGACTTAAAAAGATTAAGTGATTTACCCAAGGTTGCACAACCACTTAAGCAGTAGTGACCAGACTGAAAACCAGACACTCTGACTTGGAAGCCAGCCTCGCAACTCCCACTCTTTATTATTTTTTATGTAATACTTGATATATACAATGTACGTATAAGACACATATGTTATCGTCTTAGTCTGTTTTGTGTTGCTATAAAATAATACCTAAGGCTGACTACAAGAAGCATGGCACTGGCACCTGCTTGGCTTCTGGTGAAAGCCTTGGACTGCTTCCACTTATGGCAGAAGGTGAAAGGGATCCAGCATGTGCAGAGATCACATGGAAAAAGAGGAGGAAGCAGTGGCAGGCTGAAGGGAGTGGCAGGGAGGAGAGGTGTCAGGCTCTTTTTAACAATCGGCTCTCTTGGAAACTAATGGAGTGAGAGCTCACTCACTCTCAAGGGAGGGCATTAACCTTTTCATGAGAGATCCACTCCTATGACCCAAACACTTCCTACTAGGCCCCACCTCTCAACAGTACCACACTGGGCATGAGGTTTGGTGGGAACAAACAAACCATATCTAAACCACAGCAGTTATAAAGCACAGTAATAACATAAATACCTGTGAACCTATCATGCAACTTAAGAACTGTCCCTCTTTGTCTGATACCTTTAAGTCACCTATGTGCCTCTACTCATCCCCTCTCCTCTCTACCCCAGCAGGATCCATCATTTTGAATTTTGTGTTTATCATTCTCTTGGTTTTAAAAAATAGCTTTACCACATAGGTAAATATCCTTAAAATTTTAGTTTTAGTTTGTTTTTTGAGCTTCCATAAAATGGGGTCAATCTTCTATATACAATTTGTCACTTTTTTTAACTCAATGTTATTTACCTAAAATTTGTTAATGTTGTATCAGTTAGCTGTACTTTAATCATTTTCACAGAGTCCATTTGTATAAATAGACCACAATTTATTTATACATTCTCCCATTGAGGAGCATTTGGGTTATTTCCAGTTTTTGCTGTTACAAGCAATGATGCTATAAACATTCTTGAACTTGCCAATGGGTGCACATGTGCAAGAATTTCCCTGGGGTACTGCATGGTGGTAAAGCATGCTTAATTTTATGAGATAATGTCAAATTATTTTCCAAAGTTTTTATACCCATTTACACTCCTCACTCATGTTGTAAGAGTCCTTGTTGCTCCACATACTCACCAAAAATAGATATTGTCAGGCTTCCTAGTGTTTGCTAAGTTAGTGGGAGCAAAATGATATCTCATTTGGTTTCAGTTTGTATTTGTACATTATTATTGTTATTATTGTTACTATAAGTCACATCCAGACAATATTTGTTTGCATTTACCTCAGTTTAACCCTCATGTTTACTGGGTATTTCTGAAACTGGCCCAATATCCCCATATAACTGATGCTTATGGTCTTTGGATAGACATAGAAATTGACCCTCTTGGTCTTAAAGCTTGAAATTTACATTTGTCTTATCTGAGTTCCTTTCTCAGGAAACTGATCCTCAGGCCTCCTAGATAGTATCAAGGAAATGAAACTTACCAGATCACCACATCCAGATAATAAGACACCAGACCCCTCATCTGTCATGATTGCTTCCTTACTGCTCCCTAATTCCTGTTTTCCCACACATAGTTACATTTCTTCCCTGCTATATAAATCCCTAATTTTAGTCAGTTGAGAAGACAGATTTAAGACTTACCTCCCCTTCTCCTTGGCTGCAGCACCTTGATGAAAGTTTCTTCCCTGGCAGTGCTTGTTGTCTCAGTGATTGGCTTTCTGTGCAGTGAGCAACAGGACCCAGATTGAACCCCTAGCATTTCAGTAACATTTCTGTTCCTCATTTTTGCTTATATTTCTGAACTCCCTACTGGAATAATTTTTCTTCTTCCTGAATTACATCCTTTAGAACTTCATTTAATTAAGAACCATTGGTTGTAAATTATCTCATTCTTTGCTACTCTGAAGATGTCTTTATTTAGCCCCTTTTCCTGGGAAAGTACGTTTCCTGGAACACAGTAAGTTAATCAGTTTGAAGATATTATTCTATTGTTGTCTAGTTTCCCTTGTCAAGGAGTCTCCTGTCAGCCAACTTGTTTTTATTTTGTAGGTGATCCTTTTCTCTGGCTTTTATTTAAGATCTTCTTTTGGCCTTTAGTATTTTGTTCTATTACACAAGAATGTGTCTAGGTGTGGAATTTTAGTCTGCTTAGTATATGTTGGTCTTCCTATAGCTGTGGATTCATGGCTGTCATCATATTTGGAAAATTATAATCCATGATATGTCAAATGTTGTCTCTCCTCTATTTGTTCATTCTATCTTTTGTATTGCTTAACTTCTCTGTCATACTTTTTATCTCCCTATCTAGCCCTTATCTAGCCCTAACAATAATTTCTCATATTTTTTTGATAGCTCACCAATTTTAACCAATCCGTTGTGTTATTAATATCTAGGTTATGGCTGGGTGTGGTGGCTCATACCTGTAATCCCAGCACTTTGGGAAACCAAGGCAGGAAGATCACTTGAGCCCAGGAGTTTGAGCCTAGCATGGGCAAGATGGCAAAACCTCATCTCTACAAAAAATTTAAAAATTAGCCAGGTGTGGTAGTGTGTGCCTGTAGTCCCAACTAGGAAGGCTAGGATGGGAGGATCCCTTGAGCCCAAGAGTTCAAGGCAGCAGAGAGCTGTGATCACACCACACCACTGCACTCCAGCCTGGGTGACAAAGTGAGACCTCGTCTCTATTTTTTTAATTACAAAAATTTTATATATATATAATTTATATATATATACTTATATATATATATCTACTTACCACTCAATGCTATGTATACATATATATATAGAGAGAGAGAGAGAGAGATGTTATAATTTTTCATTTCTTCATTTTATTTCAAATGAGAAAATGAATGCCATTTCTGATTTTCCAGGTCACTTTATAGTCTCTTCCATGCACATTTTCTAAGTAAATTTTTTTTATCTTTGAATTTTCTTTAAAATGCTACGTGTCTAATAATTACAATGTCTAGAATCTGTGGGGTGTGGGTCTATATCTGTTTTTAGTTTCAGCTGACATTCAATATGTATTCATTTCCTAGTGAGTTCTATAACAAATTACGACCAAATTGGTGACTTAAGACAACACAAACTCTTTCTCATACAGTTTGGGGTCAGAAGTCCAAAAGCGCTAAGCTAAAGTCAAGGCTGATTCTTCTGGAGGCTGTAGGAATGATGTTCCCTTGCCTTTTCTAGCTTCTAGGGGCTTCCATCATTCCATGGCCAATGACCCCTTCCTTGCATCATTCCATACTCCAACCTGTTGCATCTTCTACTTTATTTATTTATTTATTTATTTATTTATTTATTTATTTATTTTTGTAAAATGAGATGAGGTCTTGCTATGTTGCCTAGGCTGGTCTTGAACTCCTGAGCTCATGCGATCCTCCCACCTCAGCCTCCCAAAGTGCTGGGACTACATGCATGAGCCACCCTGCTTAGCCAACATCCTCTACTTCTGTAGTCACACTTTCCTCTGCCTCCCTCTTATAAGAACACTTGTGATTACATCTAGGACCCATTTGGATAATACAGAATAATCTCTTCATTCAAGATCCTTAACTTAATCACACCTGCAAAGTCCTTTTTGCCATGTAAGGTGATACTAACTAACAGTGCAGTGTGACAGGCTGCCCTACCAGGTTACTTAAAAGTATATGCCCGCTGCCTGAACCCTGAAGGCCAGATAGTAAGTCACGGCCATGGTACCCAGCTGAGGAGCAGGTGTCCCTGAGAGCCTAAACATCCCAGGGAGTATGTGAGAACCTACCAAAGAAAACAGTACCATCACACAAACACAGTAGGCAAAGAGCCCGAAAATTAGCTTAACAGCAGCTTAGAGAAGGGAGGTGGCACAGATCTCTTGAGCTGTGCTGCTGCCACTCAGGAGTGCCCTGCCCTGTATGTCTCAATAAACTCATCTACTTGCCAAACACAACTTCCCTAAATCATTCTTTGGTCTTTCGGCACCTTCCCAACTTGGGAGGGATAGGGGATGTTACAGTCTCAAATTTTTCTCATAACACACGGATCCAGGGCTTAGGACTGAGATATTCAGGGGTGCCATTTTCTAGCTCATTACACACTTACTGTGTCAGAGACTCAGTTGACAACAAGCATCCATTCCCCAACTCCCTTGCTAGTAAGGAAAATACTAATTTTTAGTCAAGCTTATTGTTGGCCAGTTAAAACTCCCTAGTTTTTGTTCACATCAAGATGTGATCATTGTGGTTAAATTTTTGACAATAAATTTTAAGTGGCAGTACTGTGTGCAAACTTCAGAATGTTTTGGTTTTGTTTTTTTTTAAATAGGCCTGCCCTTCATCCCTTTCCTTCCACAATTGGCCTGGAATGTGAGCATCTGGAGCTCTAGCTGCCATCTTGGGTCACAAGAACAAGGAGCATAACGTAGATCTGAGATGATTCATAAACTGTAAAGAAACAGGTCCCTGATGAATTTCTGATGAATCTGTCCTGGACACCTATCTCATGACGTCTTTTAGATGAAAACAAATAAAACTGTGTGTGTCTAAGCCACCATTATTTGTTTGTTCTGCTGTGTGAGGCTAAACTTAGTCCTAACTCATATCATCATTATGTCTTTTGTTTCTTTGTATATTTGGGGATTTTTTCATCATAATTATCCATTTGGTTTCACATAGTCTATAGGAATCCTGAAATCCTGAATTAATGACACCTTCCTCAAAAGGGATTTGAATTTATATATTTCTGGAATTACGTATGCTAACAACAAGGGACAGCTTTAGCCTCCTTAATTAGGACACAGGGCCTGGCAGCAGCCTCAGAGCTTAGCTTTCAATCCCTCATTTGTGACTGACACTGGCATTTCTCCTCCAAGTTTTGCAGTTTGCTTACCACTCAATGCTAGCTTTAGCTTACTATGCATGTTTGCATGTTGTTTTATTTTGTTTTGTTGACATTGGAAAGTTCCCTTTGTTTCTTGTAAGAGCTCAACGTATTTAAAAAAAGTTATAATCTGATTATATTGCCATTGTAGTGGAATATTACTTCAGAGTCCTGTTCACCATTCACCCAGAAGCGGCACTGACGCCCTTCCCATGCCAGTTTCACCATTAGATGTGCTACGAAGGCTTTATGTCAGATTGACCCATCCAATACTTTGATGCAAGCTTGGTACAAGCAGAGCTCTTCTGAAAATAATATTGTTACCACTTTCTATGTGGTAACAATTCACTCATGTATTTGTACTGGGGATTCGGTTTGCACTCATTACTATTATTTTCTTTTAGAGTTTCTGGGACCTCTTTCAAATTACACGAGTTCATTCCTCTGCCTGCAAAGATTCGGACCCATCCCCAGGGATGTGTATAATACAATTCTACTAAGGGAAATACACTATTACTCTGCAACTTGCTTTTTTAATTAATAATATGTCATTTTGCCTTTCAGTACTTATAGTCACCTCATTCTTCCTTCATAGCCGAATAGTATTCTGTGGTACATACCACAATTTATTAAACAATTTTACCATTGATAGACCTTTAGGTTGCTTCCAATATTTTGATATTATTAATACTGCTGTGCTATAATAAGCATATATATACTTGTATATGTGCACATATTTCTGAGTAAATTTATACTTATTGGTTCAAGGGGTATGAATATTTAACATTTTGATGGATGTTGCCAATTTGTCTCCACCAAAAGCCATGCTAATGTAATGTGTTTGTGACAGAGACTACTAATGCCAACTTAATATTAATTTTCCCAAATTCTATACTGAAAGAATCCCTATTTTATTTCAGAGCGGTGGTATGCCTAGCCAAAGGCAACATTTCACAGTCTCACTCTGAGCTAAGTGTAGTCACATGACTAACTTCTGTCCGCTGAACTATGAATGAAAGTGTCGTGTGGGGTGTGCTGCAGTGCCACTTACTGGAAGATGTGCCACTTTCCACCCTTCTATCTTTATTCCTTCTTCAAACCTTCTCAGTGGTTTGATGGCAAGGTCCTTGCAGTCATCATGAACCATGAAATCATCTTGAGGATAGGGGTAGTGGAGAAAAAAGAATGGAGCCTGAATCATGGAGAGACACTATGCAACTTTAGACTACCTACAGCTTGACTTTCATTATATGGGAGAATTAACCCATTATTTTCCAGGTCTTTGCTACATGCAGGTAAATACTATTTCTAAATAACACAGCACCCCTTTCAATCATATAAACAATACACCAGTCCCATTGAGTACTTGCTGTGGTCCCCATCATGTGCTGTAGACTGTCACCGCAGAGCCCTTGCTCACTACCACAGTGGCTGTTCTTTCTGCATGGGTCAGTGCAACCAGGTAGGTGGGCTTGTACATTGACTCCTCATCCTTTCTTTCCCAATTGGTGACCTCAGTTCACAGGACTAGTAGAACAAACTTTAAATTTTCATTTTTGGCTCAGATCATCTAGGGAAATTAGTCTACACAAATACACACACACACACATACGCACATCCAGTACATACAGAAAACCAAATGGCTTTTCAGAATCCACAAATCTTCCCATACTTGAAGCAATCCTTACTTCAGTCTGAAGAGTTTTCCAAAATAACCCCTCAGCCCCTTTTAAGAGAAGACCTATCTAATGAAAAATATAAACGTTCTATGGAATAAAACATTGCAGACTTAATAATTCAAAACTGCTACTAAATCAATGTACTGCTTGTTGGTTTGTCAATATAGCTTTTTCAATTAGACAATTTTATTACAGTGATGAATACCAATGGCACAATTAAGAGACTGCCGTTCTAAATTATGGTCTGTTTAGCCTAACAATCCATATTTGCTACTGAATAAATGTGATGACTATAGCCTCCTAAAGATGAATGGGCCTCTATTGGCAGCTGCACCTGTCCCTGGTGAGGACTGGGCAGGAATGACTCTCATCATATTCCTTCATGGGATCCTTCTGGCTGACCACTGTAATGGCATGTTGCCTCCCTTCACAGTGCCCTCTCCTACACCAGGAACACCTACCCTGCTGGTGATGGGTGTTGTAGATAGTGCCTGACAAGTAAGTTCCGAGTTCCACACCAAATCCCGCTTTTCCTGGTAAATGAAAACAGCACATGAGGTGAGGCACATTGGCTCTTTTTCCCAGCACTTAGGGAGGTCAAGGCAGGAGGATCGCTTGAGGCCAGGAGTAACAGAGCCTGGGCCGGGCGTGGTGGCTCACGTCTGTAATCCCAGCACTTTGGGAGGCCGAGGCGGGTGGATCATCTGAGGTCAGGGGTTCAAGACTAGCCTGGCTAACGTGGCAAAACCCCGTCTCTACTAAAAATACATAAATTAGCCAGGTGTGGTGATGCGTGTCTGTAGTCCCAGCTACTTGGGAGGCTGAGGCAGGAGAATCACTTGAACCTGGGAGGTGGAGGTTGCAGTGAACCAAGATGGCACCATTGTACTCCTGGTACAGCCTGAGTGACAGAGTGAGGCTCTGTCTCAAAAAGAAAAAACAAAACAAAACAAAACAAACAAAACAGAGCCTGGTTTCCTTTTCAGCAGAATGAGGATAATAATCTCTACTTTCTAGAGTTGTAATAATTATAAGTGTGTGTGCATTCCTCTGACACATAGCAGATACTCAGAAAAGGTTAGTTGACTTTGAATCTATCAAACATATGGATACAGCAAGCCCTATTCCTCGAGGAAGGGGCAAGAGCCTCCACTTCTCCATGGCAACATTGTGTTATTGCTTTCCTCCTCATCCTTATTAGAAGTACCTGCTTTGGGGCCCATAAATATCAGTGGGCAGCATTTTTGCTTCTTCCCTGACTTTGCTGCAGGCTCTTAGCTTCCAAGTCTTCCATGTTTAATGCCAAAACAGGGTCACCTGCATTTAAGTGAATGACAAACCACCAGAAGGCAGACAACTTGGCTTCTTTCCTTGTTTTATGCCCCCAAAGCATGGGCAGGCAAGGTCCGAGTTGTCTCTGTTTGCCCTCTGTACCCACCCTCCCCGACACACTTCTGGGCCTCTCCTGGGAGGCTCTACAGAGGACAATTCAATTCAGCTCATAAAGGTGGGGTAGGGCAACCAACTCATCTTGCTTTTCCTGGGAATTTCTGTTTTTCACATTAAAAGGCCAGCAGCATCCCAGGACAGATGGTCACCTGAGGTGGGGGGCACCACGGGCATGTGGATCTGAACGGCTTCTTTTGAGGGGCTTTGCCTATTGGGTGTGAAGCAGGCCTCGTGAGTCAGTGCCTGACCCTCTGGGTTTCCACTGGCTTCCGTCTTGACTTCAGAGACTCCTCCCTAAGGATCAGCACCAGGGTCACCGCCTCTGGTCTTGCTAGGCCTTGTAAATAACAACCCAGCCCAAGGGAGCAGCCCTTCTCAGCGTGCCCTTTCCTCATGGCAGATTGGCCGTTAGACATGAGCTGCACTACTTAACAACCCCCATTTTCCCCTCACTTTCCCAGGTTGCTCATAACAGAACCATGAGGAGAGAGAGTTCCTGGGACCCCAAACTGAAGCCTGGTCTCCCCTGCTGGTAACTAATGAGAGTCTCCAAGGGCTGAGGCCCGCATTTGTTACTGTGTTGACTCTTTTGTGAGCTATTTATCCTTTGGTAACATATGCCCTCATATAACTATATAACTATATATATATATATATATATATATATATATATATATATATATTTTTTTTTTTTTTTTTTTTTTTTAAAGGTGTAGTCTCACTCTGTCTCCCAGGCTGGAGTGCAGTGGCGCGATCTCAGCTCACTACAACATCCGCCTCCCAGGTTCAAGCAATTCTTCTGCCTCAGCCTCCCAAGTAGCTGGGACTACAGGCACGTGCCACCACACCCGGCTAATTTTTTGTATTTTTAGTAGAGAAAGGGTTTCACCATGTTAGCCGGACTGGTCTCAATCGCCTGACCTCATGATCCACCCGCCTCGGCCTCCCAAAGTGCTGGGATTGTAAGTATGAGCCACCGCACCTGGCCTATACCCTCATATTTAACATCAAATAGTTACTCAGCACCCACACTAGCTGCCCAGCATGGCACCATGGGGCATATTCCCCTGCCCTTGAGGAGTCCCTTGTCTTTGTTCCTATGTCCTCTTCAGGGTTCTGTGACACCCATCCTAGGCACTTTATTTCTCACATACTTACTCTGGCTGGGCGCCATGGCTCAGGACTGTAACCCCAACACTTTGGGAGGCCAAGGCAGGAGGACTGCTTGAGTCCAGGAGTTCAACACCAGCCTGGGCAACATAGGGAGACCCTGTCTATACAAAAAATAAAAAATTAGCTGTGCATGGTGGCACATGTCTGTAGTCCCAGCTACTCAGGAGGCTGAGTTGGAAGGATTGCTTGAGCCTAAGAGGAGCTGCAGTGAGCCATGATTGCACCACTGCACTCCAGCCTGGGTGACAGAGTGAGACCCTGTCTCAAAAAACAAAACAAGGCCAGGTGCGGTGGCTCACGCCTGTAATCCCAACACTTTGGAAGGCTGAGGCAGGCGGATCACTTGAGGTCAGGAGTTCAAGACCAGGCTGGCCAACATAGTGAAACCCCATCTCTACTAAAAACACACACACACACACACACACACACACACACACACACAAAATAGCTGCATGTAGTGGCACGTGCCTGTAGTCCCAGCTACTCGGGAGGCTGAGGCAGAAGAATTGCTTGAAGCCGGGAGGCGGAGGTTGCAGCAAGTGGAGATCCAGTCACTGCCCTCCAGCCTGGGTGACAGAGCAAGACTCCATCTCAAAAAACAAAACAACATAAACACACACACATATACTTGCTCTAAGTGTTCTTTCTTGTCTGATCAGGCTGGTCTCCTCTTAGCAATGGCTCTTAAGATTTGCAGGCGGCTCTGTCTCTTCAGAGAGCCTATGCAGACCTTATCCCGTTTGACTGGCAGACTCTCCACCGCCCGTTTTTCGGGTTGCAGGTAGAGGCCTGCAAAGGTGGAATGACTTGTCCAAAGATCTAGAGTTCATGAAGAGCCAGGCTGGAACTGAGCGCTCTAAAGGCATTTGCTGTCCTCGCCTGCCCAGTGTCAGTTCCCCTTCTCATGGCGGCAGCCTGACTTTGCTGTGGGAACTACCGCAATACCCTCTCTGTTGTTTGAAATTTGTGGGCTCATGATTGGGCCTGAATAATGAGAGCACCCATTCTCCTTGACTGTCACAATTAGCTCAAGGATGGGCCGGTAACCCAGCCAGGCCAATGAGCCTCAATCCCAAGGCTTTTGCAGGAACTGATGGAGGGGAAATTGTTCTCTGCCCACTGGGGTTGCTCAGCTGGGATGATATACACCCAGTCATTTTTGCCACTGTGGAGGGAAAGCCTGCCTGAGAATACAGTCAACCCAGAGGAAAGAGATCCAAGACTCTAATAGACACTGCCCTGGCAGCATGATTTGAGCTTTGCACATTTCACTCAGCCATGCCAGAAGATAATTTATCCCTGCACTTCATGGTTTCATACCTCCTCTTTTTGTATTAACTCAGTGTGAGTTGGGTTCCTGCATCTTGAAGCCAAAAAGTCATTACTAACACAACCACAGCCTCTTTCTCTGTGATCAGTGTCTCTCTTTCTCCCAACATGCCACATGCATTCCCATCATCAACATCTTCACTCCAGCTGATCTCCCCTGGCCTGTCCCACCATCCCTCCACCCCAGGCCAAGTCTTCTTCCTCTCTGTCCAGCCTTCCTTAGCTTCCGCGTCCTTCACTGCTCTGACCCCTTCTCAATTTCTGTACATGCTGGCACCACACAATTTCACACTTAATGCCACAGTTGTTGGCTCTTGTTTCCATATGTCGCTCTTGTCTCCAATTAAATTTTAAGTTCTTCAAAATCAGAGATTGTGTCCCACCCTTCCACAGATCCTGAAGCAATGCTGGGAAATAGTAACTAAATTTGTGTTGAGCACATACCGTAGGCCAGTCACAGCCCTAAGACCATTACATGCACTAATCATTAAATCCTCACAACAAACCTGTGAGGTAACTATGATCATTACCCCTATTTTACAGATGAGGAAAGCAAGGCATAAAAAGGTTAAGGAACTTCCTCAATTGGCTAGGAAGGGGTAGAATTAGGATTTTAACTCAGGCATTCTGGGCTCCAGAGCCCAGACTTAATTACTACACTACACAGCTTCTTAATGCATCTTTGATAAATATCAATTGATTCAACATACAGAATTGCAGAGTTACACCAAACCTAAAGCAGTAGGTGGTAACCTCTAGGGAGTCACTCTGATCATCTGAAAGGTTTTGTACCCTTCTAGAAAGTGCATGTGCACACACACACACCACATGCACACCACACGCACCCCTGACAGAAAGAAGAGTGGTAACCAGAAGCCCTGATTCTGGGGCTGCTTTGCTATCTTCACCCTAAACTTCAGTCCTTTGTTATGATTAGGTATGGGGAAAAGTATGAGAAAGATGTTGTCTCCACTCTCCAAAAGTTTGACCTCAGAGTAAGGCTAGAAGCTGACATGAGCAGCAAACAAATTGGTTTTCAATGCCTCCTGCCTCCTTATTCTGTAGCATTCATGGGGCAGTGAGCATTCACCACGTCTGCCTGCCCAGCATCCACTTCCCTCACTCTCATGACAGTGCTTTGATTTCCATTTGGGGGACCACCACTCCCCCATTGCATGCAACAATATTGGACAGTCAACCAACTGTCCACCCTCCTCTGGCCAAAGAGTAAGTACATGACCCACATGAGCCAGCTGGACTCTGCCCTGGGAATTTGAGCAATACAAGGAGGAAATTCAGTTGGAGGCAATTCAAAGACTTAGAGCATGAGTGCCCATCTGCCACACCAAACCCCTGAGCTCCTTTGCTTTCTTTCCTGTCCGAAACCTGATTCTTGAGCTTTCCCCTCAGTTCCACATGCTACCTGAGTTGGCTTTATAAATGCCAACCTGGCGAGGCTGAATTACATTTCCCAGAATTCGCTTTCCTGTATGTTTCCAGTTAGGGTGGGCCATGTAGAAGCTCCTGGAGTGAGATTTGCAGGGTGGAAGTGAAGCAGCACCAGTTTTTGTAGCTTGCACACATTGTCACTTTCCGCTGGCTCACCGCGTCAGCAGGAGGCAGGGGCTGGGCCTGTAGCTGCTCTACCCTTCCCAGGATCCTCCTTCAGCTTTCCCGACTTCTGAGCCAGACAGGTCTGCTTAGCACTGTGATGAAGTATCCTGACTTCTGCAGGAGACCCATGCCACCCAAATCAGAGGCACGGTTTCCGTCCCTCCTCATGGTCTCCAGCGGGTGGTTTCCAGCTTTTTCTTGTTCACCCCCACCTTACACCCATCTCCCTGGCCCAGCTGCCTGCCCTGTGGACTGCAAGCTTCAGCATCAGACCTGAGGGCAAGAGCCTTACAGAGACTGTGTCAGCAGCTCCCATGGGTAGGTAAGATCAAATCCTGGTAAGAAATCCCTAGTGCTGATTCCTGTTACGGCTGCTTCCTGGAAGGCAGTGTCACGTGGAACCTCTAAATTGCAGCATTCAGAGCTCCAGGAAGGGAAAATTTCAAGTTAAATAGAATTCTATATACCATGTCTTTGGAACCTTCAGCCCTCAAGATTCCAACATCATGACCTCAGTTTCAACACCTTTGTCCTTAGTCCTCATGTCATGCCTTTGATGCTGCCTGTTGTCGAAGCAGTAGAAGCCTGCGATGCAATCACTCTCTTGTTAGGTGTGGTTCTCAGCATTACAGGCATTTGTGCTTGCTTGAAGGTATATGCAGAAAAGAGACAGGGCAGATGTGACTTTGAAGGGCTTACTGAATCAAACCTCACCCTGAAAACCTTTGTGCTATTGAGGCTAAACCTGAGCTTTGGTATCTGACAGTTTCCAAGAATCAGTAAATAAGGGAGTTTTACATTCTTCATGGTTTCCATGAAATGGGAGCAAACAGATACATATATAAACATTAAAAAAAGTTTTCTTTACAACAAATAATGCGCTGAAAAATGCAGCCTATAATTTGTATTTGCTGTTTAGAAAGGAAGTCAAAGAGGTAAGATGGCTGAAATTGACACAAGTAATATTTCATAGTTTTAGAATTCTCAAAGCATGTGAAATAGGAAGAAGGAAGTTGTTGCCTAGAATCTTAGGAAACCATCACTGTTCAGTTATAATCACTGCCTCCTGAATCATTGAGGAGTCTTTTCTCCATATTTTTATTCGATTTTTGTTTTGTTGTCTTTCAAGGTAATATTGTATTTAGATACCAGATAGCCAAAAATGGAAACTTTTATCTCTGGGGGAAAAATGTTTAGAAAAATGTATTCAGTGTATCTAATATTGAAGTGAAATGCAGAAAAGATTTAATATTAAAAAAACACTATAGACTGGGCACCGGTGGCTCATGCCTGTAATCCCAGCACTTTGGGAGGCCGAAGAGGGCAGATCACCTGAGGTCAGGAGTTCAAGACCAGCCTCGCCAACATGGTGAAACCCCGTCTCTACTAAAAATACAAAAATTAGCTGGGCATGGTGGCGTGTGCCTGTAATCCCAGCTACTCAGGAGGCTGAGGCAGGAGAATTGCTTGAACTGGGACCCAGACCCGGGAGAAGGAGGTTGCAGTGAGCTGAGATTGTGCCACTGCACCACTCCAGCCTGTGCTACAGAGCAAGACTCTGTCTCAAAATAAATAAATAAATAAATAAATAAATAAATAAATAAATAAATAAATAAAAAAACAGAAAAAACAATATAGACATTGACATAGAAAAGAGATTTAATGTTAAGAAAACAACTTTATATTAACTGAGTACATCCTCCTGATGAGAAGTACTATAGTAAATATAAACCCATTATGTTATTAAAAAAAAAAAGAAAAGAAAGAGGCCGGGTGCGGTGGCTCACATCTGTAATCTCAGCACTTTGGGAGGCTGAGGTGGGCAGATCACTTGAGGTCAGGAGTTCAAGACCAGCCTGGCCAACATGATGAAACCCTGTCTCTACTAAAAATACAAAAATTAGCCAGGGGTGCTGGCACGTGCCTGTAATCACAGCTACTTGGGAGGCTGAGGCAGGAGAATTGCTTGAACCTGGGAGGCAGAGGTTGCAGTGAGCCAAGATGGTGCCATTGCATTCCAGCCTGGGCAAAGAAGGGAGACTATCTAAAAAAAAAAAAAAGGAAAAAGAAAGAAAGAAATCCCTAGTGCTTTGCTTCTCTAATTGATCTCTGTCTAATTTACTACCCTAAATCTTCCTAAGAGTCCTCTTTCATATAAGTTATTCAGAGTCTATTTCTGTTGCTTGCAGCCAAAAAATTCCAAACTGTAGACACTGCATAATATATAAGAAAATATTTGCAAATTATAAAGCACCACATACACGCATGTCCAATTACATTTGTTAGTATAGACCATGCTGGAAAGATGAAGTCTTGGATCAGACAGACAGATTCAAAACCGAATTCTGCTGGGTAATATTTGCATGTCTTTGGACAAAGTTACTTACTTTCACTGAGCCTGTTTCCCCTCTGTAAAAATTTTTAGAAGTTAGCAGCTAGTAGTTAGGATTAGGTCTCTGCTGTGGTTTAGATATGGTTGGTTTGTCACCACCAAAGCTCATGTTGCAATTTGAGCCCCGATGTGGTGCTCTTGGGGCACGGGGTCTAGTGGGAAGTGTTTGGGTGATAGCGGTGGATCCCTCATAAATGGCTTGGTGCTGTTCTCCCAGTAGTGAGCTCTGTCTCTTGTGAGACTGAATTAGTTCTCGTGGGGATGGATTCATTCCCGAGAGTGGGTTGTTATAAAGTCAGACGCCCTTCGGCTTTCCCTCTCTTCTCACATGTCTGCTTCCCCTCTGACGTTCTCCACCATCTTGTGAGGCAGCATGAGTGAGGGACCTCACCAGAAGCCGGGGCTGTGCCCTTGAACTTCTCAGCCTGCAGCACTGTGAGCTAAATAAGCGTCTTTCTTTTATAAATTACCCAGCCTCAGGTATTCTTTTATAGCATCACAAAATGTACGAAGACATTCATTCATGAATACAAGGGAAAGCCCTAACCTCTTATTGGCTTAAACAAGAAACAAGTATTTTTGTCTATTGTCAAAGTCATCAAGGTAAACAGCCTAGGGCAGGTATGGTGGCTCCCAGATCACCAGGGCCAGACTCCTTATGCTTTTGTTTTTACCCCCTCTGGACGACAGGCCCATCCTCATGCTCCACAGTGTCCACACCTTGCTGATAGGGAGACTGGGAGATACAGTCTTTATTATGTGCTGTGATTAAAATGGGCTCCTGTTGTTGAGGCGGGAGGGGAGAGTGGGCATGGGGAGGCAACCTGCTGCTCTGCTGCCGTGGAGACGGTAACAGGCTGTGGCGAGAGTGTGTGGAAATCCCTTCCCCCTCCTCCCCTTTCAGGCTCCTGTGCTCTTTCCCTGTTCTCCCCAGCACCCTTCCCAATGCCAACATTCACTGTGACAACAGTTTGTAATAGGACTTTCATCCTTAAGTCCAAGTAGCAAAATGGATGAAAAAAGTGCTCTGACGACCTCCACTTATATACAAAAATGGTGAGGTTAAGAGTTTATTATCACGCCTGTAATCCCAGCACTTTGGGAGGCCAAGGCATGTGGATCACCTGAGGTTAGGAGTTCAAGACCAGCCTGGCCAACATGGTGAAACCCCATGTCTACTAAAAGTACAAAAATTAGCCAGACATGGTGGCTCACGCCTGTAATCCCAGCTACTCGGGAGGCTGAGGCAGGAGAATCGCTTGAACCTGGGTGGTGGAGGTTGCAGTGAGCCGAGATCATGCCAGTGCACTCCAGCCTGGGCAACAGAGTGACTCCATCTCAAAACAACAACAACAACAAACTATAGTATTTACCCCAGAGTTTTGTGGTGGGGATTTAAAAATACAACATGAGAGAAACAATATAGTAAGCACTCCACAAATATTAGCAGCTATTATTATTATTGTCAACATTATCATCTTTATAAATGTGATCCTGATCAAGACTCTAGAGACAGGCCACTGGTTTCCCTCCAAGTTTACTCCTCATTCACTGTCTTTCTTTCTTTCTTTTTTTTTTTTTTTGGAGATGGAGTCTCACTCTGTCACCCAGGCTGGAGTGCAGTGGCGTGATCTCAGCTCACTGCAACCTCTGCCTCCCAGGTTCAAGCGATTCTCCTGCCTCAGCCTCCTAAGTAGCTGGGACTACAGGTGCATGCCACCACATGCAGCTAATTTTTTGTATTTTAATAGAGATGGGGTTTCACCATGTTGGCCAGGCTGGTCTCAAACTTCTGGCCTCAATTGATCCACCTGCCTTGGCCTCCCAAAGTGATGGGATTACAGGTGTGAGCCACCTCGCCTGGCATATACTGCTTTCTTTAGCTTCCATAGCCTCAACCGAGAGCAAGAGAATAAGGCTTCTGACATTCTTCCTAGGAAGCTTTACGGAACAGATTGGAAAATTCACAACAAGCCCTAAGTGGCCCATAGTGGATTAGTGGGGACTGTGGCCGTCAGGACTCCCCCTTAGCTGAGGCTTCTGTGTCTTCTGTGTCTGCTTTCTTAGGGCCCTTTAGCCTGTGAGCTCTTAGGAATGCAGGAAGACCCTCTCTTTCCCCCTGGGTGGTAACAAAATTTCCCCTGGTCCATCATTCCTGAGCCCTAGTTCAGTCTGTGTGCGGCCAGGTCAGCGCTCAATAGGGTTCCAAACCTGTTGGCTGCAAGCACAGACTCCCTCTGAGTGTGAATGTTATCTCTCACCAGATGAGGGATGTGCTCAGCCCAGATCAAACACTTGTTTATCTACAGGGTGGTGAGAGCCAAAACTCTGCTTCTGTTTCTCCCTGGTGGTTTATTTGCTTACCCTTATCACCTCTGAGCAGTGGTGTTGTTTGCATAGAGTTCTCGGTTTCTGGCATGTTAAATTTAGAGGTACCCCAGGCTTCTCGGAGGGATCAGAGTGTTGAGCAACTCCTCAGGGAGGTGCAGGAGAATATCACTGGATGAGGGGTCAGGAGATGAGGGCCTGGGTCTGTCTTCAAATGCAGAAATTGAGTGCAGAGGTCTCAAAGGCCTCTTCTGGCACTGACGTTCTGACTGGCCATGAAAGCCTTGGGTGTCATAAAGAAGAAAAGTTGAAGACTTAAAAGGAGGAAGTGTGAGTGTCTTCAGCCTCCGGTGTGAGGGAGAACTGTGAGTCTCTTTTGACCACAGTTTATTTTGTGTTGCTTCTTTTAGCTGCATGGTCCATACGCCAAAGGTGGGCAGGTGGAGGGCTGCTACTCACTAACTTGGTAGTGCAGAAATGGCTTTTAAAAACAGTGGCTATATGGCTGCGCACGGTGGTTCATGCCTGTAATCCCAGCACTTTGGGAGGCCGAGGCAGGCGGATCACTCGAGGTCAGGAGTTCGAGACCAGCCTGATCAACATGGAGAAACCCCGTCTCTACTAAAAATACAAAAATTAGCCGGGCGTGGTGGTGGGCGCCTGTAATCTCAGCTACTTGGGAGGCTGAGTCAGGAGAATCGCTTGAACCCAGGAGGCGGAGGTTGCAGTGAGCTGAGATCGTGCCATTGCACTCCAGCCTGGGCAACAAGAGCAAAACTCTGTCTCAAACAAAACAAAACAAAACAAAACATTGGATCTGGTGCAAAGAAGATGGAGAGAAATTCTAGAATTCCTGCAGGAAGTTAAGTGATGGTATAAAGAAGTCCTTACTCTGAGAAATGCTTCGTTAAAATCAGAATTTACAGAATAAACGGTTGGTAGGAGATAGAGGCATGTACTATTTACTTTACAAAATAATTCCTCACTTTATAAAAAGCCAAATATTTTCTCTTGGAAGTTAGCCTTGTGATGCTACCAGTAAGACTGAATCTATAATAAAGCTAATGATCCAACTTTTGGTTAAAAAACCCATTCTGTAAAAAGAAGCATAGGCATGCTATGCAGTGTTGTTATATACAAAGTGGGTTTTCTTCATAAACACAATCACATTTTTGGAAGACATTTCTGTAAGATAATGTCTTTCTCAAGGTCCAGTTTGGCTTGCGTGCCTCCTGGGAATTAAACAGGATAGATTTTTCCAGCTGCATTTGAAAGACAAATTCCGTTTCCTTGTGTTGAAAGGTCTGCAATGCCCACATCTCCCACAAGGGGGCAGCGCACCACTGGGTCTTCAGGTACAAGGACGGCCTGGGATTCGGAACGTGCGGCTGAGGGGCCTCCTTCCCAGGGGAAGAAAATCCACTGAAAGTCGTGAAGAGGCGGACCTTATGTACCACGACATAATTGAATTTCATATCTCACGAACCCTGCGTATTTGCCAGAAACTTTCGGGCTGTTCTCATTCAGAAAAGGATGAAATCATTTTGTGTGTTGGATAGTCCTTAGACATTCCCAGAAAAAAAATTATTTTTCATGTATATATGCAAAGTGTATCCAGCTAAATCACAAGCAAAAGTGACTTTAAGCAGGTACCAAGACACGCCGGATCATAAAGACACTGTTCTCCCTTCAAGTTCCTTTGGTGAGTTTATGGACACGCATGAGGTAAGCTGCGCCGTTCATGTTCTACTGCGCGTGACTTTGTACTGCCCCTGAGTGGAAAAGGTATTTGGGATTCGAAAGAAGTTATTATTAAGTACAAACAAATTCCCAAGAAAAGAAATGTAGTATGAAGATCAATTTGAGTGTGTAGGGGGAGTTTTCCTTTCCTGTTTTTGTACTGGGCTGGGCTTGCATTGGTGCACATAAAGGATAATAAAAGTAACTTAAAAAACCAAGGGATTCCATGGTGTCTGGTTTACAAGAGCTGATGGAGAAGATACAATTGCCAAAAGGGAGTATTGGGTGCCAAGACCCAGATCTGGCCTAAGGAAGCACGCATTGGTAGCGCCCTAGTTTTCACCTCATGGGAGGACGCAGCCAGGGAGGCCGTGCTTGACGGCTCTGTCAGGGCGGCAGAATCCAGTTACACCTCCCAACATCCATTTCCCTACTTCCTCAGGACCAGAACTCCCAAATGGTAGCCGGGTATAACACTGCACACAATCAGGTTTATGCTTCTCGGTCTCACTGTGATAGGTGAGACCGAGACACAGGACCAAATCATCACCAATGGATACAAGCAAAAGTGCTCTTCAAAGTGCAAGATGTTCTTTTTCTTACTTTTCCTACTTTTCTGATGTCTGGAATGTGGATGTGATGGTTCAACTGGAACAGGCACACTGGATAATGCGTAATCTTTATTTTGGGTTTTCAGTTACCCGCAGCTGAACCTAACCCTAATCAACAACAATGCCTTCAAAAAACAGGCCAGAGGTTAAGATGGACTTTTTTTTCCTAATTACTTGTTTTATCATTATTTTATCATTTTAATCACCCACCAACATTTGCTTTTATTTATTTATTTATTTTTGAGACAGGGTCTCTCATTTTCCCCAGGCTGGAGTGCAGTAACACAGTCACCACTCACTGCAGCTTCAACCTCCTTGGCTCAAGTGATCCTCCTGCCTCAGCCTCCCAAGCAGCTGGGACTATAAGCTGTGCTACCACACCCAGCTAATTTAAAAAAAAAATTTTCTGTAGAGACAGTGTCTCACTATGTTGCCCAGGCTGGTCTTGAACTCCTGGCCTCCCAAAGTGCTAGGATTACAAGCGTAAGCCACTGCGCCTGGCCCAACATTTATTAAATGTTGTATTAAGGGGCCAGGGGCAGTGGCTCATGCCTATAATCCCAGCACTTTGGGAGGCCGAGGCAGGCAGATCACTTGAGGTGAGGAGTTTGAGACCAGCCTGGCCAACATGGCGAAACCCCATCCCTACTAAAAATAAAAAAAATTAACTGCGCGTGGTGGCACATGCCTGTAATCCCAGCTACTTGGGAGGCTGAGGTGGGAGAAGTGCTTGAACCCAGGAGGCGGAGGTTACAGTGAGCCAAGATCACGCCACTGCACTCTTCCTGGGTGACAGAGCAAGACTCAGTCTCAATTAAAATAAAAAAGTGTTGTATAAAGGGTATTGCTGAGTGATCTGGTTTTAAGTTGGCTTAGGGATAGAGTTGGATCAGAACACCATAAGCAAAGTTCAGTTGTTAAAGAATCCTTCATAAAATTCCTCCACCATGACTGTATAAATGCAGCTGTACTTGGTCACAGCCCTTTTACCTAGAATCTCATGCTTCAAGTTAAAAACACAAAGTCAAAATCCTGTTCCTTCATTCAAGCTTGATGTTTGATGTAAAATATACAAAACCTATGGACAACTGCATTAATGGCCATGCACTGTGAGGATAATCTGCATCTGCTTTCACTGTGCTGTCCTGATTAATAACCATTTTTCTGGTTCTGGGGTTGAGGACAAGGGTTTAGCCTCTAGATCCCTACACAGTAACAAAGATTCACAGTTTTCATACTGCCATTTGTCCATCCTAGACCCAGTAGGGAAAATGGATGAGTAAAGAATTTCTCACCACTCCAGGCAATATGCAGGTACTTAGGGTGGAATAATAGAGGACATTGTCCTAGCAGCCCTGAGTCCTCAGCTGGTTGGACAATGCACAGGACTTCTGTTAGCAGGTCCTGATAAGTCTGAGTGCAGCATGGGCCCAGTGCCCCCAAGCTCTCAGAGCAGCATTAAGCCCCGTTTTATTGGGACTGCTGGGTATGGCCCTGAGAATGGCGCCTGGCAGTCTAGTCTCATCCAAAGCAGGGAGGTGGGGCTCCACAACACAGTGAGAGTGGCCAGACATTCGGAGATAGAGGTTTCCTGGGTAAGCATAACCAACCTGCCTTTTAAAAAAACATAGCTAGCAGATGCCAACGCCACCGGAAGCCCTGTACTACCAGCGTGGTCAACTCCACCGTGTTCTTAGAAATTGCCATCGACAGTGAGCCCTTGGGCCGCATCTCCATCAAGCTGTTTGCAGACAAGATTCCAAAGACAGCAGAAAACTTCTGTGCTCTGAGCACTGGAGAGAAAGGATTTGGGTATAAGGGTTCCTGCTTTCACACAATTATTCCAGGGTTTATGTGTCAGGGTGGTGACTTCACACGCCATAATGGCACTGGTCCATCTATGGGGAGAAATTTGATGACGAGAACTTCATCCTGAAGCATAAAGGTCCTGGCATCTTGTCCATAGCAAACGCTGGACCCAACACAGATGGTTCCCAGTTTTTCATCTGCACTGCCAAGACTGAGTGGTTGGATGGCAACCATGTAGTCTATGGCAAGGTGAAAGAAGGCATGAATATTGTGGAGGCCATGGAGCACTTTGGGTCCAGGAATGGCAAGACCAGCAAGATCACCATCGCTGACTGTGGACAACTCTAATCAGTTTGACTTGTGTTTTGTCTTAACCACCAGACCATTCCTTCTGTAGCTCAGGAGAGCACCCCTCCACCCCATTTGCTCGTAGTATCCTAGAATCTTTGTACTCCCGCTGCAGTTCCATGCTTTCCTTATTCCCTTCCATGCCTAGCTGGATTGCAGAGTTAAGTTTATGATTATGAAATAAAAACTAAATAATAACAACAGCAACAAAAGCATAGCTAAAAGCCAATTGCCCACATATTTTTCAAACGAGCCATAGCGCCTGATTGCAGATTGCTGTTATAATCAGGTTGCACAACCCAGCTTCATATCCGAAGCCTGCATGTTTCACTTACTTTAGAGGACAGTCTGGTGGCCAAAGGAAAAAAGAAAAACTAATTACAAAGTAGCATTTCCCTGGAAGGTTCCAGGCCACCCCATAAGAATTATTCCAGAAATCCCTTACTAAAACACTCTATAATTTACCACCACACTTAGCGAAGTGCTGTAAGTTAAAGAATGGAAACATATTTGCAGTAAAAATTGCACAATAGCCTAGAGCTTCAGGGTTCTGAGACGGTTGTTTTTTTTTAGGCTTCGCTAAGGTCTGGATGCATTATTTTAAATACTGTCAACACCTGTCTCTAATTCCACTCTCACAGAAAGACTTCAAAACAATTACACAGAATCTCAGATAAATGGAGATGAACAAGGTTCTCATTTGGCAAACCTAGGCATTTTGGCACCTAAGGGTTCATCCCTCACTACATATGAATGATGCGCCATTTTGGTTTTTGCATCAGTTTGGTTTACATGGTCTAGTGCTGGAGAGCCTCATCATTTCTTGGCATACTGAAACACAAAGCCACGGATTAGGAGAGAGGAGAGTCCAATGACTCCTGGTCCAGGAGGCTACCTGTTTTTCACAGGGCATCATTCTCTAGATTCAGGAGAGTAAACCCATTTTATCTCACTTGCCAGCAGTTGGTAGTGGCTCCTAGCAGAGTGTGATAAAGCTTCTGAGGCTCAGGAAGAATGAGTGGCATGATTGATTAGTCATGTCTGCAATAAATTAGGGGAAGGGAAGGGTGTACGTAGATGGGATAGGAGTATCTGCATTTGAAGCAATGTATTTCATCAATTCAAATGAGCACATCCTTCTGCCCATTTATGCATCTTTGAAATTAGGATGCATCTTATAATCACTACACCAGATTGTCTTTTCCAAAACTAGCCACAGTATTTCAAGTCTCACATGCTTTTTTTTTTTTTTTTTTTTTTTTTTTTCTGTTTTTTGAGATGGGGGTCTCACTCTGTCGCACAGGCTGGAGTCCAGTGGCACAATCTCAGCTCACTGCACACTCCGCCTCCCAGGTTCAAGCAATTCTCCCACCTCAGCCTCCCAAGTAACTGGGATTACAGGGGTGTATGACCACGCCCGGATAATTTTTGTATTTTTAGTAGAGACAGGGTTTCACCATGTTGGCCAGGCTGGTCTCAAACTCCTGACCTCAGGTGATCCACCTGCCTTGGCCTCCCAAAGTGCTGGGATTACAGGCGTGAGCCACCACGCCCAGCTCACATGCTCTTTCAGAACCTAGCCAAGACCCCATCAAAAAGTAGAATTTACTTCATCTCCACAGGGAATTTTAAACATTTAGCTGGGTGTGGCAGCATACACCTGTAGTCCTAGCTATTCTGGTAGCTGAGGTGGGAGGATTCTTTAAGCCCAGGAGGTTGAGGCTGCAGTGAGCAATGATGGTGCCACTGCACTCCAGCCTGGGCAACAGAGCAACAGAGTAAGACCTTGTCTCACACACACACACACACAAAGAAAAAGGAAGTAGAATGTATGTACTCTGCCCTTGCACTTGGGATAGGAGGTTGTGATTGCCTCAACTAATAGTGTGGCAAAGTGATTGCTAAGTAAATTATGAAGATAGGTCATTAAAAAAACAAGATAGCTTCTGCCTGGTCTTCTCTTGGGATGCTCACCCTTGGAACCTGGCCACCATGCTCAGGAACCCTATGCCATGTGGCGAGCTCAGCCCTTGCTTCTCAGATCTGGTTGAGGTCCCAGCTAACAGCCAGCACCAACTTGCAAGCAATATGAGTGAGTGCCATCTTGGAAGCAGGTCCACCAGCCTTTAGTAGAGCTGCCTGCCTCATGCTATATGGAGCATAGATGAGCCTTCCTTGCTGAACCCTGCCCAAATCATAGACTCCTAAGCAAAATAAATGATAGTTAGTGTTTAAGATATGAAGGTCTGCAGTGGTTTGTTATACAGCAATAGGGAACTGAAATAATCGTGGTCAGCCAGGCTGCAGTCTTGACAGTTGTCACTGCCTGCATGTATGTATACACAAAAACATGTTGAAGAAGTGTCAGTGAATTGAAAGAAAACCCTGAAGGCAATAGTGGAACATGTTTTAAAGAAATGCTACATCACAAACACTTTTATGCACAAAGGACAATATTATAAGGAAAACCATGAACACTGATGGCTCTGAATTCAAAAAGTGATTTAGAAGAATTAAACTCTGAATATGAAGGAATCTAAGGAATAGCATACCAAATTTATTTTGTATAAATTTTTCTTTAATTTTTTTATTTCCATAAGTTTGGGGGGAACAGGTGGTATTTGGTTACATGAGTAGGTTCTTTAGTGGTGATCTGTGAGATTTTGGTGCGCCCATCACCCGAGCAGTAAACACTGAACCTGATTTGTAGTCTTTGATCCCTCACACCCTTCCCATCTTTCCCCGAGTCCCCAAAGCCCAGTGTGTCATTCTCATGCCTCTGCATCCTCATAGCTTAGCTCCCACTTATGAGAACATACAATGTTTGGTTTTCCATTCCTGAGTTACCTTACCTAGAATAATAGTCTCCTGTTTATGTGGTTCTTTTTAAGGATGCACACAAGTGATACACAATGGAAAAAAAACTATGTGTAAATAAAATTAAAAGAACACTCAATTAATATAAAGCAAATAGTGATAAAAAGAAAGGATTTTATCACAGTTTCATCATACCAGCCTAGCATCAGTGATATCAATGACATCTTAGATTTAATGAAATACAGGTGTTTATTGTTGTTGATTCTATTATATTACCAAATACAAGTGTCCTAGGAGAGATTTCCACAAATTTTCCATTTTTTTCTTTGCAAATTAAAAAAAAGTAGATATAAACTTTTTTAAAAGTTCAATTTAATTTTTACTTTCATAATTATATCCCATTGTTCTATAAAACATTGGGGCTGGGTGCGGTGACTCACGTCTGTAATCCCAACACTTTGGGAGGCTGAGGCGGGCGGATCACCTGAGGTCAGGAGTTCAAGACCAACCTGGCCAACATGGTGAAACCCTATCTCTACTAAAAATACAAAAATTAGCAGGACATGGTAGTGCATGCCTGTAATCCCAGCTACTCGGGAGACTGAGGCAGAAGCATTGCTTGAACCCGGGAGGCAGAGGTTGCAGGTGAGCCGAGATCATGACACTGCACTCCCGCCTGGGTGACAGAACAAGAAAAAAAAAAAATTTGCCTCAAAAAAAAAAAAAAAAAAAATTTGGAAACAACAACAAAAAAAAAGCTTAATTTTCTCAACGTAATATTCCAAATAAGTGACTCTCCATGATCACCTGAAATCACATAAATTTTGCATATTATGAATGTTTTAGTTGGCTCCGTTTTCTTGAATGGCATAGCATCAGTGATATTGATGACATCTTAGATTTAATAAAATACAGGTATTTATTGTTGTTGACTCTATTACCAAATACAAGTGTTCTAAGAGAGACTTCTAAAAATTTTCTAAACTAAAAAAAAAAAAACCTTAATTTTCTTAACTTAATATTCCAAATAAGTGACTCTCCATGATCCCCTGAAATCACATATACTTTACATATTGTGAATGTTTTAGGTGGCTGCGTTCTCTTCAATGGAGGTGGGGGAGGGTAGGCTTAATGAAAATGTGGTAAAGTCAATAATTCCAAAAGGCTTAGCTAAAGATATGTTGAACATTAAAGAAACAAAGTGAATTAAAACTACTAATTAAGCATTTATAAAGCAAAATGATGTGACAATGTTAACTTTATTACTACTGTTAAGGTAACAGAATCAAAGCTTCTGTAGATCTCAAAAACAGAAGTTTATTCATAAAATGCATTTTTAAAGTATGACCAAAAATAAGACTACAAAACCCCTACAATCTTGTACATTTCACCATCACTTACCACAGTCAAAAACCAAAAGTCTCACCAATTCAGTTCCTGTATTTTAAGTAAAAAAGAGCTCTTTAAAATCAAAGCATTTTGTTTTATGAATTAAATTGCAGAAAATAGCTACCCAAATCTAGACCAACCGTGCCGTTTTGAGAGAGAGAGATATATATATATATATTTGTTTTTTTTTTTTTTGAGACGGAGTCTCACTCTGTCGCCAGGGCTGGAGTGCAGTGGCGCAATCTCAGCTCACTGCAATCTCCACCTCCTGGGTTCAAGTGATTCTCCTGCCTCAGCCTCCCAAGTAGCTGTGATTACAGGCGCCCGCCACTAAGCCCAGCTAATTTTTTGTATTTTTAGTAGAGACGGGTTTTGACCATGTTGGCCAGGCTGGTCTCGAATTCCTGACCTCGTGATTCACCCGCCTCAGCCTCCCAAAGTGCTGGAATTACAGGCGTGAGCTACCACGCCTGGCCCACCATTTTGATATTTTATACAATAATATTATGTCCAGAAAATTACTCACACTGAAATCTCTCAAAATGTATTTATGAAGGTTAATTCAGTTTTTCCAAGGCAAACTCTTTTAAACCAAATGAAATGATTCCCACCACAACATTATAGACACTAAAACATAACACAAGCATAAAGATAAAATATGGAACTTCAGGGACACAGAACAAATCTGAAATATGTTTAATTATAGACAACTATTGACTTAGAAATGGAAGGGAGAGAAAAGAACTGGCCCTGGAGATAGTTTACTTGGTGCTTCTGATACCCACGTGCAGCAGCAAGTCAGCAAACAAGCCCCGAGAGAGGCTGGAGGCTGGCCCAGAGGCTTGTGGCTGGGGTCTTTTATCATCAGCCAAATCCAGCTTTGTTCAATGAGGGTCAGAGGACTCCAGAACCTATCTTAAATTGTGTGAGTGTTCCTCTGGAAGGTTTCAAGTCCAAAGTCTTTTTTTTTTTTTTTTTTTTTGAGACAGTCTTGCTCA
The DNA here is from genome assembly GCF_000001405.40 of Homo sapiens. Classification (NCBI taxonomy): domain Eukaryota; kingdom Metazoa; phylum Chordata; class Mammalia; order Primates; family Hominidae; genus Homo; species Homo sapiens. The sequence goes on from NC_000002.12 coordinate 68,130,952, forward strand.
GTTGCCCAGGCTGGAGTGCAGTGGCACAATCTCGGCTCACTGCAACCTCCGCCTCCCGGGTTCACGCCATTCTCCTGCCTCAGCCTCCCAAGTAGCTAGGACTACAGATGCCCGCCATGACACCCAGCAAATTTTTTTTTATATTTTTAGTAGAGACGGGGTTTCACCATGTTAGCCAGGATGGTCTCGATCTCCTGACCTTCTGATCCACCCGCCTCGGCCTCCCAAAGTGCTGGGATTACAGGAGTGAGCCACCGTGCCCAGCCTCAAGTCCAAAGTCTTGAAGTCAAATTTTATTGAGCTTTGTAACGATCAGTACTCTCACCGTTTGGTCAAATGAACTACAGACGCAGAGACCCCTTTTATCTGGACTCCAATCCAAACTTGAAATGGGCTGGGTGGACAACGTAACATTCTGCAGAAGGCTTACAGAACCTGCGACTCCCATTTCTATTCCCTCAGAATCTTTCTTTGACCGCTGAATAGGGTATTCACTGAAAACAAGATCAAAATGGTAAGAGCGCATAAATCTTAGCTTTCACCATTTTATTTTTATACATACACTTCAATGACTCTATTTCTCAGTTGGTTACTGGGACTAATAAATACTTAAAGAATCTTTCTAATACTGAGTTGTTTGCAAATAAAGAGACAATTTCAACCTCAATCCTATCCCAAAACACGTCATAAAAAAGGGTTATTAGTTCTACTAAAAACTTCTAAAAGTCATTTCTGCTCAACGTGTATCTGTATTTTCTCTTTTAATATGAAAGTTCTAGGTTGATCTAGGATTCTTTAATACATTTACTTGGTGCTTTTGGCAATCTTTTATTTATTGTAATTTTTCTCCAGATATAGATTGCTGGATATCACAGGCAAACAATGTGCAAAGGCAATGGCTGTAAGTAACATTTGCAGAACTTCATCTAAACACTTCCAGAATGAAAAACTGATGCCAGCTTCTAACCCTCGAGCTCCATTACACGGACCCAAGCCTAAGGACCTTTTGTGTACCATTTCTATGGGAAGGCGTCACAGGGTGGAGATGTTAGACCTAAATGTAATTGTTTCAAACAAGAAAAAAGTGGTTCTGAGAACATTTTTTTTTTCAGCTGAAAATATAAATTTATACAGTAAGAAAAGCAGAAGGTTAAAGTCATAAATCCTATTTGGTCTAGATTTGAAAAGGGGAAAGAGAACACTCCTCCCCAATAGAGATGTGTTCCTAATAAAATACAAAAGTATCACTCCTCAGAAGGCCTTTTAAAACCTACTAGTATCAATTATGACAACATCTTTATTTCATACATGCTGGCAAAGGCCAAGAACGTAAGAAGCACAAAGCCAATCAGAAGCAGAATGGAAAGGGAAGAAGAATCTACAGGTGGATGATCTACTATTTTCTCTTCCTCTCAAACCCTACAAATCATTTTGATGAAAAAAAATAAAACATTCAGATGAATAAATGGTTTAAATACAGACACCTTTCACATATCTCTTGGCAAAGGCTGCAGTTATTTAGTATTCAAAAGATAACATAAAAAATTTTTAAAACCCTCCATATTATCTGTTGAAGTTTTAAAAGAATATGTGTATATGATTCAAATACTTGGAAAAAAAATCAGCATGTTGAAGTTTTTCATTCAAAAAACAAGTCGTGAATAACTAGATGATTTCTTGTAGAAGCTGTTCGTTCAGTGGTCAATAAATATTTACAATTTAATTGCATTACTACCAAGACAGACTGGCAAATGAAAATAAAGCTAAATATCATTGTACTTAAACCAATTCCCTTTGCTGGTACAATACTTGACAGTAAAACTCCAAACCGATTTGAAGATTAGACTGGACATCTGTTCTGGTTAGGTGTAAAGTTTACATTGCGCTAAACTTCAAATTTGCATACAGACCTAACTTTACTGACGGAACTAAATCCGCTGTAGTAAAAAATTCCAGCTGCGAAAGTGTTCGTGTGCCTCATGGAATACAAATCCATGTGTAGATTACAAAGAAAACTGGGACTAGTTCTTCAAGCGAGCAGCCTAAAGAGTTTGGTCACCAAGTAAAATAGTGATGTGCCACCACATGGCTTCACTAAGGGGACTGGCAGAGTCTAACGTGGGGAGGAGACCGGGATGGAAGAATCAGGGAAGAACAACAGGCAGAGGTGCTAGAAGAAGGGAAAGTAGCAAGTGATCTCTCTACCCCACATTCTCCCAGAACGACTCAAACTTTTCCTCTGCTTTTCACTCAGAAACCATATTGGTTGTTTGTTTGTTTGTTTGTTTGTTGAGACAGAAAAAGTCTCTGTCGCTCTGTCTCACTCTGTCACCCAGGTTGGAGTGCAGTGGTGCGATCTCGACTCACTGAGACCTCCACCTCCCAGATTCAGGCAATTCTCGTGCCTCAGCCTCCTAAGTAGCTGGGACGTGTGCCACCACGCCCGGCTAGTTCTTGTATTTTTAGTAGAGACCCGGTTTTGCCATAATCATACTGCTTCGATCTAAAGTGTTCACTCTGGCTGGGTGCAGTGGCTCACACCCATAATTCCAATACTGTGGGAGGCCGAGGCAGGTGAATCACCTGAGGTCAGGAGTTCGAGATCAGCCTGGCCAACATGGTGAAACCCCGTCTCTACTAAAAATACAAAAATTAGCCAGGCGTCGTGGCGGGCACCTGTAATCCTAGTTACTCGGGAGGCTGAGGCAGGAGAACCCCTTGAACCTGGAGGTGGAGTCTGCGGTGAGACGAGATCATGCCACTGCACTCCAGCCTGGGTGACAGAGCAAGACTTTGTCAGAAAATATAAGATAAAGCATTCGATCTGCTTTTTGTCAGCGGTATCCCTGCACACAGTACTTTAACAAGTACTTTCCAACTGTAGCCCTGTTTTTCAGAACCCCTTCCAGCTTCTCAAAGGAGCTAATAGAGAAGAATTTTATAAATGTGAAAGTCCCAGATATATTGAGGATGGTGTTTTTCTTCTTACATTATTAATGAAACTTTATTTTTGAAATATCCTTCATTTATGGGCTTGCTGTTTTTTCCCTGAGTGATGTTTAAGAAAGATATAATTTTTCCCCTCCAAGTACATATTGCTTAGCTAATAAAGTATTCAGAAATACCATTAACTCACAATTTTTATCAGACCTTTAATTTTTGTTTTGTTTTGTTTTGTTTCCTTTTCACAGGCCAACCCTGAGCAATGATATCAGACCTTTTAAATGATCTAGTATCTGTGATGTTAGCGCCCTTGGGATTCAGAAAGTGGTGTGCATAGTAAAAGCTTTCATTGTAACTCACCCTGCCTAGATATGCAGAAAGCAAATTCAGTGATAAGATCTTTCCTGGAGACCAATCAGCAGCCTCAGGCTCTGTTGGGGTCTATCACAATGATGTTATCTAAATTTAGGCAAGGAACCCTTTCCCCATCTTTTAGAGGCAGTGAGTGTTCTAATCACTTCAAGATAGTATCTGATAAAAGTCTTGGGCCAACTTTTTCATACTTAGAAGACACAACTAAAATGATATACTAAAATGTATCAAAAGAAGATTAGTGTACACTCTACTAAGTGTAAAGTATATTCATACAAAATGCTTAGAAAACAAGTTATGTAACACCATGAAATTTTAAATCATATCAAAATGAACTAAGTCAAAGCAGGAAAAAAAAGAAAAAAAAGTTCAATCTAATCCTACTTTACACCCACAGGTAACTTTAAAAGGAGCAGTGTGCACTGGCAGACTTACTACTTCCAGAGGTGAAGGCCGCCGGCGCCTCCAGCTGTCAGAAAGAGCTCCCTGTTCTGCGGCAGGTGTCGGACCTGCCACACAGTAGATTTATGAGCCTAAATAGAACAAGAGGCATACAACTGGTTTATATGCTAAATGGTGCCCTGGAAGAGAAACGCTGCAAATAAAAAACTCTTACAACTATAATTTCAATGGTTATAAAAGTAATTAAGGTTATTTTCTGGCACATCTCTTTATAATGGCTATAGAGATTTATAGGAACACATAAGAAATTAGAAAAAGCATCATTTTTCTTTATTGCTTTATGAAACAAAGTTCTACTGGATTTTTAAAAAGACAGGTATTAAAATCCATTTAAGTTTATAGTATCAAATACTTATGAAAATAGATTTTACATATTTAAATACCTCTAGTTCATTCTGAGGGGGAAAACACTCAAAATATAAAAACATATACTTTTGTTTATATATACGAAAAATGTGGACTGAATTAAAAAAATACACTTTAGTTCTGAGAGCAGTTTGAGGTTCACAGCAAAACTCAGCAATAAGTACATAGACTGAATTTTAACTAAAATTTATAGACCGAAATTTAACTAACAGCTCCCAGAGCCTTATTTTCAATTTATTGCCATTTACCTGTCCAGTCTTCAAAATAAGGACCATGAGGACTTACAGACAATGTTTATGGTCATAATAAGCTAAGGTCTTTATCATTCACATTAGACTAAAAGATTAAAAACCAGCAACTGGAAGGTTAACAGGTTGTTAGCACCTCAAAAGCAGCCAGTAAATCCATCCCGGCGCCACTGCATTAACTGGGGGGAACTTAGGAGAGAGAGAGAGACAGAGGGAGAGAGAGAAAGGAGGCGGGAGGGAATGAATGACTGCTGCTTTGTAGAAGCAGTGGGGCTGGCTATCGTGGTACACCACATTTTAGTGAGTGATTAGTCTTGACCTTTGATTTCAATAGTCTTTTGAGAGAATTACCATTAGCAGATAAAGACTCATATCTCAAAACACACATTTTGAGTGTGTAACAGTCTCTCAGTGATTAGGTTCAAGCTGTCGAAACATTTTATTTTGTAGCTTAAACTTCTCTTCTTCTTCAGGAAGTTGAGAAAAACACAAAAAGCAAGAGGGGAAATGACCTCTTAAAATACACCAGAGTCTTCTATTTGGCAGATTTAGCAATTACTGGATTAACTAAATATAATTTTAAAAAACTGGGCCAGGTATAGTGGCTCACGCCCATAATCCCAGCACTTTGGGAGGCTGAGGCAGGAGGATCACTTGAGGTCAGGTTTCAAGTCCAGACTGGGCAACACAGCAAGACTCTGACTCTATGAAAAAAAAAAAATCTAATTAGCCAGATATGGTGGCGTGTGCCTGTACTCCCAGCTACTTGGGAGGCTGAGGCAGGAGGATCACTTGAGCCCAGGAGTTTGAGACTGCAGTGAGCCATAATCATGCCACTGCACACCAGCCTGGGTAAGAGGGCAAGATTCTGTCTCCAGAAAAAAAAAAAAAAAAAAAGCCAAACAAACAAAACAAAAAACCAGAGATGACACTATTATGTATAGATAATGAAATATGTGTTGCAAATTATACATGGAACAGTTTAGTAAAGTGATTTATGTTGTTGATAGATACTTAATATATTCTGAAATGACAAAAGCAAACCAATATTATAATTTATAGCTATCTTGTTAAGAATTTGGTTTTCATAAGGAAGTGACAATAATTTACACACAATAATAATAATGAGACAAAATAGAAAGGTTCAAGAAATCCTACTGAATCCACAGGAGAGAGAGAAGCAACGGAGTAAGTTCTCACTTCCTGAGCAACTTGTATATTTTAATCTTATGGAAACAAGGAATCTGTAACTGATCTTTCTTTCTTTTTATACTTGAGGAAGTTCAAATCACATTTCCAATCCATTTCTTGTGAATGACAGGACCTTTCTGCATGAATTTTCTGTAATCCCCCCAGTCCAGAAACTATCTTTTTTTTAAACCAGTATTTTCCCTTTGCCCTGCTTTCCTCATCTATTGGTCTAACGCCATAATACCGCATTTCCCTCTCAGCTACCTCAAATGCAAGGCAAAGTTAAGTAAGTAAATATTTTTGAACATTTACTATAATCACAGTACTCAGTGATTCAAATAATTTCATTTAATATAGCAAACTGGAATATAAAACAAAGTGTAATGAAATGACATCATGTACATATAGTTTATTTTGAAAAATATATAACCAGGTATTAGCACAAATATTATATACTTATTAGGAAACACCAGGCTGGGTTTTGTTGATCAAATTCCTAATATCAGCTAGGTTTCTTCTAATTGCTCCTAAACTACAAAATAAGATTCCTACCTGAGATCTTTATTATAATCAAGAAGTCTAAAGTTGATAAACTTTGGGGAAGTACTCTTTGCACAGAAAAACTTGTCAAGATCTCACAGGAATATATCAAAAATAGCTCCCTTCACATAAAGACCTGGAAGAAACCTTGGTGACTAATTCTACTTATCAGTCTAAACCAAGCTATCATTCTTCTTCATAGAAAGACATTTCCCTCATATTTACCTTTTCTGAAACAGAGGCAAAACCTTTGGTTGGATGCTGTGTTCTCATGTCAAAAACATGGAACTTTCCTTCCAGAGATGTGGCTACTAACTTATTCATACTTATGTCTTTTCTGTCAAACTCCAAGCTACACACCTGAAAACAGAGAATACTTATTATTGGTAGTCTCACCAGTATTACTCAGGAGGCTCTTTTATACTAAGTAAAACAGCTTTAAAATGGTCAGATAATGTGAAAGCACTCCAACAATCATTTATCTTTTAACTTTTCCCATAAAAATTTTTTTCCAGCCAGGCGCGGTGGCTTATGCCTGTAATCCCAGCACTTTGGGAGGCCAAGGCAGGTGGATCACGAAGTCAGGAGATCAAGACCAGCCTGACCTACATGGTGAAACCCTGTCTCTACTAAAAATACAAAAATTAGCCAGGCGTGGTGGCGTGCGCCTGTAGTCCCAGCTACTTGGGAGGCTGAGGCAGGAGAATTGCTTGAACCCGGGAGGCAGAGGTTGCAGTGAGCTAAGATCATGCCACTGCACTCCATCCTGGGCGACAGAGTGAGACTCTGTCTCAAAAAAAAAACATTTTTTTTTTTTTTGGCCAGGCACAGTGGCTCACGCCTGTAATCCCAGCACTTTGGGAGGCCAAGGCAGGCAGATCATGAGGTCAGGAGATTGAGACCATCCTGGCTAACACGATGAAACCCCGTCTCTACTAAAAAATATGAAAAATTAGCCGGGCATGGTGACAGGCGCCTGTAGTCCCAGTTACTCGGGAGGCTGAGGCAGGAGAATGGCATGAACCTGGGAGGCAGAGCTTGCAGTGAGCCAACATCGCGCCACTGCACTCCAGCCTGGGCGACAGAGCAAGACTCCATCTCAAAACAAACAAACAAACAAACAAACAAAAAACCCATTTTTTTTTTCCATTAGTAAGATCAACAAAACAATCTTGGGTTCCCATGCTCAGTGAATGCCTTTGGGGAATCATTATTTAACTTTTTACATTATTTAACAGTTAAGTAAAGGCTAACAGTAGAAAACAGGAGGAAACCACATTCTTTGCTAAAGGTGCACAACTAAGGAACCAAAAATCTGAGCTGGGGAGGTGACTACTGTTTCAGGCTTTCTGATATTGGCATAAAAAGACCTTTTACTTGCTTATTTTGAAATCTTACTACATGGCCCACAGGGGTCTGCAGACAGGCTGAAGGGGCTGGTGACTCCCCCAACGCTGTGCAAACCACATGTGGGTGTGAGCTCATTTTCTGAAGAGAGGATCCAGGATTTTCATTAGATTCTCAAACGGATTTGGCCTCAAAAAGTTAAGAACCGTTGGCAGAGGGGTTGACTCAGATGAGTTACTAGAGGTGTTTTCCTTTTGTAATAGTTCAGAGGTGAATGGAAACATGCTCAGAGAAACCAAAAAGCCTCAGAATGTACTTTACCCCATTTTTGATGTTTGTCTCCCACCGTAATGCCATATTTCTGAGATCAAATAGTTTGATATCCCCATTGTCATAGCCAGCACAAACAACACGTTCTTCTTGATTATAAGCATTGCCTGGAAATCAAGATACAACATTTCACATCCTTATAAATGCATCCTTATAAAGGCTGCTTTAAAAAAGTCTTATGAAACTAACATAAAACTTATATTAAATCAGATCTTAAAAATCACACTGGGTAGTATCCCATCTTACCAATCCTGAGAGGACATCAAGATTATTAATGTGGTATCCATTAGTTTTTTGTTTTGTTTAAATTTCTGATAAGAGTTTGGATATTTGTCCCCCCAAATCTGATGTTGACGTATGATCCCCAATGTCGGAGGTGGGGCCTGATGGGAGGTGCTGGGTCATGGGGCTGGATCCCTCGTGAATGGCTCAGTGCAGTCCTTATGGTAATGAGTTTTCGCTCTTCTAGTTCATGTGAGGTCTGGTTGTTAAAGAGTCTGGCACCTCCCTCCTCCCCTCTCTCTTGCTCCCTCTCTCGCCATGTGACATGCCTGCTCCCCTTTTGCCTTCTGCCATGAGCAGACAATTCCTGAGGTCTCACCAGGAGCAGATACTGGCACCATGCTTCTTGGATACTCTTGCAGAATCATGAGCCAAATAAAACTCTTTTCTTTATAAACTACCCAGTCTCAGGTATTCCTTTATAGCAATAAAGCAATTCAATGCAAAGCAGACTAACTAATATAAGCTCATTCACTGTAATTCCATACTGAAAGGATATGTGAAAGTGTTTATTGAATTCAATTTAAATAAAATGCTTTATAGGAGATCGAGACCATCCTGGCTAACACAGTGAAACCCTGTCTCTACTAAAAAAAAAAAAAAAAGAAAAAAATACAAAAAATTAGCCGGGTGTGGTGGCAGGCGCCTGTAGTCCCAGCTACTCGGGAGGCTGAGGCAGGAGAATGGCATGAACCTGGGAGGCAGAGCTTGCAGTGAACCAAGATCGCGCCAATGCACTCCAGCCTGGGCAACAAAGCGAGACTCTGTCTCAAAAAAAAAAAAAGAAAAGAAAATGCTTTCTACTATATCTGCAAAGGCTAGCAGGCCAACTACAGCTCAAACACAAAGGGGTCTCAGAGAATAAATACAGTTATACCTCTATTGCTTTCTTGGCAGTAACTATATTTGAATGCAAACAGAAACTTTAAAACTAATTTATCTTGAAAAATGTTGCTCTGGTGTGATTCCATCTTTACAAGGAAATCTGAAATAAGTTGTAGCACACTGTGACATATTTTTAGTAGTGTGGATGATCATACCTGAAGTAAGTTTATAATCTGTGGTTAAACTCATCCTCCTGGAATTAATTCAAGGATTTTTTTCCAAGTATCTCTTGCTGAGGAAAGAGTGTTAAGTGAGAAGGAGGCCCCTGTCACTGTGCTATGCTATCTGGGCATCCTATCCCAATGCTTTCATTGCCCCTAACTTCGTTTTTCTCATAAACTCCAGCCCTGCATTTCCACTGTGGGCCCCACCTAGATGGTACACCATCATCTTAAACTCATGATGTCCCAAAATGACCTTACCATTTTCCTTTACAAATTATCCCACCCCTTGTATAATTTTTTCAATTAATACCATCATTCACCCCACAATCAGCCTGAAAACTCAGTCATCTTGGACATTATCCTTTTCTTTGTTCTTCATATCCAAAAACATTCCCAAATTCTATGTATTCTGCATAATATTATCTTCTGAATCATCCACTCTGCTCCCTTCTCAGTGCTTGTAACTTAGGTCTTCCCTGGAATACTGCAAAGAGCTCTTGAACTCATATTCTCTGTACCACTCATCACTCCCGCTAAATACCACTAGTTCATTTTCCTAAAGCTCGGATTTCATCTCTTCCTTGCAAACACCATCAAAAACTTAGAACTATCTTCAGGCCGTCCTAACACCTCTGGCCATTGTCCTGAGCCATCTCTAAGGATATTCCTACTATTACTCTCTTCTACCGTTGGCCCTCCCTATCCATGGGTTCTGCATCTATAGGCAACCAACAATGGATCGAAAATATTTGGAAAAAAATTTGCATCTACACTAAAAACGTACAGACTTCTTGTGCTTGTCATTATTCCCTAAACAATACAACAATGACTGACACAGCATTTATATTATATTAGGTATTATAAGTAATCTAGAGATGATTTAAAGTATACGGGAGGATGTGTTAAACCATTCATGAGAACTCCGCCCCCATTAATCACCTCCCACCAGGCCCCACCTCCAACACTGGGGATTACAATTGGACATGAGATTTGGTGGGGACATAGATCCAAACCATATCAAAGGGCAAATGTCAATTAGTCTTCCAAAGTCAATATTCATTTTAAGTAAATTAATGAAGGAATACAGTTATCAAAATTTATAAGAAATAACTTTGTAATGGCAAACTATTTTCTAGAAAATAAACATACTCCGTATATAGCGTAATGTATGATTTGTTAGGTAACTGTTTGCATTTGAGGCTTGGTTTATCCCCATTAATGGTGTCTGACTTTAAATTAGGTCAATATTATCTAGTTAAACAGGAACACATAATAATAAGCACAATTCTCAGCACTTTACATGTAATTAACTCATTGACTCTTCATGACAACACAACTAAGTAAATTCTATTATTAATTCCATTTTATAAATGAAACATCCAAGGAACAGATAACTTTGGTAACTTGCTCCAGGCCACATGGCCAATAAGTAGCAGGTGAGAATTCAAACTCAGGCCCCAGAGGCTGACATTAACCACCACGTGTATTTGCCTCAGTAAACTATTAGAATAATCCACAAAACAGACCATAAAGAGACTACTGTGAAATTTCTTGCAGCATCGTGCTTTTTACCATCTGATAATTCAAATGCAAGAATTCTTCAATAATTTACCAAATGCCACAGTCCAACAGTCTCTCTTGTTTTCTCCTTGTACAGGTTCCATATTAGCAACAGGATCATCTTTTTGCCTTGGGTCCCACACCTTCACAGTTCCTGCCATGCATAAAAGTGAGTTGGCAAAAATTCAAAAGTAAATGATTATGTTTCTTTTCTACATTCTTCTTCTATGGCTTCCTGTGTACATGGCAATATGACAGATGTTATGACATCTGAAAATATCCACATTGTTCTGACTTCTAATTGGGTAAGTTGTATTTAATATCAGAGATATCACCCATATGTAACTATCTGACTTGGTTTCCAAATTAATAGACACACAGAAAAGCCAACAAGTGTTCCTAAGTTATCTACGAGTGATGACTGACAAGGCAAATGTGAATGTTACGTAATTCAAATCATGAGCCTAAAATGAATGTGTTATTTTTTAGGGAAAATACCAGTGTTGTTTTAATTTTTACTTTTTTCCTTATTACCCATTTTAACCATTGGCATGAATACACTCTAATTTTGAATTAATGGTTTCTTATGTGAGTTCTAGAATACTATTTCTTTTTCTTTCTTTCTTTCTTTTGTTTTGAGATGGAGTCTCACTCTGTCGCCCAGGAATGCAATGGCGTGATCTTGGCTCACTGCAACCTCCGCCTCCTGGGTTTAAGCGATTCTCCGTCCTCAGCCTCCCAAGTAGCTGGGACTACAGGCATGCACCACCACGCCCAGCTAAATTTTGTACTTTTTTAGTAGAAATGGGGTATTGCCATGTTGGCCAGGCTGGTCTCAAACTCCTGACCTCAGGTGATCCACCTGCCTGGGCTTCCCAAAGTGCTGGGATTACCGGCGTGAGCCACTGTGCCTGGCCTAGAATACTATTTCATATACAGTTAAGTTTAATTTTCCTGTGGCAATAGTGAAGAGGAAAATGTTAAATAAAATTAACAAATTCTCAATTTAATTTCAACCCCCTTGTTTTAATTCATGTTATGGGACTACTTACTAAAATAGTGTCACTACCTACAAAAAATGCAAATGCATGTAATAAAATGGCTAAAAGGCAAGTACCTGAGAATAAGAAAAGGGCAAAAAAAAAAAAATCCTTAAAAGGAAAACAACTCAGGAAAGGTGGAGGTACAACATTAGATTTATCTCCAGGGATAAAATAAAGTTGATCATTAAAAGGCTGCTTTACTTTAATATTTATTTATTTAGAGACAGGGTCTTGCTCTGTCACCCAGGATGGAGTGCAGTCGTGCGATCATGGTTCACTGTAGCCTTGACCTCCTGGGTCCAAGTGATCCTCCTACCTCAGCCTCCCAAGTAGCTGGGACTATACCACCATGCCTGGCTAATTTTTAGTTTTTGTAAAGATGGGGTCTCCCTATGTTGCCCAAGCTGGTTTCAAGTGATCTTCCCACCTCAGCCTCCCAAGTGCTGGGATTACAGAGATGAGCCACTGCACCCACCAAAAGCCTGTTTTAAAAAGAAAAAAAAAATCCCAGATATAGAGATAAGAGATTATCTTTCTCTATAGGATTCATACAAATTGATAAGATCTCAGCCCACTTCAACCTCCCACTGCCAGGTTCAAGCAAAACTTGTGTCTCAGCCTCCTGAGTAGCTGTGATTACAGGTGTGTGCCACCACACCTGGCTAATTTTTGTATTTTAGAAGAGACAGGGTTTCGCTATGTTGCCCAGGCTGGTCTCAAACTCCTGGTCTCAAGTTATCCGCCCGCCTCAGCCCCCAAAGTTGTGGGATTATAGGCGTGACTGTACCTGGCCCAATAAATTTTTTAAAAAATCATAAAATATATTTATTCCAAAAGAGTTACACATATGACAATACTCATTTACTCATTATTTTTAAGCCACTCTCATAAGACAACAAATAAAAAAAGCAAACCAAAGGCTTATAAGGGAATGGTTAAGTACGGCCATATGATGGAATATTATATAGTCATTAAAATGATAACTGTGGAAACAGCAACATTTGCATATGACAAAACATTAAATAAAAAAAGTTTCTAAGATACAAATTCATATTCACACTTATAACTATGCAAAATTATATATAAGACCTAAAAGGAAAAGAAAAATCTAATGGTTGTGGTAGTGTGGTAGACTGAATGTTATTTTTCCCTCTATACTCAATATTGCTTTTATGATTAAAAAAAATAAGTGATTTCTAAAACACAGCTGCTCTTGAGTACCCACTAGAAAATTATATCTCACTTTTCCTTTAAAGCAATTTCCTCATGGTCTTGAGCGGCCATTAAACAACTAGCCAAATCAATTATAATAGGTACCAAATTTCTCATGTACCCCTCGTGAAGCAACAACATTTCTGACTCTATTAAAGTCATGCAGTACCACTTCGGACACCAAAAGACCTGGCCCTTGTTGGTCACTGCAGGGTGGAAGAGCTGAGTTGGTGCCTTTGGAACTCTCTATAATGCTTAGTGGATGGATCACAGAACTTCAGTTTTCAAGCAGCTGTCAATATGACAATTTTCACAAGTACTAATTCTGCCTTTTAAAAAAAGAAAATGAAAAGCTGCCACCCACATTATATCGTCAGCTGCCTCAAAAACCTGTAAAGACATTTTAAATCCTTCAAGGTTCAGAGGAAACCATCATTGTTAGTAGCTGAACCAGCTCAACACTAAAATAGTGTTAATAAGTGCTATGAATCTATCTCAAAATAGCCAAAAGTCTGAAACAATCGAGAGATAAGCAATCAAACTTGTCTGTTAAAAAAGTAGCAGCAAGACTGTTAGATTTAGGGAGTCAAGGTGACTGAAGGGGATTTTTTACTCAGAGAGGATGTACTGCTGCATAGAGATTTCCATTAAAATAAATAAACAAAATACATAGAATACAGGGACTCACCATCTCGGCTGCCAGTCACAATTTCAGGTGCTCCTTCTCCAATTCCTAGTCCACCTATGCCATCTATGGCATTTATAATTTCTTTATGGCCCTTTACAGAATATACTGGCATCTCTGGAGCTTCTAAATTCCTAAACAACAAACACAGCTTCTTACACCACATATCCCAAACATATAAGTCTACTACTGAAATTCAAAAAGATATATTATAGTTAGATTTTTTCTGTATAGAAATTAAGGTTTTGCTATGAAGATAGTTTATACATTTATTTACACTTCTGAAATTTTCTCTCCATTCAACTTCTTTCAAGCCCCCATTGAGAACTGTCATCATTCAACTTGAAATTCCAATCCTGAGCTCACCATACTTAGTGTTCTTCAAAGACGATCTATGCAAGACCCCCACAGATGAATTACCAGGTTTGCTTGTTGATAAACGTGGACTCATGGGCTCCTCCCCAAACATAATGAATCAGGATTTCAGATGGGTCCCCAAAACAATGACTGTGGTACACTGAAGTCTGAAAAAATACTGCTTCAAATATAGAGTAAAGCCCAGGGAGGTCAAGGCTGCAGTGAGCTGAGATCATGCCACTGCCCTCCAGCCTGGGTGACAGAGCAAGACCCTGTTTCAGAAAAAAAAAAAAAGAAAGAAAAGGAAAAAAACAACCATGTATCTGAGGACGTGGCTCTCAGGACAGTTTTTTTCAATTCTGGGTTTTAGTGGCTGTTACAAAAATATGGGAGGTGAATAGAAGATGGACACCATTAGCTGGCCTTACTAAATCATCATACTCATTGTTAAATTCCATCCACCAAATATGCAAAGGTTTTTGTTAAAACGCAGCTAGTATATTTCTATCTAAATATATATATATGTAAATTCAAAGTGATATAGAATTCTTCCAAAGTAGGCCTCAGTAGTTGGATCTTATGACCTTTTTAAAGGATAAAATATGAGTAGTGTTTACTTTGTACACATTTCTTCCTTTATAATGTACTATTTTCCCACTGAAGTCCACACTGATTTTCTACTGACATATTTTTCAGTGTGTCATCATACTGGTAACAATATGTATTACTGCAAGACAGGCTGAAGTTCGTCTAATAGGTCAATTCACAGAAAGGCATTCAGGAAAGTACTGATTACCACAACTGCACTACTGGGCAATGAATGGCTTGACTAGGTGATCCTCACACATTCCTTTTCTTACCCGTCTCCATTTCTCCCCTTCTTTTGCTTTTCTACGGAAACTTCTATTTACATTTCTCTTAATAATTTAGTTTTCAATAACTTACAGATTTTTTAAATGAATGTGACTATACATGAAATATAATTCCAATTTATTATTGGGCCAAGATTTATTAGTAAAACCTTACTAATAAAAAATCTATGGCCAGGTGCAGTGGCTCACGCCTGTAATCCCAGAACTTTGGGAGGTCAAGGTGAGTAGATCACCTGAGGTCAGGAGTTCGAGACTAGCCTGGCCAACATGGCGAAACCCCATCTCTACTAAAAACACAAAAAATTGCCAGGCGTGGTGGTGGGCACCTGTAATCCTAGCTACTTGGGAGGCTGAGGCAGGAGAATCACTTGAAACCGGGAGGTGGAGGTTGCAGTGAGCCGAGATCGCATCACTACACTCCAGCCTAGGCAACAGAGCGAGACTCCATCTCAAAGACAAAAAAAATTTTTTGAGATATTTCAACCTAGTTTAGAAATGACATTTATCATCATTATGAACTAATCAAGAGATTAAACAAGATTGTGGTTCTACTTGAAATGACTGTTTTACTATTTTATAGACTTTAAAACATTATTTTTTAACATGAAATTATAAGATTTATCAATGAAAGTAAATTGGTAATATCTGTACTATACTAGGAAACTGTATTAGAAAGATGGTCAATGGTACTATCTAATATTTTGAATACTCTTGTGTTGAAATATATTTATTTTTTAAAATAGCATTCAAACTTGCCTTTCTCACAGTATCTCTCGAAGCATATGACAAAGCATCTAAGAACTAATGAATACATGCTAATTTAATTATTAAGGAGTTAAAGCAAGGAGAAATTGAAGTAGTTCCATTTTGTTTAATGTTATGATTCTAAGACAGATAAATATGTTATAAGTAATGTAATTATACAGTAGCAGGTTCTAAGTGAGACTCAAGAAAGGTCATGTTAGAAAACATGATGCAGGGAAGACGGGTTTTCTAGAACACTCTAGAACTTTCTCCATAATATTTTAGAACACTGCTGTATACTTTAAATGATTAAAATAATAGATTTTCCTGCAAAGTAATTAAAAAGGAATTTCAATTCATTCCACTCTAAATAAGAAACAACTCTAGGTAAAACACGAAAAAGGCATTTGGCAGAATTGTGATTTTGCCCATTCAAAAAAAGTTTATTTTGATTTGTTCAACAGATATGTTTCTAAAAAGTTGTGCTTAGATGTTAAAGCTTTAAAAAACAAACGTTCTGCAGTGCTAAATCTCTTGCTGAAATATAAATAATATCTACTTTTTCAGTGTTATTCATATGCATTTTTATATACTGTATTTTTAAAGTTGGAGGGGGAACAGACCTTTATTTACAAATACATGGCATTAAATGCTAGCACCAAACTGCGTGTGTGAAAATAAGCATTGATAATATTATCCAAAATATCTAAAGAAAAATAGGTTAGTATTTTTTAATGGATTTTGAATATGAAATCTAGAAATATATATTAGAGACAATTCTCATATTTTTATAGTTAAAATGGAACATAGAAAGATTTTAAAATTAAAATTCTCTCTTTCAGAGAAAGAGTAATGAAACTATCAAATAAATTGCCTATCTCATCTGTCTGAATACTGACTAAATCATCTTACCATATATGAAGGTTTCCACCAAAATCTCCAGTAGCTAAATATCTCTGCTGTAAAGATGTTGCACCAAATGTTCCACATTTAATAGGTTTGGCCTTTTCAATCTTCATAGAAGGGAGGAAGAGAGGATATATTATTTATGTAAGCAGATATTTATAATCTATTAATATCATATTTATGGCTCTATTATGGCATTTAAATAAGACAATATAAAAGGCAATTAAAACATCTTCTGATGAAAATAATCTTGCTTTTTCCTTTACTCATTTTTCTTTAAAATATGTAACTGTCAAAAAGAAAAAGTGTTAATTTGCCTTTCCTCTCCTCTCACTAATGAGACATTCAAATGCTGACAGCTCTACAATCTCTATTGCAAATATGAAAGTTTCAGCATTTCATGTGATATTCTTTAAGATCCTCAGCAGAAATGAGAACATAATGAAGATATTATCTTTCCAGATGGTTATGGGAACAAAAATGTTATGTGTCTCTTATAGTTTTCCCTGCAGAACCCTATAAACTAAAGATGTTTATGTCCCACTTTCTCTGGGGCCTTTTCAATGCAGAGAGATTTATAAACTTGTGTGTACCAAGGCGCTACTATTAGTATGGATCAGCCAATCTTTTGAGGTTTCTTTACTTTAAAAGGCTACTGCACCAAGTATTGTATATAGTCACATTAGTAAAACAATCACATACGAATATATTATTTAACGTATGGGGTTTATGGAAATCAGGTGAAGAAGACTATGTAGCCAAAAAGGTCCTTGGAAAGGATCTAACACAATACCCTCCTGTCATAAAAGGAGACCAAAGCATAGGGCTGTACAGATTTGCCGAACTCATACAACATTCAACATTTAATGGTTTCTACTACATGCAAGTCACTGAAGTAGGCAAAAGAGGATACAAAGATGAATGAGATTGGCCAGTCCCTCAAAAAGCTAACAACTCAAATATCAGTTCTTATCTGGTTCCTCCAAAATATACATATTCGTTATACTACTCCTATGCCTCCCTGGGTCTTCTATTCACCTTCTTTTACTTCCTGATGTTTCTGATTTCTCCATGGCCCCTCCCGCCGCCAACTCTACCTGCCCAGGTCACTGAAGTCCCTCCTACAGTCTAACTGCTTTTCCTGCTGCCTTGGCTCCCGAGATCTCCGGAATCTGGAATTAGATGAGGCCACTGATATCTGTCCCACATCACACTCTTGCCATATAACACTTCCCACTGACTGTCAGCCTCAATGGGGCAAAACTATTCCTCTTGGTCTCTAACAATTTTTACATTTTTAAATTCTTAATGTTTATAAAAGTAATACCTGCTCCCTATAAAAATTCAAACAAAACAAAAGGATGGAAGGAAAAAGTGAGTCCCTTTAACACTCTCCAGAAGTAATCCCCACCCTTCTAGGCCTTCTACGCATTTACAAACACACATGGTTTTGTTTCAATACAAGGCAGATCATGGTACACTGTCCTTTGATGTGTTTCACTTAACAATACATCTGGATAAACTTTATTCCTTTTGCAGTGTTCTCCAGTTTCCAGGACATCTCCCCTTGTAACTCTTCAGTTCTCTTCATCCCTCCCAGGTTGGCCTGTTTCAAATAATTTTAAAAATAATTTCCCTGCCACTTTCAATGTTTATCCAGGCATTTCTATATAGGGTATATTATCCATATAAGGTATACATAGCAATTTTCACGAATAAAATAGAAGTCACTTAACACAAACTATAACAACTTTTTTTCTCTGATTCAAAGGTTACCATTATATGGTATAGGGCTTTGGAAACTCCCAGACTGTTGAACTTTCCTATTGTTTGTGATCTAGATAAATTGGAGTTACTACGTGGCCAAGTCTAAAAGCACTCATACCTTCCTCAGAATTGTCTAGTAAACGAAATCAGCCACGTACAGTAACATGTTTGTAAAAGACCCTATTGATGAGAAGCATGGAACCACAGAATGTTTCTCTTTTTAATGCACAAGTGGACTGAGATGGCATCAGTTATTCACTGCCGCAGAAAATTAATATTCATTTATTCCCATTTTTTCCCAATTTTATGAAAAAGAGTATCTGAAAATGGGGCAACACAGAGGATCAAAATTTTGTCAACAAAGCACATGGTTTCTAACTGCAGGCAATTTATGTTTTCCTCACCATTCCCCTCTCCTCAAATAAAAGTACCTGAAATAATATATTAACAGTGGTAAAGCACTTAATCACTATTAGGGCACAATTTCTATGGTGAAATTAATTCTGAGTTCCAACCTATGCCAACTGGTGAGACGGCTATCCACTCTTTCCTCCCCTTGGTCTCACACTGAACCTGGGTCTTGCCAGCTCTAAGCCACTGATAATGGCTTCCATGTTCTGAGGCAGAGGGTGGAAGCAGACCCTCTGAGGTAAGAAGCTGGTGGTCCTCATGCACAGCAATGTGGTTCCAGGAGACAGGGGATTAGAAGCTGTGAAGAACTTGCATCATCTATTGACCCAATTCTCTGGGAACATTTTTCTCAGAGAAGCACTGGGAAGACTGGTCTCCCATTTTCTTCCCACCAACCAGCTAAAGCATTCTGCTTCCCAGAATTCCACCGCTGTCCCCTCAAACCTCTGATGAGGGTTTCTGTGATTCCTAGGCCATGGAAGAGGTAAAAACTAACCTACACTCTTTGGTTCCCTACAGTCTTCTAAAATTTTACTGCTGGATAAAAATAAAAAACTGGAAGCAAAAACTTTCCTCCCTGTTATTCTTTTACCCAACTTTCACTTTTAGACCCTTTAGACTAGAGAATCTCAAACTATACTCCTGGAACACACTGATCTTCTGTTACTAACATAATACATTAATCAGAAAATTCACCAAGAACAAAAGCTGATGCATGTGTTGTTTTCAGATTTTAAAGTTTTTTTAAAAATAATTTTCTTAGCTTGCCTGGTAGAAAATACTAGCAAATGAACACCAGTTAAAAAAACTTGGACTGTGTGCAGTGGCTCACGCCTATAATATCAGCACTTTGGGAGGCTGAGGCAGGCGGATCACCTGAGGTCAGGAGTTCAAGACCAGCCTGGCCAAAATGGTGAAACCCCCTCTCTACTAAAAATACAAAAATTAGCCAGGCGTGGTGGTGGATGCCTGTAATTCCAGCTACTGGGGAGGCTGAGGCAGGAGAACTGCTTGAACCCAGAGGGCGGAGGCTGCAGTGAGCCAAGATCACACCACCGCACTCCAGCCTGGGCGACAGAGAGAGACTCCGTCTCAAAAAATAAAATAAAATAAAAAAATAAAAATAAAAATAAAACCTTGGAAGTGAAGACTTAAAAACTGTGTGGTTACTTGTGATGTAAAAATCGGAATCTCTATCTATTTATCTATCTCTATATATAGTCAGATTTTTCTGCTGAAAATCTCTTCCCTGTGCAGAGATAGAACTGACTACTCCAATATTTTATGGTGTTCCAAAAACAGCACTGCAATGTGCAGATTCTTTGACACCTGCACATGTCTGAGAATTGCTACCTTCAAAGGAAAGAAACCAAACTGACAACCAGTCTACACAATAAGCTCTATACATTTTCACAGTTGTCATTGCATCCCTTCTAAAAGTATGTCTTTATTACAAATATAAAGGAAAGAAGTAAAATGTATCTACATTGAGAAGCACAGACTCACAAGAGTGGCATGAAGGCCTATGGTATACAAAATGCAAAAAGTCCTTTGGGATCTGGTCTTGTGTGTGTGACTTCATTTCCTGTTTCCTGCCTTCTCTACTAATTCCAGCCACACCAGACAGCTTGCTTTTTGTTCTTCATACTTGTCAAGGTCTCTTCCACTTGGGCCATTTGAATTTGCTGTTCCCACTGCTTGGACTACTTTTCCCCAGGTCACCATGCCTCTATCCTTCTCTTCATTCAGATTTCAGTTCAAATGCCACATTCCCAAAGAGGTCTTCCTTGTCCCTCCAATCTGAAAAACCCCTAAATTACTGTCACTCACCCTGTTTAATCATCCATTATACTTATCAACAAAATTATTTTATTCATGCAATTATGTCCCCCTTTCTAGAATGTGAGCACCATGAGAGCAGGGCCTTGCCTAATTTTTTTAACGCATAGCAGGCATTCAACATTTGTTGAATGAAGGTATAAATGACCATCCATGAATCTCTCAGCCCTAACACTAGGGACAGACAAACCAGGGCTGGAGTTCACTTTCTTTGCTCTCTCTTTTCTCCTACCATACTTTCATGTGCCAGGGTTCTGACAAACTGTTCAGTTTCTGGTGTCATTGACATGCAATCATGAAAATAGCAACCATCTATTGAACACCTACATTTCAGATACATTTTAGATATTCTTCCAGTCTAGACCATCCCTTTTCTAATATATACAACACTGCAAACTAAGTGTTCAGAACACCACTTTCAAGATGACGAAACAGGTTCAGAGGACTGAGTGACTTGCCTAAGGTCCCAAGAGCCAGATACAATCCAGACTTTTTCCTCTAAACTAGGCTGCCTCCAGGCTTATATGTAAATCAATTAAATAAACATTTTATTATTGGAGTCCTCATTCTGTAAACCTGAGCGTTATTGGAAGTATCAAAGAAATGTTCCGATCTTGATTGCTGAGGTAAATGGCACAACGGCATGAATTAAACCTACTTTCAGATCTCTGCCCTTTGGTTTTTACCTTCATTCATGTCTTTACAAGATATAAATATATGATATTATGCTTCCCTCATGTTCTTTGTCCTTTTCTTAAAGAAACACAAAGATATTTATGGTCATTAGTGGTCTGCTGTGCAAGAACCAAATTAAACTCAAACTGTATATCTTCAACGTATTAAACGTATTATGAACATATTAAACGTATTAAAACTTATCATTTGTGTGCACTGAGGACTGCACTTTGCTCAGAAGGGCCGAGCTCTGTTGGCAAACTGACTTACAAAAGTGGCCATGTTTCCTCTTTCCTCAGACATTCATGGAAATAATAATAATAGCTAAATTAAGAGGACACTAGTGAAGCTAATTTTTCATAGTTCACAAACGGGTTCCCTCTCTGCCCCATTAGATAGTTTATCTACAGAAAAGAAAAGATGAAAAGAAGTTGGTGGTAAATCAAAATTTTTCTTGCTGGAAAACTAGCTGGCAAAAAAAAAAGCAGCTCTATCTTGCAAAAATTGTTCAACAAAGAAAATCAATATATACTAACAATTTTTGCTATGTGATACTGAAAATGGCCATCAATGATGGTCATAATTGACCTAACTGTTCACTTTCTTGCTATAAGAAGTTAAAATGATTAAAGAAGCTCAAGATCAGTAATTCCTGTGTGAGCTATTTTTGTTCTGCATGTGGGTGGGTCTAGTACAGCTTGTCAGTATTTCCTCCTCCACATCCTGGCAATACTTAATTAACATTAAAAGATCTAGCCAACCAAATGCTAACAAGCAGTAAATTCGGTAGCACAGGGGCTAAAAAAGCAGAATTTTATTAGCTTATTGCTATTTTTTTTAATATAAACATCTACAACTGTGTTTCCATTTTTCAGGGCCATCCCTAGTCCATATGGTATCTTTGTGCCAATGAGAAAAAAGTTGCCTTTTATAGGCTGATGAAGTCTCACACATGTAAGGCTTGATGAAGGAAAAAGAGCTTTTAGCTCCCACTTGAGCACTCAGCCAGACACCTTTGTGTGGTGCAAAAAACTGCTCAACTGAACACGGAGGCCCTGCCCTCCATTCCCTATCTATCCTTTTAGAACTAAGATAAAGAAGACTTCAACAAAGACTGATATGCTGATATGCTTCCTTTACATCTTTTCTTCTTAGATGCACGGGCTTTGTGAGCTCCAAGTCAGTGATAAATTAAAAAAAAAAAAAAAAAAAAAAGAACGATGCATGAGTTTTGGAGCACATGACTTAAGGGTAGATCTACGATGATACATCAAGTCTGTTTCCTAATATTTTAATAAATGACCCATCTAGCTCAATGGTTCTCAGCTCTGAGACTCATTAAAATCACCTTGCGGAAGTTTAAAAATACTCTGATTTCTAAACCTTACTCCAGATGCAACAAAGTTGTACTACTGTGTCAGAATTTCTAGGGGTGGGACCAAGGCACAAATGTTTTAAAACACACACACACAAGCCACAAAATGCACTCAAATGATCCTGATGCACAGTAAGGAGTGGGAGTTACTGGACCAGTATTTAACCTATATTTAAAAATTTTTTTCCATTGCACCAGAACAGCCAAACACAATGAAGTTTTTTTTTTTTTTTTTTTTTTTTGGAGACAGAGTCTTCCTCTGTCTTCAGGCTGGAGTGCAATGGCGCGATCTCGGCTCACTGCAACTTCTGCCTCCCGGGTTCAAGTGATTCTCGTGCCTCAGCCTCCTGAGTAGCTGGGTTTACAGGCACGCACCTGACCACGCCCAGCTAATTTTTGTATTTTTTAGTAGAGATGGGGTTTCACCATGTTGGCCAGGATGGTCTTGCTCTCCTGACCTTGTGATCCCCCCGCCTCGGCCTCTCAAAGTGCAGGGATTACAGGTGTGAGCACCGCGCCCAGCCCAGTGTAAGTTCTTAAAGGTATTTTTGTATTAGTTTTACCCTCTTTTTGGACAGTAGGCTCTTTAGGAGAAAGGACTCAACTTTTAAATCTCTTCGGTCCTTGTTAAACACAGTACCTTGAAATAGTGTGTTCTCAGACAACTCATGGTAGAAAAAAAGAATATCCAAAGGATTCAGGTGAAAATATACTTCTTTTTTCTTTTTTTATTTTTTGAGACGGAGTCTTGCTCTGTCACCCACGCTGGAGTGCAGTGGCGCGATCTCGGCTCACTGCAAGCTCTGCCTCCCAGGTTGAAGCCATTCTCCTGCCTCAGCCTCCTGAGTAGCTGGGACTACAGGCGCCCGCCACCACGCCCGGCTGATTTTTTGTATTTTTAGTAGAGACGGGGTTTCACCGTGTTAGCCAGGATGATCTCGATCTCCTGACCTCATGATCCACCCGCCTCGGCCTCCCAAAGTGCTGGGATTACAGGCGTGAGCCACCACACCCGGCGTGAAAATACACTTAGTGGTTATTCCTGGCATTGAGATTATGGGTGATATTTTCTTCGTTTTCCTATTTTCTAAATGTTCTATCGTGGACACATATTATTTTTGCTACAAAAGAAAATTATCTTTTTAAAATTTGCTGAAATTCCCCAGAGTCGCTACAAAAGACAAACTACTCTATTCCACTTGATGGAGTAAGTGTACTTTTGAAATACATACAAATCATATATTTTCATTTTATTATTTTTTGAGACAGGGTCTCTCTGTCACCCAGGATGGAGTGCAGTGGTGCGAACACAGCATCCTTGACCTCCTGGGCTCAAGAGATCCTCCCACCACAGCCTCCCAAGTAGCTGGGACTACAGGCTCGCATCACTATGCCCAGCTAATTTTTGTATTTTTTTTATACAAAAAGTAGAGACGGGGTTTCCCCATGTTGCCTAGGCTGGTCTTGAACTCCTGGGCTCAAGCAATCCACCCCACTGCCTCCCAAAGTGTTGGAATTGCAGGCGTTAGCCACTGCACCAGGCCTGTTCTTATTTTAAAAAGTCACAGGTCTAAGCCCTGATCCTGCCACTGCACTCCATCGTAGGCAAGAGTGAGACCCTGTTTCAAAAAAAAAAAAAAAATTTCAATCATGTCCCATTTTTCTTCGAAAAAGGAATAAATGGCCAGGTGCAATGGCTCATGTCTGTAATCCCAGCACTTTGGGAGCCCAAGGCGGGTGGATCACCTAAGGTCAGGAGTTTGAGACCTGCCTGACCAACATGGTGAAACCCCATCTCTACTAAAAATACAAAAAAATTAGTTGGGCGTGGTAGCATGTGCCTGTAATTCCAGCTACTAGGGAGGCTGAGGCAGGAGAATCGCTTGAACCTGGGAGGCAGAGGTTGCAGTTAGCCAAGATCACGCCACTGCACTCAAGCTTGGGTGACAGAGCCAGACTCCGTCTCAAAAAAAAAAAAGAAAGAAAGAAAAGAAAAAGGAATAAATCCTTTAAATACCTTTTCTTTTTAATGGTGGCTCACACCTGATCCAGCACTTTGGGAGGGAGAGGCGGGAGGATGGTTTGAGCCCAGGAGTTCCAGGCTGCGATGAGCTATGACAGTAGCACTGCACTCCGGACTGGGACAGAGCTACGCCATCCCTAAACAACAACAACAAAAAACAAAAACAACCCAAAATGCAATGTAAAGAAATTTTACTTTGTGTAGAAATCAGGAAGGGCATCATACATTAGATAATCTGAACTGAACATTGGAATAGCAACAGGTAGCCAGGCTTGGTGGCTCACGCCTGTAATCCCAGTATTACGGGAGGCCGATGTAGGCAGACTGCTTGAGCCCAGGAGTTGGAGACCAGCCTAGGCAACACGGTGAAACCCCATCTCTACCAAAATAAAAAATAAAAAAATAAAAAGTACAAAAAAATTAGTTAGGTGTGGTGGCACACACCTGTAGTCCCAGCTACTTGGGAGGCTGAGGTGGGGAGGCGGAGGTTGCAGTGAGCTGTGTTTGCACCACAGCACTCCGGGCTGGGTGACAGATTGAGACCCTGTCTCAAAAAAAAAAAAAAAAAAAAAAAAGCCACTGGTTACCAGAAGCTAAGTGATGAACAATACAAGGAACGAAGGAAAGGTAGAAAAAAATAAGCCATGTTTCATGTTTGTCATTCAGGGAAACTTAAAGCGGGATGGGGTCTTACATACTTTCTATTCTAGGCTTAACAGTCCAAATTGTATTCATCCTTTATCTACCAGTTTAATCCCTACCTCCTCCAAGCAGATTCTCTCCATAGGTTTTGATCCCCAGAGTTAACCTACCCTGCACTTGTAGTCTATTACAACCCTGATCTGATAATGACTGATCATTTTTTCAGGTAACAAAATCAACACTTTTTAAAAACTATAAACAGCTATAAAATGCTAGTTACTATCATTATTCTCTAATTCTTTCACTAGTAATCTTCAAAAAAACCTTGCAAACCTAATCTTTCCACACCCTGCTTAAATCCTTTCAGTTGTGTCCGTTTTTTCTTAGAAAAAAGGCATAAATCCTTTGAATGTCCTACAGATCTTGCAATGTCTGGTTCCTGCTTATCCCTCTAGTTTCTTAAGGAGATAAACTTCTTCCCATCACTGAGCTTCTGCATGTGCAGAAGCCCTGGAAACCTTGTCCTTTACTCCTAGTTTGACCTAGTTAGCTTCTGCACATACCAAAATCTGTTTTCATTCATCCCAAATCTGTTTTCACTCTCATTGAACCGTAACCGTGTTCCTTTGTGTGAGACAACTCATCTCGGTTTGTATTTATGTATCGTTGCTTTGATTATTGAACTGAGTATCTCTCCCACTAGAAAATAAACTCCATGAGATGGGGGACATTACCATTCACATCCCTGGGAATACCAGGCACTCAGCTGATGCCTGTCGAATGTGTTAGGTTGCCTCTTCCAACCACACTGCAGGCATCCTGGTGCCCGCTTTGGCTGGACTGCACTGGGGGTGGCAGGACGGTTGGGCGCGGAGGAACTACCCCGCGGATGAGAAGAAAGGTTTTAAATAGGAAACATTCCTCAGTCGGCGGTCAGCTTCTCTGGTCTCGCGCGGCTCAAGCCATGCTTTGGGGGACGCTGGGCGAAGGCTCTGGCAAAGAGGAATGCAGACCCCAGGATCCGCACTCGCCCCCAACGGCAGTCCGGATCCTCGACCCGGCACCCACCTCCCGAAGCAGCTTCAGGTCCCCGTGCTGGATCTCGTACAGCTGAATGACGCCGGTGCCCCGTGCGAAGTTGCCCATGGTCACAAATTTGGCGCTGCAGGGCACCCACTTACAGTCAAACACCGTGTAGTTGAAGCCCTTCTGGATATGGGCGATGATCTGAGGCTTCTCGAAGGCCGACATGGTGCAGCCAATTTCAGCTACGGCAACCGCCACACCCAGAGCCCCCAAAAACGGCAACCTGGAAACCAGACTCCAAACATTGGCAATTTGTCCCTCCCGCTTTCCGTATTCTGCCCCAGATGCCCTGGCATGTTGGCTGTAGTTATCCCCGGATAATGCCAGATGCGCTCCTGCGATCGCACAGAATGTTCCTTCACAACAGCACGAATTTGTTTATCGCCTTTACCCACTGCCTTTCGCACACATACATACTAGAGATTACAAAATACTTGGGCTGGGAGTTGCGCGGCTGGAGTGAGCCCAAGACCATCAGGCATATCTTAGGACAGCCTAACCCCGTTTTCCCCCCCACCGGCCCCAAATCCTGCAGGTCCCCGGCCTGTGACGTTTTAGGAAAGGGGCGGAGCTGCAGGGGTGGTTGGCTGAGGCTGGCTTCTGCGTGGTGCAGCTGCGCACGTGTTTCAGCCGGCAGCGCTTTAAGATTTCCGGGGATGGAATCCGAAATGGAAACGCAGAGCGCCAGGGCAGAGGAGGGCTTTACCCAGGTCACCCGCAAGGGTGGCCGACGGGCGAAGAAACGACAGGCTGAACAGCTGTCCGCAGCAGGAGAGGGCGGGGATGCGGGCCGCATGGACACAGAGGAGGCCAGGCCGGCGAAGAGGCCCGTCTTCCCACCCCTCTGTGGGGACGGGCTCCTGGTATGTGGCTGGGACCCTAGGACAGCAACGAGGCAAGGGCCAGACGCGGATCAAGCCGATGGCCTCTGGAGAATGTTGAAGCTGCGGTGGGGCTGTTCTGCCGTGATGCTCAGAGAGAAGTGATTCTTTGAAGTGTAACTAGTTCAGTTAAAGGAGGCCCTTTGTGGATCAGATGTCATTTTAAACTCCATCACCGTCCCTCCATAGCCTTCTGAGTTGTGTGTTCTTTTATTTACAGAGTGGGAAAGAAGAAACAAGGAAAATTCCAGTCCCAGCTAACAGATACACACCATTGAAAGAAAACTGGATGAAGATATTTACTCCTATTGTGGAACATTTGGGACTTCAGATACGCTTTAACTTGAAATCAAGGAATGTAGAAATCAGGGTAAGGAAAATCTCAATCATTTCCCAATACACCAGGCTTTCTCTCCTACAGAGATGAAAAGGCATGAATAGGCTTTACTTAATGGGACTTTTCTGTTGTATGGTTTTTGTCCAGTTTAAAAATTTACCATATTGAGTTTGAACTTCCCAAATGCCTTAAAAATCTGCATTCGATACAAATATTAATTGAATTTGTAAATTAGTTCTGAGATCACACCAAAATACTGGCTCTTCTTCTGTGTATCTTTTATAATGTTCTATGTCAAATTGAGAAAAGGTCGAGTAAAGAGATTGCCATAAACAGAAGCAGGTAAATAATGAATATAAGCACTTGCTGCTTTACAAGAAGTATATACAGTCAGCGTCGGGAATATGTTCTGGGATATGTTTTGTCAGATGACTTAGTCCTTGTGCGAATATTATAGAGTGTACTTACACAAACCTAGATGGTATGTGTATATTTGTTTATATATTTTTTTCATATGGAAAACCAAATGTCCCAGCACCATTACTGAATATCAGTCATTTCATCTACTTGATCTGCATTGCCGGTATCCAGTGCCATATATCAGGTTTCTGTATATTCTCCATTATACTGTTATGAGACCACCATGGTATGAGCGGTTGGTCACTGATCAAAATGTCATTATGCAGTGCATGACTGTGTTTTAATGGTGCTCTTTTGATTAAAAAATGTATTATTTTGATAAGAAACATGCATATATATGTGTGTGTGTGTGTGTGTGTGTGTATATATATCTTTTTATTTTGCTCTTTCACCCAGGCTGGAGTGAGTGGCATGATCTTGGCTCACTGTTAACAGGTGCCTGCCACCAAACCTGGCTAATTTTTGTATTTTTAGTAGAGACTGGGTTTTAGCATGTTGGCCAGGCTAGTCTCGAACTCCTGACCTCAGGTGATCACATCTCGGCCTCCCAAAGTGCTGGGATTACAGGCGTGAGCTGCCCCACCGAGCCTATGTATATATTTTAAATTCTGTGCTATCAATCCGGGAATTAGACATTTAAATTTACTTTGGGCTTTCTTTTCTGGGTGCCAATTTCATACCAGAATCGATAACCGAAATTAATTATATTTTCCTTTTTAAGGATTCTTTTACCATCATCCGGACTGGTATAGTCTCATCTCTGTTAATGGAATATAATAATGGAACAAAGAAAGGCACTATTCTAAATAGTTGATAAAGTGTAAAATATCATAGAACATGATAGAGTAACTCCTCTTTGTCCCTGTTGCCATTCTCTCATTCAGGCTTTTATGGTTTCCTGCCAAGGAGTGGTTTCGTTGTAGGTTTCCCTTGCTTCATTGTTTGACGTCTCTCCTTTCTCCACTCATCCATCTGCCAGTGCCAGATTAAGTTTCCCAGATCACAATGCTTTTATGACATCCTGGCATCTTCAAAAAACAAAAAAAAATTTTTTTTTTTTTTTTTTTTTTGAGATAGAGTCTTGCTCCGTTGCCCAGGCTGGAGTGCAGTGTCGCAATCTCGGCTCACTGCAAGCTCCGCCTCCTGGATTCATGCCATTCTCCTGCCTCAGCCTCCTGAGTAGCTGGGACTACAGGCACCCACCACCACGCCCGGCTAATTTTTTGTATTTTTTAGTAGAGACAGGGTTTCACCGTGTTAGCCAGGATGGTCTTGATCTCCTGACCTCATGATCTACCCGCCTCTGCCTCCCAAAGTGCTGGGATTACAGGCGTGAGCATCTTCAACATTTCTAAAGGAAAAAGTTTTGGACTTAACTTGCTTTTCAAGTAGGAGACTCAGTCACAAGTTTGTCTCTCACGGATCATAAAGTTTGTTTATGTCCATACTTTTTGGTGGCTTTGGCCTTTGAAAGAGGTCCGCTCCTCCCTACTCCTTTCTCTTTATACTTCAGTTCCAGTATCTTTCCGGGTCTAGCTCAAGTTCTTTCTCTGTTATGGTATGTCCATTTTTCAGTCATATCTTCAGTGCCTAAACTTTTCATGTGCTTTATTGTCCTATTTATTGCAGGATAATCACTTTGGATTCCACTAACATTTGTTGATGCTGCCATATACCAGACACACAGTGGTATTACACCATGCTCTACATCATTTAGTCTTCAGGATATTCCCATCTTAAAGATGTGAGGAAACTTGGCCACAGTCATCAGTCTAATAAGGGAAATTTTCTATTATACTAGTAGGGAACACTCAGGATCTTCTACTCTGACCTCCTCATTTTACTGATGAGAAAACTCAAGACCTAAAGTATCTATGGGACTTGTCTAAGGTCACATATAGGATTGGAACTAGGGTCTAGTTTTAAATGGGAAAGCTCTGGGGACTCTCCCATTGCACAAGCCCATATGGTTTTACATTTGTTGAATACGTGGTCTCTTCAACTAGACTGTGAATGTGCATGGGACAGTGGAAATAACAGTTTTGAAATCAGACCTGTGTTTAAATCTTACCTTTTTTGCTTTTTAGTACTTTAGTTTCCTCACATACGAAGGTAGTCATATCACTTAACATTCAAAGTTGTTGTGAAGGTTAGAGTTATGGTGTGTAAAGCATGTTATTTATAGTACGTGTTATTTACAGTGGTAGGCTTTTTATGAATAACAGTTATTTCTGCATTTCTCAAATAAACTTTGAGGACAGGTTCAGTGCTTCATTCATTCTTTATTTCCCCAATCAGTGCATGCAGGTAGTTAGGCCTGGAGCTGTTGGTTTAAGAAACATCAGCATATAAATGATAACTAAGAAGATTAAGTCAGGAATCCCAGGGAAGACTGCCTTGAGAGAGAAGAGAAGAGGACATTG
The DNA here is from genome assembly GCF_000001405.40 of Homo sapiens. NCBI lineage: Eukaryota > Metazoa > Chordata > Mammalia > Primates > Hominidae > Homo > Homo sapiens. The sequence goes on from NC_000002.12 coordinate 68,161,340, forward strand.
GGCATTGAAGGGATGGACAGAAGGTAGAGGTTCTTCAGAATGGGAGAGATTGGGTTGTGCCAGAGGAGTCTTGCTGTTAACCCCAAAATCTGATCATATAGTGCGGTTAGTTATTTGACACTCTTTGGGTGGAACAGCCAAGCTTTGGAGCTGGGAACGTTTTGTTTTGCAAATAAAGTACAGCACTTATCTGACCAGAACCTGTGTCATACAGAATATATTAGGGAAAGGTGGTGGTGAAGGAAATTCTCCAATAATGGGAAAGGACATTTCCAGTATTTTGTTAGGACATTTTCTGTTTGATTCTCAACGGTATTTTGTACCCTTTTTTGTTTTTTAACAGACTTGTAAAGAAACCAAGGATGTTAGTGCTCTGACAAAAGCAGCTGATTTTGTGAAAGCTTTTATTCTCGGCTTTCAGGTGGAGGTGAGTAATTCCATGATATCTAAAATGGGGACTTTAAAAATATTCAATGTGAACATTTCAATGGATTAGGCATTAAAAAAAAAAAAGGCCAGGCACAGTGGCTCACACCTGTAATCTCAGCACTCTGGGAGGCTGAGGCAGGTGGATCACTTGAGGCCAGGAGTTCAAAATAATCCTGGCCAACATGGCGATACTCTCCATCTCTACTAAAAATACAAAAAAATTAGCTGGGTGTGGTAGTGCATGCCTGCAGTCCCAGCTACTTGGGAGGCTGAGGTGGGAGAATCACTTGAACCAGGGAAGCAGAGATTGCAGTGAGCCAAGATCACGCCACTGCACTCCAGCCTGGGCGACAGCGTAAGACTCTGTCTCCAAGGGAAAAAAAAAAGCTTTCTAGCTCTAGAGTTTGTGGATTTTAGTTCCATAGTGCTTTGCACTTTACTCTTTTTCAGGTGTGCAAATGGAAGGGGCTTCACGGTGTTTGTTTTTATATTATAGGATGCACTTGCCCTCATCAGGTTGGATGACCTCTTCCTAGAGTCTTTTGAAATTACAGATGGTGAGTGTGTGTTGGTCTGCGCTCTTGTGTCGCTGACTTTGTATTGTGATGTGACTCTCAGTTTTCTAATAGCATCAATTGAGCTGTATTTTTAGCAACTTATATATATATATATACACTTTGTGTCCTTTAGAGAAATTTAGTTTATGATTAAACTTTATGTGGAATGGGTGGTACACTAGAATGGCTTGCCTCCTGAGATCTTGCTTTTCTTGTTTAGTTAAACCCCTAAAGGGAGACCATCTATCCAGGGCAATAGGAAGAATCGCTGGCAAAGGAGGAAAAACCAAATTCACCATAGAGAATGTGACACGGACAAGGATAGTTTTGGCTGATGTGTAAGTATCTGATCTTGAGAAAATTATTGTCATAATTTATATTTGATCTTTTGTTTTAAGAAAGTCATAACAGTTGTATTTTATGCATAATGTTGCTGCTAAATCTTTGTCAGTGCAGATGCTCCTCATAAATCCATCATAAATTGAAAATATCATAAGTCTAAAATGCATTTAATATGCCTGACTTATGGAACATTATAGCTTAGCATAGCCTATCATAAACATGGTCAGAACACACATTAGCCTGCAGTTGGGCAAAGTCATCCGACACAAATTCTACTTTATGACAGAGTGTTGAATATTGAATACTGTACTAAAAATGAAAAACAGAATGGTTGTATGTGTATTTGAAGTAGAGCATTCTGAATGTGTATCACCTTTGCACCCTTGTAAAGTTGAAAAATCCCAGTTCGAACCGTGTTAAGTTGGGAATCATCTGTATACTTTTGGGTGAATAGATGGTCACCAACTTTGAAAGAGGCTTAAGTTGAGAAAATTTAAGAAATTATATATTCTTTTCTCATTTAACAATGAGGAAATGCTATTAAAAGAAATTATTACAGGTGAAGATTTAAATAATATCTCGGGTTGGGCACAGTGGCTCACGCCTGCAATCCCAGCACTTTGGGAGGCTGAGGCGGGCGGATCACCTAAGGTCAGGAGTTCGAGACCAGTCTGGCCAACATGGTGAAACCCTCTCTCTACTAAAAATACAAAAATTAGCCGGGCATGTGGCATACGCCTTTAGTCCCACCTACTCGGGAGGCTGAGGCAGGAGAATCACTTGAACCTAGGAGGAGGAGGTTGCAGTGAGCCGAGATCATGCCACTGCACTCCAGCCTGGGCGACAGAGTGAGACTCTGTCTCAAATAAATAAATACATACATACATACATACATACATACATACATACATACATACTTACTCAAGGGAATCTATTAAATCACTAGGGGAGAACAAGCAATCACTATTTCAGATGCCCTTGTGAGTCTTTAGAAGTATATATCTACTTTATGTATATACATATATATGTTAAGGCCTTTTATAAAAGGAGGGGAATATCGTACATTAGGCAAAACTAGAGAGCAGTTATATGTGAACATAAACAAGATGAGAGGGGCTTAAAATAAAGGTGCCAGAAGTGAAGCTGGGATTACCCCTGTCTGAGGTTGAAGCTGCCCAGGCTGGGGATCTTACTGGCAGATGGCTCAGAGATTATATAATGCCATGAAGTTGGGAAACTGAACAGTTGACTGAGAGGAGGAGGGTTCTGCCTATGACTAAATTCTGAAATAATTTCATTTAATATCTCAATTTTGCTCCATACTGAAGGACTCTTCATTATATAGAACCTAAATTTTGTACATTCTTTACACTTTAAGGATAACTATACTACTGTGTTGGTGGCCCTCTTTACCTGAAGCCAGGCATATAATTATATTGTTTGATCTTTTATGGATTGAGCCTAGAGTCAGAAATATGGAGCCTTGGGAGAAGCTATTTTGAACTGGAAATGTGCAAATGCACACCACATTTAAAAATATGGCCAAGCATGGTGGCTCACATCTGTAATCCCAGCACTTTGGAAGGCTGAGGCAGGTGGATGGCGTGATCTCAGGAGTCTGAGACTAGCCTGGGCAACATAGTGAAACCCCTTCTCTACAAAAAAATACAAAAATTAGCCGGGTGTGGCGGCCCACACCTGTAGTCCCAGCTACTTGGGAGGCCGAAGTGGGAGGATCACCTGAGCCCAGAAGGTTGAAGCTGCAGGGAACCACGATCGTGCCACTGTACTCAACCCTGGGCGACAGAGTGAGACTCTAACAAAATAAAAATAAAAATACCACATATAGTCTGGGCGCAGTGGATCATGCCCATAATCCCAGCACTTTGGGAGGCCAAGGTGGGAGGAAGGAATGCTTGAGCCCTGAAGTTCAAGACCAGCCTGGGCAACATAGGGATCTCCATCTCTACAAAAAATATAAAAATTAGGTGTGATTGTGCACACCTGTAGCCCTAGCTGCTCAGGAGGCTCAGGTGGGAGGATTGCTTGAACCAAGGATGTCAAGACCACAGTGAACCATGATGGCACCACTGCACTCTAGCCTGGGTGACAGAGTGAAACCTTGTATCCAAAAAATAAAAAATTAATTAATTTAAAATCCATATACAGATGCTCCTCACCGTATGGTGGGGTTACGTCCAGATAAACCTGTTGTAAATTAATGATCTCATAAGTCAGAAGTTCATTTGATACTTCATTTGATATCATAGGATACTTCTCTTTGAAAACTGAAGAGCATTCCGAGTGTGTACCACTTTGGCGCAATTATAAAGTCAAAAAAAAATCTTCGGTTAAATCATCAAGTCATGGACTGGCTGAGTAGCCCTGAAAGCTTTCATGAATTTAGAAATCCATGGCCCGGCACGGTGGCTCACACCTGTAATCCCAGCACTTTGGGAGGCCGAGGCGGGCGGATCACGAGGTCAGGAGATCGAGACCATCCCGGCTAAAACGGTGAAACCCTGTCTCTACTAAAAATACAAAAAATTAGCCGGGCGTAGTGGCGGGCGCCTGTAGTCCCAGCTACTTGGGAGGCTGAGGCAGGAGAATGGCGTGAACCCGGGAGGCGGAGCTTGCAGTGAGCCGAGATCCCGCCACTGCACTCCAGCCTGGGCGACAGAGCGAGACTCCGTCTCAAAAAAAAAAAAAAAACAACAAAAAAAAAAAAACTAGCTGGGTGTGGTGGCACATGCCTGTTATCCCAGTTACTTGGGAGACTGAGGCAGGAGAATTGCTTGAACCTGGGAGGCGGAGACTGCAGTGAGTCAAGATTGCACCACTGCATTCCAGCCTGGGCGACAGAGTGAGACTCCATCTCAAAAAAAAAAAAAAAAAAAACGGCTGGGCATGGTGCCTCACACCTGTAATTTCAGCACTTTGGGAGGCTAAGGCGGGTGGATCACCTGAGGTTAGGAATTCGAAACCAGCCTGGGCGACAGTGAGACTCTGTCTCAAAAAAAAAAAGAATTTAGAAATCTAAAACTAACTGATTTGCCAATGAAATTATATAGTCTGTCATTAAGTTTATTACTGGTAAATTTATAAGTATATTTGTAAGTGTTAACCTAAAATTTACTAGTTAAACCAACGTTTTAGAAGTTTATTGTGGCATAATTTACATACAATAAAATTCTATTGTTTTAAGTATCCCGTTCAATGAGTTTTTGGCAAATGTATATTGTAGTCCCATGACACTCATACAGTTCTCTTACCCTGAAAGTTCCCTCGTGCATCTTTATGGTCAGTTGCCTGCCCCCACCCTTTTCTGGGACAACCATTGCTCTTGTTTCTGTCACTCTTATTTTGCATTTTCTAGAAATTCATATAAATGGAAATACACAGTATGTAGGCTTTGGTGTATGACTTCTCTTAATTAGCATGTTATTTTGGATTTCTCCATTTTGTTGGGTGTATCAGTAGTTCCTTTTTATTGGCAAGTACTATTTCATTGCACAGGTATACTGTTGACCCTTGAATATTGCAGGGATTAGGGATGCTGAACCCCTAACATGGTTGAAAATCCATGTATGTATGACTTGACTCTCCCAAAACTTAACTACTCCTGCTTTTGGCTGGAAGCTATACCAATAACAAACAGTTGATAAACACATATTTTGTATGTTATATGTATTATATACTGTACTCTTTCATAAAGTAAGCTAGAGAAAAAATGTTATTAAGAAAATTATAAGGAAGAGAAAATCTATCTACTCTTCATTAAGTGGAAGTGGGTTATCATAAAGGTCTTCATGGTGAATAAGCTAAGGAAGACGAGGAAGAGGGGTTAATCTTGCTGTCTCATGGGTGGCAGAGGAGGAAGATGTGGAAGGCGAGGCAGGAGAGGCAAGCATACTCTGGAACTTTACAGAAATACATTGTAATTTCTGACTTTTTTGCCCTTTCACTTCTCTAAAAATGTTTCTGTAGGGTACCAATCCTCTTCCACAGTTTTTAGTTTCAGTGCCCACGTCATAAAAGGGTCTATGTCATAAAAGACGTCAAAAGCATCTTGAATAATCAGAAACCTTCTGCCAAATTGTCTAATGTCACCTTGTTTTCTGACACTGCTGCTTCTACATCATCTTCCTCATCACCCGGCACTGCTTCAGAAGCACTCACCTCCATCAAGTCGTCTTCTGTTAATTCCTCTGGCATAGTGTCTGTTAGCTCTTGATTTCTCCGTGATCCATATCTTGAAACCCTTCACCCCTCACTTTTGGCCATATCCACAGTCTCTTTCATGATTTCTTGTTTGGCTCTGTCGTAAATCCTGTACTGTCATGCAAAACCTCTGGACATGGTTTTCTCCAGCAGGAATTTATAGCTGCAGGCATGAGGCTTTCACAGCTTTTTCCATAATAATGACAGTGTCTTCAATGGCATGGTCCTTCCAGACTTTTATGATGTTCTTTCCATCGAGTTCTCTTCCATAGCATTGACACTATTTTCCATAGAGTAGTGTGTGTAATGAACCTTAAAGGTCTTTATGACTACCTGTTCTGGAGGCTGAATTAGAGAGTGGGTGCAAGGAGACCACTTTGTTGCCTTTCGGTATTGAACTCATGGGGTTCTTGGGTGGCTGGGACATTGCTCAACATCAAAAGAGCTTTAAAAGGCATTCCTTACTGGCAAGATACTTCCTGACTTCAGGGAAAAAGCATCAATGGAATCAATCCAGAAAAAGAGCTCTCCTTGTGCAAGCCTTCTTGTACATCCAGAAGACAGGCCACTGGTGTTTACCTTTTCCCTTCAAGGATCGGGGTTAGCAGCTTTATAGATAACGGCAGTCCTGATCATAAACCTGACTGCATTTGCACAAAACAGTAAAGATAGCCTATCCTTTCCTGCATTAAATCCTGGTGTTTGCTTCTCTTCTTTACTAATAATTGCCCTTTGTGACATTTTTTTCCAGAACAGGACGTTTTTCATCTGCACAAAAAACCTGTTCAGGCAGATATTATTTCTCCTCAGTGATTTTCTTAATGGCATCTGGGAACTTGTCTGCTGCCCTTTGGTGAGCAGAAGCTGCTTCTCCTGTTACCCTGACATTTTTAAAGCCACCTCTTTCTAACATTATCGAAGCATCCTTTGCTGGCGTTAAGTTCTCCAGCTTTAGATCCTTCATTTTCCTTTTGCTGTAAGTTGTCATATAATGACTTAATTTTTTTCTCCATCATATTAGACTCTATAGATGTGTCTTTCTTAGAACAATCCTGCACCCACATAAAAGCTGCATTTCCAATTTGAGATTGTCAAGAAAAGAATCACAAGATCTATAAATTTGGAGAGGAAACTTTATTTCTTAGAAAGGGTTGCAGTCTGCAGGGTGGCCATTCTGACAGGCTGGAAAGTATAGCCTTCAGCAGAGACCAAAAGCAGGCACTCTGAAGGAGGAAAGGATGAGACAGGAATTTATGCTGAATGCGTTGGCCAAGTATACTTATTTAACAGGTTATAGGAGGAGCTCTGAATATAAGAGGGGTCCTAATGCTTGTATACCGAGTAAATGTACAACCCCTGGTCGCTTTGGGGTGGAGACTTAACATTTAAAATACCTGACAATTAGATCCTGTATGTTACAAGATGAAATAGGGACAGGGACATGACAACTGAATGCACTGCCTCTGGAAGCTGGTAGTACCAGTCCATGGTCAGTGATCTCTTATCAGGAGATGTTACTGGGATCAGTCTCTTGTCCAATCAAAGCTGTAGTTACTGTTTGTGGAACAGAGTGTGGGAAGAGGGAAGCTGGGGTCAATCTGTATCTAGCTGTTGGTGAGCTGTAATTGTTTTAATATTGTTTATCACAAGGCCAGTGCTTGTTAAGCTGCTAGAGAAAAAAAAATATCCTGTGGCAATTAGAATGTCATTTACTCTTTAAGTGTAGGGTGTATGACTTAACCCTTGCCCAGGTGGTCTTAGGTCTTGTTTACAATTTGATATCTTATTGCCACAGTCTGTTCTGTCTTGCCTGGGCGCCTAGGGGCTTTATTTTTATTTTATAAGATAAAGGGGTATTTGGCAAAACTGCAGGTGTATTCATATCTGCTGTTATAGCTGCAGTGACAGCTTCATGAATTTCCTTTTCTTTTTTTTACAATGGTCCTATGGTATAGTCATTTATCTTGAAGTGGTGGGCAACTGCAACTGCAGGCCTCAGTCAACAGTACCTATCAAGCAATTCAGCTTTTTTCTTTTTTTTTTTTTTTTTTTTTTTTTGAGATGGAGTCTCCCTCTATCGCCAAGGCTGAAGTGCAGTGGTGCAATCTCGGCTCACTGCAACCTCCACCTCCCGGGTTCAATGGATTCTCCTGCCTCAGCCTCCTGAGTAGCTGCAACTATAGGCATTTGCCACCATGCCCAGCTAATTTTTTTGTATTTTTAGTAGAGATGGGGTTTCACCGTGTTAGGCAGGATGGTCTCAATCTCGTGACCTCGCAGTCCACCCGCCTCGGGCTCCCAAAGTGCTGGGATTACAGGTGTGAGCCACTGCGCCTGGCCAGTTCAGCTTTTTCTTGTACTGTCATGACTTTTCTGTGCTGCTTTGGAGCACTCCCAACATCACTAGTGGCACTTTATGTGGGACCCACGTTGGGTGGGTCCTATGGTCCCAAAGCTTACAATATTGCACTAAGATTAAAAATAGGCAAGAACTGCGAGAAATCACTTTCTACTGTGATAGACAGTTTATTGGAGAGTCAAAACTGCTTATGGGAGATAATCAGCATCACATGTGATCAGCATCACATGGCATTCTAAGTGGATACTTGCAACACCTGAGCTCACCACAAGAGCAATAGGTGGTGGCTGTGAAGTTGTCGTACAGTATGCACTACAGTTAATTTTATGGAGTTATGATTTAATACTGCATCTTTGCATTTGTTTCCATTTCTCTTGACTACAAATGGCATCATATATGGCTTGTGTTTGTGTGCGTAAGTTTTAATTTTAACTTTTTATAATAGATTTGTGTATATTTTACGGTAGTAAATAAGATAGACTAGTACCTACATACAGTTTATGCATTCATGACGTAGCTTTTTCTTAATTTTTTTGACATTTCTACGATACTTAGCTCCTCTCTGGGTTTTTTCACATCTCCAAAATATCTTCCAGTATATGTGTTGAAAAAAATTTGTGTGTAACTGGACCTGTGCAGTTCAAACCTATTATTCAAAAGTCAGCTGTATTACATCTTGTTTATCCAGTCACAGTAGATGGACTTTTGGGTTGTTTTCAGTTTGTGGCTATGAGAATAATGTTGCTACTGAATTACTTATATCTTTTGTGTTTTCTTACAAACTGAATTACAGACTACTTGAAATTAAGAGATGTACTATCTCTTGCTTTTGCTGTAGACAGGCTAGTTGGAAATCCACGTTTAACAGTTTATATTAATTATAATAAAGCTGTTAGATGGGCTGTTGTGTACCTATAAAAGTTATTTTTGATGAGTTGCCAATAACCTGGCAAAATACAGTAAGTATAATGTGAGCCAGATAGAAAACTAAAAACAATTGGTTCCAGGTATGTTTAATACAGCAGATGGGAAATGATGTTGCCTCTGTGTCTTGAAGCCTCCATTCCTTTCCAACTATTGCCCCATTACTTTGGTTCTTTGTGCAGCAAAACTACTCCCATCTGTTCTTGTTGTCTTTATTTCCTCATCTGTCATGCTCTGTTTTAAATAATTTTAATCAAAGTTAAACATACACATAGTTTTAAAAAGCCAAATATTGGCCGGGCGTGATGGCTCACACCTGTAATCCCAGCACTTTGGGAGGCCGAGGCGGGCGGATCACAATGTCAGGAGATCGAGACCATCCTGGCTAACACGGTGAAACCCCGTCTCTACTAAAAATACAAAAAAATTAGTCGGGCGTGGTGGTGGGCACCTGTAGTCCCAGTTACTTGGGAGGCTGAGGCAGGAGAATGGCGAGAATCCGAGAGGCGGAGCTTGCAGTGAGCCGAGATTGCGCCACTGCACTCCAGCCTGGGGGACAGAGCAAGACTCCGTCTCAAAAAAAAAAAAAAAAAAAAAAGCCAAAAATTTCTACTGCCTACCTCCATTTCACCCTTTTCAGGGGAACCAATTTCAACTCTTTTAGCTTATCTTAAAAAATTATTTGTCTCTGTATTTCCAGATATTTTGTTCATATACAGCCTCTTATTTTTCAGATTCACTATTGACTTTCTACCATCAAAGATGAAGATTTAGCTGTCTTTCACCCCCTTACTTCCACTGCACACACTCAGCCTTTCTGTCACTCCGATTTATTCTTCTCTGTCCTCCTGATGGTCCCCTTGTGGTTTTTGTTAGATTCGTGTTCAGTATTACCTGAAAACAGAAATCAGTGCTCAGTGTACTTATAGCTGAGCCAGGTGAAATACTGTGACTGCCTTATCTTTCTTTTGCAGCATTGTTTTCACTTGAGGAAGTAACTCTTATGTGTCTATGTCCTTTCTTCATTTTCGTCGTACTAATTCAGTAAGAAGCTATACGTTGTCTGTATCTCCTCTTGATGTATTCGAATGCATCTAATATTTGAGAAATCTCTCCTGGAGATGTTCTGTTCCAAAAACGCCCCCATGCTTTCTGCGTGCATTCTGGCTGCACAGCCATCATCCTGGGTTCCCTGTCCCCTGCCTCTTGGAGTCTCTTTCCCAGAGTTCTGCTTCTTGATATTCCTGCTGCTGATTTAGGCATCAGTTGACTTCGGTCTGCACAGTCAGTTCCATCTCCTCCATCTGCTTTCCACCTTTTTGGACTTTGCTACTGTTATTACTCTCTTCTTCCTTTTGGGCTTACATCTTTCCTGTCATTTTAGTGGAGTTTGAGGAAGGAGCATTTGTAAATGTTTGTTTTGTTCATCTGCAGGTGTCTGGAGGAAGAGCATTACAGAGGAAGGGGAAAGCACAAAGATCTTGAGTTGAGGGCACATCTGGCAGTGAGCGAGGAGGCTTGACCAAGGATGAAAGGGAGAGAGCGGAGAGTGACAGATGAGTCAAAAATAATAGGGCCTCACTGAGGTCATCATAAGGACTTTGGCTTTTACTCGGAGTGAATAGGAAGTCATTGGATGATTGTGAGCAGAGGAAGGGAGGTGGGATGTGAGGGGGCGAAGGGCAGTGAAGGTGAGTAGGATCCATAGATGGGAGGTCCTGGGGTAGGGGTGAAGGATTATTTGTGTTGATATGAGTGGAATGACAGAAAGTGGTGAAGGGAGAGTTGGATGTTTGAAATCGAAATTATGGGGGGGTTGCAGTTTTTGGTAATGACCAAGTCCAGGGTGTGACCATGGATGGAAGAGGCTGGAGTAGGGTGGAAAACAAGACCCCATGTTGGCATAAAGGATATCAAGGACCTGAGAGGCTGGCATGTTGGGATTATCATCTTCATGGGTATTGACATGATCGAGCATGGTGATGGGGAATAGCAAGAGAAAGCAAGCCAAGAGCTAACATCTTCACAGGTGATCTGTAGGGGCAGCTGAGGACCGCAGCCAGGCAGGGTGGTGGGTGATGTGGCCTCAGAGCAGATCCAAAGCCAAAGGGTTTTTAGGGAGGCAAGAGGGAGAGCATGTGGTCTGGATGTGGCATGAAGACACCTGCTCCTCCCCCAGGCCCAGAGGTACCTGGTTTGTGGAGGAAGAACTGGCCACCATTTGAGATCTGGCCTTAGTTGAAGCCAGAAGGTGAAGGGAATATTAACAGGGGTTGAAGATATAGAAGCTTTAGCTGATTTGTACAGGGCACAGTGAAAACAGTTTGGAAGATGGACTCAAAAAGGCAAAATTGTATCTTGTCAGTTTTGTCATTCAGTAAAGAATGCCCATTAAAAGGGTCTAAATGATCCTCAGAGCCCTGAAGAAATTTAGATAATCTTTAGGAAACTTTGCAGTTGAAAACCAATTATGTTGAAATTGAGTACAGTATTGCATTTATGGGTATTCAGTAACCAGCTCTGCCAGTGTGTCGTCTTGGGCAGGCTTTTTGATTTCTTATAAACTTCTCTCCTCATCCGTAAAACAGGAAGGTCATGTGAGGATTAATGAGGGCATGCATAGAAAGCCCTGGCACATAAAGCACTCATAGGATGGGAGCCATCATTAACCAAGAATCTTCACAAATTTTTCTTTTTCAAACAATTCTTTGTCTTTTCTAATAATTTTTTATTGGGATACAATTCATATACCATAAAATTCACCCTTTTAAAAAGTGGTTTTTAGTATATTCATGGAGTTGTGCAGCCATAACCACTGCCCTCATTAAAGAATCTGACTCAAATATCATGATTTTCCAGCATTTTTGGAGTACAGGACTTAGGTAAGGAAATGCTTTTTTGTCTACAATGTCTTTTTTTTTTTTTTTTTTTTTTTTAAGAGAGAGGGTTTTGGTCTGTCACTCAGGTTGGCATGTTGCACTCTACAGGCACGTGCTACTACACCCAGCTAACTGTTGAATTTTTTTGTAGAGATGGCGTCTCATTATGCTGTCCAGGCTTGTCTCAGACTCCTGGCCACAAATGATCTACCTGCCTTGGCCTTCCAAAGTGCTGGGATTACAGGTGTGAGTCATTGCATCCCAGCCACTAATTTGTCTCATTTTATTTCTTTCAGGAAAGTTCACATCCTTGGCTCCTTCCAAAATATCAAGATGGCAAGAACTGCCATTTGCAACCTAATCTTGGGTAATAGCAGTTTCTTTCTTTGGTGTTTTCTCTGGGAGGGATAGGAAGTTAATTGAGGAAGTCAAAACCACATTTGCAAAGCAATTTAGGGTAATATTAAAGATCGCAAGTAGAAACCCTTGGGAGTTGGCAAAGGTGGGCCTAGAGAAGGAAGTAGAATTTTTTTTTTTTTTTTTTTTTTCTGAGCCAGAGTCTCGCTGTGTCGCCTAGGTTGGAGTGCAGTGGTGCGATCTCGGCTCACTGCAACCTCTGCCTCCCAAGTTCAAGCGATTCTCCTGCCTCAGACTCATGAGTAGCTGAGACTAAAGACGCCTGCCACCTTGCCTGGCTAATTTTTGCATTTTTAGTAGAGACGGGGTTTCACCATATCGGCCAGGCTGGTCTCGAACTCCTGACCTTGTGATCCGTCCACCTCAGCCTCCCAAAGTGCTGGGATTACAGGCGTGAGCCACCACGCCCAGCCAGAAGTAGAAATACTTTTGCTTAGATTCCATTTGTCTGCAAGAGAAGAGAAGGTGTTTATTGGGTAATATTGCTTAAATCTTTGCTGCCTTCTTGATAAGGTGCAGAGAAAAACCATTCCAGAATAGCAGGGAACATCACATTTTAGGTTTAACAAAGGAAGAGCTGCTGAACAGCTTCAGGCAATTTAATTGATCCACTTAACCCATTTTCTTGATCCTGCAGCAAAGTCAGTACTTTCTGATAAGAGTTGCAGGATCTTAGCGGCTTGCTCAGAAAATTGGGATTTTCTGGTTCTCAGGCCTCAGTGATTGGCTTCTTTTTGAAATATTTTAACAACTCAGTGCCTTTCGCTCTTAGAAGTTTAAAATATTTTTTGGAGAATATTTGGGTATTATTTCTGTTAAGGTTTTTTTTTTTTTTTTTTTTTTGTAATTTCCAATTAAAATGTCTCTGTTCTTTTTAGGGTTCTAGACCCTTTTTCACGTACAGTCTGCCCTCTGTCTGCAAGGTCCACATCTGCGGATCGAACCAATGGCAGATCAAATACTCAGAAAAAAAATATATAAAAATAATGGCAAATTAAAAATAATACAAATTTTAAAACACAATACAGTACTATTTACATAGCATTTGCATTGTATTAGGTATTATAAGTAATCTAGAGATGATTTAAAGTATATGGGAGGATGTGGGTAGTTAATGTGCATATTTTTTATGTAAGAGACTTGAGCATCCAAGGATTGTGGTGTCTGTGGGAGTCCTGAAACCAGTCTTCCTTAGACACTGAGGGACAACTGTAGGCGCTATAAATGTGAGTTTATTTGTGTATATACTTTTTTTTCCCCTTTGCAGGAAATCCTCCTTCCAAGGTTTATGGCAATATTCGAGCTGTGGCTAGCAGATCAGCAGATCGATTCTGATTTCAAGTCAGAGACTTTTTATCTTGCCTTTGGACTCTGGTGAAAAATACTTTACAGTGGTCGGTCACAAGAAACCAGCTGAACAATTTCAGTCATTTGAAGCCTCCGTCCCTTCTTCCATTCTCAGCCAGAAGCATAAACAGAAAAGAAAGATTTAAGAGGATTCACACTCAACAGGTTTTAGGATAATTTAAATATCAAAAATTGATTGTTATACTTAACACATTAGGTATAATTTATCATTTATCTGAAATCACATGTAGCAGATTGCATAGTCTGTAATCCTCTCAGAGGGAAACTTCTTGTTTAAACAGCTCTATATGGATTTATACTTTTATATTTATAAATTTATAACTTCATACAAATTTATAAACATTTCTTTATAAATTGTAATTTAATAGATTATCTCAGAAAAACCTCTCTGAATGATGACCCTTCCTTAATACTGGGTGATGTGTGAATATTTGTTTGTTGGCAGACAGGGTCTCACTTTGTCACCCAGGCTAGAGTGCAGTGGTGCAATCTCAGCTCACTGCAGCCTCTGCCTCCTGAGTTCAAGTGATCCTCCTGCTTCAGCCTCCCTAGTAGCTGGGACTACAGGTATGCACCACCATGCCTGGCTAATTTTTTGTATTTTTTGTAGAGATGGGGTTTCGCCATGTTGACCAGGCTGGTCTTGAACTCCTGGCCTCAAGGGATCCGTCCGCCTCAGCCTCCCAAAGTGCTGGGATTACAGGCATAAGCCACTGCGCCTGGCCTTGATGTGTGAATATTTGAGAGGTCATAAGCAGTGGTTTTGGCCATACCGTATTATACCATATACATCAGTAAGAGCTCATCTTGGAACCTGTTTTGCAGTTTCTTGCAGTTTCAAAAATTAAAGACCTACATCACAGGGTTAATGTGAAGAAAGCTTTATTTTTCAAATGAGTATTTAATGAAAGTATACATAACCAATGTTGGGTATACAGATGCTTCTCAACTTATGATGGGTTTAGGTCCAGATAAGCCCACTGTGAGTTGAAAATACCAAAAGTCAAACATCATAGCTTAGCCTACCTTAAAAGGGCTCCGAACACTACATTAGCCTACAGTTGGGCAAAATCGTCTAATACAAAGCCTATTTTATAATAAAGTATGTTGAATATCTCATGTAATTTTTGAAGATTACATTGAAAGTGAAAAACAGAATGGTTGGGTACTTGAAATACAGCTTCTACTGAATGAATAATTCTAAAGTTGAAAAATAATAGTAAGAACCATCATAAGTCTGTTTCTTCTAGTAAAGGTGAAATGATGAAAGAATGCTTTTTTCCCACCCAAAAAACTATGCTCTATAAATGCAGATTAGCTAGTTTCTGCCTGTTTAAATGGTATTATTTTATACATTACAAAATGGAAGGAACTTACTTTATTAAACTTAACTTTGATACTTCTCTTATGCATCTCTAAAACCCTTGATGAAAACATGTAAACTTCAGTAATGGCAGTATTAGAAAGTTCATGTAGGAACTAAAAGAAAAATTGTTAAGCTTGTTTCCTTTATATCATCAGTTACATATCCCACTGTTCTAAGCTAGTTTGTACAGTATGTGGGATCGGATATACTTAGATATTTTTAAAAATTTCATTCATTAATGCTTTTTTTGCAAAATACTCAACTGGGAATCCAACTGGAAATTGCTGAGTATGTCCCACCTCAAATTATTTTTTTATCCTTTGGCAACAGCAGCATGGAGCAAGGATATGTACAATGATATCAGATCCTTTTACTCATACCTTTTTGAAAAAGATTTGGGACTTTTTTATTCTGGAGTCTGTACAGGTTTTCAGAGGTACTTGCCTACCTTCATCCTTTCCCCAGGAAGTTAAATTCAAAATTGTGACTATTTCATTTACTTTCCTGGGGAATGGGCCCATGCCTGTAATCAGGTTTTCCAAGCACTTGGACTGAATTGAACCATTGCTAGGTGACCATAAATGTTTTGAATCGACTTTCAAGGAATGGAGGAGGCAGGAAGTTAAAAGCATCATTTCAACTGCGAAAATATGGGTTATCTGTATTAAAGGGAAATAACGTTTTGGTATTATCCAAATTACTTCCCCTTTTGAAGATTTCCTATGTAATTACAACTGTCAGTAATACAAGAGAGCAAATATATTTCCCTGGCAGCTGCTAAAATTTGGAATGCTGAACGTTGGTTTAAGGAGTTGCTTTCACCTCCTCCCCACCCCCGCCCGCCGCTTAGTTAAGCGTTTGTATCTCCTGTTCCCCAGTAGTAGTAGTAGTACTACTTGGGGCTTTTGAAAGGGAGAGAAAATGTTAGGGGAACCCAATTAATAATCCTTGGGATGGGAAAGTATGAAGAAGGAATAGAGGTAATAAATTTGACTATCATACTGGCAGTTGATCTTAACCTGGGTCAAATAACTTCATTAAACCCTTCTCTAAGGCCAAGACACTAAATCTAATACTTCCAACCTTACCTGTTTCTATGGCGCTTGTCACTCTATATTGTAATTATTGTGTCTGCCTGCCACCCTAAGGCTTATATTTTGGATACTCAGTATCTGGTACGATTTTCTGACATACACTTTACATATGTATTCACTGATACATTGCCTGGGAGATGGGCCTGAGAGAAGAGCATTTTCTTAGGTATTCGTGGCTGGCAAGAGACCCATGGAGTTTCCTCCTAGTCACTCGCTCCTGAAGAGCTGGGCTCCAACTCTCATGCCACCTAGAACTAGGAATGGTATGCAAGAAAGCTCATGCTCCTTGGATAGTCATCTTGTCTACTTCTAAGACTGTTAGAAGTAGGTTTAAAAAAAGGGCCGGGTGTGGTGGCTTAAGCCTGTAATCCCAACACTGGGAGGCCAACATGGGAGGATCGCTTGAGCCCAGGAGTTCAAGACCAGCCTGGCAACATAACAACACCCTGTCTTAACAAAACAAAAACAGCCAGGTACTGGCATGCATCTGTGGTTCCAGCTACTCTGGAGGCTGAGGTGGGAGGATTGCTTGACCCCAGAAGACTGAGACTGCAGTGAGCTGTGATCATCCCACTGCACTCCAGCCCAGATGAACAGAACAAGACCCTGTCTCAAAAAAAAGAAAAGGAGCTCTGGGCCTTAAATCCATCTACTTGCTTAGGTCTAACAAACCTTTACTCCTGGGATGTTTTAACAAGTCACAGAACCCATTGTAACTAGTGCACATCTGGTGATACAGGTGTTCTGGATATAAAACATCCCCAACTTATCTGGCCCAGGGATGTCATTTGCCAGAGCATCTCAAGTGCCTATTACAGTGATGGACATGTAGTAGGGACTGTAAAGTTGAATAAATGAAAGCAAAGTTACCAAGTAAATGTAATCTCAAGAAATGCCAATTTTACCTTTTAAAAATACTGAATAGCATTTATTATAAAATCACAACCTGCATAAACAGGGTATCACATTAATTTATTAATTATTTATTGGGTAAACACTAAGAGCTAGGTAATACTCTGGACAACTGGGCTGGGGCTATCAGTGAACAAGAGACAAATCACTACCCTTTTGGAGCTTTCATTTTATTCAGTAGTCAGGGAATACAAAATACGTAAGTAAACTGTGTCAGAAAAGAATAAATGCCATTGTAGAAGGAAAAATATAGAGGAGGAAAGAAGAGCCAGGCGTATCTGTATTTTTTAATAGGGTAGCCAGGACAGTTCCTTTTGAGCTAGGCTGTAACTGAACAAACACCTGAAGGCATTAGCTATGAGATACTGGGAAAGGAAAGGGGCAAAAAGGGACTGATAGCGCAAGGGCCTAAGAGACACAAACCCAAGACTCCAGGTACCACCGGAGGCTAACATGGCTGGAGTAGAGAGAGGGGTAGCAGTAAGGGAAGTCATGGCAGGAGGTGATGGGAGAGTACTACAGGAATTTGTAGGTTTTTATAGAGATTAAATGTCACTTTACCAGACTGTTTTTAAGAATTTAAAAGCCTGAGAGGAAAAAAAATTCTCATAGCTATGGAAACCATCAAAGACCACTGAATACATTCAAGCAAGTTTCAAATATTTTATTTTCTTATTCATACAGTATGAAGTTTTCTAAAGATCCCACAACATGACGTATCATGCAGAAGAAAAACTAAACATTCAACATAAACCATCCCCTCCCTTACCCACCCCCACACACAAACTAAAAAAAAAAAAAAAAAAAAAGAAAAAGAAAAAACCCTCATTCCCCGGTAAGGAAATAATGTTTACACTATTTTTCTGTAACGCCAGCCAAGATATGCACAAGCAAGAGAAATAGAAAGCATTTGCTAAAATATTTGTAACAAATACTTATGTACAAAAAATTCACAAAAGGCTAGTTCCCCCTTGAAGCAGAGCACATGGCAGTTGACACTGGAACAGTTCAAACCACTGGCTGGGATTATAAGCCATGCCACTGATCCAGAGGAAGAAAGTTACATGTAGTGGAGATTTTCAGTCTGAACATTAACATTTCCAAAGTTTGGCAACATTATCTTTTAAAATTATGCAAATTATGTAAACAAGAGGTACATTTTAAATTGATCTACATGCAAAACTCCATGTCATGCAAGGACACCAAGCACCGGGATTTTTCTCTCACAGACAGAGCCCATGATGTGCAGCACTCAGTTGAAGGAACAGCGATGGCAGGCAGGTGTGCTCAATTTCAGATTGATTCACCTTGATTCAACCTGCCCTTTTCCACTGATTTTAAAACCAGTTTTTATAGAGAAACTATAAAGGGAAAGACTACTGTCATACAAAGCTAACCAAAATGTTTTTCTTCCAGCTAACAGTACCTTTGCAGAAATGGGAAGGGATAAGATCAAACAGTAGAACATGATACACTACTTTTATATCACACAAATTTATTAAGTTATCCATTACCAATTATATGGGCAAATCAAGAAAAAAAAACCAGTATGCATGCTCTATCCCTCGTGGTAAAGAAATTTAAGTGGCATAAATTTGGATACAATTTTGCTCTTCTGTGGCATATAGATTAGCAAGATTTCTCACACTTAAACCACAAATATATGTGGGTGTTTAGATACATACATGCATATTAAATATCACCAGTTTTTTAGATTAGCTGCAAGTCTTTTGAAACAAGGGAATTCATGATTCAAACACAAGTTTAATGACAAATTATTTACCCATGTAATCAAACAAATGGATATCCCTTATAAGTAGTTACATGATCACTTCAGGTATTCTTCAGTAAGTGATACATACAATCAATCATGATTGCCTCAGACAGCTTCTGGCCTTTATGTATAAAATCACAACTAGCACTTAACGTTACTGAGGGACATTTAATAAATGCAATGGCTCCTAGTTACAAAGTAGCAGAATGAAGCAGCTATAAGCCCTGTGCAGTTACTATATGAACACAAGAACTAGCTCTTGGCAGTAGCAATGAACTAGACTTTCTCCTCAAGCAGAGGTGTATTAAAAGCTGCTCAGCAATGAGAAGTAGTCCCTGGATATATTCATAAGTATAAATAAAGTTACAGACTCCTTTGTTACAAAAATGTAATTAAGGTAAATAATAGGACGTTAACAAATGCTTTGTCAATCTCTCAAAGGAGAAAGCACAGGAAAAGGAAAATAGCTGGCCTAACACCCGGCTCAAATTGTACAGTCTTCTATCTATATATAAAACTGTGTGAAATAAAAGTAAGGATGTTTTATGTTCTGCTTGGCACTTTTGTACTCTATTGTTTTGTTTCTGAATCAAGTATATTAAATTAAAGCCAACCTACTACATATATAGAAAGCTACATATATCTATATATAAATATTTACATATGTATATATAGATACTTTCTTGTTATAAAAGATGAAGAAAAATAAATTAAAAAGCCAACCCCTTCCCTTTCTCCACCACATTGATATGCTCTTTTCATGTTGCTGTCCTTCAGACTTTAAAGTGCTACACTGAGTTATTGAGAGAATTACAGTTCAATAACACTTAGTTGGCTTCATGAGGCTCATGTTGGAAAATGTGGCTTCACAGAGAAAAATACTTCCATTTAAATACACAGAGAGCATTGCTGGACGTCTTGAGCAGATCTTCAGAGATGGAGAAGAAAGCAAAAGTGTTGGGTGGTACTCTCTGATAAGAGTCACACATCTACCACCATCTTTTTGTGGATATCTAGGCCACCTACAACCTGCAACAGACAGGAACAAATCAAGCTTCACAGTGTCTGAGAAACTCCTCATTCGTGGTCTAACTACTTCATCAAATTTTAAAAAATATTACTAGGGGGCTGGGCGTGGTGGCTCACACCTGTAATCCCAGCACTTTGGAAGGCCAAGGCAGGTGGATCACAAGGTCAGGAGATCGAGACCATCCTGGCTAACACACGGTGAAACCTTGTCTCTACTAAAAAAATACAAAAACTTAGCCGGGTGTGGTGGCGTGTGCCTCTAGTCCCAGCTACTGGGCAGGCTGATGCAGGAGAATCGCTTGAACCCGGGAGTTGGAGGCTGCAGTGAGCCTATATCGCGCCACTGCACTCCAGACTGGGCAACAGAGCGAGACTCCATCTCAAAAAAAAAAAAAAAAAATTACTTTAGCTATATTCAGAAGGTGAATTTAAAGACACACAAAAAACCAAAACAACAAAACTTGAGTGACCTCCAGTTAGAATTTTCATGGTTTCTTTCTCCTAGGATAACAGGCATTACTTTTTGGGTGTTCTTGTACAAGGGCCAGTCTTGCAGGCTACATGTAGTTTCTTTCACATTTTCCTTTTTTTTTTTTTTTCAAAACAACACTTCAGGTAAAAACGATTCTTAGTTCAAAGACAGACATAAACAGGCTATGGGCAGGATCTGGTTTGCTCTGTAGTTTGCTGGCCCCTACTTCAGTAGTTTAATATCACACGATAACCAGATATTATGACAAAAACTGTCCTCACAATCAAATATGCGTGTCACTCTCAGTCTGTTCTAGACAATTTAAAAAGTACCAAGTGAATAAACATGTCTGTATATTATTTTTCTGTAGAGTCAAATACATGTAGTCATACACATCTCAGTGAATACTGACATGGTAATGTGTAAGTGTAGTATCTGTATCATTTGGGGGGAATGTTTTATTACATTTAATCTACATAAAGAGAATGCATAGGTCATAAATGTCCACAGTTTGATGAATTTTCACAAAGTAAACACCCAATAACCAGCACCCAGATCTTCCAGTCACCAGACATCTCCCCTCCTCCAACCCCCCCCTCCCCCCACCACACACACACGACCAGTAGCTACTATTTTCTGTTTCTGTACATTTTATAAATGGAATCTCTTTCGTGTCTAGCTTCTCTCAATTTTATGCTTGTGAGATTAATCCATGTTGTTATGTGTATTTGTTATCTGTATTATTTTTAAATTCAAACTAAAAAAATAGTCCCTTTATTTGAAAACTAAAGCATAAAGTGCCAACGAATTCTACAACTCCTGCTGTGGGAAAAAAAGCAGTTTGTCACCCTGCCCTCATTCTCTATTTGCTTTTATGCAGTGGCAATAATTTAAAGTTTTCAGCTGACTTGCACTATTTACCTCCAGGTCTCTTAAGATTTTTAGCTTTCACATACTTCTCTTCCCTCTATCTCCTACCCTACACACTTCACAAACTCTGTACCATTCCAATGGCTTTATCTTTATTTTCATCAGAAATTCAGCATTTTTCAGCCAGGTGCGGTGTCTCACGCCTGTAATCCCAGCACTTTGGGAGGCTGAGGTGGGCAGATCACTTGAGGTCAGGAGTTCAAGACCGGCCTGACCAACATGGTGAAACCAGGTCTCTAATACTTAAAAAAAAAAAAAAAAAAGATTAGGCGGCATGACTCCAGCCTGGGCAACAAACTGAGGCAACACTCCCTCTCAAAAAAAAAAAAAAAATCAGCATTTTTCATTGTTATAACTATACAATACAGATAAACAGAACTATGTATTATGATTACTTTTTCTTTCCTGCACATTTGTTTGGTACACAGTTAATTCCTTTGCTGGGTGTTCTATGTAATTATAATTCAACCCCTAACTTTTGTTCTAAATACATTCAACTAAAAATATTATGTAATTCTATCAATTTTATTGTCTTGAAAGCACTCTTTGAGCCTTCCAACCTGCTGCACTCTAGACTTTTTGTCTCCAGGCCTGTCATCTCTGGCGCTCTTCATCATATTGGGGATCCTCCCTCTCACCATGCTGGACCCTCTGCTTCCTGGATCCTACACTCTCTACTTGTTTGATTTATGACCTTATTGCAGTGGGAGCACATCCTCCAGTAGTTTCCAAAATGAGAAGGCCTTACATACCTAAAAGTGTCTTTCTACTACCATTTGAGTGTATAGAGAATTTTAAGTTGGAAATAACTGTCCCTCAGAATTGCACAGGCAAAATGCTCCATGTTCTTGTGGGTTTCCCACACTGCTACTAAGAAATCTGGTGCCATTATGACTCCTGGTTGTTTATATGAAGCCCTTCTCCCAGCACTCCACCCTACCACCCCAGCTCTTTGGAAATCTGCAGAACCAGTTATTTGTTCCCACTGTCTCAAAATTTCATGACAGTGTGCCCAGGTCCAGATTATTTTTACAGACTATGCTAGATGCTCCATAAGCCCTCTCAGAAAACATATTATTTTTGGCTTTGGAGTATTTTCTTGATTCATTTTTGATTATTTATTTCCCTCCATTTTCCTTCTGGAATCCTGGCATTCGGGTGTTACAACTCCAAAAATAGGTATGTAAAATTACATTCCCAAGAGCTTTTTTATATATTATCCAACTTTTGTTTCAAAAATTCAATATACAATATCCCCAAGGATAATGACAGGTTTCAGTTTTCCTTTTAAAATTTTTACTGGTCTTGTCTAATCTGTTTGTTTTGAACTTATTTTTTTGGACCTGGTTTCATCTTTATATTCCATACACAGAGGTTTCCTTCAGTGTTTGGTGAGATCCTTGGCTTTGCTTCTGTAGAAAGGGCACTGGAACTCTGGGTGAATGATGGGGCTGTTAAGTGAGAGCTATACTTTGAATGATCTGGTAGCACCATTTCTTTGGGGAGATAAGATTTCCTAAAGAGGGCTCTTTCCCATCTCTTACCTAGACAGTGTAAGTCCAGCTGCTAGGGAGTCAGGAAGTCAGGTACAGAACAAGGGCACAGATGCCAATATGCAAATATGCTTACTGCCACTTAGCTCCCCAACACATATACCTCATCTCTGCCTCATGTTTCCCAGCCTAGAGACTCTCCCCAATCTCTTGATAGGGTGCAGGAGAGAGAGCTGTCCAGGGGAACAGAGTAGGGAAGGCGATCTTGTGTGTTCCAGTTCCTTCTTAAAACAGACTTTAACCAGTCTTTCTGTTTTTAGCCTCACTTTCATCCTCACTTCCAGTTGCTTGTGCCATCAATTTCTGAGCCTTTCACGGATTCTCCATTATAACCCAGCTTGTTTCTCAGATTTCCAAGCTGATAAAGCTTAGAATCATTCTGCTAGGTTAGTTAACCATTCAACTTTCTAAACGTTCTAAATTACCAAATTTAGATGCTGTCTCTTCTCTGCTCTTCATTTTTGTCCTTGTGAGTACATAACCCTTTCTAATTCATTGCATTTTATTGGAGTTTGGGGAGGAGGTAAAAATAAATTATACATGGGTTCAATACACCAACTTTAAGCCTGTCACTAATCATCTGTAAGAATTATTTGTATACATTAAGTACTCTGAAAATTTTAAAGTACATATATAGTATGCAATCTTTTAAAATAACTTCCAATCTTTCACTGTTATAGCTTGAGAAGTCAACATAAAAAGAACTCAATGAAGCCAGTTACAAGCGCTTGATCAATGTTTAGAAAAGTTGGTTTTAAAAACACAACGAACATTTTTCTCCACTCGTAAACTATGCCCCTTAAAAATACAAGCAAAAAGCAACTGATTACAAATACTGGTGGCCAGACACAGTGGCTCGTGCCTGTAATCCCAATGCTTTGGAAGGCTGAAATGGGACGATCGCTTGAAGCTAGGAGCTGGAGACCAGCCTGGGCAACATAGCGAGACCCCTGTCTACAAAAACTTAAAAATGGGCCAGGCGCAGTGGCTCACGCCTATAATCCCAGCACTTTGGGAGGCCAAGGCAGGTGGATCACAAGGTCAGAAGATCGAGACCATCCTGGCCAACATGGTGAAACTCCATCTCTATTAAAAATACAAAAATTAGCTGGGCCTGGTGGCATGTGCCTGTAATCCCAGCTACTCAAGAGGCTGAGGCAGGAAAATCACTCGAACCAGGGAGTCGGAGGTTGCAGTGAGCCAAGACTCTGCCATTTCACTCCAGCCTGGTGACAGAGTGAGACTCCGTTTCAAAAAAAAAAAAAAAGAAAGCTTAAAAATAAACTAAAATAAATATTGGAAAATAAACTCGAAACTTAGCTTATGTCTTCAATATAGATAACAGCATTATTTCTATATATAAAAGATATATTTTAATTTCCTTCCACTGATGTGATATACTTATTACATTTTATATTTGCTAAATGCAAGTAATCTTCATTTATATATTATATTTATATATTTATATTTCTTATATTTATATTATATTTATAATTTATATATTATATATATGTAAAATATACATAAGATATATACATTTTATTTATATATATATATATATCTCCCCTCTTCCAATACCATTGAAGCCAAGAATTTTCCATTTATTTTATTCCCCTAAGGCTTAGAATTTCTCCTTTCCTTCTTTTGAAAACTGGCTGCTATTTATGATGGCACAACCAGCCTGGTCTCATGTCACACTCCACCAAATGCCAGTTCACAGTGACCCTTGGCAATGGTGAAGGAGGTAAAACGGAAGGGACAGAAATGGCTTGCGGTAGCGCCCCCTGGGGGTAGTTCAGTGTCTTAAACGTCTCAAACCCATCTAACTCTTCCAAAAAAAGACGCAGTCTATTCTTTACAGTGCCACCCCACTTTTTGAAAACATAATAAAAAGATGGTTTTTGCTTAAGGATAATATGAACTTCTACTTAAAGGTCAAAGTAGCTACACTTCAGTTCTCACATAACACACAACTATCAAAATCACTTGTTTTTCCTTATATGATTTACATTTAAAAATAAAAAGGAGGAAGAAAATCTTTCTATGGAAGCATCCAATCATTACTGACAGAAAAATTTCAAAACTTTGTTATCTTTGCCTCTACTCTGGATGCTCTAGTTTTCTCTAGTATCTCTAGCTTGCAGTTTAAAATCCTTGTAACACATCAAAAAGCCTACTCTCTGTTTTTAGGGCATAAGTAGAGAAGAGAAGCTAAGTGGTTGTGGTTGTGCTTCTGTTCAGAAGCAATGAGTGATTAAATGAACCTTAAGAGTATAACCTAGTTGTAATTTGAGAGGCTACCAACAATAAGTAAAGTAGTATCCTTGGGAATAATAATTGTTAATAATTACAATGAAGAACACATTTCAAAACAATACGGGCAATTAGGAAAAATCAAATACTTAAGTTTTTAGGACAAAATATGGAAATTCTCTATTAAGTGGTTTTTAAAATATGTTGCTGAAACATAACTAACGGAAGAACCAGCTCTTTTGTACTTACAGCACAGAATTCTTCAAAGGATATTCTTCCATCTCCATCCTTATCTGCATTTATTATGGTTTTGTCTACAATTTGCTGTAACTGTGTATCTTTCAGATTGTTCCCCACCATCATCTTCAATACCTGGAAGAGTTCCCCATTGGAAATATAGCCATCTTTATCCATGTCATAGATACGGAAAGCAACTAAAAAAAAGGAAGGAAAATCAATTCCAATTACAAAGCAATCACAAGTAAATGCTTTCAGTAAGAAAGAAAATAGTAAACTGACAAACATCAAAATTATGACTATGAGGATGTCTCCTTCCTTAAAATAGAGTTGTCCTTAGGCACAGTTTAACATAGTTGGTTAAACGTACGGGCTTTTGAGACTGCCTGAGCAGATTTGGTGGAGCTTAGAGTAGGTTAACTATCCCTGCTAAGCTTCAGTTTCTACACAGATAAAACTGGATATAGTAACAACTCCAACCTCTCCGGTTCTTTAGAACATTTCTTCCCACTTTCACTAAAAAAATCTCTTCTCTAAATTACATATGTAGTTTTACATGGCTGTTTTCAGCAGAAAGAAACTGTTTTCCTTCTATCCAACTAAAAGCAGCAATGACACATTATTCAAATATAGTAGTTGGAAATGTCCTAAAAGGATTTTCACCAGAATGTAAAATTTCAGTTATGTCTAAGGATCTGGAATAAAAGACATCTTTTTCATTATTTTAAAAAGCATTCTATAATACAGTATGAAATGATGGTAGTATAAGAGAATGAAGTCAGTGAAGAAAAATACTTACACCTCAATTTCTGCTCCTTATCTCCTTTGACACTGAACTGAGAGACGCCCTCAATGAATTCTGAATAAGAGTTAAAAATGTTCACAAATCAGAACTTCCAATTTTTTACACAAAAAACATATTTACCTTACATACCCACAAAAGGATATTTCCTTGCTGCAAAACAGAAGTACTACTAGCAACGTTTAAAAATAAAATTGCCAAATTTGAAACCTCAACAAACAAGGTCTCTCTGTATTTTTTTTATTTGAACTTGGAGTTCTCTAAGGTCAATCAATTTGAACAAACATTTGTTAAGTGCAAGATAAAAGAACACTCAAAACATATTATTTAAGTTGTTTAACTCTTCCCTCTTAGAATATGACTGTAACAAGGGGCTTTAAAAAAAAACCCACTATAAATTGTTCTGACACACACAAAAAACTTTAGCCTTCTGTTTCAAAATTGTGAATCAAATATGCTGTTAGAAGTTTCATGACAAATGATCATTTTTCTTCACTGCCTGATAAGCACTAAATCATAATCAGTTTTATATCCCTCCACTTATAATTGTCCAAACTAAAATAAAATCTATTGACAAATCCCTTGTGAAATGTTTATTTACTTGTTAAAACAAACAAAAAAAAAAACTGGCTTGGCGCGGTGGCTCATGCCTGTAATCCCAGCATTTTGGGAGGTTGAGGCACGTGGATCACTTGAGGTCAGGAGTTCGAGACCACAGCCTGGCCAACATGGTGAAATCTCGTTTTTACTAAAAATACAAAAATTAGCCAGGTGTGGTGGCACATGCCTGTAATCCCAGCTACTCAAGAGGCTGAGACAGGAGAATTGCTTGAACTCAGGAGGCGGAGGCTGCAGTGAGCCGAGATTATACCACCACATTCCAGCCTGGGCAAAAGAGCGAGACTCCATCTCAAAAAAATTAAATAAATAAATAAAAGGAATTGCAGCTTCTAATGTATATAAGAATATACAGTATTGCCCTAAAGTGAGATTAATTTTCTAAAAAGAAAGGAAATACTGAGTCCCCCCTGCTTTTTGGTAGATTATCCTAAAGAATGACTTAATCATTTATGAACCACAGAGTAAAATGTCCTAGTTCATTAAGGTGTATATGCCACAGACGCTGAGGTTTTAACATAATCTATTATTGTAAGGTCACTAGGAATATAAGCACTTTTTTTTTTTTTTTACACAGAGCTGTAAGAATACAAATAGGTTAGATAACTTGTGGTTATAAAAAATAACTACTTTCTTACCTTTAAA
Source organism: Homo sapiens (assembly GCF_000001405.40). Classification (NCBI taxonomy): domain Eukaryota; kingdom Metazoa; phylum Chordata; class Mammalia; order Primates; family Hominidae; genus Homo; species Homo sapiens. Next base: position 68,188,521 of record NC_000002.12, read on the forward strand.
GTCTACTTCTCCATTCCCATCTGTGTCGAATATATCTATTACTCGCTGTACTAAAGGATTCTGTTGTAACTCAGGCAGAGACATGAACTCTTCCACACTCAAAGAACCAGAATTGTCCAAATCAAGCTTCTTAAATCTCTTTCCTAGCCTTTTAATTTCATCCGCATCAACTAAAAGCAAACAAAAAAGGAAGCAAGAATTTTTTAAAAATGTTCCCAAATCCTTTCTAATGGGCAGTAGCAAGATTTTAAAAAAAATTTTAATAGTTATAGGGGGGAAAAAAAATCTAACAGTTATCCAATAGTTTAATTTCCAATTTGATAAAAAGAGGTATATATTATGTTAACTAATTTATTCTAATAGAGTAAGTACAGCATAAATACTTGTATTTGGTTACCTTTCTGTTTGTTTGCACCTGCCATTACATACATCCGCTGTATGCTGAGTCTCAAGATATTCCAGGCCGGATAATGCTAAGCTGATCATGGAGGTCACAAAAGATTATTTCAGGACTGACAATGCTAAGCTGATCACGGAGGTTCTACCAGACAGGTTCAATCAACCTCTGTTCTGTAAACCGAAGTACTTTCATTTTCATTTTTCTTGTTAAATTTTAATTTACTTTATTTCTAATAGTTCATGACTCAAAAATTCAAAGGGTATTCAAAATTCAAAGTTTCCCTCCCTTCCCACCCCGAGATATCCATTTCCTTTCTCTGAAAGCAACGTTGCCAGTTTCCTAAATATTCTTCCAGAGATACTTTGCAAGTTTGAGCAAATAAGCCAGTTTTTACTTAACAACCAAATAGCTAACAAAATTCACTTATCAACACTTTAAAAGAGAAAGAATAACTAAAAAGAAATGTTTACATTAGTTTGTAAGTAATCCATAAAAATTCAGTGTCAGGTCTCTTATATAAATTCTTGAAACAACAGGTTTAAGCTATTTTCTTCTAAATTACATCATTTTCATTCCTTTAAAATATCTGACTAATACACATAAGTAATTTTGATCATGACTTTATAGAAATAATTACAAATATATTTTTTAAATTAAATACAACGGGCCAGGCGCAATGGCTCACGCTTGTAATCCCAGCACTTTGGGAGGCCAATGTGGGCAGATTACTAGAGGTCAGGAGTTACAGACCAGCCTGGCCAACATGGTAAAAACCCCACTTCTACTAAAAATACAAAAATAAGCCGGGCATGGTGGCACGCACCTCTAATCCCAGATACTCAGGAGGCTGAAGCAGGAGAATCGCTTGAACCCAGGAGGCGGAGGTTGCAGTAAGCTGAGATCACGCCACTGCTTTCCAGCCTGAGTGACAGAGTGAGACTCCATCTCAAAAAATTAAAAATAAAAATAAATTAAATACAACAACTTTTAAAAAGAAAATTAAGAAGGCAAATGTTATACTGCCCATGAGTATATATGTATTATGGCCCACAACACTAGAAAAGAGTACAAATACAAGCTGTTTTGACAGCTTAAATATATGGCATCCTCACTGTAAGAACTTAAAAATTAAAGCATATATTTTAAATATAAATTATATTAAAATAGAACTATATACTATCAAAGTAAAAACTACAGCTACAAGATGGTGTTCTAATATGAATTAGTTCACACGTAATTCGTAAAGAGGAAGGAGAGTAGTATTGTCAGTAATCATGGAAATTTCACTGGTTCACAGGGATTTTTCACAGTAAAGGATCAGGGCAAGTTTCTCTTAAAAAAAAAAAAAAAAAAAAAAAAAAAGGCCGGGTGCAGTGGCTCACGCCTGTAATCCTAGCACTTCAGGAGGCCAAGGCGGGTGGATCACCTGAGGTCAGGAGTTTCAGACCAGCCTGGCCAACGTGGTGAAACCTCGTCTCCACTAAAAATACAAAAATTAGCCGGGAGTGATGGCAGGGCGCCTGTAATCCCAGGTACTTGGGAGGCTGAGGCAGGAGAAGCGCCTGAACCTGGGAGGCGGAGGTTGCAGTGAGCTGAGATCGCGCCATTGAACTCTAGCCTGGGCGACAAAAGGGAAACTCCGTCTCAAAAAACAAACAAAAAAAACCCCTCAATATATGAAGACCTTAAGAAAACAATAGTGAAGAGGTGCTTTCCTTTAGAGAAAACAAGTTTAGGGGCTTTAAGAACCTCAAGTCTTTCTAAAATTGTTATGTTGTCTGGTGAAAACTAAGGACACAGATGAAGTTGTGAAGACAATTTCTTTTGTTTTTATGCTCCCCCTCACCCCCACAACTATTAATAAAGGTAGGCATACATTGGCTCACTACTGAATTTTAGAAAAGTAGTTTCTACTAAAGCAAATAACTTCAACCTGCACCATACCTTAAAAGAAGCACAAGTCCCCGTTTAAGGCTCATAAGTGATGGGCTATGGTGTTTCATTTGTACAGTTAATTTGTACTTGCATTTTTAAGATCATTACTGTTTATGTTAATACTCTGTTACAAACAAAGCTGCATAATTTGAATGGTCTACTCTATCCATATTTTTCCCAGATGTGATTTCATGGCATCTGAGGTTTTCTAGAACACATGTATCAGAAATGCTGTGATGAAAAATTTATGTAAATACTGCTGCAAACACCAAAATACACATACAGTCAGTCATGAGTCACTTAACGATGGGGTTACACTGAGAAACACATCATTAGATTTCATCATTGTATGAACATCAGAGTGTACTTACACAAACCTATGTGGGACAGCCTACTACACACCCAGGCTATATGGTCCAGCCTATTGCTCCTAGGCTACAAAATCTGTACAGCATCTTACTGTACTGAATACTGTAGGCAATTGTAACACAATGCTAAATATCTGTGTATCTGAACATATCTAAACATTCAAAAGGTACAGTAAAAGTATAGTATGAAAATTTTACTTAAATGGTACACCTGTATAGGGCATTTACCATGAAAGGAGCTTGTGGGACAGAAGCTGCTCTGGGTGAGCCAGTGAGTGACTGGTGAGTTAATGTAAGGGCCTAGGATATTACTGTAGACTTTATAAACTCTGTACACTTAGGCTACACTAATGATGCATTACTCAATGCAACTCGTTGTTAAGTGACACATGACTGTACATGTATTTTCAGCTCCATTATAATCTTACGGAACCACTGTGTATATGTGGTCAGCCACTGACCAAAAATTATTATGTAGCACATTAATGTATATAAATAATCTGATAAAAAAGATCATATAAGCACTTCATAAGCACATCAACTACACAAGCATTTTATCCCTCTATTAAAGAGTATTCCTTCTTTAATGGAATATGTGACATAACTGCAAACTGTTCAAATAAACCTTATTTCCCCATTTTCTATCTATAAAATGACACACCCTTACTCTTGAAAGAGAAAAAATATAATGAAAGTCCTACAAATGCTTTTCGCTTATTTATTTATATGTCTACTCCACCTCAGGGCAGAGTCCATGACTTTTTCATTGGTGCTCTGAGCATCACATATAACAGGTGCTTAATTATGGTTTTAATAATGTTTTAAGTATTAATAAGTATTTCAAATGTAAAACTTATTGATTAAAATTCCATCAGTATTTAAAACTACTAGCTAACCAGGTACCAATCAGCAAACCATTCAGAACAGTGTCTCAAAGTTCATAGATTTTGCTGAAGAGCTACCCTCTCCACGCTTGCCTTAATTTTTTACACATATACCAAGGATTAGTTAATTATTTTCTTCTTCCAATCTTGAGTTTTGCCTTAGTTTACAACCATAGACTAGGAAAGGTGACAGGGAATTTAAACATAACAGATCACAAAGGTGATCTATTGTGAGTAGATAAGAAAAGATAATGTCTCCACAAACTTTAAGTGGACAAATCAGGATCATTTCTTCTAGGCTGTATGATTAATGGGAAGAGGAAAAGCAGAAATGTAGTATGATAATATTTATGCAAACTATTTATTAGTCAATTTATTGAAGTGGGGACATTAATTATAGTTTAGAAAGTTGTTTATCAAGAAACTGAAATTTAGGCACTTAAAGGATTGTTTTAGCTACTCAGAAAACTCCTCCAATCAAGAAGATAGCATTTCAGTCTTAATAAATGAATAAAAAATATTAAGAATACTTGAAAATCATAATCATAAATCAAATAAATATATGTGGTTCAATCCATCTTCTTTACATTGCCAACAGTAATCTTTCTAAAAGGCAAATTCAGCCAAACGGCTAGCTCCTGTGCTTTACATTTTCTAGTGGCTTTCTAATACAAAAAGTCTAAAGTCCTCGGCAATACTTAGCCTCAAATTTAAATTTCCATCTTATCTCTTTCCCCATTTCCTTTTCTTTGGCTACAATGCTCTTGGCACATCTCTGCTAAAGTATAGATTTTATACCTCCATTTCCTTATAAACCTCCTGCTGGAATGGCCTTGCCTGAATTCTCCATTTATGAGACACCTATCAATTTTTCTCTGATAAAAGAAAGGGGTTACTAATGATTTATCTTATAGTTGTATCATTATCTCACTCCCTGGCAAAGGCCCTTAGAAGGAGTAGTTAAATTTTATTTACTTGTTTTAATATCTTGTGAAACATTATAAAGTAGTTGATATCTGCTCTGGATGAGTAGTCAAAACTTTCCTCAAAGGCAAAGCAATGTGCCAGTGATCACATTTTACCTTGACAATAAATGACTTCTTAAAAAGCCCCTTTAATATGACTAGGAGGGAACAAGCTCTATCTAATCTTTCCATTCATCATCATTCCCACATACCCCATGTAGCTAAAACTGATCTTGAGCTAAGAAGCCAGTGCAGCATGTATGGGGGCAGTTATCTTTTCTCCAACCACTCATTTATTTCCTCATCTCCCTCCCCTCCTTTCAGCTACGATTACGATGATGAGTAAGATGGACTAAATACTCAGTATTTACAATCTAGTCGAGGCTGAGCAACTAGAGGAATCCATACCTAAATATCCAGAATATTTTTAAATGGCCAGCTTGGAAAGCAAAGCCAGGAAAAAATTTTAAAGCCAAGATCTACGAAAGTCAGCTTTCAAGAACAAATGGTAAATATAGTTATTTTAGGTATCAAACAAAATGATTTCTTTGGTCATTACTGGCACCTGAGGGGCAGTTATTTAAGCACTTCCACTTGCCAGCAGTGTTGCTGTGCTACAGTAGGATATTAGAGTATGAAACAGAGTTTTAATTCTTGAAATATCGGCATTAGCAATCACCTACAAATTAGGAACAGATCTCTAAAGCAGATCAAACCCATCTTGTTAGCACCATTAAATTTAGTTTCAGTATATTTATAGAAGATCTGCACTTAGTACCAGTTAAATACTGAAGAACAAATTCTAACTTTTGGCGCCAATTTTCATTAAATATATTTTTTTCCTGCTGCTTAGGATCATATTCCCTTAAAAGAGATGGACAAGGAAAAACAAACCTCACCCTCTTGACTCATCTTGTGACTCAGAGATACTCTTTTTCATATGTTTTGCCAGGTTGAAACTCATGTTATTTTTCTACTTTTTGGAAGGACAACTTTGGGAGGAATGCCTTAACAGTTGAAAATGCCTACATATTCAATTGACATTATATTAGACAAAATATTAAAATAATCTTCAAGTCATATACTGTTATCTAAAATTTAAGCAAGGTGGCAAAAACTTAGATATTTTAGTCAGAGTTTATAAAACATAAAAAGTTACTAATAAGGAATTGGTAGATTGTTTATACAGAAAACAGACTGTTGAGACTTAACCTCGATCAATTGCACTCTGACGGTTCTCACGGATAAATGTAAAATTCAGATGGTAACTCATTTTAAAAAGTGACTTCAAGAATCTTGTTAATGTTACTACATGAAAGTATTAAGAACTTGCTTTTAGAGAGCTCATGTTGCTACACTAAATTTTAGTATTTTCAACTGGACATATTAATACTGCAGCAATATAATATTAATAGAAATAGAAGGTTACATATTCATTCATCACACTTTCAGATGATGAAACATAAATCATCTCCCTTATATATTTCTCTCATTTAGAAAAAAAGAATACAAGAAATTTCAAAATAGTAAAGAAAAGACCACAGTGTTCTGGTTCTGAAAGCATTGCTATTAATACATACACACCAAGCTGCTATTCAACTGTTGGGATTAAAAGTAAAGACAACTTAAAGCAGTGTGAACTGTTTTAGGTGATGCTAAAATTTTTCAGAATGAAGAGAAAATGAAATAAACAGAATGGTAGAAAAACAAAACTTTCCTCAAATTTTAGCCAATTCCCAATAATTGTATAGTAGAAAAAAGCAACAAGACTATTGCTTCATCAGGAAATTCTTTTAATAGCTACTTTACAAATAACTTATTACCTATTAATACACCAACTGATTTAAAACAAAGCAAGTATCTCTAAATTCTAACAATAATATTTTGAAAGAAACAACTATATGTAATGTGGGATCCAGGAGAGAATCCTGGAAAAGAAAAAGAACACTCTCCAAGTTTCACCATTTTTTTCACTCATGTATGTGGTTTAATATTCTTTAGCCAATGTTAATTTCTTGATGTTGATAACTGTACTATAATTCTGTGAGATGTTAACATCCCCACTTGGCTGAGGGGTATTCAAGAACTCTATTATCTTTGTAACTTTTTTGTAATTTCTCCTGAGTCTTGGCTCCAATTTGTGACAACTCTTGATTGATTGTCTTTCATGACCTTGAAACTTATGATCCAGTATTTTGTAAAACTTCCCTCAGTTTGAGCTTCCTGTTTTCTCATGATTAGAATGCATTTAGGCATTTGGGGCAAGAATACCACAGAAATGATATTGTGTCCTCCAGTACACTGTATCAAGGGGCTCATGACATCAATATGTCTTATTACTAGTGATGTTAACTTTGATCACTTGGCCAAGGTGGTGGCTGCCAGATTTCTCCACTATAAATCTACCATCTTTTCCTTTGCAGTTAAAAAAATATCCTGGGAGGAGAGGGGGTAGGGAATACTTTGAGACTGTGCAAATACTCTTTTCTCCTCAAACTCTGACCTAATTTTGGCATCCATCAGCAGGTCCTGTCTGCCACATTTATTACCGTGGTATTTGCCTAATGAAAAATTTCTTTTCCCGTCTTTCTTTCTACATTAATTGGGATGCTCCTGTAAAAAAAATACAAAACCAAAACCAGTGCCTTCTCCACCATTTATTTATTAAAATACTTACATCAGCATGGACTCATGAGTATTTTAGTACATGAATTAAAATCCAATACTATCATTATTTTGTTAGTCAAATTGTTCCAGCTTTATTAGGTCTTTATTAGATCTTCAGGTTGGCTCCTATGCGGCCTTTCCAACAACCTTTTTTTTTTTTTTAAGTACTTCCTTAATTTCTGGCACCATAATATGTTCAAGGCTTATCCCAACTATACGTACTATTTCTAAGACACGATTCTCCAATCTCTTTTGTACAGCAAGAAATTTAGAACCATATTATAGGATGAGAACTATTAGAAACTACTACTCCAATACAGGATCCCGGAATCTCTATCTTAGAGGTGTTTTGGAAAAAAGCCATCAGACATGGCAAAATTATCTATGGAAAAGCTTGTACTGAATAACTCCTGTGAAGATCACAAAACAAAAAACCTCATAGTGTTATCAACAGAAGTTACTGAGAAGTTTTTCAACATAAAGATTAACTTAAAAGCTTTACAGTTTTTTATAAAGACACCTCCTACGAAGGTAAATGGCTGTATTTTCATGTGACCCCAATGAGAAGTAAAATCCACCAGGGGGCGCAGCAGATAAAACCTTCAAAAAGCTCCAAAAAAATTTTCCAGTTTTATAATGATCTTGTTGTGTACCAAGTGGAAGTTTAATATTTATATTCTGCACAGTTTGACTACCAAATGAACAAAGCAAAGAGAGCACCCTATCAGTATTATGACAGACTTGAAATAGTATATTATGAAATGAACACAGGTCATACATGTATGTGTTGTACCTTTTCTTAAATACATGAAAAACTCATCCACTTAAAAGGTCTACATTCGAGAAATATAATCTTAGACTGCAAAAAGTAATGAGTCTTTTTGGAGCTCCTAGATTTCTTACATACTTTAAAGATTATCATGCAATTGTCAAATATGCAAAAACTCGGTATCACCACCAACAAAAGAAGTATCACATTTTAATAAAAATGCTATTTTTTTTTTTAATGGAGACTCACTCTGTCACCCAGGCAGGAGGGCAGTGGTGTGATCTCAGCTCACTGTAACCTCTGCCTCCTGGGTTCAAGCAATTCTTCTGCCTCAGCCTCCGGGGTAGCTGAGATTACAGGCGTGCGCCACCACGCCCTGCTGATTTTTGTATTTTTGGTAGAGACGGAATTTCACCATGTTGGCCAGTCTGGTCTTGAACTTCTGACCTCAGGTGATCTGCCCACCTTGGCCTCCCAAAGTGCTGGAATTACAGGTGTGAGGCACAACGCCTGGCCTAAAAATGCTAAAATAATTTAAGCCAACTTTGAGGAATAACTACCTTCAAATGATGCATTATTAAGTATATGGTTATATAAGTTTTGACAAATGCATATACCTATGGAAGCATCACTACCATCAAGATAAAAGAACATTCCATGACCCCTAAACACTCCCTTGAGCCCTTTTGCAGTCAATCACCCTTTTCTTACCACCCTAGGCAACCACTGTTCTTTCTATAACTAAATTCTATCTAGAATTTCATGTCTACAGGATCATACAGTAGGTACTCGCGTCTATCTTCTTTTACTCACCAAGTTTTTGACACTAATCCATGTTGTTGCATGTGTCAGTTTGTTCCTTTATACTGCAGAGCAGTATAGTCCATTATATGGATATACCACAATTTGTTTATGCATTCATCTGTTGACAGACATTCCTGTAAAGCTACTATAAATATTAATGTGTATTTCTGTAAACAAACGTTTTCCTGGAATTGCTGGGTCACAGGGTTAAGTTTTCAGAAACTGTCAGTTTTCCAAAGTAATGTACCATTTTACTCTCCCATCAGCAATATATGATTATTTCAGTAGCTCCACATCCTTGCTAACAAGTGGTATTGCCTATTTTTTCATATATTTTTATTAGTGAATTGTGCTTTTAAAAAAAAAGCGTTATGTAAAAGATTTGTGAAATTCTCTATATACTGATCCAAGTCCTTTGTTAGGTATTTTCTAATAGTATTTTCTCCCAGTCTGTGAGCTTGCCTTTTCATAGGTGTATTTTTAAAACCAAAACCTTTCAATATTAATGAAATAGAATTTTTTCCCTTTATGATTCCTGTTTTGTGTGTACTAAAAGTCTTTACCCATCCTTGATCATGAAGATTTTCTCCTGTTTTCTTCTAGATGTTCCATTGTTTTATGTTTAAATCTATGACCTACGTTATATGCCTTTTAAATATATGATACATATAGAAAAATAATGACTTTTTATTCCATACAGAAATACAGCTGTTTTGTTGAAAAGGCTCCCTTTACAACGGCACCTTTGGCAAAAAAAAAAAAAAAAAAAAAAAAAAAGCATATATATGTAAACATATATATGTAAATATATATGTAAACATGTTTACATATACAATACACATATATGTAAATATATACATACATGTATATATAATATATATTTACATATATGTGCATACATATATACATTTTACATATATGTATACACATATGTACATACATATGTATACATACATATGTGTATGCATGTATGTGTATACACATGTATACATGTATACATATATGTATATACATATGTACATATATGTACATGTATATGCATATATATGTACATATATGTACATGTATATGCATATATATGTATATATATGTGTATGTATATGCATATATACGTATATATGCGTGTGTATATATGTATATACATATATACGTATATATGCGTATGTATATATATGTATATACATATATATGTGTATACATATATGAATGAATGAGTCTGGACCCTCTATTCTGTTTCATTGATTTTAGTCTACCTTATGCCAGTACCACAGTGTTATGTTTTATGGTAAATCTTTAAATCGAGGAGCTGTACTTTTACTTTGTTCTGTTTTAAAATGCTGACTCTTCTAAGACCCGTGCATTTCCACATGGAATTAACCATCAGTTTGCTAAATTTTTTAAAATCTTGTTAAGAATTTGATTGGGAAGGTCTTGAGGAAGCTATAGATAAGTCTGAGTAGAACTGACATCTTTGTAACAAGTCTTCTAATCTATGAATGCGGTATATATCTTCATTTGTGTAGGTCTTTTTAAGTTCCAATAATTTTCTGTAATTTGGAGTACAGATTTTACACATATCTGGTTAAACTTATACCTGAGTATTTTACAATTTTACTCTATTATGCATGGTACTTGTCCATTTCATCTTTATTTGTATTATTATTTTTTTAAGATGGAGTTTTGCTCTGTCACCCAGGCTGGAGTGCAGTGGCACGATCTTGGCTCACTGCCACCTCCGCCTCCTGGGTTCACACCATTCTCCTGCCTCAGCCTCCCGAGTAGCTAAGAATACAGGCAAGTGCCACCATGCCCAGCTAATTTTTTTATTTTTAGTAGAGATGGGATTTCACCATGTTGGCCAGGATGGTCTTGATCTCCTGACCTCGTGATCTGCCCACCTCAGTCTCCCAAAGTGCTAGGATTACAGGCGTGAGCCACCGCTCCCAGACCCATTTCATTTTTAATTGTTCTTTACTATTATATAGAAATTACACTGTTTGGGTATATTATCCTTGTATCCTACAATCTTGCCAAATTCACATCAGTCCTAGTAACTTAACATTTGCTATATATATAAAACCATGTCATCTGGGAATAAAAACAATTTTACTCCTTCCTTTCCAATCTCAAGTCTTTTTCTTTTTCTTGATCATGTTGTGACTAGGACTTCAAATACAACGTTGATTAGAAGTGGTCAAGAGTGGAAAATCTTGTTTTCTTCCCCAATCTTAGGTAGAAACGATTCAGCCTTTCATCATGAGATATGAGTATGAACAAAGTAAAGGTTTTTTAGTAGATGCCCAATATCAGGCTGAGGAAGTTCCCTTCTATTCCCAATTCGCTAATATCATGAATAGATATTACATTTTGCCAAACACTTTGCTGTAATTACTGAGAAGATGTTTTTCTCTTTTGTCAAAATAGTAAATTACATTAATTTTTGAATGTTAAAATTGCATTACTGGTATAAAAATCCCCTTGGTTGTGTTTTATCATCCTTTTTACACACCACCGAATTTGACTTGCAAATACTAAATGATTTTTTGCACATATATTCTCAAATAATGTTGGTTTATATTCCATATTGATTTTATTATAATGTCTTTGGTATTACCATCAAGGTAATGCTAGCTTCTATTTTCTAAGAGTCTAGATAAGACTGTGTTTCTTTCTTTCTTTTCATTAAATTTGATAGAATTTACCAGTAAAGCCGTTTGACCTTACTATTTTCTTTGTAGAAAGATTTTGAAATATGAATTCAATTTTATTAACTAATAAAAGGCTATTAAGATTTACTATTTCCTCTTATTGTCAGTTTTAGTAATTTGTTTTGCAAGGAATTTGTCCATTTCATCTAAGGTATGGAACTTATTGGCATAAAATTGCTTCTAACATTCTTTTGTTATCCTTTTAACATCTGTAAGGATCTGCAATGATTTCAGTGCTTTCATTACTGATACTGTGATTGTGTTTTGTTTTCTAGATTGCTCCTTCAAAATATAAATACCACATACCACTGACTTCCTCCTTATATAAAAAATGACTAAAAATGACCAACACACTAGAACTCATTCACCCAATGGCGTCCAAAGATGTCACAAAAGAAGCTGAACATTTATAACAATCCTAAAAATACATTCTTAGAATTATTTTCAGTGCTCAGTGAGCTTCACGAGAAAATCTAGCATAGAAAAGCCATGTAACGTAAGCAGTCACAAGAAACCTTGAAGATGACAAACTCAAGATGAGGAAACAAACCCAAGGAGTGAGGTAAGCTGCTCGATGTTATAAAGCTTGATGACAAAGTGAGGTGACTGGGATTTCTTGAAATACTTTCTGATCTAATTTCTTTTCCTATGTTAGTTCCATCTGAAGAGTCAGCAAGGAGCCTTAGGCATCATTTCTATTCCCCCAACCTGCATTTCTGGGCTAAATGTGGAGAAAAGAGAATAAGAGTCTTCCCACTCTAGATTGATAAAAATCAGACCATGTTTTACTAAGACGTCCTTTCTAACCCTTCTCTCAACATGTATATTACCGTTTTTCCTACTGAAGGCCTGTGTATTATTGTTTTTCTCCTTTTGGTTTATCCACATTATGGTTCAAATCAATACAGGCAGTAAGTTAATGAAAAGCATGTATTCATAATATGATACAAATATACCTTCAAGTATTCTGTTATTAATAACCCTGCTTAAAGATATACTGTTTATTTTTTTAAACTAAAATGTATACTGCTTAGTTCAATGATACATCTTATTCAAAAGATCTGGCTCCTAAAGCATTTCTTTTTTCTATATATTAAGTCCAATCCCATCCCATTACATCACATTTTCCAGATCTTCCTCTTATTTTATCTACTGTTCCTATGTGATGTTGCATTTGAATGTTAGCTGCACCTTTCTTTAGCTTTGTACCACACTCCACTCCCCACCCTATTTTCCTTTAAAAAAAATTATATTTCCACAAAAGAATGCATATTTAAGAGTCTTCTTTTACTTTCAGCCTCCATTATTCAAGACTTACTTACACGTATGGCTCCTCCAAAGCTTAATGTGGTTTACTGCCAAGAATGTCATACTGCATCCCCCAGTTTCTTTTTTTTCTCTCGTTGACTTTTATCTTAACATTAAAAAATTCCACCACATAATTCATATAACGGCTTTTACTTTCTTCTTGAAGACATTCTTCACAGACAACTCTGCCATTTCGTTCTAATTTGAACCAACTGCTTTCTAGGCCTATGGCATAGTTGTTATCCTGAGATTTTCACTGGTGTGTTAGTTAGGAATTCCGTTTCTGGGGTCTCATTTCATCCTCTTTCTTGAACTTCTATTTCATTTTGCTAGGTACATATTCAAGAACTCGTTTAAGTTAACCTTCCCAAGTCCTTAAATTTCTGAAAATGTCTTTTTTTGTTCTCACATTTGAGTGATCATTTGGCTGTTATCAAATTCTGGATTAGAAACTCCGAACTTTGAATGTATTACTCCACTGCCTTCTACCAACTACTGCTGCTGTGAAGAAGTCCAATGCCAGCGGACTCCTATTCTTTTTAGGTAACAACTTCTATGTCTGGAGGCTTTTAGGGTTTTTTTACTCTTGAAATTTTAAAATTACAAAAGTTGAAACTAAACATAGATGTTCTTTCATCTAATCTTGGCAATCAGAATGCTTTTAAACAAAAGATTCAATTTTTCAAGAAAGAGAAATTTCTCCTTTTATTTCACTGATTATTTCCCCTTCTATGTTATCTAATACAGCTCCTGAAATTTCTTTCAGTCAGACGCTATCACTCTGTGTTCTCCAAATCATTCTTTCCTTGCACATTTTTCCATATCTTTTATCTTTTGCTCTAACATTCTGAGAAAGATTCAAGAAGTTTTATTTTTGTTACGCAGATAGCTAGACTTTTTCACTAGCTAAAGTAACTGATTTCTTCAAATTACTCAAATTTGTGCTAGATAACGAGATTACTATATGTCATGAACCTCATTACCGAAACTACAAATTTCTTAGTGCTGCCACAATACCAAAATTTGACAGTGTGGATAAAGCAAATAAAGCCAGTCCTTCCTTTTCTTTTTTCGTTTTTTGTTGTTGTTGTTGTTGTTGTTGTTGTTGTTTTTTGAGATGGAGTCTCGCTCTGTCTCCCACGCTGGAGTGCAATGACACAGACTCGGCTCACTGCAACCTCTGCCTCCTGGGTTCAAGTGATTCTCCTGTCTCAGCCTTCCAAGTAGCTGGGATTACGGGCACCCACAACCATGCCCGGCTAATTTTTCTATTTTTAGTAGAGACGAGGTTTCACCATGTTGGCCAGGCTGGTCACGAACTCCCGACCTCAGGTGATCCACTTGCCTCGGTCTCCCAAAGTGCTGGGATTACAGGTGTAAGCCACTGTGCCCGGCCAGTCCTTTACTTGAGACTACTTGTTTAAAAACTTGAAATATTTAATATATACTAGAGAGTTCAGGGAATTTTTTTTTTTTTTTTTTTTTTTTTTTTGAGACGGAGTCTCGCTCTGTCGCCCAGGCTGGAGTGCAGTGGCATGATCTCAGCTCACTGCAAGCTTCGCCTCCCAGGTTCACGCCATTCTCCTGCCTCAGCCTCCCGAGTAGCTGGGACTACAGGCACCCACCACCATACCCGGCTAATTTGAATCCAGGGATTATTAAAAACCGTCTGTAACACTAAAACAAGGTAACCCAAACTATTTAAGTTCATGTACTATACTTAAGAAAATCCTTTGTTCTTCTCGTCATTACTTAATTCTAATGCTTTACTGAGAGCAAGCAAAGCATAAGTAATTCTCAGTGACTAGGTGAATTAAATCAGAATTGAGATCACTAAATTACCAAGTAAATGATAAATGACAGCTGGTAAACTGTCTAAGAAACATTAACTGTATAATAAATTTATGAAGATGTTAATGTAAAGCAACAACTGCACAAGTCAATTTCAAAATTAACGGCATACAATGTTTTAACAATAAATGGCATTTTAGGGCCAGGCACAGTGGCTCACACCTGTAATCCCACCACTTTGGGAGGCCAAGGCGGGTGGATCACCTGAGGTCAGGAGTTCAACACCAGCCTGACCAACATGGTGAAACCTTGTCTCTAATACAAATACAAAATTAACCAGGTGTGGTGGCACATGCTTGTAATCCCAGCTACTCGGGAGGCTGAGGCAGGTGAATAGCTTGAACCCAGGAGGCAGAGGTTGCAGTGTGCCGAGATCGCGCCATTGCACTCCAGCCTGGGCAACAAGAAAGAAACTCTGTCTCAAAAAAAAAAAAATGCTGAAATGAAAGAGGAAATCAAATTAACTACAGATAACCTTTTTCTCTGAAAACACTGTTTTCAAAACAGCAAACCTCCCTGAGACGAATGTGATTAAGAGCAGACATTAACAGCAAAGTTATTATCCTTAAACTTTCACATCACCTGTAAATACTCAAACCAGAAACAAAACTGCCTGAATGTGAAACTGTTTACTAAAAACAGAAACAGCGTTCTAACGGCTAGAAGGGTTTCTACTGGCAGTTCATTATGCAAAAGGAGAGGTTCCTTCAGAGTCTGCCAAGCTCTTCTTAGGGGACCTTCTAACAAAAGAGAGATGAGACATCTTTTTAGATAAAAGATTTAATCTTTCACCTACATTTAGTCTACAAAACAGCCCTTGTGTTTACTAATTTTATCTAAACCACTCAGAATTACACTGGCTTTATCAAAAATTAGCTGAATCTGATTTTCCACTCTTACTTTCAATTGTGCCCCAATCTAGTCTTCTGCTTAAATTATCTAAGGTAGTATCTTGCACTCAGTCACTTTTCCAAAGTTATCATGCCAAGTTAGAACTAAGGCTTCCACTTTGAGCAAATCACCTCAACAGAGTATACATTTCCTAGTCCAGAGAGGTTAGCCAACAGACAGAAATAAAGTCACAACGGCCTAGAATAAATTCAATAAAAATCCAACACTGAATTGAATGACATATACATATATATACACACACACACTATATATATATATTCTGATATATATATATCAGAATACCTATGTCTTAGACAAATCTAGTCTTGCCTAGAATTATTCATGTAGACAATTATAACATTAATTTTGTAAGATTTACTGAAGACAGACTATATAATACTATGATTAAAAATATTGACTATGAAACATGATGGCCTAAGATCAAATCATGGCTTTGTTACTTCACCTGCTGTGTGACTTAAGCCAGTTATTTAAAGTCTCTTTGCTTCTATTTCCTCATCTGTACAATGGGGAAAGTAATTGTGCCCCTCTCCTGAGGCTAATATGAGAATTAAAAGAATTAATGTATGTAAAACGCTTAGAATAATTCCTGGGACATGGTAAGCACCATACCATTATGGATTGTTATTATTTATGAAAACAAATGGGGTGACTAGTAACTACCAGGTTTTCCCAAAGGTATACAGCCTTTAAAATTATCCAACGAGTTGTCTATGTAATCCAGCTCTGAGCTCTTGCTAGCTAATTCAGTCAACCAATTATTTACTCAGCATCTGCTTTATGCCAGGCATTATGCTTCCACTGTCAAAGTCCCAATTCTTTTACTGGTGAAAATTAGTTTGAACAGCCACTTATTATTAAAGTTTACAGTCTGCATGCCATTCTGAATTGTAATTAAATAATTATTTCTTATTGATTTTATTCTTGGTTACTTCCTTCTCCCCTTTTCCATTTATTTAAAAAGCCCCAACTTTTCAATAATAGAAAATTTCAAACACACACAAAGTTTGAAAAAAGAGTATAATGAATTCTATATGCTCATCATCCAGTTTCAACCATTAAACATAAGAAAAATGTTATCTATATCCCACCCCAGTTATTTCAGAGCAAATCCCAGACATATCATTTCCTTGTAAGTAATCAGTATTATCTTTTTTTTTTTTTTTTTTTGAAACGGCGTTTCACTCGTTGCCCAGGCTGCAGTGCAATGGCGCAATCTCAGCTCACTGCCACCTCTGCCTCCCGGGTTCAAGCAATTCTCCTGCCTCAGCCTCCCAAGTAGCTGGGTTTACAGGCATGCACCACCATGCCCTGCTAACTTTTTACATTTTTAGTAGAGATGGGGTTTCACCATGTCAGTCAGGCTGGTCTCGAACTCAGGTGATCCACCCACCTCGGCCTCCCAAAGTGCTGGGATTACAGGGGTGAGCCACTGCACCTAGCCTAAACAGTATTATCTCTAAAAGATAAAAACTCTTTAACACATCATAACATTATCACACCTAAAAATTAATTATTTGGTATCAAATAATCAGTGTTCAAATTTCCCCAAAGGTCACAAGTGATTTTGTAGATTTTTTAAATCAATCCAGATGTGGCAATTAGACAATGTGTTGATAAAATGAAGATGACCTTGATAGCAGTGTCCGTGGAGTTATAGCAGCCGAAAGCCAGATTGCAGTAGACCAAGAAATTAGCAGAAATAAGGAAATAAAGGTGATTGTGTAGGCTCTTCTTTTTTTTTTGAGAGGGGGTTTCGCTCTTGTTGCCCAGGCTGGAGTGCAATGGCGCGATCTCGGCTCACAGCAACCTCCACCTCCTGGGTTCAAGCCATTCTCCTGCCTCAGCCACCTGAGTAGCTGGGATTTAGGGATGCGCCACCACACTCGGCTAATTTTGTATTTTTAGTAGAGACGGGGTTTCTCCATGTTGGTCAGGCTGGTCTTGAACTCCGGACCTCAGGTGATCCGCCCGCCTCGGCCTCCCAAAGTGCTGGGATTACAGGCGTGAGCCACCGCGCCCGGCGGCTCTTAAAAGGTTCAAATACGTGAAAGAACAGAGAGAAACTTCCAGGTACATGCAGGATCAAAATCAAAGAGAAGTCGACTGTGTTATAAACTGAAGAGAGGAAGAAGCTGAAGACATATGGGAAAATAAAGAGAAACTTAACAAAGTAAGATCCTAGAGATGAGATAGCACAAGATCAAAAGCACAGGGGAAGGGCTAACCATGAAAAAGGGAGGCCTGATACTGAAGGAAAGGAGGTTAAGATTAAATGTGAGATCAGACAAGTTTCTCTTGTGGCAGGCAGAGGTGAGGGGGGAGGCCAACACTTAAATCATCCCCAAGTTTTCTCAGTCCCTAGTTTTCTCAAGCATTAGGAGCAAAATCATTTATTAAAACCAGGTAATGCAGGCAAGTTTGGGTAGAATGCTGATGATGTCGGTAACATATAAGGAGACTGAGAGAAATAACTACACAGGTCAAAGAATTAATCCACATTCTAATCCTACACAGCTTTCAAATGTCACCCCTTCCAGGAGGCTTTTCTTAATTTCCTTAACCAAAGGTCATTTTTCCTCCTTGGAACCTGTGTTTTTATTTCTCGTAATAGTTTACCCATACTGTAATAATCTATGTATTTCCCTTTTTCCCAGTGGCTAATCCATAAGTACTTGGTAGGTGCTTACTTATCTGTGTGGCACAGGAAAGAATACAGTATGTTACAGCATATAATTTAGAGTCCTGTTAAACTTTTTTAAAAAGTAGCACAACTACACTGAAAGAAGAAAAGCTGAGAGGACACTGTGGCTGGGGCAATTAAATAAGGACAAACAGAGAACACTGGCTTGAGCTAGGTATGGAAGGGATGAGAAGGCATGACAGGAATTAACCTAAATAGGGAAGTATAAATAGTGAAGTGTGTCAAGGACTGATTTCAACAATCTTATAATATGAAAGCACTATTCACAGATAAAACTAAGCTCTTCCAATAGTAAAGAGGTTTTGGGAAAAAAAAAAGCAAAAAAAAAAAATTACTACAATGTGTGGGTGAACAAAAAAAGTGGCAGTTTTAATGTGGAGAAGGTCATTTTTGGGAAATTGATCCAAATAGTCAGGAAAATATGATAAAAAAAAAAAAAAAGCATGTAAGATTCTAGTGAACCAAGCAGGAAAAAAGAACTACATAACAGACAAAATAATTTAGATAGATTCACAGCTGGCTGAACAATGACAAGTATAGATCTTTAGTGACAAGGCTCAACAGTTTAATCAAAGTATTGATTAAAGTGATAAGAAAGAAGACTTACTACTAAGTTCTGAGGATTAACTGAAAAGGACAGCTTTAACAGTGTATGAAATCTTATTTCAAATGCTTACCACACAAATAAAAAACCATGACTTTTGCCATCCCAGATGTACGTAAGGAACATCTATCTGCCTTTTGCCCTAGGACATTTTTCTCTGGCCCTCAGTCCCAGATTTAAAGAATGAGCAGCAGAAAAGAATCTGTGAACTATGGTTCCCTCAAGACTTCTGTTCTTTGACTGAGAAATAAAAAATTAATGTCCTAGTACCTCATCCCCATTGGAGTTTATGCTAGCCACAATCAATCCCAACTCTAATGCAGCCTAAAGCCTAATTACAGACCTCTGCACCTCTTTCTTTCCACTATCAAGTGGAGGAATAATTCACGTCACATGCTCAAACTAAATGGTAAACAGAAGCTCAATTTTGAGTGGAACTCTTTCAATTCTAGAGAAACTATAAAACAGACTCATTGCAGGGCGCAGTGGCTCACGCCTGCAATGCCAGCACTTTAGGAGGCCGAGGCAGGCGGCTCGCCTGGGATCAGGAGTTCGAGACAAGCCTTGCCAACATGGTGAAACCTCATCTCTACTAAAAATACAAAAATTAGCCAGGCGTGGTGGTGGGTGCCTGTAATCCCAGCTACTTGGGAGGCTGAGAGAGAACTGCTTAAACCCAGGAGGTGGAGGTTGCAGTGAGCCGAGACCACGCCATTGCACTCCAGCCTGGGCAACAAGAGCAAAACTGCTGTCTCAAAAAACGCCCGACTCACTGACTTTACCAGAGACAAGTATTATAGATCTACATAACACCCAAAGCACCAGTCTGTAACTTCTGTGTAGACCATATTCTGTAGATAAGTTAACTGTGCAGTAATGACTCAAATAATAGTTCTCAACTCCAGAAGCCCACTATAGTCTACAAGAGGGTTCAGTAAGCTTTTTTCTAAAAGGCCAGGTGGTAAATATTTTAGGCTTTGTTGACCATACGGTCTCTGTTGCAATTACTCAACTCTGCCACTGCAGCACAGAAAACAGAAAAATGGGCATGGCTATGTTCCAATGGCTATGTTTTATTAATAAAAACTGCTGGCAAGCAGCAGTTTACCAATATTCCTGGTCTAGAGGCTAGTAATTAGGTCTAGTTTTGGTCAATTCTAACACTATTCTAGATGTAACATTTTATTTCATGTTTTAAAATAGAAACATACATGCCCTCATATGATCCTAATTATATTAAAAATTCATAAAAAGGTTGGGTACAGTGGCTCATGCCTGTAATCCCAGCACTCTGGGAGGCCAAGGAAGGTGGACTGTTTGAGGCCAGGAGTTCGAGACCAGCCTGATCAACATGTTTCTACTAAAAATACAAAATTAGCCAGGTGTGGTGGCGCTCACCTGTAATCCCAGCTTCTTGGGAGACTGAGACACAAGAATTGCTTGAACCTGGGAGGTGGAGGCTGCAGTGAGCCGAGATCATACCACTGCTCTCCAGCCTGGGTGACAAAGCAAGACTCTAAAAAAAAAATTTTTTTTTTTAATTTAAAAAAAATCATTAAAAAAAGTCTGGGAGGAAACAGCAAAATAAAATGTAAATAGTGATTGGGATGGAAAGATTATGGATAACTGGTCATAGGTATCACCATTTTTTTTTAAGTTTAAAAAACTGTGGAAGTTGGCCGGGCGCGGTGGCTCACACCTGTAATCCCAGCACTTTGGGAGGCCGAGGCGGGCGGATCACGAGGTCAGGAGATCGAGAACATCCCGGCTAAAACGGTGAAACCCCGTCTCTACTAAAAATACAAAAAAATTAGCCGGGCGTAGTGGCGGGCGCCTGTAGTCCCAGCTACTTGGGAGGCTGAGGCAGGAGAATGGCGTGAACCCGGGAGGCGGAGCTTGCAGTGAGCCGAGATCCCGCCACTGCACTCCAGCCTGGGCGACAGAGCGAGACTCTGTCTCAAAAAAAAAAAAAAAAAAAAAAAAAAAAAAAAACTGTGGAAGTTACAAAATAGCAGATAAATTAATAAATAAGTAATTTGGGTTTAGGTCAACTGCTATTAAAAAAAAATAAAGGCCAGGTACAGTAGCTCATGCCTGTAATCCCAATACTTTCAGAGGCTGAGGTGCATGGATTGTTTGAGCCCAGAAGTTTGAGACAAGCCTGGTAACATAATAAAACCCGGACTCTACAAAAAAATGTTTAAAAAACTTAGCCAGGAGTGGTGGTACATGCCTGTGGTCCCAGCTACTCCAGAGGCTGAGGTAGGAGAATCGCTTGAGCCCCAGTGAGCCAGGCTGCACCGAACCATGGTAATGCTACTGCACTCCAGCCTGGGCAACAGAGGCCAACTTTGCCTCCCTCTGTCGAGTTTTAAACTCCCTCTATCCAAGTTTGTAAGACACAACAACAACAAAAAAGCCCCAACAAAAACAGCTCAAGGTACTTATTAATACCTGAGAGTTGAAGGAGAATGAAGTCAGTCAAATAAAGAGCTGACCAAAGACCACTCTACCCAAACTCATAAACAAGCAAAGGTGGTAATAGGAATGAAAGAAATTGACAAGTGTTTTGGGGGAAAAAAAAGGAGATTGCTGAAACATAATGAGCAATGGGGAAAGTGGTCTTAACAATACAAAACAGAAGTGACACCTCATCTCAAGGTAAGATGTCTCCTCAAGCAAGGCAAGCCCAGCCTCATGAAACAGGGGCTGAAGAGGCTATGTCTGCTTGCAAGGAAGGTTCAGAATGGTTGTGGCAGTTCCAGAACCTCATATCTTAATCTATTGGCCTCTATTCCAATTCTTACAATCTCCTCTTTCCCAACCATTGTCCTTTCACACAAAAGATCTTATTATTTCTCTCAATTAACATAAGCTCCCTGGGTCATCTTAACTGGTCCTTCATTCAAGAACTTCTAAGCATGTAATTTTCTTTAAGTTCTCCAATACAGCCAAAAGTAACCAGCCCATCCACACTCCTTATACTCCTCATTCTCCTCAGCAAATATTTGACAATAGCAATTTGGTCTACCAAAGTTCTGCCTTCAATAAGAACTTTATTTTACGCAACCATAAAATAAGTTAATGTTCCAATTTGTTCATGATAATGGGATCATTATTATCTTCAAATCCAACTAAGTCAGACAACCAATCTAGATTTCCATTACTTTGAAAGTGTGCAGACTACAGCATTCCTGGAATTATATTTTTCGAGGGTTCAACAGACAAAAAAATCTAACTCTAGGTAGTTGAAGCAAAGGTTGTTTTTCAATGTTAGAAATTGTTAGGAGGCTAAAAAATGAGCCTGGGTTGAACTTTTAGGAAAAATTCACAAAACCAAACTACAGAACGAGGCCATCAAAAAACATACAGTTTGGCCATCCCAAATCCAAAAATCCAAAATCCAAAATGTTCTGAAATATGAAACTTTTTGAGTGTTGACATGGCATGCAAAAGAAATGTTTTTTGGAGCATTTTGGATTTCAAATTTTTAGATTTGGGATGCTCAGTCAGTATATATAATGCAAATACAGGCATACCTCAGAGACATTTTAAGTTTGCTTCCAGACCACCACAATAAAGTGAATAAAGCGAACTACATGAATTTTTTTGTTTTCCAGTGCATATAAAAGTTATATTTACGTATTACTGTTGTCTACAAAGTGTGCAATAACATTATGCCTAAAAAACAACACATATACCTTAATTTAAAAATACTCCATTGCGGCTGGGCGCGGTGGCTCACGCCTGTAATCCCAGCACTTTGGGAGGCCGAGACAGGCGGATCACAAGGTCAGGAGATTCAGACCATCCTGGCTAACACAATGAAACCCTGTCTCTACTAAAAATACAAAAAAATTAGCCCGGCGTGGTGGCGGGCGCCTGTAGTCCCAGCTACTCAGGAGGCTGAGGCAGGAGAATGGCGTGAACCTGGGAGGCGGAGCTTGCAGTGAGCCAAGATTGCGCCACTGCACTCCAGCCTGGGCGACTGAGCGAGACTCTGTCTCAAAAAAAAAAAAAAAAAAACTCTATTGCTAAAAAATGCTAAGGATCACCTGAGCTTTCAGTGAGTTGTAATTGTTCTGCTGTTGGTAGGTCTCACTTCAATGTTGATGGCCACGGACTGATCGGGGTGGCTGTGACAATTTCTTAAAATAAGACAGCAATAAAGTTTTGCCACATCATTTGACAATTCCTTTCATAAAAGATTTTTCTGTAACATGCAATGCTGTTTGACAGCATTTTGCCCACAGTAGAGCTTCTTTCAAAACTGGAGTCAATCTTTTCAAACCCTGCTGCTGCTTTATCAGCCAAGTTTATGGAATATTCTAAATTCTTTGTTGTCATTTCAGTAATGTTCACAGCATCTTCACTAGTGGACTCCATATCAAGAAACCACTTTCTTTACTCACCCATAAAAAGCAACTCCTTATCTGTTCAAGTTCTATCATGAGATTGCAGCAAATCAGCCACATTTTCAGGCTCCACTTCTAATTCTAGTTCTTTTGCTCCTTCTATCACATCTGCAGTTATTTCCACCATGAAAGCCCTGAACCCCTCAAAATCACTCATGAAGACTGGAATCAACTTCTTTCAAACTCTTGTTTATACTGATATTTTGACTTCCCATGAATCACGAATGTAATTAATGGCAAATCTATAATAGTGAATCCTTTCCCGGTTTGTTTGTTTTTTTTTGGAGACAAGGTCTCGCTCTGTCGCCCAGGCTGGAGCGCAGTAGTGTGATCTCTGCTCACTGCAACCTCCACCTCAGGAGTTCAAGCCATTCTTGTGCCTCAGCCACCTGAGTAGCTGGGATTACAGGCATGTGCCAGCATGCCTGGCTAATTTTCATATTTTTGGTAGAGATGGGGTTTCACTATGTTGGCCAGGCTGGTCTCAAATGCCTGACCTCAGGTGATCCACCTACCTTGGCCTCCGAAAGTGCTAGGATTCCAGGTGTGAGCCACTGTGCCTGGCCCTTTCCAGAACGTCTTTAATGTACTTTGCCCAGGTCCATCAGAGGAATGACTATCAAAGGCAGCTACAGCCTTACAAAATGTCTTTCTTAAGTAATAAGACTGGAAAGTCGAAATTACTCTTTACTCCATGGGCTACAGAATGGATGTCGTGTTAGCAGGCATGAAAACGTTACTCTCTATGTACATTTCCATCAAACCTCTTGAGTGACTACCTGCATTGTCAATGAGCAACAATATTTTGAAAGAAATCTTTTTTTCTGAGAGGTAAGTGTCAACAGTAGGCTTAAAATATTCAGTAAACCATGCTGTAAACAGCTGTGCTGCCATTTAGGCTTTGTTGTTCCATTTAGAGAGCACAGGAGAGGAAATTTAGCATAATTCTTAAGGTCCTATGATTTACAGAGTGATAAATGAGCACTGACTGTAACTTAAAGTCACCAGCTGCACTGGTCCCCAAGAGGAGAGTCAGTGCCACCTTCATCTTCTGGATAACTTGTTGCAGCTTCTGCATCAGCACTTGCTGCTTCAACTTGCAAGTTATGGAGATGGCTTATCTCCTTATACTTGAAGAACCAACCTCCACTAGCTTCAAACTTTTCTTCTGCAGCTTCCCCATCTCTCTCAGCCTTCAGAGAATTGCTCTGCACTAGGCTTTGGCTTAAGGGAATTTTGTGGCTGGTTTGACCTGCTATCCAGACCATAAAAATTTACCCATATAAGCAATAAGACTGTTTCATTTTCTTATCATTCGTTTGTTCACTGGAGTTAGCACTATTAATTTCCTTTAAGAACTTTTCCTTTGCATTCATGTCTTGGCTAATTGTGTGGCACAGGAGGCCTAGCTTTTGGCCTATCTGGGCTTTTGACACACCTTCCTCAATAAGCTTCATCATTTCTAACTTCTGATTTAAAATTAAAGATGTGTAATTCTTTCTCACTTGAACAATTAGAGAGCAGTGTAGGGTTATTAACTAGCCTAATTTCAATACTGTTGTCTTAGGGAATAGGGAGGTCTGAGGAAAAGGAGAGAGTTGTGGGAATGGCCAGTCAGTACAGCAGTCAGAACACAGACAACTGGACTAAGTTCACCATCTTACATGGACACCGTTCATGCTGCCCCAAAATGATTACAATAGTAACATCAAAGATCACTAACCACAGACCACCATACAGATATAATAATGAAAAGGTATGAAATACTGCAAGAATTACCAAAATGTGACACAGACAGGAAAACATGCTGCTGGGAAAATGGCAGAGACAGACTTGCTTGGCATAGGGTTACCACAAACCTTCAATTTGTAAGAAACACAATTATCTGCAAAAGTACAATAAATCAAAGCATAATAAAATGAGATACACCTGCATACTACCCAAAACAATTTACAAATTCAATGCTATTTCTATTTAACTACCAATGACATTCTTCACAGAATTAGAAAAAACTATTTTAAAATCCGTATGGAACCAAAATAGCCAAGGCAATCCTAAGCAAAAAGAATAAAGCTGGAGACATCACAAGACCTGACTTGAAGCTATACTACAACTAAAACAGCATGGTACTGGTACAAAAACAGATATACAGACCAATGGAACAGAATAGAGAGCCCAGAAATAATGTTGCACACCTACAACAAATTTGACAAAAACAAGCAGTGCAGAAAGGACTCCGTAATTCAATAAGTGGTGCTGGGATAACTAACTATATGCAGAAGACTGAAATTGGACCCCCTTCCTTATACCATATACAAATCAACTCAAGGTAGATTAAAGACTTAATTGTAAAACCTAAACTATAAAAACCCTGTAAGATAAGCTAGAAAATACCAGTCTAGATAAAGGATCTGGAAAGATTTCATGACAAAGACGCCAAAAGCAATTGCAACAAAGACAAAAACTGACAAATCAGACCTAATTAAACTAAAGAGCTTCTGCCAAAGAAACTATCAACAGAGTAAAACAGACAACCTACAGAATGGGAGAAAACATCTGCTAACTACGCATCTATCAAAGGTCTAACATCCAGAATCTCTAAGGAACTTAAACCTAAAAGCAAAAAAAACAACCCCATTAAAAAGTGGGTAAAGGACACGAACAGACACTTTTCAAAAGAAGGCATACATGCGGCCAACAATCATATGAAAAAAATTCTCAACATCACTAATCATTAGAGAAATGCAAATCAAAACCACAATTAGATACTGTCTCACACCAGTCAGAATGGCTATTACTAAAACATCTAAAAATAACAGATGCTGGTGAAGATGCAGAGAAAAGGGAACGCTTATACACTGCTGGTAAGAATGTAAATTAGTTCAGCCGTTGTGGGAAGCAGTGTAGCTATTCCTCAAAGAACTTAAAACAATTACCATTTGACCCAGCAATCCATTACTGGGTATATATCCTAATGAATATAAATCATTCTAACATAAAGACACATGGACACATATATTTACATTATTCACAATATTATTATTCACAATAGCAAAGATATGGAATAAACCTAAATACCCATGAACAGTAGACTGGATAAAGAAAATGAGGTACATATACACCATGGTATACTACGCAGCCATAAAAACACGAGATCGTGTCTTCTGCAGCAACACGGATGCAGCCGGAAACCATTATCCTAAGCAAACGCATGAACAGAAAACCAAATACTGCATGTTCTCACTTGTAAGTGGGATCTAAACAACAAGAACACATGGACACAAAAATGGGAACAACAGACATCAAGGCCTACTTGACAGTGGAGGGTGGGAGGAGGGAGAGGATCAATAAACGACCTATCAGCTACTATGCTTATTACCTGGATGGCAAAATGATCTGTGTACCAAAGCCCCGTGACACACAGTTTATCCATATAACAAACCTGCACATACCCATGAACCTAAAATAAAAGTTTAAAAAAAAACATGAGGTACACCTATATTCCAAAACCCCCCCCAAAATTCAAAACCCAAAACATTTCTGGTCTCAAGATTTTTGGATAAGGGATACTCAACCTGTATTCCCTGTCCATAAGGAAGCCGCATAGTAAATTTGAAAGCTTCGGGCTCCAGAGCATTGCACACACCAACAAATCCAAATCACAACCAGAATCCTACCAGCAAAAACAGTAAAAATAGGAAAAGAACAAACTCTGACTCACTTCTACCTTCCAAATCTCACAAGTATATCTGTGGCAGAAATAAAGTAACATTAAGAACTCTGACTGCAAAGGGATCTGAGATATGTACCTGTGAGTTTTACAGTTTCTACATAGCAGAAAGTTTGAATAGTATTGAATACCTTTGGTAATATAACATGAAACTCTGGTTTCCACACCAACAAACATACTACAATGGGAGAGTATAGAAGACAACCAAATTAAGGGAATGAAGTTGCTCAGAGGATATAAAGAAATTAGGATTTGAAGATGGAGGGGAAAGTGGGTGGGGAAAGAGTAGAGTAGATAGGGCTAAATAAATAAAACTACCATGTATATGAACAGTGTAAACAAGGACTTAAGAACTACTAAGTCCTTGTCTTGTATTAGTAAATACTAAATTATAAATAAAACACACTATAAGAATGTTGTTTTATATATCAATTAGTTGTTTTTTAGACTTAATTCTTAACCCTAAGAGCTAACAGTAACCAAATAAAACTAAAATTTATATTGTAATGGAAAACCATAGAGGGACGATCCTGTATTTTTTAAAGGGATGGCAAAATGAACATGCCCTTTATACAACGTCCCATTAACGGGTACCATCAAATTGGATATGGTAAGTGACCAGACCACTGGTCTAAGCTAAGTCTTAAAAACAAAAAAGGAAAAAAAGCTTACTGGGATATTAATACATGCAAATTAATTCTAAATTAACATCCAATCTTTCAAACATTAAGCTTCTATCAAAGATATACATTAAAGACCTTTTTCAAACTTAAAAATAAGACATTTTAAACATTAGAAAAAGGCTTTAGACAACAGAATTTTATTCTGAAAGTTTGCTGTTCAGTCAGAGAATCACCCCTACCCCTCCCTAAAATGTGAAAAACAAAAAACTTAGTGATTCTATTTGTTCAAAAAATAAAAAAATTAAAAATTAAAAAAAAAAAAGGACTTAATGAATGCTGTGTGCCTTGTCCATCTCTTCTTCCAGAAAATACGGAAAGCTGTACTTTCAAGCCCCAACAGTGGCTGCATAACTAGCTCTGGCCCATAAATATGAAATATGAGCACCAGTGATATAAATCACCTCTGGGCCAAGGCAGATAAAAGCACTGCCGACAGGTCCTTGGATTTCCCTCTTCCTCAGTGATCTTGGGAATAAGCATTAGAGATGGTGGCATTCCAAGACAAGGGAGCCTGGATCACTGAGTCACCAAAGAGAAAAGAGTTCCTACAAATCCACTTTGAAACTTCACTTGAAAAACTTCTGTTAGGTTAAGACACTGAGATTTCAGGGTTTAATTATAACTATAGTACAGTGTAGATATGAGTAATAAAGAAGTCTATTTAAAAAAATGTTCCTACTCTGGTAACATAAATAGACTGTATGTCAAATTCACTACCCACTTTAAATAGTTAAGGGCTCACATTGCTACAAAGGTAAGTAAATATACATTACAGAGGTATGATACACACACACACACACACACACACACACAGAGAGAGATGAGTGAATAAAAGTAACTTTTGGTAACAAGAATATGACTTACAGTGTGAGCACATTTCCAAAGGATAACTTGCCTCATTTCCCTGGGGGGAAAGAAAGAAATAATTAGTCATAAAATAGGCACAAATTTGTTTAAAATATTAAACCTAAATATTTTAAGTCAAAAAACATAGGGAAATAAGCCATAAACTAATAATATGACCACATATATAAATTACATTTATATTTTTAAAAAATAAGAAAACAAATGATAATACTGTAGAAAGAGTTCTTGAATCAAACTGTTCTGACTTATGACTCTGTCACTTAGGATTTATGCAAATATTTGATTGCAATATATTTCAAATATTTTCTAATACCCTAAATAAGTTATATGCCAAATTTTAACACATTAGGGACTGTCAATGTTCCAACATGTCTTGCTGGGTGAACTGATTTTGCAGTAGAGATTAGAACAAAGATTCCCTTGCCAACTCTAACTGAAGAGTTTCCTGAGACTGCAAAATGAGCTGTTAAAAACAAAAAAACAGAAACCTGCTACCATTTTTCCCTGCATTGAAACATAATTTTCTATATGCTGAGCAACTAAAATAAGAAAAACATTAATGGAAAGGTGAGTCTAACTTGACAGCCAGCCACTTGAAAACCATTTCAAATTTTTCTTTTCATACAAAGTCTTATTTCATGAATAGACCCTAACTTAACATAATTTATCTGAGCTCCTAATTTATATATAAAAAAAGTAGAACTATCAATTTTCTATACTAGGATTTTATGTGAAATATATTTAAGAAAAAAAGTGTTCTAGAAAAACTAGAGACCTGGGTCAGTGCCTACATTTAACAACTCTTGAGAACTGGGACCAGGGAGGTCAAATATCTGCTGGAAGATCACACCATTTGATTAGCAGTGGAATCGAAAGTACTTCTAAATCTAAAACAGTAATATCTCAAGTAGTATAACAGACTCAGAGGTAGAATCATTAAGGTCTTTAAAAACGTCTACAGAATTTAAAGTAATATAAATTAAGTTTTTAAAGTTCAGTGGTAAATTGAATACGAAGCATCCTATATTCTATTTATCTAACCTTGACCCTGCCTAGCAATTAAATAGCAGTAAGTATACAGTTGCTATTAATTTAAGTGTACAATTAACATGGGCATATTTAAATATATATCTTCAGAAGCTACTGAAAACCTGAATTCTTTTTTTTAGTATGACTGGCTGGCTTTTAAACTCCTCAACGTACCTTTAATCTTATGTAAACTTAAAGGCTAATCAGTAAATTACCACATTCAATTAACTGACATATTGCCAATAGCTAGTCTTTTTCTTGCAAGTTATAGCAGATAATTGCAATTTTCCAGAACTGGTTAATTTAATATTAGGTCACTTTAAATATCAAATATGTTAAAGTGAGGATAAAAGAAAGCAAACATTAATAAAGCTTGATATTAATGAACAGAGATGGATTTCTGCTTACTTTGCACATTACTTAATTGATCTTAATATTCTTACCATGATTCTTATCTTCACTGCCTTACATATTCTTGCTGTCTTAATTTTTTTAATGTTTTTTTTTCCTTATTCCACTCCACCTTAAAGTTAAGTATGTTTCTTGCAAGACTCTCAAGAGCATACCGGTATTTTATTTACTAAAATTTGCACTGTCACTGTGAGTTTTTTTTTTTTTAAATAAGTATCATTACTGTTTTATAAGTGAAGGTAAAAAAGTGTTATGTGGTGGTTTCAAGCAGGATTTTAAAACCAGGTCCTTGTTTCTCCAGTTCACTGACCTTTACAGTGTTATCAATTCTTTCTAAATGATACCATCTATCTCACCTATTTATCTGTATCATTCCCAACTAGACAACGTCCACAAGACCTAAGAACCAACCAGTCCAGGGCTCCTAAGGACTTTCCCATTAACAAAGAATAACTCGTCTTGCTCCTAAACTTGGAATGCATATATCCAAAACACTACTGCAACCACAATCTGTCCCAAACTGACCACATCACATCTCTGCTAAAATTCAATAGCTCCCACCTGCCTTCAGAATAAAAACCAACACTCTTTAGAAAGCTAAGTAAAGTCCTTTAATTAAGAGAACTCGTATCTCTGTAGTCACTCTCCCAAACAGCACCACCATCTCTATCCTACACTCCCCACTTTTTACTTCAAATTCTGTATTGTTTGAACTTTCACAGCAAGAATGTCTTCATAGTCTACCTTCCATTTAAAAAAGGAAACCAAAGCAAAACATGGCAATATAAAGATAATTTTGTCAATATGGTCAATATAATTTTGTTCCACGTTCAGTCTTCCTCATGCTTAGTCATTAGTAAAAACAGGAGTTTTGGAGATTCCCCTTTATACTCCTCTCCACACCCCCTCACGTTCAGCTTCTTAAGCTACTACCTGGGAGTATTACATTTATCAGTAATTGTTTCATTCAGGTTTGGTGTGTGGGCTATAGTTTATTGATCCCTGAACCTAATGCATAATTACATTTAACAAAAAATACACATCAGTTTGTAAATTATTATATCAGACTTAACTGGAAAAAATAGCATTTCTGAAGGTAAATTAATTCTGCAGTGAATTTGTAGCCAATAGCTCCAGTCTAGGGTTGGGAAATACTAAAATAATGATAGATACTGTGAGAGACATACCCAATAAGGTACTGACATTTACTTCTAAGAGAACCACTCAACTAAACAAAACCATAAAATTATATCTAAATATGAAAAAAGTCCTAAAGCTAACATGTTTTAAGTTTACATAAGAACACTTGAAGAATTCAAACATCATGCCACATGACCAAGTTACTGACAAGATCACTTGTTGATGAGGTCCTTAAATAAATCCATTTGCCTGAAGTTCAAGATAGACTCCCCTTACACTATACTGATTTAAAAATTCAGTAACATCTGCCCATGGGGGAGAAATGCTATATGAACCACTTGACCAGTGTTAAAAAAAACTAGTAAATCAGAAAAATTTTATCAAACAACATTTATCAGGCATTTTCTGTGATCATCTATATAAGAAAACAAAAGAGGTAAAGCCCTTAGGATCTATGTCCCAGCTTACTGTCTGGAGAAAGTTTCCAGGTTGCAGCACAGGAACAGAGAACAGAAACACAATCCCGAGACATCGCCAAATTGAGAAGTCAGAGATACATGAAGTTCGTATGGCCAAGGAGGTGAGACTTGTGAGGAAGAGTACTTCAGAAAAGGGAGACACATGAGAGAACTTTGGAGATCTGCATAAAAGTCTCCTCCAGTCTCTGCATAAGTTTGAGAGGAAACTCCCCAAGTCCAGGAAAAGAACTAGTAGCAGGTTGAATAACTTTTGGGAGTTTGCACAGAGCTAGGAATAGTTCATGATCCCATGGGCCAAACTGGAGAAACTTGTAAATACACAGGGAATTGGGTCCAGTCCTCAGAACGACTATATTGGCCATGAATTAAAGGCTGTTCTTTACTTACCTTAAGAAAGATAGAAAACAAATCTCAGATCAAATTTGGGTCTCAGTAACTTAAGTGGATGGCAAAACAAACTCTTACGTTCTTTAAAGGAATAAAACAAAATCTAGCACAACAGCATAAGATTCACAATGTATGTATGACATCCAATATAAAACATAATAGGACGCTATAAAATGGATGAACTTCAAAATCATGGTAAGTAAAAGAAGCCAAAAACAAAAGGCCACATTTTATGATTCCATTTATATGAAATATACTGATAAAGAAAATACACAGAAACAAAATGTAGAGACTGGTGGGTGCCAGTTACACAGAAACAGAATGTAGAGACTGGTGGGTGCCAGTTGCTGGGGGAGGAGGAATGGTGAACAATTACTTTTTGGCTATGGGGTTTCCTTTTAGGGTGATGAAAATATTTTCGAATGACATAGAGGTGGTGGTTGTACTACATTATAAATGCCAGCCTGGGCAACATGGCAAAACACTGTCTCTACAAAAAATACAAAAAAGGCCAGGCATGGTGGCTCACGCCTGTAATCCCACCACATTGGGAGGCCGAGGCAGGCAGATCACTTGAGGTCAGGAGTTCAAGACCAGCCTGGTCAACATGGTGAAATCTGTCTCTACAAAAAATACAAAAATTAGCTGGGCATGGTGGCGGGTGCCTGTAATCCCAGCTACTCGAGAGGCTGAGGCAAGAGAATCTCTTGAACCTGAAGGTGGAGGCTGCAGTGAGCAGAGATTGCACCACTGCACTCCAGCCTGGGCAACAGAGCGAGACTCCACCTCAAAAATAAAAACAAAAACACGAGCCAGGCATGTTAGCATATGCCTGTAGTCTCGGCTACTCAGGAGGGTGATATGGGATAACTGCTTGAGCCTGATAGGTCAAGGGTGCAGTGAGCCTTGAGCACACCACTGCACTCCAGCCTGGGCAACCAAGCAAGACTTTGTAAATAAATAAATAAACAAATGTCACTGAACTGTTCACTTTTAAAATGACTTTGTTATGTGAATTTCACATCAATAAAACGTTTTATATGCTGTTTAAAGAAATAATGGCCCCAAATCTTCCAAATTTGATGAAAACTTTAAATCCCCAAATTCAAGAAGTTCAATGAACTCTAAGTAGAAGAAACATGGAAAAAAAAAAGCCACATAATAAATTGCTGTGACACAGAAAATCTTAAATATAATCAGAGGGGAAAAAAGATAAACTACATACATACAACATAATTACTACAGCATATTTCTCCTTAGATACACCAAGGACAGGAAACAATGGAATCTGTTTAAAGTGTTTAAAAAAAAAAAACTATCAGTTTTTATATCCAGCAAAAATATCTTTCAAATATTATGGCAAATGCTTTTTCCAGATAACAAAAACTGAAAGGAAAGATTAGGCTTCAATATATGTTCACTACAAAAAAAAAGTCAAAAGAAAATTCTTCAGGCAGAAGAAAAATGATACCAGATGGAAAGCTGGATCTAGACAAAGAAATGAAAAATATCAGAAATGGTAAATAAAATAAAATAAAAGATATTTTTCTCATGTTTAAATGTCTTTAAAATATGACTTTTAAAAGCAAAGATAACATGTTGTGGGGTATATAAAGTGAACATATGACAACAGCACAAAAGGGTAGAGAAAAAATGGATGTATGCTGTTGTCAGGATCTTACACTGTAAGAGAAACACTGTATCATTATTTGAAGGTACAGCATGGTATATTAAAGATGTATATTGTAAACTCTAGAACAACTTAAAAAAGGAGACGAAATAAAATGGTATCATTGTGATGGTTAATTTTGTGTCAACCTAACTGGGCCAAGGGATGCTCAGATATCCAGCTAAACATTATTTCTGAGTGAGAGTCAGCTAGGCTGTTTGTGGAAGAGATTAGCATCTGAACTGGTGAACTAAGTAAAACTGATTGGATAACATCCATCTGTCCAGCACCTAAATAGAACAAAAAGGCAGAAGATTGAATTAGTTCTCTGCCTCACTGCCTGAGCTGCAAAGTCAAGCTTTTCCTTACCTCAATGCCCCTGGTTCTCAGGCCTTCAGACTCAGACTAGAATTTATACCATCAGTTCTTCAGCTCTCAGGCCTTCAAGCTACAGCACCAGCTTTCCTGGGTCTCTAACTTAAAGACAGCAGGAACAGAACTTCTTAGCCTCCATAATCATGTGAGGCAATATCATATAATAAATCTCTTTCTAGACATATGTATCTCCTACTGGTTATTTCTCTGGAGAAACCTGACTAATACAATCAGAAAGAATACTCAATCCCATGAAAGGCAGACAAATAGGTACAAAGAAAAAGCAAATGAGAAAAAAAAGAAAGTAAATAGTAAGAAGGCAGATTTAAAAGCAAACATTTTGAGAATTATACATTTCATAATGCTAAAAAAGAGCCAATTCATCAGAAAGATGAAATCCAAAAACATACCAATCCTACACAAATTATTTCAGAAAGCAGAAAGGAAGGGTACTGTCCTGAACTCATTTTATGAAGCCAGCACTACTGTGATGCCAAAATCAGACAGTATCACAAAAAAAGAAAACTATGGCCGGGCGCGGTGGCTCACGCCTATAATCCTAACACTTGGGGGGCTGAGGCAGGAGTATCACTTAAGGTCAGGAGTTCAAGACCAGCCTGGCCAACATGTTGAAACCCATCTCTACTAAGAATACAAAAATCAGCTGAGCATGATGGTAGGCACCTGTACAATCCCAGCTACTTGGGACGCTGAGGCAGAAGAATCGCTTGAACCTGGGAGGTGGAAGTTGCAGTGAGCTGAGATCACGCCACTACACTCTAGCCTAGGCAACAGTGCGAGACTCTGTCTCAAAACAACAACAACAACAAAAGAAAACTATATCTAATGTTTCTCTATGACCAATAATGTAAAAATCCTTAAAAATATCTTAGCAAATTGAATCCAAAAATAAACACCATGACTGAGGATTATTCCAGCAATGGAAGGTTGGTTTAATATTCAAAACCAACGTGATTCACAACATTAACAGAGGAAAAAAAAAGAAAAAAACCACATGGCCAACCAAACAGACGCAATAAAAGCATCTGACAAATTGCAACATCCATTTTTGATAAAACAAGAGTAACTCAGCAAACTAGGACTATTTCTCTATCTATAAAAGGTTATCTACAAAAATTCTTCAAAAAGTGTCATATGTAATAAGATTCTCCCTAAGATTAGAACAAGATAAAGACATCTGCACAAATACAAAAGGGAAGACAAAAAAAAAAAAAAACAAAAGGTATACAGATTGGAAAGGAATAAACTGCCTTTCGTTGCAGATGACATAATTGTGTATGTACATAAATCCTAAGCAAATTACTAAAAAGCTATCAAAACTAATAAATGAATTAAGCAAGACGGCAAGATAAAAGGTCAATATACAAAAGTTAAATATATTTCATATTCTGGAAACATGGAAAATGAAATTAAGAATGCAGTTCCATTTACAAAATCATCAAAAATACAAAATACTTAGAAACAGTTAATAAGAGATGTGCAGGGAGTACACATGAAGACTATAAGACATAGCTAAGAAAGAGATCTAAGAAAACCCAGCTATATTTGTTCATAGATCAGAAGGCTCAATGTTGTTAAGATGGCAATTCTTCCCATAATGATCTGCATATAGAAGACAATCCTAATAAAAATCCCAGCAGAATATTTTATAGAAATCAATAAACTAATTCTAAAATTCATATGGAGATGCAAAGAACCTAACAGCCAAGGGATCTGAATGAAAAACAACAATGGTGAAGGACTTAACAATATCTGACTTAAAGAGTTATGAAGGGCTGGGTGCGGTAGCTCATGCCTGTAATCCCAGCACTTTGGGAGGCCGAGGCGAGTGGATCACTTGAGGTCAGGAGTTTGAAACCAGCCTGACCAACATGGTGAAACCCTGTCTCTACTGAAAATACAAAAAAAACTAGCCGGGCGTGGTGGCAGGCGCCTGCAATCCCAGCTACTCGGGAAGCTGAGGCAGGAGAATCACTTGAACCTGGGAAGCAGAGGTTGCAGTGAGCTGAAATCACGCCACTGCACTCCAGCCTCGGCAGCAGAGCAAGACTCGTCTCAGGAAAAAAAAAAAAAAAGTTATAAAGCTAGTCATCAAAAGAGTGGTACTGGTGTAAGAACAGACAAATATCAATTGGACAGAATAAAGTAAACACACACACACAATTTTCAAGAAAGGTTTCCAGGTAATTAAATGGGGAAAAAAAATCTTTGCAACAAATGATGCTACAACAACTGAATAGCAATATGCAATTTAAAAAAAATGACATGAAGACTTGAATAGATATTTCACAACAAAAGATATGATTAACATCAAATAAACACATGAAAAGACATTTAATATCACTAGACATTAGAGAAATGCAAGTTAAAACCAAAGTGAGATATTACTATACAGGCAACTGGCATAATAAATATGGCTATAATTTAAAAATGGACACACAAAGTGTAACTGAAGATGTGGAATAAATGATTATGTGGTGAACAGAATTCTTAGGTAGCCCTTTGAAATTCTGAACCCCTTGTATACATACTTTTTCTCCCAATTACTAAATCAAACACTCATCTAGTTACTGCTGCAGAAGGATTTTGCACATGTAATTAAGGTCCCAAATCAACCACCTCTGGATAAGATTTATCCAGGTGGCCCTGACCTGTAAGAGCCCTTTAAAAGCAATTTTCCCTGTGTGGTCTAAGAAGGTGAAAATGAAAGAGTCAAAGCAGGAGAGGAATTCAACACAAGGGAAGTGGAGAGGCCACATGGCATTGAATGCAGGCAGCCTGACGGGGATAAGAGTGACCTCTAGTGAACAGGAGCAAGGAAACAGAGTGCTCAATCTCATAAGGGCAAAGAGCTGAATTCTGCCAATAACGTGAACAGCTTGGAAAGCAGACTTCCCCAGAACCTCCACAGGAGAACTTGGTCTGGATGGCATCTTGATTTCAGCCTTGTGATACTCTGAAGGGAACCCAGTCATGCAGTGGTGAGCTTCTGATTTGCAGAACTATGAAATAATAAATGAGTGCTGTTTTAGACTACTATGTTTATGGGAATTTGTTACACAGCAACAGAAAACTAATATCCAAACTTATAGTGTATGCGGCTAAAAATAAAAACACTGACATACCAAAGTGTTGGTGAAGATGTAGAGCAAATGAAAATTTTATATCTTGCTAGTGGGAACTCAAAATTGTACCGCTATTTCAAAAAAACAGTGTGTTGGACTCTTAGTGTAACCAGAAATGAAAACATGTCCACACAGAAATCTGTACTCACATGTCCACAGCAGCTTTATTCAGCTTTATTCTTAATAGACCAATCTGGAAACAACCTAAATGTCTTCAACTGGTGAACAGATAAACTGTTATATCCAGACAATGGAGTACTATTCGGTAATGAATAGGAAAAGACTACTAATACACCCAATAACATAATGAATCTCAAAAGCAATATGCTAAGTAAAAGAAACCAGACACAAAAAGCTATGTGCTGTATGGTTCCATTTATAAATGCTACAAAAAAACAAACTACAGTAACTGAAAGTTAAGGTGTTGTGGGGTAGAGGGGGAGAACAGGGAGTGAACACAAAAGGGTACCAGGTAACATTTCAGGGTGATAGACCTATTCTACATCTTGACTGTGGTGATTACAAAACTATATACATTTATCAAGGCACATTAACTATGCACTTAAAACTAGTTAGTTTTTACCATAGGTAAGTTGTACCTCAATAAAGCTGATTTTTATAACTCAAAATATTAAGGACCTTAGTCCCAAATATAATGGAATTGCTTAATACATAATTTTAGTCTCCAGTTTAGAAACAATCTCATCACTTTCTTTAAAACAATAAAGTTTCACAGCTGTCATATTATTCAAAATTCAAA
The DNA here is from genome assembly GCF_000001405.40 of Homo sapiens. Taxonomy (NCBI): domain Eukaryota; kingdom Metazoa; phylum Chordata; class Mammalia; order Primates; family Hominidae; genus Homo; species Homo sapiens. The sequence continues at coordinate 68,226,491 of NC_000002.12, forward strand.
CTATATGGATTTATTTTTATAAGACACATTTCAAGGTAATGTATTCATAGCAAATAACATTTTCCAGATTAATCTTACAGAATCATGAGACACCAAAAACTATTTACACTTACAGTAATCTTGACATTTATAATTCATCCCTTAGTCTCCTTCCCTGATTTTAAACTCCATGAAGGCACCAACTGTCTTACTATCTTTTGATATCCTTTGCCAGATTTAACATTGTCCTAAATTTACTTTAAAGGAAGAATTTGATTAGGTGCATGGTAAAAGTCTGGAACGGTTTAAGTCCTAATTTAAGCATCAATGCGTTAAAGTACAAGGTTAGATTAAGGGCATTAGAAGACCCGAATTCTTAAAAGTCCAGTTATTCAAGCACTTTAGATTTTCTCTTTCCTTTTGATGCTCACTTTTTATAATGAGTATTAAGCATTTGGATCTGCATACATTTTAAATAAGCAAACAGTACTCTAATACTGAAGTAATATTTATAGTTCACAAAGAGTCTATAACCAAATAAGGAAATGTTGTCATCTCTTAAACTCTACTAGATAAAGATGTCTAAATATTCTGACTGCATATTCTCTGAAATATTCAAAGCTTTACAGAATGCATCTATAAAGTTTATTTTTATTCTTTCAAACCTTGTCACTTTAAGATCAAAGTAACTCTAAACCAAAGAGAACCAAGTTTTTTCATTTCTTTGCCAGAAAATTTCTTTATTTTCCTGATTCCTACAGATCTGATCCCAAAACTGACAATCGTAATAGAATATTTTTTAAAAATGTTGAATAACATGAACTTGAAAAGTAAGTTATCTTAGGAATCAATCTAAATGTCTTTACCTGCTGAAAGCTTGATGACTGCACAATTAATGTAATTATCATAATGAAATTAATTTTTTCTAGGGTAAAGTCACTGACCATCTTAGTAACTGTTCTAGAACAGATTCTCCTTATTCTTAAATACAAAGCAAAAGGTGTTTGGATGCATGAATGTCGGGGACAGAAAAGATCAAAAGACAGAAACAAGAGATAAAAACCAATCATACCTATGACAGATCCAAGCTTCTTTAATGATTTTAGGAGGGAAAAAAAAAAAACCTTAAAATTTCTAGTCTGATAAATGCTGCCATAATTACAATCTATAACTTGAGTGAATCCATCCAGCAAATGTTTGAAGGCACATAATATGTTTAACTATTTTAAAGATCCTATTACTCACTTTGACAGTTAAACTATATTTCCTATTAAATGACACCTAAATTACCCCCATTCCTGTTTTTCCTTCTACTATTTAATGTTAACAACAATTTTTGTGTTTATCTTGTATTGTGCACAATTTCGCCGAACTTATTCATTAGTACTTTTATTTTTTGTAGATTTCTTGAAAATTTTCTATGTAGATAGTCATACCATCTGCAAACGGGATCCGTTTTTCTTCTTTCCAATCTGTATGCCTTTATATTCTTTTCCTGCATTACTGCACTGACTAGAACTTTCAGCACTACGCTAAAAAGGGCAGAAATCCTTGCTTTGTTACAGATCTTACAGAGAAAGTACTGTCTTTTGCCATTAAGTATAATGTCAGCTGTAGGTTTTCACAGATGTTCTTTATTCAACTGATAACATTTCCCTCTATATTTTTCTAAGTTTTTGTTTTGTCTTGGGTTTTATTCTTTAGTCTATTAATATAATTATACAGACTAAGTTTCAAATAGTGAACCAGCCTTGCACCCATAAAACCACCATAACTGATTATGGTGTATAATCTTTTAAAAATATTAACTCTATTTGTTAATGTTTTAAGGATTTCTGCATCTACACTGACATGAGGATGTTGGTCCATAGTTATCTTTTTTGGATTTTGGTATCAAGGAAACAGGGCTACTCAAATTCTATTTCACACTGGAAGAGGTGTGATAGTTTGTGTTTAAGGAACTGGTTCATTACTTCAAAGTTGTCAAATTTATGTATATAAAATTGGTCATAGTAACCCCTTATCTTTTTTCACATCTGCAGGGTCTACAGTGATGTCCCCTATTTCATTCCTGATAATGGTAATTTGTGTCTTATTACTTGTCAGTCTTACTGATGTTTTTGAAGAATGAGCTTTTTGTTTCAAAGGGTTTTTCTCTATTGTTTCTGTTTTTTATTTCATTTACTATTTCCTTCCTTCTGCTTGCTTCAGGTAGATTTTTCTCATCTTTTTTTCTAGGTTCTTGAAGTGGGAGCTTAGATTATTGATTTGAGGGGGCTTTTCTTTTCCTCTTCTCAAATGTGTGCATTTAGTGGTATAAATTTCCCTCTCTAAACTGCTTTAGTTGTATCCCACAACTTTGGTATGTTGTATTCTTATTTTCATGAAGCTCAATGTATTTTTTAAAATTTCCCTTGAGACTTCCTCTTTCACTCATAGATTATTTGGAAGTGTTTAGAGATTTTCCAGGTATCTATTATTGATTTCTAGTTTGATTCCACTTTGGTAGGAGAACACATTCTTTGATTTCAATTCCTTAAAATGTGTTTATGTTTTCTGGGGGGTTTTCTGAGACAGGGTCTCACTGTCACTCAGCTTGAGTGTAGTGGCATGACATGGCTCACTGCAGCCTCAAATTCCTGGGCTCAAGTGATCCTCTCCCACCTCATCCACTCAACTACAGGCATATGCCATCATGCTCAGCTAATTATTTTTTTTTTTTCATGGAGACTGAGTCTTGCTACATTGCCCAGGCTCGTCTCAAACTCCTGGCCTCATGCAATCCTCCCACCTTAGCCACCCCAAGCATTTAGGATTATAGGCATGAACCACCATGCCCAAATGAGGTTTACTTTTATGGCCCAGGACATAACTTTCCTTGGTATATGTTCTCTGGTCACTTGAAAAGATGAAGCATTCTATAAATTACATAGCACTGGTTGATTACATATGTTGAGTATCTTTCTATATCCTTGCTGATTTTCTTGCTTGGTTACTCCACCATTTATTGAGAAATAGGTGTTGACGTCTCCAATTATAATTTTGGACTTGTGTATTTCTCTTTTTAGTTCCATCAGTCTTTTTTCATATATTTTGCAGTTCTACTGCTAACACATTTAAAACTGCTATGTCTTCTTAGTGGATTGATTAACCCTTTTATCATATAATGCCTAGTCACTGTCTCTGGTAACTGCTTTGTTATGAGGTCTACTTTATCTAATATTAAATATAACCATACCTGCTTTCTTTGGATTAATGTTTGCATGATACATCTTTCTCCTTCCTTTTACTTTCAACATGCCTATATTGTTACATTTAAAGTAAATTTCTTACAGAAATCATATGATTGGGTAATGTCTTTAATTGATTCTGCCAGTATGTTTAATTGGTGTGTGTGTGTGTGTGTATGTATGTGTGTATATATATATACGGGTGTGTGTGTATATGTGTATATATATGTGTGTGTATGTGTGTATATATGTGTGTGTGTATATATACACACATACACACACACACACACACACACACACACACACACACACATATATATTTGGAGACAGGCTGTCACTCTGGAGCGTAGCGGCACAATCTTGGCTCACTGCATTCTCCACCTCCCAGGCTTAAGCAATGCCCCCATCTCAGCCTCCTGAGTAGCTGGGACCACAAGCACTCGCCACCGTGCCCAGCTAATTTTTTGTATTTTTGGTTGAGACAGGTTTCACCATGTTGCCCAGGCTGGTCTCAAACTCCTGAGCTCAGGCAATCCACATGCCTCAACCTTCCAAAGTGCTGGGATTACAGGCGTAAGCCACCATGCCCGGCCTTCATTTCTGTTTTCTTTATCCTGTCTCCTGGTGGGTTAAACATTTTTTAAATTCCATTTTGATTTATCTATAATGCTTTTGCATGTATCTGTAGAGCTTCCTTAGTGGTTGCTCTATGTACATTACACAGATAACTTTTCACAATCTCATTGGTATCATCATTTTACCCTCTCCCTGCTTACAGCTATCTTAAATATTTCCTCTACATACCTTTAGAACCACATCAGTATTGTAATTTTTGCTTCAACACTCAAACATAATTTAAAAACTCAAAAGGAGAATGTCTATTGTATTTACCCGTACTTTTACACTTTGAATTGTTCCTTCCTCTTTCCTGATGTTCCAAGATTCTTTCATCATACCCTTCTGTTTTCAGAATGTCTTTTGTTATCTTTCTAGGGTAAGTCTGCTGGTGACATACTCTCTTCATTTTCCTTCATATGTCTTGATTTCCCTTTCATTCCAGAAGGGTGTTTTCTCTAGATACAGGTTTCTGAGTTGACAGTCCTTTTCTTTCAGCACTTGAAAAATGTGAAATTTCCTTCTGATTAGAAACCTGCTATCATTTGAACTGTTTTCCACATCTACATGAAGTGTAATTTCTCTCGTGCTGATTTCAAGACTTGTCTTGTTTTTATAAGTTTTACTTTGAGATATCCTGGTCTGGATGTCTACAGGTTTATCCTGTTGAACATTCACTTGGCTTTTTAAAACTGTAGCTTAATGTCTTTTGCCAAATTCGCAAAATTTTCAGCCATTATTTCCTTAAGTACTTTTTCAATCCTGCCCTCTCTCTTCCTCTCCTTCTGTGACTCTAACGACACAAGTGTTAAATCTTTTTATAGACTCATGGTTCCCTGAGGCTCTGCACATTTTTTTTTTCAGTCTGTTTACTGTTGTTCAGACTGGGTAACTACTTCTGCCTGCTAGTTCACTGATCTTTCCTCAGTCTGGTCTATTTGCTATTAAGCCTACTCACTGGGCTACTGTATTGTTTATTATATTTTTCAGTTCTAAAATTACTATTTGGTCTTTCTTTATGTCTTCTATTTCTTTGCTGAAGTTTTCTTTCTTTTTTTTTTCCTGTTTCATGTACGTCAGTTTTTTCTTTGAGTGACACAAGCTTGTTCATTTTTGAGAAAATGTGTGCCAAATACTCAAGTGTGAATAATAGATTTTATTAGTTGTTCTCGCTAGTAGTTTTGGTATTCTATGAAAAAAAGCAGCTAGTTCAGCTTACAAATCACACAAGTGCTTGTTTTTCCTCAAAACTACTATTACAATTTCACATGTACAAGTAGTGCTTTACACTTTTATCATTTTATCATGGAGATATTTAAAATACGTGTAGTTATTGGTTGAGATTTAACAAAATATTGCTTTATCAGTGATATTCTTAAGCAAAAGTGGTGTTTTTTAAAATTGCAAGTACACAGTAATAAAGAAAACAACTTCTAGTAAAGTAGGGTGCTTCTGTTTTGATTCATGCTAAGGTACCATCAAGTTTTACTAATGATTGCTTTTGCACCATCAGTATAAATATAAACAGTCAAGACAGGTAATGTTTTAGTGTTATTATGAAAACAATTTTGACCTCATGTGCTCCCTAGAAAGTGTCCTGGGGATCCCCAAGTATCCATGAACCACTCTGAAAATTGCCAATCTAATCTTAAGATCTTATTTAGGCTGGGCGCCGTGGCTCATGCCTGTAATCCCAGCACTTTGGGAGGCCAAGGCGGGCAGATCACCTGAGGTCAGGAGTTCAAGACCAGCCAGGACAACATGGGAATACCCGTATCTACTAAAAAAAAAAAAATATATATATATATATACACACACACACACATATATATGTATATATATATACATATATAAATACATATATACGTATATGTATATACATATTATATACATATTGTATATGTATATATGTGTGTGTGTGTGTGTGTGTGTGTGTGTGTGTGTGTGTGTGTATATATATATACACACACACAAAAATTAGCCAGGCGTGATGGCAAGCATCTGTAACCCCAGCCACTCGGTAGGCTGACACAGGAGAATCACTCGAACCTGGGAGGTGGAGGTTGCAGTGAGCCAAGATCACACCACTGCACTCCAGCCTGCGCAACAGAGTGAGACTCTTGTCTCAAAAAAAAAAAATCTTATTTAGATTTTGCCATTAGGGAGTATCAACATGTAAAGAACTGAAAGAGAAATGTATCAAAGAAAAAGAAAACTCATACAGCAACAGAACCAGTAGACTATGGATCTACTCTATTTGTCCTAATATTCTATTACAGTGTTTTTGTTGTTGTTGTTGTTGTTGTTTTTGAGACAGAGTCTTGCTCTGTCACCCAGGCTGGAGTGCAGTGGCACGATCTCAGCTCACTGCAATCTCCACCTCACAGGTTCAAGCAATTCTCCTGCCTCAGCCTCTCGAGTAGCTGGGATTACAGGCATGCACCACTTTGCCCAGCTAATTTTTGTATTTTCAATAGAGATGAGGTTTTGCCATATTGGCCAGGCTGGTCTCCAACACTTGATCTCAGGTGATCCACCCACCTCAGCCTCCCAAAATGCTGGGATTATAGGCTTGAGCCACCACACCTGGTCTCTATTATATTTCTATAATAATATTATCCTGTAATACATATCACAAAGATATCCTAGCCAGGCTACTATCTACTATAATCTACTATAATATACAATCACAAACACTTTCTTATTTGCTTATTCTTTCTTTCTTATTTCTTATTCACACAAAAGCAGACCACATTATTCTGAGTCTCTCTCTTGTAGAAAAATATTTCCTCAGTTACCACACAATTACTTTGGCTACGAATGAGACAAGATTCTATCTTAACTAAGACCTAAATTAAATGCAAAGAGATGTTTCCACACATGGCATCAGTTTCTCATTAACTCACTATACTTTAAGCTCCATGACAGCAAAGCACTTGCATGTTTTGTTTACTCTTCAGTTCATGATACAGAGAAAATAATAAATATCTTTGAATTATCATTAAATATGCTTTTATAAGTAATTATTAAGTAAATCCCTTTTATTTCTTTGGGAAAATATATTGACTCCAGAACAACTGGAGTTTTAGCTTCAGATATAGTTCACTTGCAAGTGGATCTTCCTCTGCATGCCAACCTCAATTTTTCTAGGAATGAGACTTCCAATATTTAGGCAAATTCTCGAAATACTGAGTATTATGTCCCAAAATGTAAAAATAATATTTTACAAACTGCTTAGTACACTGTAAGCAATCAATTAATAAATCCAAATATTCAAAATTAACACCTCACTCCCAAAGGTGTATTTCCCAAATCGCAGTAATTTTTTTTTTAAGTCTACAAACAAAAAAAATCTGATAGCTTTTTTCTTCTGGTTTTCTTCTAACCATGGAATTTCTTTTCTACTATTCTTTAAGTTCTAAAATCCTTCAGATACCTCAGATAAACTAATTTACATTTCAATGACTTTTTTCAAACTGAACATAGAATAAATGTTGCTTTATCAAGTTTCAAAATTTTTTTTGTAGGTAGAAACTAATGGATCTAGAAAGTAATCCTTAAAAGTTAAAAGTTAACTCTGTGACTATAAACAGGGATGGAAAAAAGAAAGTTAACATTTACTGAATACAAAAAAAACAGAGAAATAACATTTACATGCTGAGCACTCTATTAGAGACTTTACATACATTATCTCATTTATCCTCCCAAACAATCCCCTGGGTAAACAGAGGTTATAAAGAAGCTTAAGGCCGGGCACGGTGGCTCACGCCTGTAATCCCAGCACTTTGGGAGGCCGAGGCCAGCAGATCACGAGGTCAGGAGATCAAGACCATCCTGGCTAACACGGTGAAACCCCGTCTCTAGTAAAAATAAAAAAAATTAGTCGGGCATGGTGGTAGACACCTGTAGTCCCAGCTACTCGGGAGGCTAAGGCAGGAGAATGGCGTGAACCTGGGAGGCGGAACTTGCAGTGAGCCGAGATTGTGCCACTGCACTCCAGCCTGGGGAACAGAGTGAGACTCCGTCCAAAAAAAAAAAAAGAAGCTTAAGCAGCTTGCACAAGGTCACGCAGCTGGGTAGTGGTAGAGACCAAATTTGAACTCAAGCTAATATAAATCCCATAACATTCTTACCAACATATCATAAAGCCGCAGCCATTCTGTATTATGCAAGAGGAGCAAGAAGTTATTACAGCCATTTTCTTCTCATCTTAGAACACTTAAATTCAAGTGGCTTGTTACTGCCAACTCACACTGGCATAGCAATTTTAAATGTCTTCCATATATCTAAAACAGCAGTCACAATCGCAGAAACACGACAGTGAGAGGGTGTCAGGTGAAGACAGCTGAGGAGTAAAATGGATGAAAAACGTGAAATACTATTACATGGAAACTTTCCAACAACTTCCTGCAGGTAGCAACAATAATTTGGTACTACTTTCTAATTTAAAAACATATATAATAACCCCCTCAAAAACCAGAAAATGATATATGTATGGCATTTTCAATAATTATAATTGAGAAAGTAATCTCAAAACAAGAAATAAAGTCCTAGCAATGGGACAGTTCAGATAATGATAAGATACCATATTGACTATGGCCATAGGAAATAGCTGAAGTAGAGAGAAAACTAAAGGTTAGTAAAATGGAGGTGGTCAACAAACACTAAGGCTAGAATGTCCATAAAGATGTAACCTGATGGTGGAACACAGAGGGAAAATGTGAGACAAGTACTTAAATTTTGAATGAAAAATTGAGTAACGAGAAAGATTTGAGTTAGCAATGAGAACAGATAAAGAATGGCTTAGCAGGAAAATGAAGAATAATCTATTATGGGTCAGCAAGCTTTGGCTTGCTGGTCAATAAGCCTACCACCTGTTTTGTTTTATTACCGCTTTATTGAAATATAATTTATATACCACACAAACCATCCATCTAAAGTATACAACTCAATGGTTTTAGTACATTCAAACCATTGTGCAGCCATCACCACAATCAAATTTAGAGCATATTTATTACCCACAAAAGCCTGTATCTACTGGCAGTCATTCCCCAACTCCCCCTCAGGCCAGCCCTAAGTAATCACAAATCTACTTTCTGGCTCTACATATTTGCCTATTCTGGATATTAAATACAAATGAAATTATACAATATATGATCCTGTATGACTGGCTACTTAGTCGAGTATTTTCAAGGTTAATCTAATGTGTTGTAACAAGTATCAACACACTTCTTTTTACTAATGAACATTTCATTCGTATGAACATACCATATTTATCGATTCATCAGTTAATAAACATTTGGACTGTTTCCATTTTTGGCCATTATGAATAATGTTATTATGAACATTCATGTCCAAGTTTTTCACTTCATTTCACATGTTTCATTTCTTTTAGGTATATACCCAGGAATGGAATTACTAGGTCATATGGTAACTCTATGTTTGACATTTTGAGGAATTATTTTCTAATGCAGTTATAAACATTTACATTCCCACCAGCAAGGTTTGAGGGTTCCAGTTTCTCCACATCCTTGACAATACTTATCAGTCTTTTTTGATTATAACAATCCTAGTGGGTGTGAAGTGCTATCTCGACATTTTGATTTGCAATTCTCTAATGACTAATGATGTTGAGCATCTTTGCATGCACTACTGACATCTTCATATCTTCTCTGGAGAAATACCTACTCAGAACCTTTGCCCACTTTTAAATTGAGTTGTCTTTTTATTGCTGAGTTATAAGAATTGTTTATATATCCTGAATAGAAATTTCTTATCAGATAACGATTTTGAGAAACTCCCCCTTTCTGAGAATTGTCTTATTTTCTTGTCTTTTGAAGCTTAGATTTGTTAATTTTGATGATATACAATTTACCTTTTTTTTCTTTCATTGCTTGTGGTTTTGGTATCATATATATTAAGAAACTATGTGAACATGCGTTTGTAAAGTTTTATTGGCATACTGCCACACTCATTCATTTATGTACTGTCTATAGCTGCTTCACACTACAATGGCAGAGTTGAAATGGTGCAACAGACTGTATGGCTCCCAAGCCTCAAATATTTATTATCTGGTCCTTTGCAGAAAGAGTTTTCCAACTCATGATCTAAAACAATGCCAACAACTCCTAATTACCCCTAACCTAAAATGAACAGCTATGCTCCGCTTGAAAGAGCTTCGGGGAGACGATAACCTTCAGAGAGGAAGTAGAATTTTGGTTACAGTAACTAGACAAAATTTTTGGTGAGGAGAATGACAACATGAGGGGATAGCTATGTACTGGTGAGGGAAGAGGTCAGTATAACATCAGAAGCCAGATACAGCTTTTACTATTTAAGATCCCATCAGTAATCTGGGACCATTATTCAGAGTACCTAATAAAATACTGATGAGGTTGTTTTTACTATCATATGGCCTAGACTCTGGTGATGGAAAGTAACCTAGGGCCAGGTTATAAAAACTTAAATGCCAGAGTAAGGAATGTGGCCTTTTTCTAGTATGCAAGAGCCATTGAGATACAATGAGACCTAAGGAAAAACCTCCTATGAGACTTTTAAGGAAGTTTTGCTCCCTAATAAGTACTTAAAGAAGCATTCCCTGCTCTTCTTTGGCCAGATGTTGGTATCTAAAATTGGGGCAGCCCTCTGCTGACATGCAGAGGAGCTTTAAAGTAAGCAAGTCTTATGTTCTTGATGAAACTGAACTGCTGAACCAACCCTGTAACTCTCTGGCTCTGAGCTTCTCATTCTGTGAAATAACAAACTGCTTATTATTTAAGTCACTTTTAGTTAGGTATTGTTACTTGTAGCCAAAAATATCCTGAAACATTCTTGACTCTGTTAATCACTACATTTCTGAATAGTGGGCTGCAAAGAAATTAGGATTATGAAACCTAGACCTGCCAAGAATACTACATACTGGTTTCCAGTAGTTCAATTGATTCCTTAAAAAATGTAAAAAGCATTTTACAATTTATCAAACATCTTAAATAATTACCTACGCCAATACTCAGAAGAACTGTGAATCAGGCAATCTTGTGGTGGTTATTTTACAAATATAACTTTTTTTTAATTTAGAGTACTCCAAAACAGGCCTTCCAATTCCATAGCCCAATCTTGCTCTACCATATCATGTTACTTCTCATAATATCAAATTAAATTTACTGATAAGCAATGTAATCAACAAAAAAATTATAGTATTCTTTCAGCACTTGAACAATTACTTGACATTATACAACTCTATGAGTAATGTGACGAGAATGAATAATAAAATACCAAAACAGCTGCTACATGTTAAGTTCAAACTGGACAAGCAGAGTAGCCAGAAGAAATCTAGCACTTCATAGTAGCGCTACTGAAGCACTTACTATAATATTTCCCTCCACAGTTTCTGGGGCTGTATCTTTTTTTCATTCATCTTTATACCTGAAACTATGTTTGATATATCTAGTAAGTGAACATTAAATGTTTGCTAAGTGAAGGATATCAAAGATGTAGACTTGCACTAACACTTTATTAGCTGTTCTAGAATCTCCAGAACAGCAACAAAAAAAGGTTACAATAAATCAGCTTAGGTAAACAAAGGTAAACACTGTTCATAAATTTTGAGTTTCCTTTATTTATGAAAATGTTTACTTATTGAAAGTAACAACCTGACATATAAGTCTCTACTCAGATATGTAACAAGAATTTTGAAGCATAAAAGATCTCTTTTACAATCAATAGCAGTTTCCTTTCTGGTAGCTCTCCTATTTGTGCCTAACACACTGGGGGTTTTCTAAACACTTATCCACAGGACTTGCAAAGGTCTCCCTAGTCCTAGATGACTAATATAACTTAGCTCCATTGCACCTCTGCATTAAGTGACAGATACCACAACAGGGATTAGATTTACAAAGATGAAAAAAAAAATGCATCCACTGCCCTCGAGGAGCCAACAGTTTAGGAGGGCAGGCAATTAAACATAATGAAATATGGAATGTACTACAGTGAAAGTTACTTACAAATGGCCATTAACTGCCTGGGAGAGTTGGGAACATTTTCACACAATGCCACTGTGGATCTTGACGTTTGCCAGACAGAGAAAGGGGAGAGACATTGCCAACAGAAGAAAGAGTACAAAGGCATCAATAAGTGAAAAAGGATAAGGAATCTGAGAAAGCAGCAGTTTGAACCAGTTACAGCATAAGGATGGCTAGAAATAAGGGTCAGAGCCCGACTGTCATGCAAAACAGTTTAGATTTTTAATTCTCAAAGACGTAGCCTTGACTTTCAAATGAAAGCATTGACATAAGATTTCCTCATCCAAAGAAAAACTCTCATGGCAATAGGTAAGGCAGAATGAAGGAAGAAACCACAGGCAAAAAGAAAAAAGTATTATGTGGGCTATCAAAATAGCCCACCTGAGAAATAAATGGTAGCACAATGATGTCAATGGCAATGGGGATGAAGAAGTAGCAGATTCAAGTGGCATTTGGGGGATCTAAATGAAAAGACACGTTTGCTATATAACATGATATTTATGTCCCTGAAAAAAACCTCGTGTTCTTAAAACCACCCATTAAAAATAACATGGCTTAAGGAAAATTCAGTCCGGAACAGACACTTAAAACCTATGCAACTCTGTAACCACAGTACTACAAAAACAATACAAATCCTAGTAAAAATATTAACAAAGCTGTGCTGAATAATAAACATAATAAAATACTTTTAAAGGTACAGACGAAAGTAACAGAAAAAGATGTAAGGATTATTTGAAGCAAAGTTATTAAAACAAGGAAAAATGCATAAAGATCTAGAAGAGTTGTGCAATAAATTGTTCCAACACAGATAAATAGCCAATATGAGTCAAGAGGAAGGATGTGAACTAAACGGACAGTATACAGTACCGTATTCTGTAGCTTGCTGCTTTCAGCTGTGTTCCTATATTTTGAATTCATCTACCACCACTTGGTGACACAAAACATAAATATGCTGGGAATATTATGTTTCCCTGTTTACTGACAGAATATAAGTCAATTTGTGTTACAGAAATAAACAATATATGAAGTGCCACTGAAAACTGCCTTAAGACTTAGAAGTGAAGAGAGTAAAAAAGTATGACTGTACAAGGTTTCCAGGTAAAAGTGCATGGATAGACACTGTTTCCATTAAGAAAAAAACAGAGAATAATGAAGCATCAACATGAAGATAAATGAATGTGGTTTTGGTTACATTTAGTTGAGTTTGAGGTGTCTTAGAAACAACCTTATTTAAATAGTATCCAGTAAGCAGAACTATGGACTGGAGAAGAGAACGATGTGGCCTGAAAAATACGAATGAATCATCAGTACACAAGAAATAGATGAAACTTTGGGGTGGGGGGAAAAAACAAGGAATTTGTGCATTCACTCAAGAAATATTTAATGAATTTCTATAATGTGTAGGGTCCTATGCTGGCAGCGGCAGTATATAAAAGTTGTTAAATTAGCCTAAATTTGGCCTCAGGATGCCTCTGCATTTGAGTCCTTACATAATCACTGCCTAGCTCAGTAAACCAAATGAAAACCTAAGAGTACACAGATGGTCGCTAACTTAAAGCGGTTGATTTTCAACTTTATGATGGTACCCATAAAACCATTGTTTTTCACTTTCAGTACAGTTTTCAATAAATTATGTAAGTATTACAAAACAGGCTTTGTGTTATCTATTTTACCAACTGTAGGCTAATGTAAGTGTTCTAAGCACATTTAAGGTAGGCTAGACTAAGATGTACATTAGGTGTATTCAACGCATTTTCAACTTACAATGGGTTTATCGGGATGTAACCCCAACGTAAGTCAAGGAGCATTTGTAATTTTATAACACAACTGAGTCTCAGCCAATTACAGCAGCTGAGCTTCAGTCAATCGCAGGCAACCAATGACTCAAATAAGACAAACGACCTGTAACCAATTAAGCTCTGTACCTCACTTCTGTCTTATACTTCACTTCTATTTTCTACCTATAAATACTACTAGACCACGTTGCTTGTTGGAGTTCTTAGATCTGTTCTGATTCTGAGAGCTATCCCATACGCAGAGTTTTCTTTCTCAAACTCTGCTAAATTGAACTTGTATGAAGATTTTTTCCTTTTAACAGATGAAAAACAAAACAGACAAGATGCCCATTCTCACAGAGTTCACATTAAATCATGGGGAGACAGAAAGCGACCAAACATCTCAAAACTAATCAATTATGTGCTACAAAGGAAACATTAAAGGTACTAAAAGAGTGTAACATAGAACATGACCTGACCTGCTCTGGGAGTGTATGGCTCCCCCTTAGTTAACTGAGGGACTTTTGAGGCATTCCAGTAGCATATGCAAAGGTTCAGATGGTGGAATAAACATAGCAAACGATACTGGGTGAATGACACAAGGCCAAGTGGCTAGAGCACAGAAAACAAGTAGGAACATGGTGGAAGGGACAGAAGTAAGCAGATGAAGAATTCATGGAGTCTTTTAGGCTATGTTGAAGATTTCAGTCTTTATAATGCCGGAATTTTAAACGGGAAAGTAATACAATCATATTTGAGAGAGTCTTGGACCAAACCTACATCAAAGGCTGGAAACAGACTAAAAATGGTCAGAGAGGTAGAAATAGCAACTAGCAATAGTAGAAAAGGTCGCAGAAGCCAAAAGAGGAGAATTTCAAGAGTTCCCGACAAGGTCCAACATTACAAAGAAGAAAAATGTTAAACCAAATGCATTTAATGAATACCTATGGGATCTCTAGACGCTCTACAGTGGTCCCTCAGTATCCACTGGGAACTGGTCCCATTTCCCCACCCCCACCTCTTAGAAACCAAACTCCACAGATGCTCAAGTCCCTGATATAAAATGGCATAGTATTTGAATGTAACCTATGCACACATCCTCCTGTATACTTTAAATCACCTCTGGATTACTTGCAATATCTAATACAATGTAAATAGTATTTATACTAAATTTTTATTTGTATTATTTTTCATTGTTATTTTTTATTTTTTTTCCCCAAGTATTTTCAATCCATGGACCCAGAACTCATGGGCATGGAAGGCCAACTGTATATGTCACAATTTAAGGTGTTGTTATTCCCACTTTATATACATATGTACTGCACTAAATAAGGTCTAGAGAGCTTATGATATTTGTTCAAGGTCACATTGCTAATAAATGGCAGAGCCAGAATCTAAATTCAGATCTTCCCAACTCCAAATCTCATGCTGGTAATTAGAAGATTACTGACAATGTGGCCGGGCACAGTGGCTCAGGCCTATAATCCCAGCACTTTGGGAGGCCAAGGTGGGCGGATCACCAGGTCAGGAGCTGGCCAACTTGACCAACATGGTGAAATACCGTCTCTACTAAAAATACAAAAATTAGCCAGGCACGGAGGCACATGCCTGTAATCCCAGCTACTCAGAAGGCTGAAGCAGGAGAATCACTTGAACATGGAAGGTGGAGGTTGCAGTGAACCGAGATTGCACCACTGTACTCCAGCCTGGCCCACAGAGTAAGACTCCATCTCAAAAAAAAAAAAAAAAAAAGATTACTACCAATGTAAGTTTCATTGACATGCAGGTGCAAAATCATTGTAGACAAGCAGTATCTAATGGAAACTTCTGCCACAATGGATACATTCTTTATCTACACTAACACAGTAGCCACTACCTACATGTAGTTATTGTGTACTCGTAGATATTGTGAATGAAGAACTGAATTTACACTTTTACTTAACTTTAATTAACTTTAAAATTTAAACAACCACATACAGCTAGTGTCTACTGAATTAAACATCACTGAACTGTGGTGGACTGAAAAACAAGAAATGCACCAGGCGCGGTGGCTCACGCGTGTAATACCAGCAATTTGGGAGGCTGAAGCAAGCGGATCATGAGGTCAGGAGTTTGAGACTAGCCTGATCAACATGGTGAAACCCTGTCTCTACTAAAAATACAAAAATTAGCTGGGTGTGGTGGTGCGCACCCGCAATCACAGCTACTCGAAAGCTGAGGCAGGGGAATTGCTTGAACCCAGGAGGCTGAAGTAGCGGTGAGCCAAGATTGCGCCACTGCACTCTAGCCTGGACAACAGAGCAAGACTCCGTCTAAAAAAAAAAAAAAGAAAAGAAAAACAAGAAATGTACGAACAGACGTTAACAGTCCAGAAGCAAGGTAAAAGCAGCGTGACTGCCAGACAGCAAGATACAGCTGAAGTATTCCTCTGATTATAAGTTCACTCTTTACTTGAGAAAGAGTATAAGTTAGTTTATAATTCATGAAATTCTATTTGTTAGGGAACACAGGTGCACCATGAACAAATATGTAAGTACAGATTTATCTTATTGCCCATTATCACGTGTTTTTCCTGAGATTCCAATTTTTATTAAAGATTGCCTTACAAGAAATACTAGACAATGCCAGCATACTGCATGCCTAAAATAGGGGCTTGCTTATGGCATTACACTCAGGAGGATATGAAAGAAAATCATCCCTGAATCTAGACAGATTAAAAATAAAATACTAATGGATAGCGCTAGTAAGGGCCAAGGGTAACATCCTTTCTGTAGGCTGCTATGCTTCATTCTATTGTAACTAGGTTTTAAAATGCATACCTAATTCTAACATAAAAATAAAAATGAATACTCTGTGTTCTTTAGAAAAAGAGCTGGTCAACGCACCAGTGATTTTACCAACACCAGAAAAACAAGTCAATGTAACATCTCATCTACAGGAATGTTTTTTTGGGATACCAACAGGGCTACCAATTTGGCCCTCTTTTTACTACTTACAAGAAATATTTAAAAAACAAAACAAAACTCTATGAGGAAGAACAGTATAGGAATCTATGAATTGTTTAAATTATTAGTGCTAAATTTCAAAAGATTTCCTACAGAAATCTTCAAACATTTTAAATATTTCATAGTACAAGACTATAAAATCCAAAGACAAACCCAGGAATACATTTATCAAAATGTTATTCCTGCGCCAGACCTATAAATTAGTCAGAATTATACTGTCAATTCACAAACACTGAGGAGATGTTGACCATAAGTTTCCTTTATTATGGAGTCTATGGAGAAAATTCAGAAAGGGAAGAAAAGATGAGGGCTACTGGAGAAAAGGCTTACTTGGAAGGGTAAAAATGAGGAATAAATTTTAAACAATCAAGCTTGAGTTAAAAAAGACGCTTTATCCATTATACTTCAGAAGCTATTTTCTCTTTTAATAATTTGTTATCCATGTTATGTTTAATAAGATATTAGGTAGAAATAAGTACAAAAAAAAGTTCTAGTAAAATGTTATTTTCCCCAGAGTAATTTCTTAAGAACATGGTCATAGTTCAGACCCTCGTTAAAGTAACAACCTCTATCACTATAAAATTGTTACCTAATTAGATTTATCAATTATTTCTGACTCATTGTTTACATTTAAAATACCATTAAAACTTTGGACTAAAACTGATTGTAATGAGTAAACTATGAGTTTACTTATAGTTTGTAATAAGTAGCGTATCATTAAAACTTTTACGATCAATCTTTTTAATAAGAACTAAATTATAATAAAATCCATATGTTGCCACAGGCGGGAAAAAAAAGGAAGGAAAAAAACCCCACACAAAAAACTCTTCGAAGAATATATAAACAAGAAACTTAATACTGGGGGAGGGGTGGCCAGGGAAGACTTACTTTCCATTTTAGATCTTTCAATATCATTTGAATTTTTAAGTGACTACATTAATGTAGTGTCTTTAGAACTTTAGGGAAAAAAAATTAACATACGGATCTAAAACATGTTTCCCCTTCCTTAAAAGCTGAACTCAAAAAATGATTCCTTTTAGACCTATGTAAATTGATCAGAAGAACAAATCTGAGTTAATAAAGCAAAGACTGCCAAAGTATTAAGCTCTTTTCTGGTTAAAACCCCTGTTTTCTAGATTTATTTCCTAGGTCACTGACCAACTGCTGCCTTCTCCTAGGTCCTAGCTACCATTTAGTTATATTTATTTATTACCTTGTTAACTGCCTAACAATTCCCCAAACTGGATAACACAATCCTCTTCCACAGCCCTCACCCCTCAAAACCACCCCAGTTCCCTCAGGCTCAATGTCAACCTCAGCAAATTAACTTGCCTCAAATTATCCTGAGATACTAAGATGATTTAGGCCACCTGCTATGAACTCCATTATTAAAACATATCTGTTGCCATGGCCTATTTCTCTTCACTCTGATTTTTTCTCTCTCTTTTAATGTCTATCCTTTCCTTTTATCCTCTTCTTTTTAACTTTTCTAGAGCTCATTCCATTAATCACGCTCTTACAGCTCCCTCTCCTGGCTTTTCTAATTCTCAAGAATATCCCCATCTTTCTCTTACCAAAAAAGAACTTACTCCAACTGTAAACCACTGAAGTTAATTATCCTTTGTCTTTCTTTCATAAATGTCTCAAAAAAAAAAGAAACTGACACTCACTGCCTTCAATGTCCGATAAGCACCTTTTCCTTTATTCCACTTCACATACTCCTTCAAATAGTACTTAACATCTACCATATACCAAGTATCTGGAATATAAGAACGAAAAGACAAAGACAAGGCTTCTGCATTCACAGAGTTTACTTTCCCCTGCAATCTTATGTTTGTCACCTAGGACATGACTGAAGTTAGTCTTAAAAATTATCAATATTCTTCTAATGACCATTCCATCAGTATTTTCTTAATCTTCATCTTTACAACTATCCAATCAGCTATTACCCTGACTCAAATATTCTACTTCTAGGCCAGGCCTGGTGGTTCACGACTGTAATCCCAGCACTCTGGGAGGCTAAGGTGGGCAGACTGCTTGAGCTCAGGAGTTTGAGACCAGCCTGCGCAACATGGCAAGACCCTGTCTCCACAAAAATTAGCTGGGTGTAGTGGTGTGCACCTGTAGTCTCAGCTACTTGGGAGGCTGAGGAGGGAGGATGGCTTGAGCCTGGGAGGTGGAGGCTGCAATAAGCTGAGATCGCACCACCGCACTCCAACCTGGGCAAAATAGCAAGATCCTGTCTCCAAAAAGAAAAAAAAATTATTCAGTTTATTTTCCAAGTACATTATCACATTTGTTAAATAATTACAGTATAATGTCTCAAGCCTATCAAATTAACTATCTAAAACCAAGCTCACCTTCTTCTAACACTACTTTTCACCAGCAACTCACTCTTACTTTCCTGGTTTTATTTGTAATGTGCTATCTTTATATCTAATCACTAGGTTGGGTCATCCTTCATGACTGTTTCCTCATCATCAGTTTCTAACTCTTTTCAACTCTATATTTAAAATGCCTCCATTTTTATTTGCTTTCAAATCCTTATAACTTCATACTTGTAATACTATAAAGCAGTATTCCTTTGTGGAACTCACCTCATCTAGTTTCCACCCTTTCCAAGTCACCCAGCATCTTATTTCCAGATTAATCAATGGTTCCCCAATGGGACCAAACTGAACTCAAAACAGTTAAACCATTTACAACTTAACACATGACTTCCTTTCCAGCCTAAACTCTTATATGACCTACATAATAGTTTTCATCTTTTTCTCCTTCTCTTTCATGTTAAAAGGATGAGAAAAATTCCCCTTCTTGTCTAAGGAGAGTCATAAACTCCCTTCTACCTCCTTGGAGACATTAAGTTGTCAATAATCCTGTCTTTTCTCTTTGAAAAGATTCAAAAGATAATCTCTCCCTTTTTACCCTTTTTACTGACTTTTTCTTTCTTTCTTTTTTTTTTTTTTTTTTTTTTTTTGAGACAGAGTCTTGCTCTGTCGTCCAAGCTGGAGTGCACTGGTACAATCTCAGCTCCCTGCAACCTCCGCCTCCCGGGTTCAAGTGATTCTCCTGCCTCAGCCTCCTAAGTAGCTGGCATTACAGGCACGCGTCACCAAACCCGGCTAATTTTTGTATTTTTAGTAGAGACAGGGTTTCACCATATTGGTCGGGCTGGTCTCTAACTCCCGACCTCATGATCCGCCCGCCTCAGCCTCCCAAAGTGCTGGGATTACAGGAGTGAGCCACCGTGCCCGGCTCTGACTTTTTCTTTCAACCCCAAGATAAATCCTTCCTCAAAACTAAATTCTCTAGCTTTCACCCTCTCTGCTACTCAAAGCTTTAAAAAGCAATCTAAATTCAATGTCTCACTACCTCCTGGCTTCCCTTGCCACCATTACAACAAACTACTATTGACCAAGTCATCAAAACTCTCCTGTTATCTCCAAAAGACATCTTTAAGTTCTCTTTCTTGATCTCTGCAGTATCTATTCACTGCTGACTCCTTCCTCTTTAAGACTCCCTTCAATCTGGCATCATGCTATGCTGCTCATTTCCCAACTATCTCTCTGGCTATTCAATGACAAACTTCACAGGCTCCTCATCCTCTACCTGCCTTTTTACATGCACCATCTTTAGAGTTCACTCTCTTCACGTCTCATTTTATATTCTCTCTACACAGGATTTCATCCAGTTTCACGGCTTCAACTACTACCTAATATAAATGCACAGACAATGCTCAAATCTTTAATGCAAGCCCCAGATGTCTCTTATGAGCTCCAGATATAGGTAGCCAATTACCTGTTGGCCATAATCACCTAGATAACCCAAGATTACTATTCCCTGCCCACCTCCCGCCCCCCAAAACAGTCTTGCTCTGTCACCCAGGCTGGAGTGCAGTCACACAATCTTGGCTCACCACAACCTCCACCTCCCAAGCTCAAGCCATCCTCCCACCTCTGCCTCCTGAGTAGCTGGCACTACAGGCGTGTGCCACTGTGCCCGCCTAATTTTTGTATTTTTGTACAGATGGGCTTTCACCATGTTGCCCAGGCTGGTCTGGAACTCTTGAGCCCAAGATCCATCTGCCTCGGCCTCCCAAAGTGCTTGGATTGTAGGGATGAGCCACTGTGCCTAGCCCACCCATGATTCCTTTAAATTCAGCATGTGCAAAAATAAAAATTCTCATCACTCCCCCAAAACCTTCTTCTCCTACATCTCCTAGGAGAATGTGCATTTCTAACAAGGTCCCAAATGATACTGATGCTGCTAGTCCAGGATCCACTTCTTGAGAATCACTGTTCAAACACATGTGCCTCTTTCTACCTCCAGGCTATCAAGTTCTTTCTGTTTCTCCTAGGCCATGACATGTATGTAGCAGGCACTGTTAATATTTCACAGCACTCTATCCTATTGAAATTGGAGTCTTGCAACATAGCATCCCAAGCACTAATTACCAAATAATAGAAGCCTAGAGATGAAACAATAGTCATCCCAGCAAACTGGAAGTTTCTCGAGGACAGGAACAGTATTCCCCATGTATTCCTAAAACCTAACCTTAACCAAGTAGGTGCTCAACAAATATTTGCTGGGTGGATAGCATTATCCAAAGCCAGAAACCAAAGCAGAATTCACCACCTCTTTTCTTCCCCATAATCCAATAGTTACCAAGTTCTTTCTTCTACCGCCTAAATGTATCTCCTGTAGGATCCCTACTATCTATCTGCATTGTTACTGTATTCTTTCACATCCTTCTGTCTCATATAAATTACTATAATTATTTCTGAATCCTCATGTCTAGATTCATCTATCCTATTATCCACCCGGCCATCAGAATGGTCTCTTTAAAAAAGTAAATGAGACAATGTCATTCTCCTGCTTGAAAATAACTTCCCACTGCTTTTAGGAGAAAAAAGATTAACTCCTTCATGATATGCAAATCCCTCTATGATCTAGTGTCAATCCACCAGACACTACCCCCTTCCTCTCCAGCCACGCTAAACTAACACTGTAGTTCTCTGGATGGCTTGTATATCTCATGCTTCCATGACTTCGAACAGAAGCTCTCTATGTGGTGTGCCCTTCCTCACTGGCTAAATACTCATCCTTTCAAGACTCAGTTCAGACACCATTTCTTCCAGGAAACTTTAAGTGACATTCATCCCCAGTGTGGATTAAGCCTCTTCCCTGCCATGTGCTCTTACAGCATCCCATGTTTAGTCTGTTAATAGCACATAGCACACTGCATAATCACTGTCTTATTTACCCTACTTGATTAATTTCCTTGTAGATAACAATTATGTCTTAAGTACATATAGTTAGTGCTAGGTACATTAAGAGACGCTTGACTCAACTTTACACATTCCTTCCTATTCTCTAAACAGTGGTTCTCAAAGTTCAGCCTATATCACAATTACCTGGAAGACCTATAAAACTTAAGACTGCTTGGCTCATCTCCAGAATTTTGGATTCAGTTGTTCCAGGGTGGGGCCTGACAAGTTTCCAGATGATGCTGTTGCTGTTGGTTCGGGAACCATCAGTGCTCCAAATGTACATTGTCTCTTCCTCCCTTTAGGATTTAAAGTGCCTTCTTCTAGATGCCTCCAACTCTGCCTACTGCAACGCTGATCTTTTTAGACCCAGCTAGCTCAATTACCACCTCCTTCATAAAACTTTTCCTAATCCCAGGTGAAAATGATCTTGCTCCTTCTTAAATTTCTATCATGCTTTGTGTGTACTATTCATATGACACTCATCACATGCTAACTTACTTCACGGTTACTGCCATTTGTCTTACATTCTCTACTTAAATGAAGGTAGGAAACCTGCCTTAATCATTGCAATATCCTCCACAACAGAGAGCACAACAACCAGTAAACGGCAGACAAAATCTACAAGTATTTGTTGATAGGAATGAATCCCTGTTGCTTGCCCCAGACTCCAGGCCCACTGTCTGACTTAATATCCTCCTGGCCCAAGGTGACTTCCTTATACTGCCTTACTACCTATAACAGTTGCCTGATCCTTCCATACTTGTCTGTCCCTCTCATTGCTGACTGACCCTTAGTCAGCTTCTTTACTTTATACCTTGAACCATTTTAATTTTCTCATTCACTATGGGACAAAATGAGTGGATAAATTTTCTCAGGACAGATGTGAATTTTAATTCCGCTGGTCATAAGACAGGTTTTTTTTTTTCTAAAAAGTGGCCTTTGCCACAGAATCTGAACTAGAATATGTTGTGTAAAACTCTACATACAGTTATAGACGGCAATAAATTTGTTTTAAGTTCTAGATGCAGATCATGGAGATAAAAAAAAATTTAAAAGTTTAAAAGCACAAAGACATGAAAAGGCCTTTATAAAATTTAAAGTTCCCTTAAGAAACAAAACGTAAAACAATTACCTTTATATTATGTTCATTTAAGTATCCAGAACAAAATCCGTATTATCTATTTCAACAAAAACATATATAAAACACCTCGTTCAGGGGAAATTCCTAGGAGCTCACTATTTACAAGATTTTTTTTTTTAACATATAACCTTCATTCTCCCTGGACGCTTAACAATTTAAAACTCAAATAAGGGTGAAGGGAGGGAAAGACTTTAACTTTCAGGAAAAAAAAAAATAAACTACGTTTAAGGCACCAACTAAAATTAATACCTGTCAGAAAAGATCCTTGAGAGTACATTTAAATCTTATAAGCCTTTTTACTTTCCATACTTGAATTAACTAGTGATATTTCATACTGTAAATGCTGTTGACAGAATGTAAATAATAAGAGTTCTAAGAGAGATTTTCCAAAGGGTGTGAAAGTTTTCAGAATTGTATGTTCAATTAACCAGAAAAATTAACCAGATCACTCCAAAGCCTGATTTATTTGGGTTAATCGACATCCCATATGGCAAAGTTGAGTTATGGGTATGGTCTTGATACTTTCAAACCAGTACTGTATTCAGCAGACCAAAATAACCCTAAAGTTGGAAAGCCACTGCCAACATTATGTAGGTCCTGAAATGGTATTGGGAGGATGAAAGAGGAAAAAAAAAAACCCAACAGTTGAATTAGGAAATAAATACTGAAAAGGGAGCTGGGAAGAAAAGGAACATAATGACCTGGCAGGAAACAACATCGTCTGATACACCGTAAAATATTTTAAAAGACAAGAAAACAGAGTTAACAGGAAAATAAGAAATTGAAGAGCTAAAAGAGAACTTCCCAGTTTCAGTCTGTTGTTCAAAAAACAGAGGACGGGGTGCACCGCAAGAGAGTTACTATTTGGAAACCATACCACTTCGCTGTATAATATATAAACAACAAAAGGCTAGATCATTGTTCCTCAAATGTGCTGTTTATAAAGCTAAGTAAAAACATTCCCTGCAATGAACAAAGATCTTCAAGATCCTGACCTTCAAGTAAAGCATGTGCATAAGGAAATTCTATTAAAGCACTGAAATGCAATTCTTCACTTCAAAAGACTATGCCAACAAAAAGATTATATGATGAATGGCTATGATCTTCCTAAATTGTTTTGTGACTTTCAGGTGCCAAAGTTGCCTCTCTGAGCTGCCTCGCAAGTTGGCAAGGAAAAACTTTCTCTACACATCAAAATCGGCAATCATTTAAGTCTGCTCTTAATCTGGGTTTTAAGTGCACCAGTAAGCACTTACTCATTTGCCCTATATTTTAAATAAAAGCTGACTTACCTGAATATTCTAATTTCACGTTCTTCCCTTAAAATCGATTTCACCAAATCGATTTTAAGTTGTAAGCAACAGCATTCCTCCCTTCAGTAATCCACCACGTACACTGAAGCACTTAAATTCTACATACAGGGTGGGATACCATACAGTGGAAAAGATGCGAGAAATTACCCACCGTCAACCAGTTTAAGTCTTCTGACAACTGTTCAAAGACTTTTAGAGAAAGCCTAATAACTGAATCGCATGATGGAGTATCTGATATACGCGGAATAGCACTCTGAACTTTCTCTACTGTGTATACAACTCTTGATTACAAAGAGGAAACTAACGACTAGGGCTTCCCCGAGCGAGAGAACCGGTAAGGTAACAGGCTAAAAGGGCGTCGTTGATTTCTTGGCTGCAGCGACAGAGGCGGGAGACACACCCCTAGCGTCGGTCTGAAACACTACAGCAGCGAATTCTACCTAGGGATTAATGTGAGGGTAAGGAAAGACAAATTAAAATCGCCATGATTCAAAAACAACCACTCCAAGAGAGAGACACAAGAAGGTACCAAAGAAAATGAAAAAACCCTTGGTAGTAACGGAAGCATGAAAAATTAAGCGCCCCCATTTCTCCCAAACCAAGTTCGCGTATGTTTTCGTGAACAAACACCTTGGATCTTTCCGGTTCGCCAGGGCAGCGAGCAAAGCAGCAGCGAACGGAAACCCCGCAGGGCTGCGCACCGCAGCTAAACCGACGCTCGCAGGAGAGGGGAAGTGAGTGGCAGGGTTCCCTGCCAAGACTCACTGCTGGGAAACAGGCAGTGAGTGGAAGCAGCAGCAGCTCTGGAGAGTAAGTGGGTCTTATGTAAAGTGCCATTTGCCACATATTGTTATTTCCAAAGGATTTCAGAATACCCTCGAACTCGAAAAACAGAGTGAGTGTGGAGGGGAGGGGGGTGCTCCACGTGGAGGAGGGTCGCGAGAAGGAGAGTGCGCCGGGCTGATGGTCAGCGGTGCCCGCGGGGGTCGATGCCGGGCGGGACCGGCGGCGCGGGGGTGGGGCGACGGCGGGGCGGCGGCCGAGCAGCAGAGGGGCGCCCCGCAGAGGCCGGGGGCGGGCGCGGGGGCCCCGCCGCCGTCCTGTCAGCAGCCGCCCCGCCGCCCTCTCCGGCTCGCCCGCAACCGCCGCGGGACCCGCCGGGCCCGGGTCTCTGGAATTTTCCACGGGGGACAGCCGACCGGGGGCGTCGGGGCTCGCCCCCGCACCCGACCCGGACGGCGGCAGTAGGGGGAGGGATGGTGCATCGAGGAAGCCAAGGTCTCACCATTTTGCTCGGCGGGTCGGCGGCTCGCTGGCTCGCTGGCTCGGAGAAGTGTTGCGCTCAGGCTGGCTCGCAGGAAACGGCGGCGGCGGCCCAGCTGCGGCCCTCGGGTCGCCGGCGGGGAGGGGGCGCGCGTGGGGGAGGGGAGGCGGCGCCGCGGGGCCCGCGCCGGCCGGGCGATTGGGCACGCGAGGGAGCGGGCAGGGTAGGGGGAAATAAATTAAGGTCGAGATTCAGAGCCGGAGAGCGCGGGAGGAGCAGCGGCGAGAGGCAGGAGAGGCAGAGAAGAAGAAAGGAGGGGGAGAGGGGGCGAAGACGGCCGGGAAACTCGGGGGCTGCAGCCTCGCGCTCGCGCCGGAGCCGTGACGGACTCACTGCAGCGGCTCGCGCTGACCCGCAACCTCAAGGCACGAAAAAAGGGGAGGGCGGAGAGGGAGGGGAAAGCGGAGTGCTGCAGCGCGCGGGGCGGGGGCGGGGCTTCCGCGAGCGCCGCACATCCGGGAACCTGCGCGCCCCGCTGGGCGGCGAGTGCCGCGGCGCTCTGGCGAGCTCTGGTTGGGGAACGCTGAGCGCGCGGACCACGTTCGCCCCTCAGCCGGCCGCCCCTTGCGTGCAGGGTGGGGGGAGGCCAGGGGCGGGGGCGCGGACGTCGGTGACGTCGCGTGGCGGAGCCCTTCCGGTCATGTGGCTGGAGGCGGGCGGGGAAGAAGGCAAGGCTGGGAGGGGAAGGAGGAAATGCGAGGGTTCCCCGGCGGGAGGAAGCGCGAGGGGTGCGCGAGTGCTAGCGAAAGGGGGACAGGGGCCCTGGAGTGGAAGCCTTGCGGGAGAGGAGGAGCAGAGGAGCAGTCTTAGGGTGTCAGAACCACCCGGATGCCGCACCAAAAAACAGGAAAAATCCAAGTCCTGCGAGAGGCAGTCAAAGGTATCTGTGCATCCGTGTACCGACTTGGATCCACTACAGAATTGCACGGCCCATCAGGACTGCTGTCACCCCGGTGCAGCACCCGCAGGCCCATCTGTAATATGAATTGGCAGAGTCAGGAACCAGGTTGCAAAGACAGAGAAGCGAGCCAAAGCTGGCCGCAGCCCGAGGCGTGGGGAGAACCTGGGCAAACGAGGAGAAGGGATACTTCCCACTCGCAGAAAGACTTTCCACCCAGCTCTGCATTCCCATAAACCGTCCAGACTCCCCTTTGGCGGAGTCCATCAGTTTTTGTTTAAAAAAAGAAAAAAACTCGAATGTAGATTGCCCGCTTATCCTTTTAGTAGAGCTATATCCACTCCTGTGGCAATTATCTTCCCAGAAAATTCAGATTACAATAGGAAATTACATCCAGAAAAGCATAAGGAGGAAATTTATGTTCGAGAGAAGAAATAAAGCTGTCAGGAGAGGTGTGATGAGGATAACGAAGAAAACATTTTGCAACTATTTTAACCAGTTATTCCTTTACAAGCCTTGATAATCGCCCGCACTCGTGTGTGTTTGAGAGTGTGTGTGTGTGTGTGTGTGTGTGTGAGAGAGAGAGAGAGGATGTTTTCTGAGTGATCGGAAACTCCTTATTGATAAAGCCTTTGAGTCATTTTATAAAAAGCCATTGTGTTGTTTTTTTTTAAAAAAGTCTTAATGATCCTTACATGAGAACTTTATTCTTTTTATGTGCTAATTATTTTTCCATATGATGAGCATGCATTTTTTTCTAATAAACGCTCAGCGATTTGCCCTAGGACTAAATGGTTCCTGTCTCTCTTTCTCTCTGTCTTTCTCTCTCTGTCAATCCCCCCCTCCCCGCCCCTCCATCCCTCCCCTTCCCCCTTCAGGAGCTACTTTGCTTCTGTGTCAGGATGAATAAGGAAAAGAACTTAGACATAACAAGCTGTGTCACACAGTGAATGTATCAAGGAAAGGCCAAGAAGGGACACTTTCTTCCACAAGTTTCTTGATTTAAATATGTTGCTATTTGATACTAACATATTACAGAACAAGAAAAAGTCCCTAGGGTATATGTGTAACGTTTTCTAGGTATACTATTTAAAATTAGTTTTTTATCATAAAAAGACGTGCTTTTTAAGAAAAAGTACTGTATGCAAAATTCTTCCTCTCTCCACTTACCAGAGGTAATCATGCTAACTGCATTTGTTTGTGTCCCTTGGACATTTTCAGTGAAAATCAAATTATTTTAACTAAGGGGTATGCACTAAGAAGGAATTCGAGCTATTTGGAATACAGTGGATTTAAAATAACCCATAATTTTGTTGTGTTGGAGGCAATTTATACTAGTCTGAATTCAGTAAGATAAGTAAATCCAAAATGCACCTTTAATAGGTTTTTCATCAAAAGGCTGAGGGGAAAAGTATGGTAAGTAGTCATTCTCCTTTTTGTCTCTTTCCATTAAATTTTGATGTAAAGCTTAGTGTGAGTGGGAACAGGTACCAAACAGTCCTGCAGAAGCATATGTGTTTTTAAAAATGTATGTACCAAATAGCCCTGCTAAAGGCATACATGTTTTTAAATAACTAGATAAATGAAGAGGTAATGGACATATCTTTGTGGCTTATTTTTCCTAGAAAATTTAACAAGCTCTTAGATGATTATCAGAAAGAATTATGTCAGATAAATTGAAGGGAGAAACACTTAAGACAGGGATGCCAGTTACAAGAATTAGTAACAGGTAGGCATGAGGTGATAAGGGATACCAATGGCAGAGGAAAGGAAAGGCGAGTATGAACAACATGAAGCAAAAATGGACTGACTATGCAACATAGTGGATGTGTGGAACAGAGAGGGAGAAATAAAAGGTGACCAGTTTTCGTTTTGATGACAGGAAATAGTGTTAACATTAAGAGAAATGGAGAGGTCCAAAGTTTGGCTATTGAGTGAGAAGAGATGAGTTTAGATTTAAAGATGCAAAGTTTTAGTTGCTGATGAGCTATCCCAGTGGAAGCACCCAAATAGAAGCTGAAAGTGCAGGTTAGAAAGGAATAGAGATATGGGAATCAATTTTAAAAAGGATTAAAATGAAATCTTCAAATTTTTCCTTATTTAATTAGTGATAGGAGAAGGAAAAGACCCAGAAATGATAATAAAGCTGCTAGGTAGAAAATTAAAGGAAAAGAAGGTTTTAAGAAAGAGAGAGTAGACCGGGCAAAGTGGCTCACGCCTGTAATCCCAGCACTTTGGGAGGCCAAGGTGAGTGGATCACCTGAGGTCAGGAGTTCAAGATCAGCCTGGCCAAACTGGTGAGACCCTGTCTTTACGAAAAATACAAAAATTAGCTGGGTGTTTTAGTACGTAGCTGTAATCCCAGCTACTTGGGAGGCTGAGGCAGGAGAATTGCTTGAACCTGGGGGATGGAGGTTGCAGTGAGCCAAGATCGAACCACTATTGCACTCCAGCCTGGGCAGCAGAGCAAGACTCTGTCTCAAAAAAAAAAAAAAAAAGTGGGTAATGTTTACAGTCATGTTTGACCATAGGCAGCCTCAGACTTCTGTGTCTCCACAATTACCATTAGGAAGTTAGAAATGTCACAAGATATTATTTCCTCCGTAGACCTTTAAGATAACAGTGACATCCAGAAAGTTGCCTTACTCTTAAAGGACTGATCACTGCCATTACTTTATATATAATATTTAAGGGTTTCAGGAGAAACAAATTACCATTTCTGTAGTTGTTTAAGGTATTTACAGTATTACTCCCCAAATGGCCACTTTTAGTAATGATTATATTTACTAACATCAACTAGAAACTATGTTTGATTTTTCTACTCTTCTTGTACATAGGA
Source organism: Homo sapiens (assembly GCF_000001405.40). Taxonomy (NCBI): domain Eukaryota; kingdom Metazoa; phylum Chordata; class Mammalia; order Primates; family Hominidae; genus Homo; species Homo sapiens. The sequence continues at coordinate 68,255,901 of NC_000002.12, forward strand.
AGAAAATGCCAATCAAAAATGAAAGTCAGTTAAAACCACTTGAAAGCAATGTCTGTTCCTTTTTAGAATGGAAAGTTGGAGGAAACTTCAGCCTCTCCTCTTAGATAAAATGCATGCCCCAGGTTAAGAATTCCAGGTGTAAGAATACTTTGTACCTTTTTGCCACATAGTTCCATACCACAAGATTCCCTTCTCAGTGGACACTGAGGTTGCATAGGGAATAGATCACCTTCCTTCTCAGAATTCTTTTTTGTAATGAGGAGAACGCAGGGATGCAAGCTAGCCCCCTACTCCAGGGTGTGGTTGAGAAAGGGCTCCCAGGCACCTGAGATGCCAAGAGAAGTGGGTCATTCCCTTCCTGCTAAGCAGCAGAGGTTTTTGCCAAGGATCTAAATTCCATCTTGGAAACTCATTTCTCCATAGAAACCATTTCACAAAGAGTTCTATAAACAATGGCCTTCCTGCAAAAAGCCTACTTAAATTACAATGTAGCTGAAATTCTGTGTATTTGCTACTAAAAGTTCAATAGTAGAAAATAATACTCTTAAATATATGTATCTTTTTGAATTAATGCATTTGGGAAAAAATGTATTCCAAGTACTAGATGGGTTTTTTTCTTTAATTGTACATATAATTACTTTTAAAATTATGGACTTTGTATAACTTTTCCAGTTCCCACAAGAGAATTAAGAATATTGAATTTGTTCAAAATTAAGCCTTCTATCACTTACTTTTTAGATGAAATACAAATTAGGACAGTTTTTAAATTAGGAGTTTCCTAATAAAAAAATTATATGATAAATTAGTTACATAAGTTGTTTCCATACTATGCACTGGAACAAAAAGAAAAGGAAAGAAAAAGACTTCATAAGATTTATTCCTAAACCTCTTGCATTCACACTAATTTTGTGTGTTAGAAGAAAAGCCCACAGTGTTTTTAAACAGTTTGTTAACGCTCTTTACATAATGAGCTTTATTCTTTTTCTATGCTAATTATTTTTTCATGTATGAGTACATTACAGTTGGGTGATTATCTACATAAAAATGACTTGAAATCAAGAAAGAGAGGACAGAGATCAGAGAGTTTAAACAGTAAAGACCTGGGGCAAGGCAGAACTAAAGGGAGCATCTACGTTTGAGTGGCAGAAGGAAAAAGAAGTGATAGGAAAGATGATGAGCAAACCAGAAGGGCAGAAGACCCAGTAAGGATACCCTGGAAGCTGAAAGGGAGGAGTTCAAGATCAAAGGTTGATCAACATCATCTAGTGGCTGGGGGGTCCAGCAGTGTGGTCAGAGAGGACCAAGACAGATGGAGGTGTCCATTGAGGTGTCCTAGATTATGTCATGACATTGTTTATCTGAATTAAAAGTCTGTCTCATTTATTTGGTCTTTTGCACATAAAAGTGAATACCAAGAAAAAGCCTGGTTATTTGGACTTTGATAGTATTTCCATTTTACTAGTTTAGTAAGAGTATTTTATACCATCTTCTTAAACATAACAGAAAATATAATGTAAATGTAAAACAAAACTATTATGGCACTAGAGAATACCTATCTGTCATACTTGTTGACTCACTAATGCATGTATGCACTCAAAAATAACTGTGTGCTTAGCTCCACACATGTATCAGTGAGACTGGAGTGAGACCCTAGTTCTAATCTCACTTCTGGTTCCAGGACATTCCTGTGTGAATTTTGGATAGTCATCTAGCCTAAGTTGCCTAATATGATAGTCAGTAGCCACTTTTAGCTATTTAAGTTTACATTAATTTAAATGAATAAAAATTCAGTTCTTCTGTCTTGTTAACTACATTTCAAATGCTCAGTAGCTGCATACCTAGTGGCTATGGTATTGGACATTAAAGAAAGTTCTTTTAGGCAGTACTCATGTAAGTTCTTTGCCTCAAAGTTTTCATCACCAACCACTGATATAATGCTTGTTTATTATAAAGGTAGGCACATTTCAAATATAATGAGTTAAACTACCTTAAGTGCTCTTAACAATTTGAACAAACATGCAATTAAATCCCCCTTTAAAAAAAAAAAAAAAAAAGGCCGAGCGTGATGGCTCACGCCTGTAATCCCAACGCTTTGGAAGGCTGAGGTGGGCGGATCACGAGGTCAGGAGTTCAAGACCAGCCTGACCAACATGGTGAAACCCCGTCTCTACTGAAAATACAAAAATTAGCTGGGCATGGTGTGTGCGCCTGTAATCTCAGCTACTCAGGAGGCTGAGGCAGGAGAATCGCTTGAACCCGGGAGGTGGAGGTTGCAGTGAGCTGGTATCACACCACTGCACTCCAGCCTGGGCAACAGCAAGACTCCGTCTCAAAAAAAATAATATATATATATATATATATATATATATATATATATATATTCAAGCAAATGAAAACATACTAATATCAGAATATATATATTAGATTTTATAAATATGAGAGACTGAAGACAAATGTTGTCAGTACTTTTACCAAAATTCATATATTCTTTATTAAAATGTGTCAAACAATATATTACAATGTAAAAAGATATTTCACAACAAATGCAATAGAAAATGTTTAATTTATAAAAATATTTTAGCAACTGCATAAAATTAATAGTTAATTTACTTCAGAAATTGTACTTTGTTTTCATGAAAGATTTTTATTTTTCCCTATAATCCAATTTTCACATTTTACCCAAAGCCTTAAGATATATTTCAAGTAGCAATCAGAACACTATAGAAAAATTTTTAATGGCTGGGCACGGTGGCACACGCCTGTAATCCCAGCACTTTGGGAGGCCGAGGTGAATGGATCACGAGGTCAGGAGATTAAACCATCCTGGTCAACATGGTGAAACCCCGTATCTACTAAAATACAAAAAATTAGCCAGGTGTGGTGGCCCACGCCTGTAGTCCCAGCTGTTTGGGAGACTGAGGCAAGGGAATTGCTTGAACCCAGGAGGCGGAGGTTGCAGTGAGCCGAGATCGTGCCATCACACTCCAGCCTGGTGACAGAGCAAGACTCCATCTCAAAAAAAAGACAAAGAAAAAAGAAAAAAATTTAAATGCAGAGGGCATGTGGTAAGGGATATTTGGGTCATCTCACAAAAATTCTTAAGATTCTTTAACAAAGGATTAGGATTTCAGTTGTATATTCTATCTAAAAATATAAAAATAACATTTCATAGTACTGAATCAGGACTTTGTGCATGAACATACTGAATCCAGTTCTTTCAATTGTCAAAATTTTTCTGAGGGAACTTTGATGGTAGACTGTGGCTTCCAAAGAAAAAATAAGAGTACAAGCTATTTTTGGAAGACAAGAAAATGAGTAAACTAGTTAAAAAAGATTGGTTTGGCATGGAATATTCATTCGTTAACTTAACTCATCTGATGCTTGAAAAGGTATATACTCCAGGATCAGGCTGACCACTAGAAAAGGGAACATTATTTTCAAACTAAAACTCACGTGTACTAGGGATTAATAGGTTTTGGATGGCAGACTTCAAAAGTCCCCACTGACTCCTCTTGGGAATAAGGAGCAAATGCCACTGCAATGCCATTCAGTCGTGAGTAAACAATGACGAGAACATAACTTAGGGTGGCATTTTCTAGGTGGGGATATATACAGAGCAGGGGACACTGAGGCCATATATTGGGCATTAGTAACCTGCGTTTGCATGTCCTTTACTTCTGTTGTTTCCACGAGAAGAAAATACTCTGAACATTGCGCTATTGTTTTTGAGCAAGCCTGTTCTCTCTTTTGCCTGACTCTGGACACTGCATAATTGTTTAATGGCGTAAATGGAATAGCTTAATTCTAAAAGATCCTTGGCGAAACAGTACTGGATCATTAACATGGTTATTATAGAAGATGTTTTAAATACGGAAAAGGGTAAAGAAAGGAAAACCATCTGTAATCATAACACCGTAATCACTATGTTTGGATGTATAGCCAATCATATATATATATATAATGTATAGAGATGTATTTATTAATTGGGCATGTACTGTTTTATTAAATACTTTTTCACTTAATATTTGGGGAATATTCCTCACATCTTTCAATATTCTTTATGAATATTTTTGATTATATATATCCAATTATGTTAGTATATGCCTTAATTTATTTAACAAATCCTTTATAAATTTTGATTTTGGTTCTTTTCAGTTGTTTTCTATTATAGACAATGATATATATATCTTTTTTTTTCTTTTTTTTTTTTTTTTTTGAGACAGAGTCTCACTCTGTCACCCAGGCTGGAGTGCAGTGGCACGATCTCGGCTCACTGCAAGCTCTGCCTCCCGGGTTCACGCCATTCTCCTGCCTTAGCCTCCCAAATAGCTGGGACTACAGGCGCCTGCCACCACGCCCGGCTAATTTTTTGTATTTTTACTAGAGACGGGGTTTCACCCTGTTAGCCAGGATGGTCTCGATCTCCTGACCTCGTGATCTGCCCGCCTCGGCCTTCCAAAGTGCTAGGATTACAGGCGTGAGCCACCGCGCCCGGCCGATATATATATCTTTGACAAGGTCCCACTTTGTGGCCAGGCTGGCGTGCAGTGACACAATTGCAACTCACTGCAGCCTCAGCTTCCTGGGCTCAAGCAATCCTCCCTCCTTAGCCTCACAAGTAGCTGGGACCATAGGTGCGTGCCACCATACCTGGCTAACTTTTGTATTCTTTTTTTGTAGAGATGGGGTTTTGCCATGTTGCTCAGGCTGGTCCCAAACTCCTGAGCTCAAGAAATCAGCCTTCCTTGGCCTCCCAAAGTGCTGGGGCTATAGGTTTGGGGCACTGCACCCGGCTGGGCATAAACATTTTTTTAAGTTTGTGACCCCGTATATTTGTGCACCCATATAGGCTGAATAATAGCAGTACTAATATATAACCCAAACATTACCATCTTTAACCTAATTATTTATTTTATCCTAACAACTACTGCATTCCTAGCACTCAATCTGAATTCAAGCACCACAGCCCTATTACTATCCCACGCCTGAAACAAACTAACATGATTAATATCCATAATTTTATCAATTTTATTATCCCTAGGGGGCTTACCCCCATTTACAGGATACCAGCCTAAATGAATTATTATCCAAGAATTTACAAAAAACAAGAAGCACCCATTTTTCCACAACTATACAAACTATATGTTGATATTTCCTTTAAACATAGGCTTTTAAACAAGTGGCATCTCATCTTAATTTGCATTTCTTGGTTTTATGGTAATATTGAACATTTTTCCAAAGTTTTGATCTTTTACATCAACCACTAAGAATATATCCCTGTGACTTACCTGTTCAGTGCCCACTTTTCTTGAGGAAATTTGTCTATACATTTTGTATATGAAGGATATGACCCCCATACATTTGTTAGGATGACTCCACCAAGTTTATAGTTTGACTTTTGATTGTTTGTGGCATTTTTAAAGTTTATTTTTCATCCTATATATGGGAGAAAATACAACATACAGATGACAGCTAAAGAGCTCATATCCTTAATATATAGGTATCCTAGTTAATTGTGAACTATTTTTTCTTATTAATCTATGACTTCTATGCTGAAAATTGCATATGTATATTCAATGACTAGACTTGAAGGTAAAATAGTAAATTAATAAAAACTTTTACTTACAGAACATGGGTTAATTAAGTCTTACTTGACATTGGCTACTTTACTATTGAATAACTAATCAAATTCATCGAAAACTTCATTTTTACCTTAAAAATAAGCAAAACTAATGTATCCATCATTTTTTCAATGAAGGGTCAAGTAATGTATGCAAATACTACATTAAGGCCACATAATGAGCTACCCATACAACTGACAAATGAAGTCTTCAGAGATTTTTTTTAGAAACAGCTGAAGATAATATGGTCTGAAAATGTCATATGGTATAGGGTCAACTGCATGTGTTATTTTGTTATAATTTGTACCAATTACACACATAAACCACATATGCATCTGGTTATAAAATGTTCTATATGTCATATACATTGCTGTACCGCATTTCTCTATCCAAGCACATACACCATTCTAAAAATTATGCAAAATTTTTTTGGGAGGCTAAGGCCAGTGGATCACGAGGTCAGGAGATCGAGACCATCCTGCCTAACACGGTGAAACCCCATCTTTACTAAAAATACAAAAAATTAGCCTGGCATGGTGGCGGGCACCTATAGTCCCAGCTACTCGGGAGGCTGAGTCAGGAGAATGGTGTGAACCCGGGAGGCAGAGCTTGCAGTGAGCCGAGATTTCGCCACTGCACTCCAGCCTGGGGGACGGAGCAAGTCTCCGTCTGAAAAAAAAAAAAATTATGCAAAATTTTATATCATATTGTTCTTTCTCTCCATGGTACCCTAAGTAATTGACAGAAAATAAAACCAGCCACTTATTTGTACCTAAAGGTAACTGCAACATTGTTCCTCTATATCTATGTTCTGTGAATGTAATAGAAGGATTTGCTTCAACAAAAGTAACATCATAACTAGATACAGTTACAAGTCTGATTTAAGTTTTAGGTAGTTAATTCCTTCTGTTTTCCTGGTAGAATAGATTATTCCTTGTGCATATTCTAAATTAGAAATATCTTTTATAAAAAAGAATTGACTGCTTATATCGGTTCTCTTTGTAATAATTAAAATTGTCATATACATTTGTTTTTTATTTTAGAGCAAACTTGTTGGAACCAAACTCAAAATATTCACTAGCACATTATCTATAATGCTGTTCTTCCAGGAAAATGAAAGTAATCAAAAAGGTGTATTTCAAAGAAATATACTTTTAGAAATAAATACATATGATATAATTTATGTATATATGATATTGTAAATTGTTAAGATATAGTAAATGAGCCATGCCTCCTTGTTCAAAATTATATCACTAAAATTAATCAGTGTGCTTTAAAAAAGTCTACTCTTTTGAAAATAATTTATAAATTTGTATAAGATATATAAAATTTATAATACTCTAAGAATTTATTTTTGCATAAATGGCAAATTGCACTAGTGCTAAAATTCTCAAGGTCAGAGCTGAAAATTGCACTGTAAATACATTTTGTGCATTTTATCAGAATGGGGAAGTTGGTTGCATTTCTAAGAAAATATTTAAAATTGTATATTTTTGAATAAAAATGAAATGTTTGGTAAATAAGTTTTTTTTTCAGTGAATTCCATGTGTTCTTTGATTTTAAAGAGCATGTTCAATTCCTCACAAAATCAAAAAGAGTTCTGTTAACTACTCAAGTGACAAATCTGAAGGAAGAGAGGCATTAAAATGTAAACAAATTACCTATATTCAAAAGCAATAGAGTTTCAGGGCCCATTCCACTTTAGGCACAAATTTTGTCAATGGTGATTTTGCTTAGTTTCAATTTGTTTTTCCCATTATATATCAAAATTGTTGCTCATTTTAGTTCCAAGACATCACTATAGTCATTAGTTACCCTGTCTAAGAAGAAAAGATTCTTACTTTTACTATAAATCAATGTATTTACAATTAGCAGGGACCTGTGTCCTTTCCCATTGTCGGCATCTGTGTAAGCATGGTTTGCCAAGAAAAAAAAAGACTTTGCAAAAAGCAATGGGGAATAGTGAAGTGTGAAGAGTGAAGAAGCAGTAGAGCCTCCAGCATAACAATTGCAATCAGGTCCTTCCAGAAACTCATGCTCGAGCTATATACTTTCTGGCCGTCATCCCTCCTTTCTTGCCTACACTAATCTCAAATCCTGAGCTTTGAAATCCCCAACCTACACCTGTTTCCAACCCAGTCTTCTATCCTTGATTCTTTTTATGAGATCCTATAAAGCACTGAAATTAGCAATTATAGTGGATCTACCCAAGAGCCAGAGGATGGTTTTATTTGCAGAAAGCAGGTAACAGAAAGCACTTTAAAATTGATTGTGCTGTCTACAATGCTGTGTAAACATTTGGTATGACTAAACAGATCCTCCCCCTGTCATGTAATTGGATAAATTGCAAAGTAAGAGTACGGCCCACCGTGATATTTTGTAATCTCCTTTTCATCACAAAAACTGATGTTATAGAAAAAAGACCTTTCTTCTAACTTAGAAGCATTAGACCCTATGGTCCTTCTTTAAATGTGACTACATTTCTTATTTTTCATCTATCTTTCTTTCTTTTTTTCTTTTTTTCTTTTTTTTTTTTTTTTTTTTTTTGAGACAGGGTCTTGCTCTGTCACCCAGGCTGGAGTGCAGTGGTGCTATCTCGGCTCACTGCACCCTCCACCTCCCGGGTTCAAGTGATTCTCGTGCCTCAGCCTCCCCAGTAGGTAGGATTACAGGCACGTGCCACCACACCCGGCTAATTTATGTATTTTTAATAGAGACAGGGTTTCACCATGTTGGCCAGGCTGGTCTCGAACTTCCCATCTCAAGTGATCTGCCCGCCTCAGCCTGCCAAAGTGCTGGGATTACAGGCATGAGCCACCACACCCATCTTATTTTTATCTATCTAAGTTATACAGCAACACAAGAAACTCTTCTTAATGGTATATCATAAAGAGAGATGGCATAAATGAAACATTGCATAATGGTATTCATTTTAAATTAAACCTAAATATGTAAATATCCAAGGTCTAATTAGCAATGGATATTCTTAGTGTACAATAAAACTGCATTAATCTGGACACCAAAGATGTTGAATCATTTGCCTTTAGAAGATGCTTTGAGAAGATTGGTCTTTGGAGACTCAAACAAAAAGATCCTGGTGTTCAAAGGACATGTGTTTAAGAATAAGGATTTATGAAGTTAAGGTCATGAGAGGAGTCTCAGAAGACTCAAATCAAGGAGTGATAGAGATGGGCATGTTCTTATAATAGAGTAACATAGGCATTGGCTAAAAAAGATCTACAGGATGTTTAGATAGTGATGGGTAGGCAGGTTAGACACTGTGAATACTGAGTTTAAGAACTTTGAACCACAACAGCGTACTCCGGGACCCAGCATTGGTGGAGAAGCATTGAGAGGTCTGAGCCTGGCTGGTTAGTGTGGAACGAAGAATCACAGGTATGGCTGGAAGAGCATGGGAATGAGTATTTGTAGTTTATAAAGACACAATTTTAAGCACTTTGAAGCCTCTACCATGTGCTATTTTTAAGTCTTCTCAGTTGATTGAGTCTGAGAAGAGTGAAGATTAAGTGCTGGGGCTGAAAGTTTAACCTAGATCTGTGTGACTCCAAAACCCAACCTTTTCAGCACTATGTTATACTGCCATTTGGTGCATAACTATGGGACAGGGGGGTGCAGATGTGCGTACACATGCATTATACATTTCATTATATATTTCATTTTCTTTTTTAAATAAAATAGGATCATGCTGTTTTGTAACTGTTTCTCTCATCAAATCTTGTGTTCACATAACGCATTAAGTTTTGGAGAGCTTTGGTAACAGTGGTTCAAGATACCCAAACGTAAGCCTAAGAACAAAGTGTAAATAAAACCCAATTCCCTCCACAAAGAACAGACCCAGAAGGCCATACTAAAGGTACCAGTGACTTGGGCAATTTGTCTGTCATCCAATAAGCCCAGAAGTTGCCATGAGAAGAGAGATAATGGTCCAATTTCTTTGACTTTGTCAAAACAGTCAAATCATGGAGACATTTTAAGACATTCATGACCACAAATTCAACAACATTTTCCCATTTAGAACATTTTGGGCTATTATGCAGAAATCGCAGAAATACAATCTTCTCTATTGTTTCCAAATAAGTTTATACTCATTAGATGGTAATATGCAACAGTAAATTTTTTAAGAGTTACAATGTTGCTTATACAATAAATAAATAAGTGTATTTCCAAGATATATGGGAAGCAGATATGTGGAGTAAGAAAATGATTTTTTAAGCTATCATTTCCTTGTTTAAGCCACAGTCATGCTTTGGTCCCATTGCTTGCACATGTAATCCTGCCGAATACTGTTTTGTTATTTCAAAGTTGGTGGTTGTATATATAAAATATGATATTGAAATAAAAATCTGAGAAGTAATTGAAATGAAAATCTGAGAATAAGGTAGTGAAATGAAAATCTGAGAAGAAAAAGTTTTTAAAAATCCATTTTTATTACTCATATCTCCAGTTTCACAAGTTTAACTGTTACTCTTTTAATAAAATCCATGAAGCCCATTATAGAAATCAAAAGAGGCAATAAGCAGCTCATAAATGAAAGAGCCTAAAAAAGGAAACATAAGAAAACAGAATAGGGAGAGTTTTTTTTTTTTTTTTTTAAACGGCCTTTGTACAGACCTCTTCTCTTATCTGGAAAGGCTAGTAGAGCATTTGGGATGTGGGTGAGGCCATGTTTTAAGTTAAAGCCTTTATTTTTAAAGGAATGATTTACTTACTATTTATTATTAATAAGGTCATTATTGAACAAAAGCCAGAGATCTTAGTGATTTTTGAAACGTGAAAACTTTTCATTACTTTCTATTTAACATTATCATTTGTATTTCACTCTTTCCAATACAGAAAGCTAAAAGAAATACCTCCTCCCTGAAAACAACATTATCGTTAACTGGTAACTGTTCAAAAAGTCCATTTTATTTTTTTCTGAAAGTCTTTCTTTAAAGGCTAGATGATAATAAGATGTACTATGGTGATATGTTGGTTTTAGACACAAATTTCATTTAAAACTTAGATTTCATATTTGGAAGTTTTTATCAGGTTGGTTCTGTTACTTGAGGTGCTATCCACATTTTGAAGTTTTTCTTAATTTATAATGATAAGGGAAGTTTTTAAATCAAGGTAAACAATTTGCTCCTAAATAGAAACAGCTGAAGTTGATTATCAAAATCTTAGCATGGCAAGCTTCATTTATTTACGATGACAATGTGGGTACTTAAAATCAGCCTTAAATTGTGACATAATTTTTTTAAAAAACAACATACATATGACATCCTAGCCAGATCAATCAGGCAAGAGAAAAAATAAAAGGCATCCAAATTTGAAAAGAGGAAGTCAAATTATTTGCTAGCAATATGATCTTATACCTAGAAAACTTTAAAGACTCCTCCAAAGACTTCTAGATTTAATAAGTGATTTAGTAACATTTCAAGATACAAGATCAGTGTACACAAATCAGTTGCATTTTTATACACCAATAACAACCAAGCTGAGAACAAAATCAAGAAGTCAATTCCATTCAGGATAGCTCCAAAAAACAAAACAAAACAAAAAAAAACCCCACACAAGATGCCTAGGAACGTATTTAACCAAGAAGGTGGAAGATCTCTGCAAGGAAAACTATAAAACATTGATGAAAGAAATTGTAAATGACACAAACAAATGGGAACATCCCATGCTCATGGATTGGAAGAATCAATATTGTTAAAATGGCCATATTGTCTAAAGCAGGGCAATCTACAGATTCAATGCAATTCCTATCAAATACCAACTTCATTTTTCACAAAATTAGAAAAAAAACAATTCTAAGATTCGTATTAACCAAAAAAGATCCCAAATAGCCAAACTAATCCTGAGCACAAAGAACAAAGCTGGACGCATCACATTACTGGACTTCAAATTATACTACAAGGCAAGAGTAACCGAAACAGGATGGTACTAGTATAAAAACAGACACATAGATCAATGTAACAGTATAGAGAATTTGGAAATAAAGCCAATTACCTACAGCCAACTGGTCTTCAACAAGATTGACAAAAGCATATATTGGGAAAGGAACATGCTATTCAATAAATGGTGCTGGGAAAATGTGGATTGCCATATGCAGAATGAAACTGGACCCCTATCTCTCACCATATACAAAAATTAATGTTGATTAAATACTGAAATGTAAGACCTGAAAATATAAAAATACTAGAAGAAAACCTAACCAAAAACTTTGCCAGACATTGGCCTTGGCAAAGAATTCATGACTAAGACCTCAAAAGCAAATGCTACAAAACCAAAAATAGACAAATGGGACTTGATTAAATTAAAAACTTTTGCACTGCAAAATAAGTAGCAGAGTGAACAGGAATCCTGAACAATGGGAGAAAAATATTTGCAAACCATGCACCAGGCAAGGGACTAATCCAGAATCTACAAGGAACTCAAACAACTCAACAACAACAAAAACCAAGTAACCACATTAAAAAGGGGGCAAACGACATGAGCAGACATTTTTCAGAAAGAGACATATAAATGGTCAGCATCACTAATCATCAGAGAAATGCAAATTAAAACCACAATGAGATATTATCTTGTGTCAGTCGGAATGGCTATTATTTAAAAAAAAAACATGTTGGCAGGAAAAGGGAACACTTATACACTGTTGGTGGGAATGTAAATTAGTACAACCTCTATGGAAAACAGTATGGAGATTTCTCAGAAAACTAAAAATAAAACTCTCATTTGATACAGCAATCCCACCCAAAGGAAAAGAAATCATTATATCAAAAAGATACCTGCACTTGTAGGTATCTGTGGCACTATTCACAATTGCAAAGATGTAGAATCAACCTGTTTCCATCAATGGATGATTGGATAAAGAAAATATGGTGTATATCTATACCATATATACTTAGCCATAAAAAAGAATGAAATCATGTTTTTTGCAGAAACATGGATGGAACTGGAGGCCATTATCTTAAATGAAATAACTCTGAAAGTCAAATACCACATGTTCTCATTTGTGAGAGCTAAAAAATGTGTACACATTGACATCGAGTGTGGAAGAACAGACACTGGAGACTTGGGAGGATGGGAGGGTTGGGAAGGGAGTGAGGGATGAGAAATTACTTAATGGGTACAATATACACTATTTGGATGATGGTTACACTAAAAGCCCAGACTTCATTACTATGTAATATATCTGTGTATCAAAACTACACTTGTATCCCCAAATTTATACGAATAAAAAAAATGGGCCTCTGAATTTGGAACACCAGACTTTGATATCCTAAGAATATATCTCTATTTTGGTTTGTGTATTTCAAAATTATCAAGTGTATATATTTTAAGTCGCTTACAGTTTTCAAAAGAAACATTTTTGCTTGTGGTGTTGTGGCTTCTATATATGGATTGAGTAGAACATCATATAGATGTCCTTCTCACAGTAACATAGTTGGAGGATGGCAGGCCTGTAATTAGGGAGGAGTGATGTATAAAACTGAATTCAAAGCAGTTAGCGTATTTCATCGTCCTAAAATGTATCAAACATCAGTTAATATAGGATGTTTACTTGAAGGACAAATCCCTCAGAAATGCTCACAGAGGCTGGATGAAGATCAGTCCTAAACATCATTAAATCTTGTTTTGGTATTTTAACATTCATTATTTGAATCTGATTTCTCCTCTTCAGCTTTTTCAAATGTGTTTGAATTAAGATCACTCATTGGTTTATCAGACATAAAATGAGAAAGGGGTTCCCGAGGTGGGTGCAGTGGTGCAGATGTGTAATCTCACTTAACTGGGAGGCTAAGGCAGGAAGAATGCTTGAGCCCAGGAGTTCAAGGATGCAGTGCGCTGTGATGGTGCATGTGAATAGCCACTGCACTTGAACATGGGCAACATGGTGAGATCTGGTCTCTTAAAAATAAGAGACTTCTTATGGAAGGAAGTAATCAATGCATTCTTAAAATCAGGTAATGTGTTTTATAAATACAGAGGTTGGTGAATCAAATCCAGGTCTTTAAGTTTTGTTCTGTATTTTGCTCTGCATTTTCTTAGTCCTTTCATGGGAACAAACTAAAACTTTGCCCCAATTCCTCCACCATGTGGATAGAGCAATCACAGCACATTTTGGGGTCCCAGTCCATTGGTAGGATATAAATTTTTTTTTTTTTTTTTTTTTTTTTTGAGATGGAGGCTCCCTCTGTCGCCTAGGCTGGAGTGCAGTGGCGCGATCTCCGTTCACTGCAAGCTCCGCCTCCCGGGTTCACGCCATTCTCCTGCCTCAGCCTCCCGAGTAGCTGGGACTACAGGCGCCCGCCACCATGCCTGGTTAATTTTTTTGTATTTTTTTTTGTATTTTTAGTAGAGACGGGGTTTCACCGTGTTAGCCAAGATGGTCTCGATCTCCTGACCTCATGATCCGCCCGCCTTGACCTCCCAAAGTGCTGGGATTACAGGCGTGAGCCACTGCGCCCGGCCGGATATAAATATTGCTAAAGTGAACTTGAATTAAAAATGGCCTTTTAAAATGAGCAAAAAGCCCAGTGCAGTGGCTCATGCCTATAATCCCAGTGACTCTAGAGGCTGAGACTGGAGTATCTCTTGAGCCCAGAAGTTTGAGGCTGCAGTGAGCCACGATCGTGCCACTGCAATTTAGCCTGGGCAACAGAGCCAGACCTCCACTCTAACAAAAAATTTTTCTTTTGTTTTTGAGACAGGGTCTTACTCTGCTGCCCAGGCTAGAGTGCAGTGGCATGATCTTGGCTCACTGCAACCTCCACTTCCCGGGCTCAAGCGATTCTTATGCCTCAGCCTCCCAAGTAGTTGGGATTACAGTGCGTGTCACAACGCCCAGCTAATTTTTGTATTTTTTTGTAGAGACAGGGTTTGACCATGTTGCCCAGACTGGTCTCGAACTCCTGACCTCAACTGATCTGCCCACCTCGGCCTCCCAAAAGTGCTGGGATTACAGGTGTGAGCCACCACGCCCAGCCCAAAAAATTTTTCTAAAAGGGAAAAAAATAGAAAACACTCCTCTCAAAATCACAGTCCCTGTCTGGGATGCATTTTTCTCATCTCTAAACTGAGAAGCTTAGAAGAGATGAAGGCTAAGCTTCATCCCTTCCACTTCTAAAGGTCTATGCTTCTATTGTTTCCAGCAGACCTTTTGAAACCTAGCAGGGAAAAACCAGGCAAGGTCCAACTGCAGCCTCTAAGAGGAACACAGAAGAGCCTCTTAATTTCTTGGGCTCAGCAACCGTTTTACTTCAGAATATTATTTTAGTCTTCTGGCTACAGAACTGAATTTCCAACCTGAATCACATGGATCAATGTCAGAGTGAATCAGGCATTCTTATTCAAAATATACATGTGAACATATATTTTAAAAATAAATCTAAATAATATACCAATATAAAAATGTTCCCAGAACAATTTTTTTTTTTTTTTTTTTTGAGATGGAGTCTTGCTCTGTCACCAGGCTGGAGTGCAGTGGCACAATCTCGGCTCCACATCCCAGGTTCAAGTGATTCTCCTGCCTCAGCCTCCCGAGTAGCTGGGACTACAGGCCAATGCCACCATGCCCAGCTAACTTTTGCATTTTTTTAGTAGAGACGGGGTTTCACCATGTTGGCCAGGATGGTCTCGATCTCTTGACCTTGTGATCCACTAGCCTTGGCCTCCCAAAGTGCTGGGATTACAGGCGTGAGCCACCACGCCTGGCCACAAAATGATTTTTAAAAGGGAAGACAGGTAAATGGATCGTCATGCATGCCTGTAATCACCATTTACTTGGAAGGCTGAGACAGGAGAATCATTTGAGCCCAGGAGTTCAAGGCTGCAGTGAGCTATGACTGTGCGACTGCACTGCAGCCTGGGTGACAGAGCAAGACCTTGTCTCTAAAAAAAAATAAAAAATAAAATTTTGTAAAAGGGATCATCAGATATCTCTGAATCACAAATTGCTTTTATTCCTGGGAATAAGACAAAACCACCAAACCTCCAAAGACAGCATTCAAAGATGCCTTTTGCAATTTCGAAAGATCCTTATTTCTGCCATGATGCAGCTAATAGGATATGTACAAGGGCCTTTTTTCTCTTTCTTTCTTTCTTTTGTTTCTTTTCTTTCTTTCTTTCTTTCTTTCTTTCTTTCTTTCTTTCTTTCTTTTCTTTCTTTCTTTTTGTCTTGGAAGAAGAAAGGTCAGTAGTAGATTAGACTCTAATGTTTCAAGAGATTTCTTGGCATAGAAATTATTTTCAATGCCCAGAATGATGGAGGAATAGAAGATAAATGGGAGAGAAAACGGTTTGGATATATTTAGAAATAAAGATCTCCTAAAATAGCAAACACAAAAGGAGAACTAGTGGTACATTTTGTGTAATTGTGGAAGATGTTTAAAGGCTTTGTTGTCTTTCTTCACTTATGACCAAATTATTTTCTAAATTGTTAAAACTCAAAATACTTAATTTATCCTATATGTACTTTACATGCATTAAATTATTATGTAATAATAATTTTCTTGAAGATTCCATCAGCAACACAGTAACAGTAAATGCATGGTGCAAGACCTCATATTATAAATCATACTTAATGTACAGTATCAAAAATAAATTCACAACCTAACAACCAATCTGAAATCTAACTTCTCGTTGGAGGAATGAGATGTATTTTAATTATAGGTAATTGATTAGGTTTAATAACAAATTTAGAAAGCTTCCAGTTTGCCAGCAGTCAAAGTTATAACTGGGGCATACCAGCAAAAGGTAGCACTGGAATTAACACAGACTCAAATGTTAGTTCACCCACATTCTGCCTACTATCCCCATTCTCCTCCTGAACTACACCCCCATGTGTCTTTTGCATACAGAGCTCTCTTTGAAGCCAGCAAGTGTTTCATGCGTGGGAAATCAGGGGAATCAAAGCTACCTTATACAAAAGCATATGGTTAGGAGGCCAGGGGATGCTGAAAAAACACTGCATACATACTTACAGTGTCCCTATGGGGAGCTCATCTGACTATGAGACCCTCAAGTTTTGCACTTCTTATGCCTACGGTGTTTAAATTGGTGGCCTCAATTTTATAACACCAGGGTTTGTTTTCACATTTAGTTCCCTGGGATTTTTTTAAACTGACTTTGACAAAAAGGAAAAAAAGAAAAAGAGAGTGCAAAATAGGAAAAGAAGGCAGGGAGTGGGGAAAGAATAAATCATTATGCAGCTCTCAGCCTCCACAGGGAAACAGCAGTACAAACCCACAGATCCAGAATTGTCAAGCAATGGGGCTGTTTGTTTACAAGTCACAGAATCAGTTATGTAACTAGGGAAGTTAAAGAAACCTAGTGAGTGTGTGAGAGACTGATTCTTTTGAAATAGTCAAGAGACTTCATTTCTGAAATAGATTCATACAGATGTTCTGTATTCTTATTTTTGGTTGCTCTATAAATTTAGTTTTTGAGTTTTCCATGTAGATAATGACCCTTTATTCTTTATTATTATTATTAGATACACTAAAACACTTTCTTACCATGGGAGTTGCTAAAGTATCAGCATGTATTTTTAAGGGAAATTGAAATAGCTTTTTATCTTCTGATGTATTATGTTGGTAAAAAAGTAATTGCGGTTTTTGCCATTGAAAGTAAGGGCAAAACCGCAATTACTTTTGTACCAACCTAATAGAATTCTTGTCTGATTTAGCAGGAAAAATGTATTACATGACCAATAGATCAGTTCCAATTTCTGTCCACCCTTCACTCCGTTACTTCTTCTTTTAAAAAAAATTGTTTTCACTTTTATTCTCAAAGGAGGTGATCTTCTTTTTCTAATTGATTTTTTTTTGTTTGCTTGTTTGTTTAAGTTCTGGGACCATAAAGTGTTTATAAGATGCAGACCTTTAAAAATATTTCCATGTAAGCCAGGAACAGTCGCTCACCCTTGTAATCCGAACAATTTGGGAGGCTGAGGCAGGAGGATCACTTGAGGCCAGGAATTTGAGATCAGCCTGGGCAACATAGCAAGACTTCATCTTTAAAAATATAAAATGTATTTCCTTGTAAATACATTTTGTTGTAGATCTGAGACAGTGTAAAAATTTCAACTCTAAAGAAAAAAATTAGAAAATCAAATGATTTAAATAAATCATCATATTGGATTATAGTAAATTTCATAAATAAGTTATTCTCAACAAACACCTTAGATAAGAAAGTTTTTATGATCTGTTTAGTTAATATCTGCATTTATATTTAATACACTTTAAAAATGTGATTTTTTTCCTGAAAACTTAGAGCCACAATTTCAGGGCTATATTGGTAAAAATGGGAATTGACTCTGAAAGATTATAATTAATCAACTTCTGATAGCAAATTAAACTCAAACTATTGAGGTTGCAAAGTCAGTAACTTTATGAGACATTGTTTTTCTTTCTCATTCAGCTAACTCATTCTTCAGTGGGGTCAGTTTGGTGTCATATGTTACTCCATGGGGAAAAACCCTAAGGGGATTGATGGAGAAGGAAAAATCCTAAGGGGATTGATGGAGAAGAATTATGTTTTTCACCAGGCAGAAAAAAGCCCTGAATTTGGTCCCTCAGGAATCTTCTCAGGGTATTTTCTGCTAGTAGTACCAGAGCCCTATGGCCCTATGGTGCCAGAGCTCTATGCAGTTCCAGGAGGGAACTGCGCCACTGAGACTCAATACCCAGAAGGCTGCTCAGCTCTTGTTCCTGCTACAATCGACACTGAGGATAGGGATTAAAGCCTCATTAGTCTTTCGAGGTATGTGAGGAATGGCTATTTTGTTTTTGTTTAATTAGGGTCTTGGTGTAGAGCAGGACATTTAGTGGCCTATGTCCTTCTGTCCAATTTAAAGGTAGGGCTGAGCTGATTCACTCTCTAGAGATGAGTAGTGCAATGAGCTACAATTAAACAAAAATAATAAGAAGAACCTTTGCTCAGGGAGAATGTTTCAGTAACTTATATGTTCCCGCCAGCAGCATCATAAAGCCTCTGCAGTTGGGCGTCTGATATTTACTATCTTAGAACAGTGGTATGAATTAGCCAAGGTGTCTCCATTTATTTGGTTGTCAGTGAATGCTAAATAGAAATAAATGAGTCAAAATTAAAGGAAAAGATGGATATCAACTTGGCATGAACTCCTCTGAATTATTATTCAAATTCTTGGGTCCTTCTGGACTTTAAGACCATATTTTTTCTATGATGGGCAAGAAAGATGATTTATGCAGTTTATTTAGAGGTAAATTTTATGGACAAAATTTTATACACATCTATACAATATGTGAGTTATAATCATTGTTTTAAGAAACAATGATAGCATACAGAGGTGCCTACAAAGTTTTTATTTAAAGAGTCAGGGTCTCTGTCACCCAGGCTGGAGTGCAGTGGCGTGATCCTGGCTCACTGCAACCTTGAACTCCTGGGCTCAATCAATTCTCCCTCCTCAGTCTCCCAAGTAGCTGGGACTACATGCACATGCCAACATGACCAATAAATTGTTTTTTATTTTTTTCAAGATGGGGTCTCACTATGTTGCCCAGGTTCAATTTTAAATATTATCTTTATCTTTTTTGCCTGCTGCCCAAAGCCATAAGAAAATGTATCATTATTACTTAAAATGAAATCATAGCTGTAATAATACTTTACTAATAATATTTTAATTTCAATATGGAGCTTAAACTTTCAAAGCACTCTTAGATATGTAGGCCAATTTATTCATTATTTGAGTTCTTTAGTACACATAGTACATTCCTCTGAGATATGAAATGGCAATGATATGTACTCGTCTTATTACAAAGTGAAGATGGGATAGATTTTAGATATTTCAAAAAATGAGTGTACTTTATTTCTGTTTGTACAGTAGTCCCCCCCTTATCCATGGTTTCACTTTTCATGGTTTCAATTGCCCAACATACAATACAATAAGATATTTTGAGAGAGAGACCACATTAACCTTTATTACAGCCTATTGCTATAATTGTTCTATTTTGTTATTGTTATTGTTAACTTCTTACTATGCCTAGTTTATAAATTAAACTTTATCAAAAAGTTATGCATGTATAGCAGAAAACAGTATCTATAGGGTTCTGTACTATTTGCCGTTTAGGCGCCCAGTGGGGGTCTTGAAATATATCCCCCACGGGTAAGGGGGAACCACATACTTCAATACAAAGTTGAAAAAGCTCTGACCATATAGTATTCATGTTAATTTGATATTAAAACATCACTAAAACTCAGTGGACTAATTCTCAAAAAAAAGGATATGTGTAGCTTTTGTTTCTTCAATAACAATGTATAGAAGTGTCTTTTAAGAGTGATTTTAAACTACTTGTCTTTCAAGATAACTTTTAACTGATGACTTGGGGGCACTCATAAGCTCTCTGGGGATAAAACTGAGATTCCATTAGAATATCTTTGTTTAGGTTGTGGACAGGGGCTCTTGCCTGTAATCCCAGCACTTTGAGAGGCCAAGGCAGGAGAATCGCTTGAGCCCAGAAGTTCGAGACCAGCCTGGGAAACATGGTGAGATCTCTTCTCTTAAAAAAAAAAAGAAAGAAAAGAAAAGAAAAAAAGAAAAAAAAATTGGTTTAGTTTCTAAGTTCAAAGAGAGAGAGAGAGAATAGGGATAAAGAAGAGAAGAAATTCCTTTCTGTACAGGGCAGCTTTAAGTATAACTTCTTGGCGGTGTCTGAAGTGGCAGAGAGAGAATGGCGTCTGGGATTTGATTCTCTGCACTGTGATTTAAGTTCACTGAACCTTGGTTTCCTCATCTATAAAACGAGAATGTTGTCTTGAAGAGCAGGTGCTTAGTACTATTATAGTAAGCAAAGGAGTTCAATTAAATTACTTCTTGGGTTTCTTTTAAATGCCAGAATTAAATAATTGTAAAATAGATGAACCAATTTCCCTTCAATTGTGAGTAGTTTAAAATGCCACCGAAGATGGCAGAATAAGCCATTAAAATGGCTTTTATAAAACTTTCTTCCTTCTGCTTTTATCAACTATAAATTAAAGCTATTCTATTCATAGTCTAAAGCTGAGGAAATAAGCTTTTGTAACCTGCCAATATTTTCACCCCAGGAAAATAATTGTTCTTAGAAAAGCTAAAATGGTCTGGGCACCATGGCTGTCGCCTGTAATCCTAGCACTTTGGGAGGTGGAGTCAGGTGGATCACCTGAGGTCAGGAGTATGAGACCAGCCTGGTCATCATGGTGAAACCCCATCTCTACTAAAAATACAAAAATTAGCCAGGCGTGGTAGCAGGTGCCTGTAATCTCAGCTACCCGGGAGGCGGAGGTTGCAGTGAGCTGAGATTGTGCCATTGCACTCCAGCCTGGGCAACAAGAGGGAAATTCCATCTCAAAAAGAAAAATAGTAAGAAAAGCTAAAATATTCCTATGCTTAATCCTACTGTTGGAAGCATAAAGAATTGTTATGTTTCTTGCATGGGTTTAAAAACCAAGGACTGTTTTCAAAACTTAAAGCAATGATCAGGTGCCATATAACTGTCAAGTTATACATCACCTGAGGACCTTAATGGAGCACATAATAAATACTAATTAATTTAACCAACACCCCTGTGGTAAACGCATTATTACCCCTCCTCCCCTTTGAACAGGCAGGGAGACTGATTCCATGAGACCAAGCAACTCACCCTGGGGATGTGTGGAAGAAGTTGCTGAGCCAGAAAAAGGAACCCAAGAGGTTGGAATCTGAACCCTATGTATTTACAACTTAAGGAGAGTCTCGGCCGGGCGCTGTGGCTCACACCTGTAATCCCAGCACTTTGGGAGGCTGAGGCAGGCGGATCACGAGGTCAGGGGATCGAGACCATCCTGGCTAACACAGTGAAACCCCGTCTCTACTAAAAAAATTCAAAAAATCAGCCGGAGTGGTGGCGGGCGCCTGTAGTCCCAGCTACTCGGGAGGCTGAGGCAGGAGAATGGCGTGAACCTGGGAGGCGGAGCTTGCAGTGAGCCGAGATCGCGCCACTGCACTCCAGCCTGGGCGGCAGAGCGAGGCTCTGTCTCAAAAAAAGAAAAAAAAGAAGAGTCTCATTCCTTATGGATAAAAACATTTCTGCTCCCCTTTAGATTGATATATGTGTGAAGATAGAGTGGATTGTGTATATTACTGAGACACCCACCCTTCCCAAATGTTAGCTCTTTGTTTCCAGGATGTGCAATGACAAATAATTTGTTGGTAATGCTAACACTTCAATTAGTTAGATCTACACTTACTTAGTAAGCTTCAAATTGTTCCTATAGATGGATTAGAAAATGGAATTTAATAAGAACAATGAAGACTGAAAGCAACAAGGTAAATAAAACAGATTTCTCCATTAAGCAGGTAATTTTTTTATATTTTATTTTTTGAGACAGGGTCTCACTCTGTCGCCCAGCCTGGAGTGCAGTGGCAGAGTCATGGTTCCCTGCAGCCTTGACCTCCTAGGCTTGAGTGATCCTCCCATCTCAGCCTTCTAGGAAGCTGGGACTACAGGGGTGTGCCACAATGCTGGGCTAATTTTTTGTATTTTTAGTAGAGATGAGGTTTTCCCATGTTGCCCAGGCCGGTCTCGAACTCCTGGACTGAAGCGATTCCCTTGCCTTGGCCTCCCAAAGTGTTAGGATTACAGGTGTGAGCCATCACGCCTGGCCATGCAGATAATAGATTTGCTTTTTTATTGTGATTTTACTTTTATAATTTTTTTCAATAGTTGTTACTGGTAAGGTAGTCTAGGAATTATTTTGTGATCTCCTCTCCTGTCCTACCTCCTCAGTTTATAGAGGGCACTCAATAAGGACTTATTGGCTGAAACATAATACTCCTCCCAGTCATACATTCATCAGTGACTAATATAGAATGTTGTATAATGGTTAATACAATGTTTGAGCAATTTACTCATTCTAGCATTCAGTTAATATTGTGCATTTACTCATTTGATCAGATAATTTGTGATTAGAAGAATCCAAGAAATAAACCAGAACTAGCCATGTTGATTTCAACTCAGTTAACTTTGACAAACACCCAGTGCAATTCTTTAGAAGCTAAAAATTTGATGATTTGGTGACTATGACTTATGATTTCTAAAAAACAAAAAGAGATTGAATGTGTCGAGAGCCAGTATAACATACATTTGCCCAAATTTTATTTTCCAAAACATCACTTTTCCTAGCCAAGAATAAATGCTAGAGGCTGCCTGACTACCACTATTGGGTAGCATAAAGAAACAGAATTCACCATCATTGGGTAGTTTTTTTTTTTCCATGCTACACTGCAATACTGGTTTATTTAGCATATGTATAAGCTCCTTTCTGTCATACTTTTGGAGTTTTGATGTATAAAATAACACCTTGAAATTGTTAGTTATAATACAGAAAAATAAAATTGAATTTGGTCAACATCAAGATACTGCAGTGTACTTCTGAAAATAAGCCTTGCAAATGTTTTTCCACTAGAATATTTATGGATATAGTAATTTAGGTAGTCATTCACTAGAGGAGATTATGACATGCCAGTAGCTGAAAGATGAGAATAAAACCTACGGTTTCCAGTTGCAACTAGAGAAAGATGTAAAAACAAAAACAAAAAAACCCAAAACACATGCACTTTTTTTAAGGACCTTTTTTTCCTTTTATTTTCTTTTTTAGATTGGTACTAAGTTTAAGAGGTTTACACATTTGGAAAACTGTCTGTATGACTATTTCTGAAAGACCACATTCTTTCCTGTTTAAAGTTAAATAACTCCAGAGATTTTAATTTTAGTTTCTCAAGCAAGACAAAACCAGTTGAACTGCTTTATATTATTTCCTGAGTCAGGAATTGAGGCCAACAGTATTGAAAAGGTAACCATGAGTTGATTTTTTGTGTTTTGTAGGTTAATACTAGCAAAGAAAAGGGCAAGTTGTTTATGTCCTTAAAAATAATTTCAGAAGAAATTAAAGAATCTTCATCTTACTATTAATCACATTCTTTCTCACCCCTTTGTCAGAGGAAGAATTTATAAATGTCAGTAAAGTCCTTTTTATGCAGAAATTATTGAATTTAAATACATGCTAATTGCTGCTACTGATAGCTCTATCTGCAACAGGATTAAAGCTGTTAGAATATATTTTAAGAGTCTTGGCAGATGAATGTTCTTATAATCATCACATTTTAGAGACCTTTCTAAATCATGAGTTACGTGAAATAAAGAACCTAAAACAAATTAAGCAAGATCGTTTCATTTGTACATATTATGTGCCAGGTATTTTTTGAAGTAAAAAAAAAAAATTGTTTCAGCAGGCTTCCCTTTCCCTCTGGGGCCTATTAAATACTATACAAACAAGTCTGCCTCTTACTTTGGCTTATTTGGCGTTGGTACACACCTCTTAGGCAAGTGGGGCCAGCTCTCTAGAACTGGCTGTCTCGTCTTGAACAGTTTGTTATTCATATTTCAGTCCTCTTTTTTTCACACCTGTTTTTCATTTCAGGATATCAGAGTATCTGATATTGATCAAATCAATGGAAAGTAGACTGGGATACAAGCATTTCAGACTAGCACATTAGGACTGGGTTTATCTCACTCACTGACACAAGCTGTATGATATCTGAAAAGGAAAATATTTGTTTAGAAATGTCTTTTCTCCTCTCTGTCAGGGTTACAATGGCTTGCCAGGCCAAGCATTGAGCAGAGAAGAAGGGCATCCATTTTGAGAAGCCACATACTTTAGATGACATATGCAGAAGCAACATGCATTGGCATTTCATCATTTAGAATCTTATCCAAGTGCCAACATTTATCGTAACCTGGAAGGGAAGGGTGCCAAAGTAAAAAAAATGTGTTCACTTTTGCCTCATGAAATTCATGCTTGGGCAAATCTTAGGGGTATACAGTCTTCTGTACGTTCATGTGTAACACCCATTACTGTTAATAGGAGTTACCACATAGGTCCAAAAGAAAACATAGCCTTTAGAATTGAACTTAGACCTTGGGGATCAAAAGATCTCCCTAGCTAATAGCTGATGGGAATTGTGCAGTCTCAAATTTGCTCCCTGCTAACCTGACATCATTGAATTTGGAGAAGCAGAGCCAGGTTCATTCAGGGGTGGCAGAGAGAGAGAAAGTGGAAAAAAAACTGTTTTGAAAATAAAAGTGATTATAAATCAGGCTTTTAAATTAAGTCACAGAAATCCCTACCTAATTATATCATGAAAACAAGTTCCAGCTCATAGTTCTTAGAAAAGAGAAGGTTGTGACAGATTTATTCTTGTTTACTACTTTCAACCCCAAGCACTCTTGATTAATTTTTCTCAAAACAATAAAATGAGACTCAGCTAATAAAATTAGACTCATCTAATAAAATAATATTTAAATTTGGAGTCAATTTACTTTTAATTTTCAGAGATTCATGGTAAGGGAAATCAGATGGTCAAAATAATCTGACCTACACAAAAACACAAATTTTGATTTATATCCCATCACTAACCTTCTCAACCCCAAATGTGAACAAGGGGCCAGCCAGTTACTGAAGCAACAGAGTGTTAAGAAACTGCTGTGGGCGGAACATTATGGGAGGTGCTGAAGGGAGACAAATGTAATAGAAAAGCATAGTTCTTGTATTCAAATAAATGTATAACTAAGGCTGAATGTCAGTACAAAGCATATGGATAGGTTTACATTTACTTTTTTTCTTTGACCTTGTCTCTGTCCTTTGAAAAGGGTAGTGAACTAGGGGATAAGGGGGGAAAAAGTAAGGTCCTCAGCAGTCTATTAAATGGTGATATGCAAAAATCTCTGAACAATTAGAGCCCTTAACTGTCTTCAAAATAGGATAGGAATTAAGAAGACAGGTTTGAAAATAGATAAGCCTGAACCTGTTGCTTGAACCTTTCCAAGTCCCTGTTTTCACATTTGTAAAATGGTAGCAACAATGCTACTTTTCAGGGCGGTTGAATAAATTGAGTAAGAGAAAATATATGAAGAATTTAGCACAGGGCTTGGCAAATAGCAACAGTTCAAGTAAACAGTAGTCTTCATGGCCAGGTGCAGTGGCTCACGCCTGTAATCCCAGCACTTTGGGAGGCTGAGGTGGGCAGATCGCCTGAGGTCGCGAGTTTGAAACTAGCCTGGCCAACATGGTGAAAACCCATCTCTACTTAAAAATGCAAAAATTAGCTGGGCGTGGTCGTGGGCGTCTGTAATCTCAGCTACTCAGGAGGCTGAGGCATGAGAATCTCTTGAACCCAGGAGGCGGAGGTTGCAGTGAGCTGAGATGGCACGACTGCACTCCAGCCTGGGCAACAGCACAAGACTCTGTCTCAAAAGACAAATAAACAAACAAAAAAGTCTTTATTATTATTAATGATGGATAGTGGCTAATATCCATTTAATAGCTAATATCCTATGCATGGAATGTTCCTGACTTTCTTCTCTAGTATTTATTGGTGGCTCAAGTGACCACTCAGGGAATGTCAAATACAACTGTATACCTTGGTCAATTTCTTCTTGGGTTCCATCCAAAGACTGACTCTGCAAACTGCCCCTGCTGGAGGTGACGGAGTTTGGGGTGGGGTGGGGTAAGGGGGTGAAGAATCATGCTATACTCTGTGAGGATTACAACCAGGAGCATGTCTTAGCCAAGTCAGAGCCACTGCAGGCACCTCTTGGCTTTGCACCTATTAGGACTGAGTAGCGTTGTGTGTGCCAGGCTGGCCCCGTGGGTATCCTTAGTAGATCATGTGAGTGTTGTCACTGTGTCCATTTTAGACTATGGAAACTCCAGTATTGGGAATCCCATTTTGGAATGAAGTGTTGTTTTCATACAAAGGAAAATACAGTAGCTAGTTCAGACTATTCCATGATATAAGAAGCAACAAACCCTGCTTAAAAGGAAAAAAAGCCCCCAGAAGTGAAATCACAAATGCTGCATTATCATGGGTTGCAATAAACATGGGTGTGTGTAGAAAGAGGCTGTGGCAACACTTTTGTCTCCTGCCATGTCAACCGAGGTGATGGAAAACATGACAGCCTAAAATAATTAAAAGTAAGTGGTTGGAAAGAAAAGCCAGTCTTGGAATTAGGGAAAACAGGTGTATGGTGCCAGCACAGAGTTTCATTCTTTTTGTGCATGTGATTAAGATTTGGATTGGGAATATCATTGTAAAGTGAAGAGCCTGAGAAATATCTAGATATATGTGAACCAAACTGTGTGCAGCTTAGATTGATGCAGAAAGAACACTTTTTTACACTTGCAAATGTTTTGATACAAATTAAATACAGAAAATACTACGTGTTATATTGAAGGAGAAAGAAAAATAGTCTGTGGACCTCGACCCCTAAGCTCTGAAGACACATGCTAATAATAATTGGCAAAGGTATTTGTTTTACTCTATAAAGTTAAGAAGTTAAACCCACATGCAGGTGTCTAAAATTCGATGGATATGCAGGTGTCATGGATGAACGCAGGAAGCTTAAAAGCTGTCCAATCTGTCCTGCCACTAGTACCACCTAGTGGTAGCCAAGAAGATGTGTAAGCATCTTTTTAAAAATTGCTTTAAAAAATTTTAAAAGCAAGCATCAATAAAACTCATTGTTTAAAACAATTGAAACATGCACAAGAATTCAGAGTAAATTGTCAAGGGTCCTTCAATTCCAGTCTCTCCCAACCCCACTGTTCTTCCTTATTAATAGTGCCTTTCCTCTGCATTTCCTCAAATTTCAGCCTCTCTCTGTCCCCCTTTTTTTTCTGTCTCTCTCTCTATGCGCTTAACATTTTGAAAACATAAATGGAATCATTTAATCATATATTTTATGGGTGATGTTTTTCACTTAACAAATATCTTTAAACTTATTCTCTAGCACAGTAGAAACTATTGCTAATGGGCGCAGACACTAGGATTTGCTCATAAGCGCAAGTATCAGGTCTGCTTTCAGATTCTGAGCTGGAAGAGTTGTCTGGCTATTGAAAATGCCCTCCCTGGATGAGGTTCTTGACTCAGACTAGCCTTTATCAGACATGGTCAGCTTCCCACCTCCTCCTACCCTCCTGTACTCTCATCATCTGTTACTCCACCTCAGAGACCCCAGCTGCCATCATCCTTATTTAGCTTCCCCACCCCTCACCACTGCAGAAGACTCTGTTCTTATCTCCTGCCTCCAAACTGCCTCCAGGAATATTGCTTCATAACTCAAATATCATTCTATCATTTAATATTTAAAAACTTCCTCTGGTTCCCACTTTCTGTAGAACTAAACTTAAACTGCTCAGCATGTGTAGAAGGCTCCTCATAGCCTTGCCCCAGCCCATGCCTCTCTCTTCCCTATGCTCCAGCCACACAGAGTTTCTTCTTCCAGAGTGGATCATGTATTTTCACATGCCAATATCCTGCAGTACCTTCTCTGTGCCTGAAAGCAGCTCAAATATCATCTATGAAGCTGCCTCCAATTCCCACAGACTCCTCCTCAATGCTTTGATGTATTTTGTATTTTTTCTAGTATAGCACTTGCCTCATTTTATTGTAATTATTTGGCTATAAACAACTTGATTACTTATCACACTCCTATTGCCATCTCCTGCCCCCACGGGACCTGGCACATGAATGCTTATTGAATGAATAACTGAACTTTAATAAGAAGGAGTACAGTGAGTAAACCCTTGGGTAGTGTTTTCCAAACTTTAATATGATAAGAATCACCTAAAGTGCTTAATAAAATGCAGATGCTTTGGATTTACTCTCAGAGAGTTTGCTCAATTTAAGAGGTCTAAAAAGGTAGAGTTTAGGAATCTACATTTTAACAAGCATCCCCGATAATTCTGATGGCCTGTGAGAAGCCCTCCCCTAGAATGCAAAGCAAATAATTTGGAAAAAAAAAAAAGAACATTTGTTCCTCATGATGGCACACATTGAAGAATGTGCTTATTCTTCACATTCATATGTAAGAGAGATCTCTTGGGGTCGTTGTTCCAGGCACTCCTGAAAATAAATAGATACCAGAATAAGTTTGAGAAAACCACAGTTGGGTAGGTGCAGTGACTCACGCCCGTAATCCCAGCACTTTGGGAGGCCAAGGCAGGCAGATCTCTTGAGGTCAGGAGTTCGAGACCAGCTGACCAATATGGTGAAGCCCCATCTCTACTAAAAATACAAAAATTAGCTGGCTGTGGTAGTGGTGCACCTGTAGTCCCAGCTACTTGGGAGGCTGAGGCAGAGAATCACTTGAAGCTGGGAGGCAGAGGTTGCAGTGAGCTGAGATTGTGCCACTGCACTCCAGCCTGAGTGACAGAGCGAGACTCTGTCTCAAAAAAAAAAAAAAAAAAGAAAAGAAAACCACAGCGAAGCGAATTCTGTGAAGACTATAAAGAAGCATCAAGCTCTGTGTAAAGGGCTAGATTGTTTCTTTGTAAGGACAATTGTCATCAAATCCCATATGTTTGTTTTGTTAAAATAGCCACTATTTAGCCAGGCCCAAGCTGTTTTCACTAATACACTGCATTTCTGTCAAGCTTCTCTTTGGATGTTCTCCAAGCATTTTAGCAGCTTTAAGCCTGTCTTCCCTTGTTCCCTGAGGGAGGAACAAGCACAAGTTCACGCCAACTCATTAGAGAGACATTGCTCAAGAGCAGCTCCTGGGGCACCAGATGCAGGCAGGAGCGAGGGAGTGGGATCCCTTCCAGGCCCCTCCCCTCTGCGCTGTCTCATTTTCCCCACCCACCCTCCCAAATGCTCATTATTGTCTTCAGCAGGTGGCTTCCACCCCTGCCTTCAAGTCTGCTCAGACAATCTCCCTCCCAAGATAGACAAGCTCCAAAAAGATTCACAGGTTCTACACAATGCAGAACTGCCAAGGACCACATTGGCCAAAGCAATGTCTTCATACAATCAATCTTAAGGGATTTTGCAGAGACAATGGTAAATGTGGATTAGGCTTTTGATCAGAAGGCAGAATATTCGTGACCAGCCTGGGCAACATGGTGAAACCCATCTCTACAAAAATTAGCTGGATGTGGTGGTGGCCGCCTGTGGTCCCAAATACTTGGGAGGCTGAGGTGAGAGGATCACTTGAGACTGGGAGGTTGAGGCTGCAGTGAGCCAACATCGCACCACTGCACTCCAGCATGGGCTGTTACAGAGCAAGACCCTGTCTCAAAAAAAAAAAAAAAAGAAAAGAAAAGAAAAGAAAAGAAAGAAAGGCAGAACCTTTAGGCAGCAGATGTCCACCAGAGGTATGTGTGCATGTGTGTGCATGTGCACGTGTGTGTACAGCCATATGGGTTTTAATACATGTATAGATTCATTCAACCACTGCCGCTATCAGGATACAGAACAGTTCCATCGCCCCAGAAAGCTCCCTCCTGCTACCTTTTTGAGTGTATCCAAGCTTTATTTTAAGGCTTTAATCTTATAAAAATCTCCAGGGAAAGGTGAAATGCTATAGAAAAGTTAAAGATAGTCTGTGTTCAATTATTTGAAGAAACTTGTCATTCAGGGTTAGATTGTTTCTATAGGGTGAGGACAAATTCCCATTACCTATATAGGTACTTACGTTGTCTTTTCAGGCAAATTTGGTTAGCTATCCCCTCCTACCCTGTCAAGCAGTAGCTATCTAGCCCACAATAAACTCTCTGAGTGGAAGCCTGATGATTTAAAGTTATGTCTACCATACCCATTATTTTTCGACTAACAATAGGAATCCAAAATCATTAGCTTGTAGCCATGAAAATTCTGAAAATAGACTCTCAGTGTGGCCATATGAGTTACATTTCAAAGTGTAACCATCTAGATTTGGGGAAATTAAGGACCTTACGAACACACACACACACACACACACACACACTCATATACACATTATATAGATCTACTTCACACCAAACACAAGCATAAAAAATAAACTGGGAAAAGATCAAGATTCCAACTGGGTTTTGAGTTGGAAAAAACATTAGTATTTTAAAATATATGTTTTGTCAAAGAAAGTGACTATCTGATAAAGGTAAAGGAAAAATCAGCTGTTTCAGTTTTGGGAAATTCACAATGCTCCTTTGTTTAGTGGGCTTGTTGAACTTTTCTGAACATTCAAAAAATATTTTTGTCAAATAATTTGGACATTTCAAATTCTGCTTCAAGCATGAAGGGAGGTTGCCACTAACACCATTGTTACCTCTTGGGCCACGGTCTCCCTTGGGATGGTCATTTCAGAGGGAGGAAATACCCTTGGCTGTCAGAGGCCAAGGGTCTATAAACTTCTAGATGAGGGTAAGCGTGTTGAAGTCATACTGATTTGGATTTTCATTCTGTCTCCTCTGCTCACAATAGCTATATGACCTTGGGCAGGTAGCCTAACCTCTCTGAGCTTAATAGCCTCATTTTAAAAATGGAAATCATATGTACTCTTCAGGATGATTTTGAAAATTAAATGAGATCATATATATAAAATGTCTGCCATACAAAAGATAGTCAATGAATGCTAATTTTGTCTTTCCTTTCCTCATTTAATTCATCTCTCTACCTCCAAATACAGCCTTATCAAAACTAGGTCAGTCATAATTTATCTTATTTTTTAAGACCATGGAAGGAAAAAAAGATGGTTTAATCCTTCTCCTAATCCATATTGTGACTTCTAACTTTCTCTGGCAGGAAATGATTTCTTAGAACCAACTTCAGACCATTACTTTTTTCTTTTTGGAGAAGTTTTACTTTACTGTCTTCAGCAGAAAAGGAGAGTAGGTGGTCTGGATTCCCCAGATGTGGATCAGGAAAGGCAAGGTTATGCTGAAGTAATGAACAACCCCAGAATCTTAGTGATGGTTTATAGAATAGTTTCTTGTTCATCTCTCCACCCCAAAAAAGCAGATTGATACAACATAAAGGACAGATAAGGGATAAAGCAAATATACCAAAATGTTAACTGTGAAATTCAGGTGATAGATATGGGAATGTGTGTTATGCAAGTCTTTCAACTTTTCTATACATTTCAACATTTTTCACGATAAAATATTGGGAGAAAAGTTTATTTCTCACTTATGCTATGGGTCCAACAAAAGGTGGCTAGGGTTCCATGCCGTATCTTCTCACTCCAGGACCTAAGGTGATCAATCATCTTGAAAGTGGCTATTTGCCATGGCAAAGGGAAAGAGAGTTCTGTTGGCATTGCACAGACTGTTGGATAATTTCAGCCTGAAATGACATGTGTCACTTCTGCTTACAACTCATTGGCCAGAGCTACCAGCACATGGCCTTAGCCCAGGCCATGGAGGTCAGATCCTATCATGTGCCTCGACGGGGGAGGGCTGGAAACATTTGGTAAGCAGCACAAGTAATTACCCTGATGAAAATAAACAACTTCATAAACTTCAAAGAATAACATACCTTAGGACTATCATTAATAATACGAACGTGACAAGGCAAATTCACTGGAAGCAATGTCAGTAAAAGAATTCAGAAACTTTTTTCTTTCTCATCCACTTTCCTTCTTTTAGTCTCCTTTAAAGGGAGCAGGAGAACTAACCCCGTAAAGGCTAACAGATTGCAAACTTCTTGCTGGCTGGTTTGCAGCCGGCCGGCCAGCCAGCCAGCCAGCCAGCCAGCTCTTTCTAGAATCTCATCACCTTTTTGTTGAGTCAGCTCATTTTCCCTGAGTCAGTAAGAAGATGTGGAAGCTGTCCAGAGATCTTAAGAAAAGCAGAAGTTAGGTTGAGGGTGGTAAAGCTTTTCAGAAATAGGATAATAAAATATCTGAGTAAACAATATTTCAATATTTTTCTTGACTCAACGTTTTAGAGGAGTCAGGAAAGACTTCATAGTGACATTTAAGCTGGCACTTGAAGGCGTTTGCAAGGTAGGAAATGGAGTAGGGCGTTCCAAGCAGAGGGAACAGGCTGTGCAGTGGCAAGGAAACTGCTTTGGACTTGGTAGATCTGCAGGAGAATAAGAAATTCACTGTGACCAGAGACTAGAATGCCTGTCAGGATTACTGTTAAAGTACTAGCGTAGGGCCAAAAATACTGTATTTTTCATTTGTTAGCAAGTGGGAAATGAAATACCCTACTTGTTAAGGAAAAATTTTAGTCTTACCTAGTGCTCTAATAGTAGTTAACATGGCTTCAAAGAGAAAAGATTATATGCAAGTAATTTGCTATAAAGAGAACTATAGGCAAATGAGTTTCTAGCAACTGAATACTTCTGTTTGTTGGCAACAATTGTTGGCAACAATTAATATATCCACAGAAACTTTCTTTGGGAAAACAAGTTACCTACTAGGCTGCAAACAAATTAAGGCAAAACTACCAGGTTATAAAAACAAACACTGCAGGAGAGTGGGCAGGTAATGAGGTGATTTTAAATGAAATACATTTGTCAAGAGAACAGTGATGGGGAGAAGAAAAACAAGGAGCTTTACGTATGATATATCATTTAATCCTAACACATGTTGTGAAGTGAATGTTATTATCACCATTTCATAAATGTGAAAACTAAAGATCAAATAAAGTAGCTTCTTATAAAATGAGCTGTTTAAATTTGAGCCTTATTTTTGAATCTCTGAGACATTTTTCCTCTGTAAAATGGAGACATGACACATCCTGCCTACCTCACAGGGTGGTTAAGAGGATTAAAAGAAATAACAAAAGAAATTGACATCATTCTTGACCTTGACTTTTTAATCAGAAAATCTTAAGTTTTCTGATTCTGTCTTGATGTTTGTATATTCTTCAAAACTATGTCTTTATATAGGAAACTTAAGATGGCTGTTTGTGGAAAAAGTCTTTCTAGCATATCTTAAAATATGCTATTTTAAACTATTTTTAAATAATTAAAAATTTTACCTTTCCAAGCATCAAAATAGAGTATAACGTTTGGCCATTATCTGAAATCCATTCATGGAATATTTTAGGAAAATAAGTTTTATTTTTTAAACTCCTTTAGTTTTTCTCTTGGCATTTTAAATAATTTTGTTTGAAAATGTATCGCTCCTTTTCTTTTTTTCTTTTTTTTTGAGACAGAGTCTTGCTGTGTCACCCAGGCTGGAGTGTAGTGGCAGGATCTCAGCTCACTGCAACCTCCACTTCCAGGGCTCAAGAGATCCTTCCACCTCAGTCTCCTGAGTAGCTGGGACCACAGTTGCACACCACCACGCCCAGCTAATTTTTGTGTTTTTCATAGAGACATGGTTTGGCCATGTTGCCTAGGCTGGTCTCAAACTCCTGGGCTCAAGCGAGCCACCTGCATTGGCCCCCCAAAGTGCTGGGATTACAGACATGAGCCAACGTGCCCAGGCTCCCTTTCTTTTTTAATGAAATATACCAAATAATGATATTATGTGCCAGGAACTGTTCTGAAGGTTTAATGTACATTAACTTATTTAATCCTCATAACCATTCTGCAAGGTAAATACTATTATCTCCATTTTCCAAATGAGAAAATTGAGGCACAGAGGTATTAAGTGACTTGCCTAAGACCACACAGCTAATAAACAGCTGAGCTGGGATTTAAATTGAGGTATTTTTGCCCAGAATCTGAACTTTTTTTTTTTTTTTTTTTTTTTGAGAAGGAGTCTCCTCTGAAGCCCAGGCTGGAGTGCAGTGGCATGATCCCGGCTCACTGCAACCTCCTCCTCCTGGGTTCAAGTGATTCTCCTTCCTCAGCCTCCCAAGTAGCTGGGATTACAGGCGTGCACCACCATGCTGGGTAAATTTTACATTTTTAGTAGAGACGGGGTTTTGCCATGTTGGCCAGGCTGGTCTTGAACTCCTGACCTGAAGTGATCTACTCGCTTCAGCTTCCCAAAGTGCTGGGATTACAGGCGTGAGCCACTGCGCTTGGTGGAGAATCTGAGCTTTTAAACACTGAACCATGATACATTACTGATGATAATGGGCCCTCTTTCTAAATGAATCAGGAATATCATTAGGCTTATCAATTTTTATTTGATATATACAGAAACTACTGTGGTTTAATACAGGATTATTTATGTACCTACAGGATACAGTTGTCCCCATCTACTGTTCTTTTGATTTACTTTGTCTGCTTTTTATAGTTTTCTCTGTCCTCTCTGAAAAAAAAAGAATATTTTCAGTATATCTGCCTCTACAAATTGTCTTCTTCCCTTTCATGTTCTACTTCCAATTTCATAAGAGTCAGAAACCAGATCACCCCACATGTTAGAATTGTGTCTAAAACAGGAGTCAAGAGGCCTTGGGAGAAGACCCGAGCCTTTAGTGAATGGACTTGGTGACATCTGTGACAGGGATCTTTATTTTTTGGCATGTTTTCTGTTCTTAACTGTGATCCAGATAGTTTAAATGGCTGGATAAGTGACTTCTCAGTAAGCGAGGTGTCACAAAATATAAACTCAAGGCATTTCTATTCTTCCACCTGTTCAAAAGTGTTTTAGTCATCATCATAATTGGAAGGATGGCCTAGTTCCTCAAGCTTCTGGGTAGCCATCTGATGCTTGGAGGTAGAGAGACGTGGCTACAACTTGTATAAAAATAGCCCTTCCAGATGGCTGAGGGGCAAAGTTACAACTCAGCAGCTCGATATAGCTGAGCACTCAAATTTTGGAGTAGGAGGAGAGCTATGTGAGAAGTAGCCAGAGAGACTGGGCTGGAGCCCAATCATAAGTAGAACAGTATATGCCAGGAGCGATCACTTAACGTGCAGATTAGCTGTTAAGTTTTTCTGTTACTTCATCTCCATCTCCTCCCCAACTCCCTTGATTCAACCTTACTTCTGGCCCTAAGGAAACACATACACATACGACATAGACAGATATGCACACACACTTTCCCCTTTTTTTTTTAAAGGAGTATAAAATAGAGGAACAAACCATAACTCTTAAAAGGCTTCAGAATTCTACTAGTCTAACCCTTCATTTTAGAGATAAGCAAACTGAGGCAGAGAAAGGTGTGGTGACCATCCAGGATGTGAGCAGGACTCCCACGCTCCAGGTGCTCTGCCAGGGCTCATCTTCTGGCTCGTTTGTGGGACACTGATAACAGCGCAGCTATCCCAGGACATGTTTCCTCCAAGTCTGCTTTGACTCATTTCAAACTCTAAATAAAGCCTTTAGTTAAAAAAGAAAAAAAAAAGTATGGGCCCAGCGTAGTGGCTCACGCCTGTAATCCCAGCCCTTTGGGAGGCCAAGGCAGGTAGATCACGAGGTCAGGAGTTTGAGAACAGCTTGACCAACATGGTGAAACCCCATCTCTACTAAAAATATAAAAATTAGCTGAGCGTGGTAGCACACGCCCGTAATCCCAGCTACTCAGGAGGCTGAGGCAGGAGAATTGCTTGAACCTGGGAGGTGGAGGTTGCAGTGAGACAAGATCATGCCACTGCACTCCAGTCTGGGTGACAGAGTGAGACTCCATCTCAAAAAAAAAAAAAAAAAAAAAGAGTGGATTATTGCAAAAGTCATGATAATGTCTCCACCCTCAACACAAATACTCAAGCTCTAGTCCCTGGCTTGAAAACCTGTTTCACCAGTGAAAATATTTACTAATCAAATTAGTAAATATTAAATTGTGTAGTTCCCACTTTTTATTTTAAATCTTTTATTCACTCTGCATTTCTATTGGATATTCTGGAAGAAAAACCTCTGTAGTAAATCCATTGTTTTAAATATCTCAATGTCTGTTCAAATAATTGAGTGTTGGTTTTAAAAAATAGTCATTAGGAATGGGTTAGTACTTACGTTTTAGCAATTGTAATGAAGACTTTAAAAAAAAACAAAAAAACAAACAAAAAACACAAGCTTATTGAGAAACATGTTACACTCCTTTAACATCATTTATGATCCCCAAAGGCAAGGCATTGCTGTTCCCTGGTGGCTGTACAGCATCACTGCAGGTAAGCGATTTGGAGGTAGAAAAGGTGTTGAGTGCCAGCCTTTCAAATTCAGTTCTACAATGAATCAACTTTTAAAAATACTCCCAGTAGCTTGCATTTTCTTATAAGAAGGGTTTACAGGTAGCAAAAACAAACAATCCCCAACGAACTTTTTCCAATACTATAGGATTTGTGCTGCCCAAGTAAATATTACATTATTGGAAAATAGCATGTTACTTTTCAAGAGGAAGTTCACTTCCTTCTTATGGAATTTATCCTTAAACTGTATGGTATATGGGCTTTGTGCAAGGTGCTGGAAGTAGGCAAGGAGGCCTCAACCATGATGTACACACACTATTATAGCACCATTGCTCTCCTGCTACTGAGTCACATAGCTCACCAACTGGGGAGGGGTCACCACAGAAAGAGTAATGGAGCGAGATAGGTACAAGCATTTTTTGATTGCCCGCCAAGCACCTGGGCCTGTGCTAGCCCTGTTAAACTTGGCTGGAGCAATCCTGCTAAAAGGTCAGGCTTGATTCATGAATAGGTGTGCTAATTCTACTCCGGATACATCCCCGTCATCCTGTAGCATACAGGCCTGAGTGAAGCTGGCCTAGAGCAGGGATTCACCTGCTAGATAATTATTGCCCAAATTAAGAATGCAAGTCAGGGCATGATTTTCAACGCCTTTATTAAGAAATATCAAAAGTTGATTACAGGTCCATATGCAGTTTTACAAAGTTCAAGTGAAGAAGACTGTAGGGATGCCATCAATGTGCGTGTCTGAAGACTATGGAAGCTTGTCAAAGGGGTAACCCTACAACTCCTGTCACTTTAACAATGGTCCACAGCAATGCTTTTCCCCCATTTCTACTAGGCTAGGCCATTGCACAATACCTTAAGCTACTTAAAAGAGTTTTAATACGTTATAAATACGTACATATTTGTCCTTCTAGTTTGTTACCATCCTTCCCTGAAAGAGCGGAGCTGTTTATAGGAAGCACAACATTTGAGTCCCATTCACTGCTGTTTGTATTACATTTTCACAAAGCCTGCTTTGAAAGCTGGCAAACACTGCAAGTTACATGTTACCATATTACACATGGGAGGACCCATACACATTGTTATTTTTAAATTTAACATTGAACAAAAAAAAGGAGGAATCACTTAACTTGGAAACAAAACACCAAAGTTAGTCAGTGGAATGGTCAAGAGCAGGACAAGCCTGCCAGGGCCACTGAACTCCAGTCACAAGTGGTCAAAAGTATGACCGAGAACAACTGGATGCAGGAACATCAGCACAAAATACAGATGGGAATATTCTCGGGAGTGGTACATCACCATCTTGTATGTGAGGGATATTGTGTCAGAGGGGAATTACACTTTCAAAATAACCAGGGCTAGTAGGTCATTAGTACCAGATGGGGAACAGCAATGGTGTGGCATGCCTTGTTTAAGGCCTGCGCTGGTTTATCTAAAAGTAGATTTCTGAAAAGATTGTCCAGTAGCATCAGAAAGAGCCACTTTCAGAGGAAGGACTCCTTGTTCACCCACATCAGACTGCGTGTCTCGTTGGGCTTGCATTCATACTCAATGACAGAGAAGGGGCTTCCCCACTGGCAGTGATCCCGCTTGTGGTAATTGTAGAACTTGACTTGCCACACTGTCTCGAAGGTCCCAATGTCTGTGAACTGAGGGAAGAGAAACATGCCTGATAAAAAACCTCATTCTGCCACGAGCAATAGATGAGAGCTAACATTAGTGATGTAGCTCCTGGATAATCAAGCAGACCCAGTCCAGATTCTCTTGGTCTGCAAGGCTCGGAAGGCTTTCCTTTAGTGGTCTAGCTCCCTCCTTTATGATGGGAGATATTTTCCTAAAAAGCTGTCTGTAAACCATTCTTCTCTATAAAATCTGATTCCCATTGCAAACGTGCCACTCGCTATCATATTGCTTTTAATAAAAATAACTGCAAAGT
The DNA here is from genome assembly GCF_000001405.40 of Homo sapiens. Taxonomy (NCBI): domain Eukaryota; kingdom Metazoa; phylum Chordata; class Mammalia; order Primates; family Hominidae; genus Homo; species Homo sapiens. The sequence continues at coordinate 68,294,314 of NC_000002.12, forward strand.
TTATCTTGTTTTTCAAGTTTAATTTTTTGAAAACTTAGAATTTTAAAGCTTACTCTAAAATGGCCCCTGCTGGCCAGGTGCAGTGGTTCACCCCTGTAATCCCAGGCTGAGGCAGGATGCTAGCTTGAAGCCAGGGGTTCCAGAATAGCCTGAACAACAAAGCAAGATTCTGTCTCTAAAACAAACCCCCATGTTCATCCCCCAAATGGTCCCTGCTACAGAAGGGGAATGGCGAAGGGAAGAGAAGGAATAAAGTTTACTGGCTTTTCTCAAAATACAATGGTACAAAACAACCTGTCTACAATACATCTACATAAAATTTCCATCATTAGTTTCAATTCCAAAGAAAAATATTTCAAAGTGATAACTGAAAATATTTCATTGGAAGTGTTAAAGGCCATATTTTAACTATTAAACATTGAATACTTATAAGTCAGGAGTCCATGCCTACATCTTGGGCTTAGATTATACATTACCCAGAACCATATTTGAGTATCTGCTATGTACCTTGCATGTATAAAAATTCGTATAAGGCAGGATTGTTGCTCTTAAGAAGTTAGCATTCTACTTCCAGAAGGTAGGCCCTGTAAATCACTGCACAGAACTCTCCTGAGGTATAAAGTACACATTTCTCTTGCAGCTGAGAAGAGTACCTGGAATACCCTGGAGGCCACTGGGCAGATGCTCAAGTGGCCTGTGGGGTAGCCTGACCCTGCTACTGCCTTCTGGAGCTATTTAGGGGATCTGGCATTAAACTGCATGATGCCTGTCGTTATTTTCTCCTCTGACCCTCCCCTGTCATGGGAGGGGACAGGGACTGACTTGGCAGGACTCTTAGACTTGTCTGGAGCCAGAAGACGTGGACAGAGGAAGGCAGTGAGCATTAGGAGTCTTATGCTTCTTGCTGATACAGGAGGAGGGTGATCAGGTGCTTTCCAGATAGCTTTCCAAGATGCTCTCAAAATTATATCTTGCACCATTGCCTCATCCTGCTAATTTGATCCCAAAACAAGATCTAGGCTTTCCTCTGGGAAATTTGCTTGATTTGAAATAGTGGATGATATACCTAGAGTCCACAGACCTCCCAGGTATGAAAGTGGATTACCTCTTTTTAGAGAGTCATGGCTTAAAGACCTATATAAGCATACAGCAGCTTTATTCACAATAGCCCCAGGTTGGAATTGACCCAAATGTTTATTCACATGTTGATAAGCAAGTTTTGGTATATTTATAAAATGGCCTTTTGCTGAACAATAAAGGAAGACATGCTGATTCAAGCAGCAACAGGGATGGATCTCAAAGACATGCTAAGCAAAATAATCTAGGCCCCCAAAGTACATGCTGTATGAATCCATCTATATAGTGACAGAATGTAACCTACACTGACAGGAAACATCTGTGGTTATCTAGAGCCTAGGGTGAGAAGGGGAACTGATGCAAATGTGCAAGAGGGAACTTTTTAGGGGTGATGGAAGCATTCTGTATCTTGATTGGGATGGTGGTTACATGGCTGTACATATATGTTGGTCAAAACTAATTGAACTGTATGCTTAAGATGAGTCCATTTATTACATGTAAACTATACCTCAAAGTTAAGAAAAATAGAAATATCCATTTTTAGTGAGCTATAAGAAAACAGGTATTCTAAATGCTGCTAATGGGAATTGAATTAGCCTTTTGGAAGGATCATTTGCATGAAGTTAAAGGTGTGAGTACATTCAGGCCCAGCAATTCCATTTATAATTTATCTTAAGAACATCACAAAGTTTAGAGTAGTAAACAATGCAACACTAAAGGTCCATCTTTAAGGCACTATTTGTGGCATATCTATATAATGGAATACCATGTAATATTTTTAAATGTAAAGTATTTAATACAGTTTTTATTTTATATTGTTACATGAACTAAGCAGAATACCATGAAGAACATGAAGTATTAATTCAGTTAAAATTAAACTTGGCTAGGTGCAGCAGCTCACACCTGTAATTCCAGCACTTTGGAAGGCCAAGATGAGAGGATCGCTTGAGACCAGGAGTTTGAGACTAGCCTGGGCAACATAGTGAGACCCTGCCTCTACAAAAAATGTTTGAAAATTAGCTGGGTGTGGTGGCACACACTGTGAGACTGAGATAGGAGGATTGCTTGAGCCCAGGAGTTTGAGGCTGCAGTGAGCTATAATCATGCTACTGCATTCCAGCCTGGGCAATAAAGACCCTGTCTCAAAAAAAAAATGTATGTGTATATATGTGTATGTGTGTGTGTGTGTGTATTTAATGTTAGAAATCCTGATGGACTGTTTTATTTTCTCCTATGTTCTTTTTTTAATTTTTATTATATTTTTGAGATGGAGTCTAGCTCTGTCGCCCAAGGTTGGAGTGCAGCAGCACGATCTCGGCTCACTGCAACCTCTGCTGCCCGGGTTCAAGCAATTCTCCTGCCTCAGCCTCCTGAGTAGCTGGGATTACAGGTGTGTGCCACTACGCCTGGCTAATTTTTTTTGTATTTTTAGTAGAGACGGGGTTTCACCATGTTGGCCAGTCTGGTCTTGAACTCCTGACCTCGTGATCCACCCACCTCGGCCTCCCAAAGTGCTGGCGTGAGCCACCACACCCGGCCCAACTTCTATATTTTTTAGCAGAGACGCGGTTTAACCATGTTGCCCAGGCTGGTCTTGAACTCCTGACCTCAAGTGATCCACCAGCCTCGGCCTCTCAAAGCGCTGGGATTACAGGCATGAACCACTGCACCTAGCAGATTTTCTTCTATATTCTTATTTGTATTTTCAAAATTTAACGATTACTTTACCAGAAAAAAAATTAAACCAAAACTGTATTTCCCAAAAGTATTACCAAATAGTCATTATCCTTAATATAAAGGACCATATGCATTATTAGTAAGTACTACGAGGAACATTGGAATAAAAAATTGGAATGGTTCATTAAAAACAAAACAAAACAAAGCAAAAACCATAGGCTGGGCGCAGTGGCTCATGCCTGTAATGCCAGCACTTTGGGAGGCCAACATAGTAGTACCACTTGAACCCAGAAGTTTAAGACCAGCTTAGACAACATGGTGAAACCCTGTCACTACAAAAAATTAAAAACATTAGCTGGGCATGGGAGTGTGTGTCTGTAGTCCCAGATACTCAGGAGGCTGAGGTGAAAGGATCGCTTGAGCTCAGGAGGCAGAGGTTGCAGTGAGCTGAGATCTTGCCACTGCATTTTAGCCTGGGCAACAGGGCAAGACACTGTCTCAAAAAAAAAAAAAAAAAAAAAAAAAAAAAAAAGGAAAAAATGACTAACACCTGCAAAAATATTCAAATGTAATTAGTAATTAAAGAAATATAAACTTTTAAAGAGATACTATTCCTCTAACAACTTAGTGACAATTTCTGAGTGCCAGAAACAATCTAAGCATCCAACATTAGGAAAATATGAAAATGGTGGCATATCCATATGATAAACTTACAGAGCAATTAGGAATTTAGGGTTGTCGATGATTCAAGGAAATGCTTAGAACAATGTTTAAAGGAAGATGAATTGGAATGGTTTATATACATTATGAGCTCAAATATGTAAAATAAGATGTATAGAAAAAATGAAAAATATTACCTTCTAAGTAAAGAAATTGAATTTTTCTATCCTTACTCAGATTTTTTCTACAATAAATGTTACTTTTAAAATCAGAAATTTTTTAAATGGTGAAATGGATTTATCATCTTACAATAATATATACAGCCTGCAAGCCTAAGGGATTTTATAAATTCTATTAAAAATATGTACATTCTAATGAAATTATGACTTTGTTCACAATAGGTTAGTGGTGGTATGTATAAATCAAAATCTCATTTTATAATTTACCAAGACTTTTAAAGAGGATTTAGTATTATTTTTGACCAGCACAAGGCATTGCACACTTTAAGTGCAACTGAATTTTACAATTCAATTAACATTTTAATTCCAAATTATAAAAATATTTTGTAATAAAATATACACTGAAATATAAACTTTATACTAAAAATATTTTATAATACTTTTCAAATGCCAGCTAATATTTTGAAGGAAGCAGCTTAAAATCATGCTAGGTAACAGAGAAACAACACTGAGATTTTTATTTTTTGAAATAAAAGTTGGTTATAAAAATAAAAAGCCCACCAAGCTGATTACAACCAGACAAGAAAAACGTAAGGCTTATGTCTAAAAAAATTTTCAAAAGTCTCAATCTAAGAATTCTCAGTAACAAAGGAGACCAAAGTTAAAATCTGCCAATAGCAACAGTCATAGCTAAAGATATATTTAAGTGTTCATATTAATATTTCAAATTTGGTTTATTAATGTGGGACCTAAGGTCACGTTGAAGTAAATGTAACTGCTGGTAACTATGCATATGTCTTCCTCTCCCCGATGCCTTAGCTGTTTATACTTCTCATTAGCCGTCTTCCTATTCTTTCTTTTGGAGCTCTATTTCCTGGGCCTCTTACTACCTAGCTCATAATTTCTTCTTGTCTGGCTAGAAACAGATGGGGTCTTGAAAGCTGACATTCTTCTTAAAGAACAGGAACAATTATACAGGCTCTTCACTCCCTCCCCGCCCATCTGTCCCTTCTAAGGAGAATGTACCCAGGCAGGCTCCTGGGTGGTACAATTTATGCACAGGTATAATTCTGTATATTTGTATAGCACCCTATTTTATGTGATACTTTCACATACATCATTCCACTTTAGTCTTGTGCCTGGTTTTATTATCTCCAGTTTATGGACAAAAAAACTAAGATTCAGAGAGGTTAGATGATTTGCCCTCAGTCTAGACTCCAAAGCCAGCCAATGATAGGAGCAGGACAAGAACCTAGGTCTCCTAATTCCTAGCTTAGGAGCTATTTATCACTGTACAAAACTGCTGATATAAATGGTTATAGTGGACAGTTTTTTTTTCTCCCTGAATGAGAAATTACATGAGTTGTCACAGGTAGAATGCTTTAGGGCATTGCTATGGACTGAATGTTTATGCCCTCCTCCAACCCCAATTCATGTGGTGAAGCCTAAATCCTAACTGTAATGGTATTTGGAGGTAGGGCCTTTGGGAAGTATGAGGGTCATGAGGGTGGAGCCCACATGAATGGGTTCAGTGCCCTCATAAGGTACATGAGAAAGATGATCTCTTCTTCTGCCGTATGAGGATACATCAAGAAAGTGTCTATGGACCAAAAAGAGGGTCCTCACCAGACTACTGCCTTGATGTTTGGTCTTCCCAGCTTCCAGAACTCTGAGAAATAGATGTTTGTTGTTTCATCCATCCAATCTATGGCATTTTGTTTTAGCAGCCCCAGCGGAGACAACACTCTACCTGGACATTTTATTTGCTGTAATGTTCTTACGAGTTGCAAGCCTGGTCCACTTTTTACTTCACAACTAATGTGGAAGAGAACACATCTGATTCCAAGGAGAGGAGACTCATCTCTTGTCCTCAATAACAAATGAGGAATCTGAAGAGCTTGTTTTAAACAATTTTGGTGGTCTTACAACCCACTGGCATAGAATCTCGAGTGTACTTCTTTCTATTCACCATGCCACCTACTTCTACTGCAGACATGAAATTAATCAAGATCACGTAGAAATCCATTGGCTTGGGAGGACAGAACAATCTTATTCATAGAAACATGATGTTACTTTATTAGTAAACAAATTCAGTATAAATATGCATCTGTGACTTTTAGTGTGGTGTGACCTATCAATTTCCACTGAATTTCAAGCCTTTCTATTCCTGAATTGTTTGAGGTTTTATTAGTAAATGTTTCCCATTTCTCTTCACTAAATAGGACTAAAAGTTCTAGGTCTTATAAAGTACATTTGTCTTTATAAGCAACTGTTAAACTTTTCCTAAGTGATTGTGCCCATGTTATATTCTCACCAGCAATGAGAATTTCAATTGCTCTATATCCTCTCCAACACTTGGCATTGCCAGTCCTTTCAATTTTAGCCAGTCTGGTGACTATATAGTGATAAGACAAAGAAAGGAAATCAAGAGGCCGGGTGCAGTGGCTCATGCTGGCAATCCCAGCATTTTGGGAGGCCAAGGCAGGTGGATCACAAGGTCAGGAGTTCAAGACCAGCCTGGCTGAGATTGTGAAACCCCATCTCTAGTAAAAATACAAAAATTAGCCGGGCGTGGTGGTGGGTGCCTGTAATCCCAGCTACTCTGGAGGCTGAGGCAGGAGAATTGCTTGAACCTGGAAAACGGAGGTTGCAGTGAGCTGAGATCACACCATTGCACTCCAGCCTGGGCATCAGAGCAAGACTCTGCCTCAAAAAAATAAAAAAAGAAAAAAGAAAAAAGAAACAGCAGAAATCAATGAATTAGAAAAGAAAGACTATAGAGAAAACAATGAAACTAAAATCTAGTTTTTTTGAAAATATCTTTAAAATTGATAAACCCCTAACAAAACTGAGCAAGAAAAAATACAAATATTAGGAATGAAAAAGAGGACATCACCATGGATCCTACAGACCTTAAATTAGGAAAACCTTATACTAATAATTTCAACAAAATGGACAAGTTCTTCCTTGAAAGACACAAACTATGAGTTGACATCTACCTAATGAGGAAATTGAATTTGTAGTTAAAAATCTCTCAGGCCCAAATGGCTGCATTGATAAATTCAGACATATAAGGGGAAAAAGCCACCAATTCCACATAAATTCTTTCAGACAGCAGACAGAACAGTTCTCAAATAATTTTATGTAGCCAATATTGCCCTAATTCCTGACAAAAATATTACAAGAGAAATTACAGACAGATTCCTCATGGGCATATACGTAAAATTTGTTTATAATTTTTATTTGCTTGAAGTATTGGTAAATCAAATCTAGCAATATATACTGAGAATAATATATCAAAACCAACAGGGATTTATCTTCTGAATTCATAAGTGGTTCAACATTTGAAAATCTACCATATTAACAGAATAAAGGAGAAAAACCATATAATTATATCCATAGTTGGAGAAAGAGCACCTGACAGTGCATCATTGATTCTATTCTCAGCAAAGGAAAGTTTTTCAACTTCATTAAGGGGCATTGACAAAAAACCTATAGCTAACTTTATCCTTAATGGCAAAAGACCGAGTGGTTTCCCTGTCAGATGGGAAACAAGGCAAGAATATGTGTTCTTACTGCCCCTATTCAGCATTGCATTCCAGGTCTTAGCCAGTACCTTAAGGCAAGAGGAAGAAAAGGGCGGTGGGGAGAGTAAAACGGTCTATCCAGTGAACAACTGTGTCCGCTAAAAATACTAAGCAATTGCCTGGTGAGGTGGCTCATGCCTGTAATCCCAGCACTTTGGGAGGCCGAGGCGGGTGGATCAAGAGGTCAGGAGATCGAGACCATCCTGGCTAACACAGTGAAACCCCGTCTCTACTAAAAATACAAAAAAATTGGCCCAGCGTGGTGGCAGGCACCTGTAGTCCCAGCTACTTGGGAGGCTGAGGCAGGAGAATGGCGTGAACCCGGGAGGCGGAGCTTGCAGTGAGCCGAGTTTGCGCCACTGCACTCCAGAGCCTGGGCGACAGAGCGAGTCTCCGTCTCAAAAAAAAAAAAAAAAAAAAAAATACTAAGCAACCTTAACAAATAGCCAGTAGAATAAGTGAATTTAGCAAGGCTTCAGGATACAATATTAACTTATAAAATTCATATTTCATAAAGAAATATGCCAGCCCTGAACAATTATCTTTATTATTTCACCAATTTTACATGAAAGTTGACATTGTATTACTTACCAATAGTGAGATAAAACCATTTTTCATATATTTATTGGCCACTTGTATTTCTTTTATAAATTGCCTATTTATATCTTTTGCTTAATTTCCTACATCTTATGATTATCTCTTACACATTTCTAATAATTTGTTGTATAAAGTCACAGCTTTCACCAAATACTAGACCAGACAGCTGTCACGAGGACCAACTTCTATATTTGGAAGGCTATTTCCCTCCACTCACACATACTCAGCCTCATTACCACCTCATATACCTCCCTGCCTTCTTCCTCCAAACTCTCACCAGTCTCCCAGTGAAGAGGGCCAACAAAAGGGATTATGATGATGATTCGTGCAGACAGACTCTCTATCTGGCCTTTCTCCTTGGAGGGACTGATTGGGAATTAGTCACACTGCTCTGTGAAATGGGGTTTGAGAGGCATAAAGTTGGGTGTCACTTTATTAGCTCCCAGTACCAGGGCCTCTAGAATTATCTGAAGATCATTGCCATTAATCTAAGTCAGATGGCATTTGACTATTTCCTGACTTCAGTGGCCACTCACAGCTTCAGCAGGCAGTAAAGGGCTGTGAAATGTCATTGACAGTAGCTGCAGTGTCACTATGGGCAGTGGCAAATCAAGGCAACACAGCTTAGGAGACTATACATGTTATCAATGATTTTTTCACCAGTTCACTTTGAAGTGTGATATCAGAAAAGAACAGTAACGTTTCCCCCAAATAGCCAGTTATCCCAGAATCATTTATTCAATGATTTGAAAAACTTTTTTTTTTTTTTTTTTTTTGAGACGGAGTCTCCCTGTCGCCCAGGCTGGAGTGCAGTGGTGCGATCTCGGCTCACTGCAGGCTCCGCCCCCCGGGGTTCACGCCATTCTCCTGCCTCAGCCTCCCGAGTAGCTGGGACTACAGGCGCCCGCTACCTCGCCCGGCTAATTTTTTGTATTTTTAGTAGAGACGGGGTTTCACTGTGTTAGCCAGGATGGTCTCGATCTCCTGACTTCGTGATCCACCCGCCTTGGCCCCCAAAGTGCTGGGATTACAGGCGTGAGTCACCGCGCCCGGCCGAAAAACATTTTAAACTACTTGGTATCAACTTTGGACTCTTAAGCAAGACTCAAAAGACAATAATAGCTAGGATATGTCATCAGAGTTGAAAGGAAATATTATCTTAAAGCAGAACTGCAAATACTAAAATTGCCAGAATTTTAATGAGGTCTTAGAGGGCTAATAAGCTACCTTTCACTTAAAATATCCTGAGCACTGGGTAAGTGTGGAGAAGGTCATCATAAATGAGACTGTTTCCTCTCTTCCAAGTACTCAGAGGGCAGAGAGGAGACCTCCCCAACTCCTCTCTGGAGCTGACCTGGCTTGGGGAGACCTGAGCTGTAATTTCCTGTTCACCTCCTCATGCTACTACTGCTCCCTCTGGGCCTCTGGTCTTAGCAGGTTGGATTCACACTTCTTTTGCTTTAGATGTAAACAGAACACTAGGAAAGAAGATTAATTCAAACAGTTTCAAAAGCACTCGATTCAAAACTTCTTCCTATTTGGATCTGTAAAGTAAGAATTTCTATATCTTTTTGAATAGCTGAAGCACAGGGTCTTCTTCTGTTTTAATGTGAAAATGATTCAGACTTAGTCATTAAAACAAAGATGTTATTACCTACCATAAGTCTTATTTGCCTGTCCAGGCATCCATTAAAAGGTTGGAGAGTCCAGGCGCGGTTGCTCACCCCTGTAATCCCAGGACTTTGGGAAGCCAAGGCAGGCAGACCACCTGAGGTCAGGAGTTTGAGACCAGCTTGGCAAACATGGTGAAACCCTGTCTCTACTAAAAATACAAAAAATTAGCTGGGTATGGTGGTGCATGCCTGTAATTCCAGCTACTTGGAGGCTGAGGCATGATAATTGCTTGAACCTGGGAGGCAGAGGCTGCAGTGAGCCAAGATCACACCACTGCACTCCAGACTGGGCGACAGAGCAAGACTGTCTAAAAACAAACAAAAAAAACAAACAAAAAAGCCAGCCAGGTGCAGGGGGTGCATGCCTGTAATCCCAGCACTTTGGGATGCTGCAGCAGGCAGATAACCTGAGTTCAGGAGTTCAAGACCAGCCTGGCCAACATGGTGAAAACCCTGTCTCTACTTGAAAAAAAAAAAAAATACAAAAATTAGATGGGTGTGTTGGTGGGTGCCTATAATCCCAGCTACTCAGGAGGCTGAGGCAGGGAGAATTGCTTGAACCTAGGAGGTGGAGTTTGCAGTGAGCCAAGATCACGCCACTGCACTCTGGTCTGGGTGACAGAGTGAGACTCCATCTCAAAAAAAAAATAAAGTTGGAGAGCCTTAGCTTAGTTACTAGATGATTTGAAGGTATGTTTTAAGAAAAAGGTCTGCGGTCCCTAACTGTAACTCGTGAATCCAGCAGTAAAGGCTAGGTTTCTATATGTGAATTTTCACATCTAGAAGCAGCAGCTGATTGACAGTTGATTGTTCCCCACCATGATCACATAGGTTTTGGTTTGAGCACTGGTCATCTGGTTGTCTTTTTTTTTTTTTTGAGACAGAGTCTCGCTCTGTCACCCAGGCCGGAGCAGTGGTGCGATCTCAGCTTACTGCAAGCTCCGCCTCCAAGGTTCATGCCATTCTCCTGCCTCAACCTCCCAAGTAGCTGGGACTACAGGCGTGTTTGTATCTTATTTCTAATAGGCTGATAATAAAGAAAATGATTGAAAATATAGGTTTTCTGATCAAGTCACCAGCTCCTATATTAAGTTCAAATTTTTATTCTAGTCTTGAAGCTTTCAGATAGCCAACACAATCCAATGACATTTTAAAGTCACCAACATTTCAAACTTATGTATTAAAAAATATAGACACTGGGCCGGGTGCAGCAGCTCACGCCTATAATCCCACCACTTTGCGAAGCCGAGGGGTGTGGATCACCTGAGGTTCGGAGTTTGAGACCAGCCTGACAAACACGGAGAAACCCTGTTTCTATTAAAAATACAAAATTAGCCGGGCATGGTGGCACATGCCTGCAATCCCAGCTACTTGGGAGGCTGAGGCAGGAGAATTGCTTGAACCCGGGAGGCAGAGGTTGCGGTGAGCCGAGATTGCGCCATCGTACTCCAGCCTGGGCAACAAGAGTGAAACTCCGTCTCAAAAAAAAAAAAAAAATATATATATATATATGTGTGTGTGTGTGTGTGTGTGTGTGTGTGTGTGTGTGTACATATAAAACATATATAATATATATTTAAATATATATAGACACCACACTCTCATGGACAATTGTGAAAACTTGACATGTCCAAGTAAATCCAATCAATTAATTAGCAAGTCCCTGGATTATTCAGATTTCGTCAAGGGAAATGTCATCAGTGTGGGTGCCTAAGTCAAGTCAGAAATGTCAGAATTAAAACTGGAAGTAGGCCGGGGGCGGTGGCTCACGCCTGTAATCCCAGCACTTTGGGAGGCCAAGGCGGGCAGTTCACGAGGTCAGGAGATTGAGACCATCCTGGCTAACACGGTGAAACCCCGTCTCTACTAAAAATACAAAAGAATTAGCTGGGCATGGTGGCGAGCACCTGTAGTCCCATCTACTCGGGAGGCTGAGGCAGGAGAATGGCATGAACCCGGGAGGCGGAGCTTGCAGTAAGCCGAGATGGCACCACTGCACTGCAGCCTGGGCGTCAGAGAAAGACTCTTCCAAAAAAAAAAAAAAAACACACACACACACACCTGGCAGTAAAGAAGATATTAAGGCTGGGCACGGTAGCTCATGCCTGTCATCCCAGCACTTTGGGAGGCCGAGACAGGAGAACCACTTGAGGCCAGGAGTTCAAGACCAGACTGAGCAACATAGCAAGACCTTGTCTCTACTAAATATAAAAAGGTTTTGCTGGGTATGGTGGTGCGTGCCTCTGGTCCCAGCTACTAGAGAGGCTGAGGTAGGAGGATCAGTTGCCAGAGGTCAAGGCTGCAGTGAGCTAGAATCATGCCACTTCATTGCAGCCTGGGCAGCAGAGACCCCACCTCTACAAAAAAAAAAAAAAAAAAAAAAAAAAATTAGCTGGGTGTGGGTGGTACGTAGTGGTAGTCCTAGCTACTCAGCAGGCTGAGGTGGGAGAACCGCTTGAGTCTGGGAGGTCAAGGCTGCAGTGAGCTATGATTGTGCTGCTGTACTCCAGCCTGGGTAACAGTGAGATAACAGCCTGGTAATAGTGAGATCCTATCTCAAAAAAAAAAAAAAAAGGAAAAAAAAGAGTACCAGGATACTGTTTACCTCTAATTAACTGTGTGATCCTAGACATATCTGAACTCGTCAGGCCTGAGTTTTCAATGAAAAGTGTATTCCACTATCTAATCTCTAAGGCCACTTTTAGCTCTATCATGGTATAAAGATTACAAATGGCGACCAGGCACAGTGGCTCACGCCAGTAATCCCAGCGTTTTGGGAGGCCAAGGTGGGAGGATCACCTGAGGTCAGGAGTTTGAGACCAGCCTGTCCAATGTGGTGAAACCCTGTCTCTACTGAAAATACAAAACTTAGCTGGGCGTGGTGGCGGGTGCCTGTAATCCCAGCTACTCGGGAGGCTGAGGCAGGAGAATCGCTTGAACCTGGGAAGTGGAGGTTGCAGTGAGCCGAGATTGCACCATTGTACCACAGCATGGGTGACAGAGCAAGACTCCATTAAAAAAAAAAAAAAAAATTACAAACTTACCCTTAAGGGTATTGCATTATGTATTTTTTGAAGAAAGTCAGATTCTCGAATACTGTCATTTACAATCACACCAAACAGGACAGAAGGCCATTCAAGTACCTGTAGAATTCCTTTTTGGTTGGGCACAGAGGGGAAGGCTAGGAATGTGTCCCAGCATCTTAGATGATTTGCATGATTTTAAAAAGTGAAATAAGATTCATAAATTTGAGCAAATTTTTAAAGTGGCAGTAATCCTTACATTTTGATTCAGTTGATTTTCAGATCCCCTTCACATATACGTATTTTACAGTTGCAATTATTTAACATTAAATGTTATACAATTGTATATATTGTCTAACTACATATCATTGTTACAATTTTGTCAAAATGTTATACAATTGTATATATTGTCAAACTATTGTTACAATTTTGTCAAAATGTTATACAATTGTATGTATTGTCTAACTACATATTCTTTGCTACAATTTTGTCAAAATGTATAGGATTGTATATATTGTCTAACTACATATCGTTACAATTTTGTCCTTGTTTGTTGAGGCAGGATCACTCTGTGGCCCAGGCTGGAGTATAGTGGTTTGATCATAGCTCACTGCAGCCTTGAATGCCTGGGCTGGAGTAACCCTCCCACCTCAGTCTCTGGAGTAGCTGAGACTACAGGCATATGTCACCACGCCTGGCTCATTTTTTATTTTTTATTTTGTAGAAATAGGATTTTGCTATATTGCTCAGGCTAGTCTTGAACTCCTGCCCACATGCGATCCTCTTGCCTTGTCCTCCCAAAGTGGTGGATTTATAGGTGTGAGCCACTGTGCCTGGCCTCATTGTTCCAATTTTAATGATGACATAGGACTCTTATCGTGATGTATCATGACAATTAGACTACTCCCCAGATGTTAGATATGTCAGTTGCCCTCTAACAAAAAGTGCTTTAATAAATAATTTTGTATATATGTCTACTTTAATAGGAGTGGAATTATTTGGTCAAAAGAAATGAATCTCTATGGCTGTTCCCACATATGACCATTTTGCTCCTTTTAAAGTATACAAACAATCTTACAATGTTAACAGCAAAGAAGGCATTGTTTAGAAAAATGATATCATTGGGCCAGGTGTGGTGGCTCACCCCTGTAATCCCAGTACTTTGGGAGGCTGAGGTGAGAGGATTGCTTGAGCGCAGGAGTTTGAGATGAGCCTGGGCAACATAGTGAGACTCCATCTCCACAAAAAATTTAAAAATTGGCTTGGCGTGGTGGCATGTGGCTGTAGTCCCAGCTATTCAGGAGTCTGAGGCAGGAAGGTCTCTTGAGCCCAGGAGTTTGAGGTTACAATGAGCTATGATCATGCCACTGCACTCTAGCCTGGGTTACAGAGTGAGATTCTGTCTCTTATTAAAAAAACAAAACAAAACAAAACAAAACAAAAAAAACCCCCGATGTCATTGGGAATTACTTTTAAAAAATAGATTTCCTAGTTTACTTTTCACTACCATTTACAAGAATGCACATTTCTACATTTTAACTTAGTTTCTTCTTCTGGAAAATGTTTTGTCAATATTTCTGTTGAAGATTGGTATTTTTAAAATATCACAGACTCTTGAAGAAGTGTCATATTTCTATTGTTTTATTCTCACTTTATACTGTGTAGAGACATAATTTCTTATTTTTCTTTATGATTTCTATTTAAAAATCAAGTTAACTTTTCTAGTCTATTTTGATTTTTCCGTAATTTTAGATTTTATAATTTAACTTTCCCACCTTATTTAACCTTAATTTATATATTTATACCTATATCATTTTACAAAGAATTTAAGAAGGTATTTAGCATTTTATATAAAATGAAAAAACACACATAATGATGGTCTGAAATATAAGCATATTAAACATAATGCTTGGTTTGAGCTTAGATTTGATGCTGGGCTGTCTGGTTGCTGGTGCAAAAATTAAAAAAACACAGATTGTCAATTATCAGTGATTTTAATGTTTTTGCAGAACTTTTTTTTTCTACCCAATAAGACAGCACATGACTAGATGAACAAGAGAGATGCCTGCCTCTCCCCACCCCTTTCAGTGAGCACTGAAATATCTCAGGTGGATCCAGAATTCAGAAAACAGTCCGAAAAAGGAGTTAAATCATCTCATCATTAGAAGGGAGAGAAATATTCTCAGTTTCCCAGAAGAAAAAAAAGTTAAAAAGCCTTTCTAGCTCTAATTTGTAACAAAACAAAACAAAAATAAAAATGAAAACACTCCACATGAAACATTTAGGGCATTTAGCTGTGAGCTGTTTTTACACACAGCTATTTCTTAGAGCAAACTTTCATAACCTTTGAAAGCCCAGTGTCAATGTGCAACTCAGTTAAAGTGCTTCTAAACTTGTTTAAGGGTGTTGTTTTTGATGGCTTAACTGGTCTATCAGTAGCATTTAATATTTCTAGAGGTCTAAAAATACATTTTAAAATTCTGTAGAAATGGATGTTTTCCTCAGAAAAACATAATAGTCACTCAATAAAACCCCCAAAAGGCAAAAGTCATGTGCTAAATTGAGAATTCAAGACATTCCTTCTAAATATCTTTATTTTTGGTCCTGACTTTTATGGGAAATTTCTGTCAGACTTTCAAGTAACAGTTAAGTTCTATGGTATGTAAATTGTTTCAGAGCATAAACTATAAAAAAGTTCCTAATTCACTTCACAAAGCTATTAACCCTAATACCAAAATTTAAGACTGCAAAGGCCTTCTAATTGTTCTTTGCTTTTCTGTCTCCACTTCTAATCTAAGCACTGGCACTAGAGTGCTTTTAAGGTGCCTATCTTATCACATTACCAGAAAGGGGTACTTCTCAACCCCTTGAAAGACTGGCAGGAGAAAATGACAGCCCTATCTGTTGGAAGTGGCAGAAGACAGCATCAGGACTGGCAGAGAAGCTGGAAATAACCTAGAAAAATCCTGGAAGAAAGAGATCTGCAGAAGGAATAGAACCCCAAATCTGACTATAAACTCTGCTGTAATCCCTAGCTAACTGCATATGAAGGATAGTGGGACATGGACACCCTACAGGGGCCATTGAAAAAGCAGACAAACCAGCAAAAAGTCAATCCTTGAAAGATAAAGTTGTGCTAAGATTAATAGCTTCTTTATATTTACGTATGTATGTATGTATGTATGTATGTATGCATGCATGTATTTTGAGTACATTCCCTAACCTCAGAAGTAGGTATCAGAGTAAAGAGTTTTGGATTGGCCAGGCACGGTGGCTCACTCCTGTAATCCCAGCACTTTGGGAGGCCGAGGCAGGTGGATCACTTGAGGTCAGGAGTTCGAGACCAGCGTGGCCAACATGGTGAAACCCTGTCTCTAATAAAAATACAAAAATTAGCCAGGTGTGGTGGCACGCGCCTGTAGCCCCAGCTACTCTGGCGGCTGAGGCAGGAGAATCGCTTGAACCTGGGAGGTGGAGGCTGCAGTGAGCTGAGATCGCACCACTGCATTCCAGCCTGGGCAACAAAAGTGAAACTCCATCTCAAATAAAGCAAAACAGTTTTGGATTGATAGAGCAGCTGGAGAAATAGGGGAACCTCAGGGTGGGTATATCCAAAAATCTCAGTATAAGCTCTCCAGTTCCTTGGCTGACTGCTAAGCTCCATGGGCACAAAAGGAGACCAGGCTAGAAAAGCAGCAACTGGAAGTTATAAAAACTGAGCAAAGAGATCAGCTGCTGCATACTGCTGGAAGATAGAATTTGAAGTTTGAGTACAGGAATGTTTACTGCCAGCTAGAATACAAAAAACCAGTAATACCCAGAAGAATAAAGCAGAAACTAGAGTTGGTAATAAACTATCCACAATGTTAAGTTTGTGGCCAAAAATTACGAGACATGTAATGAAACATGAAAGTGTGACCCATATTAAAAAAAAAAAAAGTCAGGCTGTAATAATTTACTCTAACTAGAGCCAGGTGTTGGATTTATTAACTACTTCAAACCAGCAATTACAAATGTGCTCAGATAAATTAAGGAAAACATGGTCTCAATTAGCCAACATAAGGAATCTTGAGAAACTGAAACTATAAAAAAGACAAATGAAAATTCTAGAGCTAAAAAATGTTATAGAATTTAGAAGATAAGCACAAGACTAGAAATAGAAGAATCAGTGAACTTAAGGATACATCAGTAGAAATGATCTAATCTGAAGATCCATTAAAAAAAGAAAGAAAATTGAACATGTCCTCAAAGACTTATGGGATAATACCAAGCTTTTCAACATATGTTTAGTTGGGGTCCTACAAAGAAAGGAGAGAATGAAGTATTAAAAAAGTATTTAACAAAACAATGGTTAATAATACTCCAATTTTGGTGAAAACATTAACCTCTAGATTCAAGAAATTCAGTGATCCCCAAGGGGGGAAAAACCAGTTAAGATGCATCATAACCAAACTACTGACAAGCAGAAAGAACTCTATGAAGGGATCATTTTACTGTATATGTATTATACTTAAGTTAAAATATTTCAAAGCAAACAAGGGAAGGGAATAAATATAGGATTAGAAAACAATGAAGTAGAAAAACAGAGTGAAGCATGTGAAAAAAAAAGCTAGGATTTTGAAAAGGCCAATAAAACTGAAATCTCTAGCTAGACTAATCAGAGGGTATAAAAATAAAAATTTTGAATAACAAGAGTGAAAGAGTAGGTCGGGCGCGGCAGCTCATACCTGTAATCTGAGCCCTTTGAGAGGACAAGGTGGGCGGATCTTGTGAGGCCAGGAGTTCGAGACCAGCCTGGCCAACATGGCAAAAGCCCATCTCTACTAAAAATACAAAAAATTAGCTGGGTATGGTGGTGCGCACCTGTAATCCCAGCTACTTGGGAGGCCGAGGCAGGAGAATTGCCTGAATCTGGGAGGCAGAAGTTTCAGTAAACCGAGATTGCACCACTGCACTCCAGCCTGAGAGACAGAGTGAGACTCCATCTCCGGGGAAAAAAAAAAAAAAAAAAAAAAAGAAAAGGATCAAAGAGTAAAAGAGTAGACATTATTAGAGATCCTAAGACACTGAAGAATGGCGGAGATTATAAACAACTTTATGGGAATAAAGTTGAAAATTTAATTGAAATAAATGACTTCTAAGATAAATTACAAAAACTCAGGAAATAAAACCTGAATAGCCCGATATCTATTAACGAAATTGAATTTGTAATAAAAAATCTTCAAATAAAGTATAATCTATGCCTTCATTGGTGAATTCTGACATTAAGAAAAATATCATTTCTATATAAACTCTTCCAGAAAATAGAAGAATGAACACTTTCCGAATCATTTTATGTAGCCAGCATTACTCTGATACCCAAAACTAGACAAAGGCATTATAAGAAAAGCAAACCATAGACAAATATCCCCCCCGGAACATAGATGTCAAAAATCCTTAACAAAATATTAATGAATCAAATCCAGTTTTACATACCGAGAATAAACCATGACCAGTGGTATTTAACCTGGGAATTCAAGGTTATTTTAACTTTGAAAAAGCAAGGTAATCTACCATAAACAGAATAAAACACCTTATGATCATTTCAAAAGATACAGAAAAACTATTTGAAAACATGTTATAATACGTTCATGATTAAAAAAACATTCAGTAAACCAGGAATAGAAGAGAACTCCTTTAACCTGATAAAAAGATTTACAATAAAGAACCTTACAGCTACTATACTTTGTATTGAAAAACAGAATGCTTTCTCTCTCAGACTGAGGGACAAGAATGTCCACTCTCACCATTTCTATTTAGCAGCATACTGCGAAGGTCCTAGCCATTGCAATTAGGCCATAAATAAAATGAATACAGATTGGAAAGAAAAGAGAAACTATTTACAGATGACATGATAGCATATTTAGAAAATCCTAGGGATCCTCCAAAAACAGCTATTAGGATTAGTGAGATTAGCTAAGTCTCAGGATTCAATATCAATATACAAAAAAAATCGATTTTATTTCCATATACCAGCAAAGATTCCATTTACATTATTCAAAAATATGAAATAATAAATTTAACAAAATATGTATAAAGTCTGTAGAGGAAATACTGTAATATATTGTGGAGAAAATTAAAGATGACCTAAGAGATATTTCATGTTCATGGTATAGAAAACTCTATATTAAGATGTCAAATATCTTTAAGTTGACCTATAGGTTTAATGGAAACTCTATATCCCAATTTTTGGAGGAATTGACAAGCTCATTCTAAAATCTATATAAAACACAAAGGACCTAGATTAAGCAAAAGAACTTAGAATAAACAAAGCTAGAAGATTTATGCTACCTGTTTTAAGGACTACAATATAGATCAAACAAGATTGTTTTGGGTCTTCTATGTCTTTGGAATTTCCAAATTAAAAAGACATACATTGAGTATGTAAAGCAACTAGAATTCTCATACACTGCTGGTGGATATACAAAATGGTACAACAGTGTGGATATTTCTTACACAGATAAACACATACTTACCATGTGATTTAGCAATTGTCCTCTTAGGTATTTACTCAAGAGAAATGAAAATATGTTCACACTGAGACTTATACTCAAATGTTCACAGCAGCTTTATTCATAATAGCAAAAGCTGAAAACAACCCAGATGTCCATTTATTGGTAAAGGGAGAAATTATGGTATATCCACACAACATAATATGCTACCCAGAAATAAAATGAACCAACTACTGATATGTGCAACATAGGTGAATCTCAACATTATACTAAGTGAAAGAAGTCAAACAGCACTGTTCCATTTACATGAAATTCTTACATAGTTAAAACTAACATATTGAGATGGCAAGCTCAGGATAGGTTAGGTTGGGAGGAATTAACTGCAAATAATTTTCAGGGTAATAGAAGTGTTCTGTTATCTTTATTGGGGTGGTGATTATATAGTAGCATCTACTTGTCAAAACCTATGTAACTGTAAAGTTGGTGCATTTTATGTTAATCATATCTCAAAGCTGATTTCAAAAACTTCAATGATTTCCTATAGTCATTAGGATAAATCCAGTGGCAAAAAGGTTCTATATCATCCAACCCCTACTTACCTCTCTGGCTTTATCTTATACTGTCTTTGCCTCACTCTATGCCCACCATGTTGGGCTTCTCATCCATTAGAATACATACGCTGTCTCCAGCTCTTGACTTTTACAACTACTCTTTCCTCAAATGCTCTTTCTTTCCTCAACTCTTATTCATCCTTCATTTTTTCCTCAAGAAAACCATCCCGCAAATCTTGGACTAGGATAAGACCCTTGGTATATACTCTAACAGCACTACTTTTTTGCTATACTTTTCATATTAGCAATTATTTACCTTATCATTGATAATCATGTATAAAGTATGTTTCCACCCTCAAGATCAGAAATTCTATGAAACCCGGGTTATCTATTTTGTTCACCACTCTTCCCCCTGAGTCCCTGATATACAGGAAATCCTCAAATATTTGCTGATAAAGCAAGCAAATTTTAAAAATCTAAAAATTCTAAATAAAAGAGCATATAGAATTTAGCAATATATTAATAATACATGTTTAAGTAGGGCTTATTGTAAAAAATAAGGTTTAGTATTTGGAAGTGTATTACTTTATGTAATTCATCAAATATATCAAATAAGATAAATTATCTCCAACTACTGCTACTAGCTGTAGTTGACTGCTAGCAGCAGTCAACATTATTCTAGAAACATTAGACAATGCAATATGACCAGGAAAAAAAAAGACAGTTATATTCAGATTCTGACCATCTATATGAAAAACCCAAGATGATTTGCTGAAAAATTTTAGTAAGCAAGTTCAGTAAGGTGGTCAGTTACAAAGTATATGAATACATATTATAAAAACAGTGTATCTAAAACAATGCAGTATTGGTGTAACAATAGATAGATCAATGGAATAGATTAGGGAGTATAGGAGGAGATAAAATTTTTGCAATATAAGAAATTTCTATGAAACTGACCTTTGGAGAAGCATAGATTATTTAAATAATTGTATTAGGACACTGTGGGCAAATACTTTCCAATATAAAAGTAAGAACTGAAATAATATCTAAATCTGTAATTCATCTAAAATTTAACAAATGAGACCATAAGAGTTCAGATGAAAATACACAAATGCCACTGTGTATATGTCTATATATAATTAATTAATCTGGGAGTCAAGGAAGACTTTCTAAGCTGGATCTTAACTGCAAAATAATAAAGGAAAAGGCTAACATGTTTGACTACAAAATTTATATTTTATATTGTAAACAAAATAAAAATTAAAATATTAAATGAACACTCAAGATGTGATAAAAATGACGATTTTAAATTTATAAAGATTTTTCAAAAAATCAATAAGATACACTTAAGCAGAAAAATGGGTGAAAACTATGAACATATAATCCATGAAGCAAATACAAATAGTAAATGAATATGTCAGGATTTCAAATTAACAGTAAGTAAAAATTGAAGTATTTCAGTCAGATTAAAAATATGTAAACATGACAAACTATACCTAGTGCAGAGAGAAATGGATACTTAAATACAGATGATAGGCGTGTAAATTGCCTAGCTTTTCTGGAGGTCAGTGAGGCAGTCTTATAAAATGCCTTAACGTGCACATTTCTTCTAGAAATCAAGAAAACATTAGACAATTGTACAGTACTCAGTGATTTGTAATGTGGTTTTGTTTATAATACCGAAAACCAGAAATAATCAGCAATAAGTGACTGAGGATAATTTGATACATTCATAAAATACAATACCCATACAGACTTTAAAATGACATTCCATATATATATATGGGCATATATTTGACATTGAAAGATGTATACAAGTAGAAAAAAGTATATATATGGAATGATACTCAAATATATATATTTAATGACAGGGTCTTACTCTTGTCACCGAGGCTGGAGTGCAGTGGTGTGATCATAGCTCACTGCAGCCTCAACCTCCTGGATCCAAGTGATCCTCCTGCCTCAGCCTCCCAAGTTGCTGGCACTACAGGTGTGGTATCACCACACCCGGTTAACTAAAAAAAATTTTTTTAGAGACAGGGTCCCACTATGTTGCCCAGGCTCACACATATATATTCAAAGACATAGAAACAACTTTCTAAGAACATTTATTGACATGTTAACAACACTTCTCTCTTGCAGGAATTATACATTTCCCTCATTTTTGTATTTTTCTGTGTTGAAGGTTCTTTGACAGAACAAGAGCACTTTCTAAAAATAGTTCAAACATTGGATGCAAAGGGATGAGCTGCTAGATTATTTCCTTATGTGACTATTGTGGTTTTAAAAAGTATAATGGGGACTGGGAACACTTTAAGTTTCCAAAGGTTAGATAGGCATTTCTCAAAGTGCATTCCCACACCATCCTCTTCAGGATCTGGTATGCTTGCTAAGAGTTTCTCTGTCCCCACCCTAGCTCTACTGAGCTAAGATCACTGGAGAGGGAACCTAGGACTGGAATTTTAAACAAACTCCCAAAGAGATTCTCACGCATACCGATATTTGAGAACCCTTGTGATACTTCCTATAAAGCTAGAGGGCAGACAGTTGAAGGTTGTTCTTGCAGAGGGAAAAGGCTGCCCAGTTTGCAAGCAGCAGTTTAGGTGAAGCTTCCTTTTCCTGTGCTTTAGCAAGCTTGCTTCATCACCTATTTATTATGTTTGCACATATAGTTAAATCTATGTCTTGACTCTATCCTTTCTACCAATTTGTTTTTTCTTACTTGGGGCCATATTACCAGGGTATATCATTTTATTATATATGATATCTGATAGGATTACCAGATATTATATATAATAGGTATATATAATATAGGTATATATATATTATATAGGTGTATATATAATAGGTATATATTATATAAAATAGGTGTATTATAGGATATTATATAAGAGGTGTATTTTTCCCATGACACTTTTTTTGGCTCCTCCATTTAGCTTTAAGTAGCAAAGTGTCATTCAAATCAGCTTTCTCTTAACCAGAATATTGTGGCCTACTTGGAATCAGAAACTTTTCACAGCCAATTATCTAAACCAGTTCTGAAGTAGACTATAACTGGGAAAATGGCAATGTAGGTTCTGTCTCTTCCAGAACCATCTGCTTCTGCTTATGGTGTCTTTTCAGCATCTACAGGGTCAGTCTGTCATGCAAAAGAGCATTAATTAAGTAGTTCTCTCTCCAGCAGATGCTTGAAGGAAATCCACAACTCAATTTCCACAGTAATTGGCTCCCAACACACCTTTTCTTACAGAGAGATAGTGATTGTTTTCTTTTCTGTGGTTTCCATTTTCCATGGCACCATACTCCTATACCCGCAAGCAAGCCTTACCGGCATGGTGATCTGGATGGGTTGCCGTTCTCCACTCTTCGTTGGGGTCACACCTTCTGTGTCATATGTACCCGTATAAACAACTCTGTCCCCATCAGGCTCTTTAGACTTCAGTTCCAGTGGGACAAGCACACCACCAATGGAAATATTCCTGCAATAGACTTGAGTTGACCACATACGGTTGAAATTAGCCTAGGCACCCTGTCCTGTTTTGGACCAAAACTCTAGGCAGGAAACTTACAGGGTTTCACTAAGGGGGGCATTGTGGTGCGGGAGAAAGTTCTGCAAGTTCAGGGGGCAGTGCTTCTCCTATTTATGAATTAAAAACCTACCTATCCCCAGCCCCAGACATTAGGATTCAGTTGGCCTGGGATGTAGTTTGGACACTGGTACATTTATTTTAAGGTTATCTAGGTGATCTTAATATGCAGGTAGGATTGAGAATACTGAACTCGTCCTCTAATATTTTTTTTCTCCTGTTCCAACAATCAGGGGTCCTATGATTTGGAGTACCTCAAGCCTTCTACACCATCAGAAATTCTCACTGGCATCATTCTTTTGTGTTAGGATAATGGTTCTCAAAGCCAAGTCCCTGGACCAGCAGTATCAGCATCACCTGCAGACCTTAGAAAACAAATTCTTAGGCCCTACCATAGACTAAACTAGAACTTCTAGGGAGAGCTCCAGCATCTGTGTTTTAACAAGCACTCCAGGTGATTCTGATATATACTCAGGTTTGAGAACCACAGGATTAGAGTTGAGAAATCCTTGATAGCATTAAAATGTAACCAGAAAAAATAGTTTTATTCCTAACAAATTAACTTTTAGATTAGTTTGAACACTAGAGGAATACTCTAAAAAAAAAAAAAAGAAATATATTAACAGATAACTCCGGGGATAAGGTTGGCAGGAAAGAAGGGAAAGGAAAAGCCTGGATTATATCCAGGTGCACAGAACACTGGGAAATGTGAGAATAAAGGGTGCATGGAGCTGTGGGGGATGCTGACAAATAGATGAATCAGGAGTACCAGAAACCATCCAGATTTGGTTCTAGGTCCTTGCACCTTGGAAGGCTAATACAAGTTTACTGAATTAAAACGTAAGCTATAAGTAGTATCTGATGAATTCAAAGTCCTTCCACCCCCGCAATAATGCCCACCATATGTAGTAGATACAATAAATGCTGGTTTATTTTCTCTCTGCAGACTAGACTTTGGTAGGTAGAAACGAGAGGTAAAGGGGCTCCACCCGCAGTTCTTCCGGGTAGGCTACTGCATGCTCCCACACACTTTCCCGCCAGAGGTCTACTGGGTGCATTATCCAGCGGTCGCTGGCAAGAAATCGTCCCTGCCATGGATAAACCAAAAAACATCCTCTTGCTGTGGGGATGTTGCTAATCCCAGGCACCATCACCAGCCTGAACAGAAAACTCAGGAGAAAAAGAACAGCATACGGCATGGAAAACCGTGAAACTAGGCCAGAGAAGGGGCGGCCGCTCTCTTACTAGTGTCTGCTGCTCCACCCCAGGGTCCCAGCCACTGAATGGCGAAGGGAGTGGGGAGCATCCCTCAGGGAGCCCCAGTAATCACCCCTCCCCTGCCTTTCCACCTCATTCCTCCTTTCTCCCTCCTTCAGCCTTGCGGGCAGACCCTGTGGGCCGCCTGGACCGCGCGCAGGAGGGCTGGGATTGCGGTGGCTGAACCCTGCGGACCTCTCCCATCTGCTCCACCCCGACCGCCTGCGGTTCCGCGCCCAAGGCTGGACAGAAGGCAGGAGAAATTTATAAGAAACAGACAAGCAAAAACCCTGGCTTCTTGTCACTGATTTTAAAGAACCCACTGAGGTCACTGCGATGGGTGGAGGGAAGCGAGAATGGAGGAATACAAGCCAAAGGGAAGGAAGGGGACGAAGGCGGACAGGGAGTGACCTCTTCCTCCAACCCCCGGGCCCGCTGGGAGCGGCGCGAGGCCAGAGGCCCTTGAGAGGCTCGGGCTGTCCTGGGGGCCTCAGTCCTCTGCCTGTACCCCATGGGGGACCCTGCTGCCACCAGGCGCCCCGCACTCACTCGACCTGCAGCGTGCTGGGTTTAATCTTCACCTCAACCTTGTAGGAGGAGCCGGTGAGCAGCTTGATGGTGCGGTTCTGGCCGAAGCGCTGCCCGTCCACCTTGTAAAAGACCGGGCCGTCATTAGGCTGGATGCGCAGCGCGATGGAGAGGCGCACGAGGCCCGGCAGGTCCCCCATGTCTGGGCGAGGGTCTGGCGCGGCGGCTCCGGGGGGCGGAGGACAGCGCCGGCTGCGGCCGAGTGGCTGGAGCGCGAGGGGCGGAGAGGAAGCGCGGGGAGGGTGAGGGAGGTGGTGGAGCTGAGGCTGCCGCTAGGAACCCGCGCCGTCGCCGCCGTCCGCCCGGGCTTTTGAGGAGCAGCTCCTTAGGCTGTGGCCCCCCTCCCCACTCGGCGAGGAAGCGGGCCCAAGAGACGGCTCCAAGGCCGCGCGCTTCCCCATCCCCCGCTCCAGTGCTGCGCCCTCCACGCACCCGAAGGCTCGCTCTGGCCCGCAGGCCGCCGCGCAGATCCGCGCAGCTGGGGGCGAGGGAGTTAATCCTGTTTACGCACCACAATCCCCTTCAGCTGGGGAAGCGGACATTTAGGCTCCTCCTAGAACAGCCCCGGGCAGGAGGAGGAGAGGTTTGGGAGGCACTGGGAAGGCGCTGGAGTTAAGCGACCACTATGCCAAGGAGCGAGACCCCCGGAATCTGGATACCGCCTCGGCCAGCTACGTGAGGTGGACACTGCTGCTCGCGGATCCGGCGCCAGCCAGGCGGGAGGAGGCTGAGGGGGGGTAAAGGGAGGCGGGAAGGGGGGACAGGAAACCGCTAGCCGGTGATTTAAATTTCAGGAAATATGAGTCTTTCCAAAGCTTAGGGGAAATGGCCGAGGAAAGGCGCAATTCCACGTGATGGAGCCACGCTGGATGAGGAATGGATGCAAGAGGAAGAAAATAACCATATTCAAGGAGCTACATCTTCTTGTGGGTGTACATTTCCATTATACGTATGCTCGTCCCAAAAATGACACATACATAAATATATGTAATGAATCACATATATTTACACAGATTTTGAAGGGTGAGCTATTAACCCTGTAAAAGGCAACTGACATGAGCCTAAGGCATTCTGGTGACAAAATGGCCAAGAGGTGGGATGGGTCAAAGGATTATTGGCAGGGGGCCATATGCGACACCGCAGAGTTTAGATTTGCATATTAAGCGTGATTAGACAGTTTTCGTGGCAGAGGTCGGTAGACAGCTGACTTTTGGAAGCGAGGGGAGACTCAGGGGGTGAGGACTATACTGGGAATGGCTTCCCGGAGCAGAGAGAGCACCTGCTTCAGCACCACCCAGATGGATAGTACCAGAGCCAGGGAGCACACCTGGGAAATGAAGTGGGCTAGTGAGAACAAATGGGTAGGG
This sequence comes from Homo sapiens, assembly GCF_000001405.40. Lineage (NCBI taxonomy): Eukaryota > Metazoa > Chordata > Mammalia > Primates > Hominidae > Homo > Homo sapiens. Next base: position 68,320,628 of record NC_000002.12, read on the forward strand.
ATGCGTTTCCTTGGCAGTTTTTGTTTACCCAAGTTAGACTGCTCTTTTTTAAGAAATAATAAGCTATACATATAATATATATGTAATATGGGTGTTTATTGCAACATTGGTTGCAAAAATAAAAATAAAACCTAAATGAAATGTTAACCAATAAATAAATGGCTGAATAAATTCTTATATACCCACACTATAGAACGTTACACAACTATCAAAATAATGAAATATAGGTTGCATTGGCAAACACACAGGCAAAAACTGTTAATGATAAAAGTGGGATGGCTGGGAAACAAAGCCTGAGGGCGAGCATTTTGTCTGTTTTGTTTGTTGCTGTTTCCCCAGCATGCCAAAATAGTGCCTGACACATAGTAGGTGCTCCAGAAATCGTTGTTGAATTGACTTACGGTTGTGGTCTTAATCATGTCCATATGTAAATTCTTTCACATCTTTAAAATTAATTAGATCCTTGCGATTTACCTGGAATGATGAAAAGAAATCTAATTGCAAGTAGCATCTCTAGTGTTTTAGAAAAATGAAAATTTAAAAAGAATATAAATGTGTATGTTTGTATTAGCTCTTTTAAAAGAATGAGAGAGTTACACAGTAAACTTAATGTTGGTTATTATGGTTTATGAGTAGTGGAAAGAGGGTGAGTATCTTTTTGGGGTCATTTAAAAGCCTTTTTGGAAATTTTGCCTTTTTTCCTCAACCTTTTGTTTAGCAACCCCACAATCTCAAGCCAACTTCCACCTGTGTATCAAAAAGAGCATTGGACCTGGAGGATGATGACTCCATTTTAAAACCTGGTTCTAAGGCCGGCATGGTGGCTCATGCCTGGAATCCCAGCACTTTGGGAGACCAAGGAGGGCAGATCATTTGAGGCCAGGAGTTCAAGACCAGCCTCGCCAAAATGGCAAAACCTGTCTCTACTAAAAATACAAAAAATTAGCCAGGCGTGGTGGCGCATGCCTGTAGTCCCAGCTACTTGGGAGGCTGAGGCATGAGAATCGCTTGAGCTGGGGAGGCAGAGCTTATAGTGAGCCGAGATCATGCCACTGCACTCCAGTCTGGGCAACAAAGTGAGACTCCATCTGAAAAAAAAAAAAAAAACCCACACAAAAACAAAAACAAAAACTCTGGTTCTAGCCTGGCTAGGTAGTGCACTCTTGCAGTCCCCACTACTTGGGAGGCTAAGGTGGGAAGATCACTTAAGCCGACGAGTTTGAGGCCAGTATGGACAAAATAGTAAGACTGCCATCTCATAAATAAATAAAATAAAAAAAACCTAACTCTGCCACTTTTTAGTTTCGTTATGCAAATAACTTAACATCTTTATGTTTCATCTTTGTAAAATGAGGATTAAAATACCTCCTTCCCAACATTGTGAGAATTGAATGAGGAAATGGAAATTGTTTGAAAAAAATAAATTACTTTTCAAATACGAGGTGTTACTAATGCTGGGCAATATCCATTAGGAATAGCATTTTCAGGACCATACAATGTAATGTCTTAAAATGAAATTAATAAATGTAAAAGTAATTGGAAAATTTATCATCACTGATACATATGTGCAAAGAATATGAATATGGAGTCTGATGGATCTGTGTTTGTGTTGCCAGATCTGTGGATTACAAACTGAGTGACCTTGAGCAAAGCTGCTTTAGTCTCTTGGAGCCCCAGTTTCTTCATTTGTAAAATGATGATGGTGACATAGATGATGCATATAGAACCAAATGAAATTGTGTAAACTATGCAAGAATATCAGGCCCATAGAGACACTCAATACATTGTAACTATTTTTATTTAAAAATATACTTGCTGAATATGTAGCAACTTTTAGTTTAGATTCAGGTTTGTTACTGGAGCGTATTGCATGATGCTGAGGTTTGGAGTAGAAATGATCCCATCATCCAAGTCCTCAGTGTCTATTGTTACCAATGGAATGAAGACTACTAGCCAGGGAGGGAGGGAGACAAGTAAGGGTTGAAAAACTGTTTTATGTCCATGGGTACCCAATGGTTAGCACCCACTAAAAATGAGAACATGCGGTATTTGGCTTTTTTTTCCTGCATTAATTCATTTCTTGCTATATATTTTTAAGGTATCTAGTGCTTTCAGTCTTATTGTAGATTCTTTAATTATTACCTCAGATTGGTGATCTTAAACATTGTCTGTCTAATGGACAATGCTTATTATCATTCTTTTGAAAACTGTGAAATTGAGCCCAAGTGAACGATGGACTTAGTTGTCATTCAGAGGAATCACATGCTATGGTTCAAACGATTCTCCTGCCTCAGCCTCCCAGCTGCTTGTGTTCCCCCAAAATGGCTATGTTGAAACCGAATCCACAAAGCAATAGTATTAAGAAGTGGGTTCTTTTGGAGGTGATTAGGTCATAAGGGCTCTTCTGCCCACGTGAATGGGATTAGTAGTACCCTTGTAAAAGGGGCTTGAGGGAGGTCGTTTGCCCCCTTCTACCATGTATGGATGCAGCGGGAATTTGCCATCTATAAAGCAAACAGTGAACCCTCACCAGATACCAAATTTGCTGGTGCCTTGACCTTAGACTTCCAAGCCTCCAGAATCGTAAGCAATAAATTTCTGTTGTTTATAAATTATCCAGGCTAAGATATTTTGTTATAACAGCATGAACAGACTAAGACATTGTGCTAACAACCGTTCCATATTCGCTGTTCCAGTCTCTGCTGAATTCATAATATAGAGTTCAAAAACAGTTAGAATTATGACACAGGACATAGTTGTGTGCATGTATATGAAAATAACGTAGTTAAGAGTGCTGGGACTGGGTTATACACATACATATGTATACACTCAATTATGTCATGTGTCATAATGTGTCCTGGGCTTGGGTTATACACACACACAAACACATATACACAATATAATACCAGCACATTTAACAATGTATTTTCCTTTGTATTCATGTTTGCATTCAGGTACAGTTTAACATCTGCAGGAGTTATTTCTTATTTTTATTCTTAAATTAGTGTCAATGATTTATGAGGTGCTTGACTCCTTCCCTTTGCCTACCTCAGAATGTCTTAGCATTAGAGATCTTAACTGGTACATTTTACATTTTATTTTATTTTATTTTACTTTTATTTTTGAGATGGAGTCTAGCTCTGTCACCCATGTTGGAGAGCAGTGGTGCAATCACAGCTCACTGCAACCTCTGCCTCCCAGGTTCAAGCAATTCTTATGCCTCAGCCTTCTGAGTAGCTGGGATTATAGATACGTGCCACCATGCCCAGCTAATTTTTTTTGTATGTTTTAAAGCAGAGACAGGGTTTCACTATATTGGTCAGGCTGGTCTTGAACTCCTGACCTCAAGTGATCCACCTGCCTCAGCCTCCCAAAGTGTTGGGATTGCAGATGTGGGTCACAGTGCCCAGCCAGGTACACTTTACATTTATATCAGGGCTTTCTTTCTGGCTAGATTTAACAGACATAAAGACAAAGCCATCCTCCTGGACCAATTCTGAAGAACCTAGGTCCTCCCTTAGACCCAAAGGATTTTGTAGCCATGGCAATAAGCAGTAGACCTCATTTGTCTGCTAGGCTCTTAGGGGATCTGGTTACCTCCTTATACAGTCACATGCACCTTGGTCAGGTGATGGCGATCATAATGTCAGTTTCGTATTTTGTTCTGGGCCAATTTAGCATAGCACTTTATGTTCCAAATAATACTTTTGCTGTTTCCCTACATAAATGTTATCTTTCCTGAACAACCAGGACAGCTCCACTCACTTTTTCTCCACAAATGAAAGTAAATACTCAATTAAAACTAGATTCCATGAAGATAGTTTTCTACTTTTCCTGTTCTTGACTCCTTTTGTGAGGCTGGCTAGAGTTCCATTGAAAAAGAACACAAACCTCCTTACATTAGGTGGAAATATCTGTATTATTTCTACCACACCGATACTTCTAATTTTATATCTCCAGGTTCAAACATTTGTCTAAGTTCCAGATTCACATAACCAACTCCTGACAGAATATCTCTACATGCGTGTCTGATAGGTTAACAGGTGTCCCAAGCATAACATGGCTAAAAGTGAATTCTCAATTTTTTTAACCTCAAATTCATTCTCCCTGAGGGTTACTTTTTTTTTTTTTTTTTTTTTTCTGGAGACAGTGTCTCACTCATTCTGTCACCTAGGCTGGAGTGCAGTGGCGTGATCTTGGCTCACTGCAATCTCTGCCTCTCAGGTTCAAGTGATCTGCCTGCCTCAGCCTCCTGAGTAGCTGGGATTACGGGCACCTGCCACCATGATGGCTAATTTTTGTATTTTTAGTAGAGATGGGGTTTCACCATATTGGCCAGGATAGTCTTGAACTCCTGACCTCAAGAGATCCACTCGCCTTGGCCTCCCAAAGTGCTGGGATTACAGGTATGAGCCACCACACCCCACCAAAGGTTTCTTATCTCAGTAAGAGGCATCATAGTTTACTCAGTTGCTCCGGTAAAAAAAAATTGGTTTATTCTTGATCCCTGTCTTTTTAACCCTTTGCATCAAATCTATCAGGAAGTCCTATCAGTTCTTCACAAGCAAGCTGTTTCCAGGCACCTCTCACCATTCCTACTGTTACCACTGCGGTACAGGCTGCTATCACCCCCATGCAGAACACTGCACATGGCATCCTGATGTCCATCCCACTCCCACTCTTTCCCCTTACAGTCTGTTGTGAATATTTCCCCGCCTGTATCATACTCCAGGTCCTCACTCACTGTATTTTTCTTCAGAGCACTTGTCACCAACTGTAATTACAAAAGAAACTTGCCTACTTGTATATTGTACCCCCACTGTCCTCTGCAACCCCAGTGTATAAATACCTTTAGGGCAGAGATTATATTCTGTTTATAACTATATTCCCAGTACTTAGAACTGACCCCACTGTATAGGGGTGCTTATATTGGTTCAATGAATGTACAGATACATTAATTATTCAAGATTGTCATTCTTCTCCTTCATCAAGGCCCGAGTCAAGTTCTTCCTTTTCCTTGAAGCTATAACCGACTAGTCCAGCCCCCACAAACACTCACTTCCTTTGAAGTCCTACAGCAATCATGGTATGGGCAACTTTCAATTAATCGAAATGTTGGGGGTCATGGAGGGCTGGGAGAAGATAAGGCAGCATGGATAATCCAAATCTGAGGTAAAAATGGAATTAGTAAAAAATCCAGTACAAAATTTATATAATATTTATAATATACTTAATTTTTAGGGCATATTTTCCCTGTATAGATTTCTTTCAAAGGTAAAAATGATACAGCTACTTTTAGGAACACAAAATGTTACACAAATTGTTAAATCAAAAAATAGCAAAGTCTTCTTTGGTTTTCAAATAATACAGCGAGGTCCATGGCATATGAGTGTATCAATGAACAAACTGTCTTTTCAGAGTTCTGTATTTTCCAGTCATAGTCTGTGATATTGAGCTCAATTTTGTTTTTGCTCTCTGCTTTCCAAACACCATCATTTCCCATCTTCACACTGAGCAAACTCACAAAGCTGTCATTTTTCAGTCTTTGCAAACAAGGTTTCCATGCATTGGACCTATGCCACTGGTCATTGCCATTTTCTCCAGTGTGTTCTCTGAAAAACTAATGATATTGTGTGAATATGGTTATTGAGCAAAATAACACATTAAAGTTATCTTCTATTCTTTTTTTTTTTTTTTTTTTTTTTTTGAGACGGAGTCTCACTCTGTCGCCCAGGCTGGAGTGCAGTGGTGCAATCTTGGCTCACTGCAAGCTCCGCCTCCCGGGTTCACGCCATTCTCCTGCCTCAGCCTCCCAAGTAGCTGGGACTACAGGCGCCCGCCACAACGCCCAGCTAATTTTTTGTATTTTTAGTAGAGACGGGGTTTCACTGTTTTAGCCAGGATGGTCTCGATCTCCTGACCTCGTGATCCGCCCGCCTCGGCCTACCAAAGTGCTGGGATTACAGGAGTGAGCCACTGCATGCGGCCAAAATTGTCTTCTATTCTTAAGGCTGCAAATATTTTTTGTTTAGTGCAGATCAAACCAAACAAGGGCCATTTCCCGAGTCTCCTGTGATGGATCCAATCCATTACATCTTTTTCTCTTCCAAGAAAAACAATTTTCCATAACGTTTTCTTTCCTTCTTTCTTTCTTTCTTTTTTTTCTTTTTCTTTCTTTTTCTTTTTTTTTTACTCTGTTAAACGCAAGTGACAATGATTCAGGTTGCTTACCATGTGCCCCTCCCCCCATTTTTCTAATTGTTCAAATATTTCAAACATTGTTAAGATGCTGACGTTTTGATTACTGAGGTTATTTTAATTACACTTAAACTTTCAAACGTTTAACAACAGCATATAGCTCAGATTTCCAGAGAACAGTGGCAGAATGTCAGGCTGTGGCACAGTAGGTTGTATCTGATCAGTGAGGGGTTTAATGCTTAGCAGGTGGTATTAACTAACAGATGTTTTTAAATATGCAGGTGTTATGGCAATTTTAATATTTTTCCACAGATGCAATATTGCTTTCTAAATGCAATTATGTTGCAAACCAATTAATATACCACCAAACAATTAGTAATTGTTACTATAACAATTATATTTATTTACTATCTTATATGATTTTCTATTTGTTTCTTTTTCATATGTCTTATGTTTTAATCAGACTATAATTTCCTCTTCTTTTATATATGTCACAAAACCTAGCACAGCTGAATTAGTCAGGATTCTTTTGCAAGTGGTTGTAAGTATAAAAATTCAGTTCTAACCAGCTTAGGGGATTATTACCTGGGCATATTATGTGACAAAAGGAAGAGTTGATGAAGCAATACACAAGAGACAGAAAGGATCAGCTGGACCTCAGGAATAACCAGAACTAGAAACTTGAGAGCCAAATGAGTGGGAAGGGAGAATCATCGCTCTATAAAAGGGGGTAGTATTTCCCAAGGAAGCGACCAGTGAAGGTTCTGGGAAGGCAAAAGAAAAAATAAAAATAATAATAAATGACAGAGGTGGGATTTGAGCTGAGATGGTCCAACTCCAGTGCCTGAACTCCAAGCACAGTGCCTGCCAAGCCCACCATCACTGATAACCCTTATTGTATTAGTCAAATAACTGTAATCCTGTCTAATCTTATAGAAGACATAATTATGGAGTTCAAAGACCAGATGGGAGTTTTTTTTTTTTAACAATCTCTTGAAGTTTGTTCTACATCTAGAGTCCTGTGATTAACTAAGAAACAAGCTAAATAAGGGAAGTTAGGGTATCTGGATATTTCCACTTCCCACCTCCAACCTCTCCTCCCAACACCCACGTGCATGGCCACATACTCAGGTGCTGGGAACACCCCACACTGAAGTAGCATGCACAATCCCCATCACTTGTCTAAATGTATAGGAGGTATTTTTTGACATTAAGAAATCCCAATGCCCTTAAATTACAAAATATAATGAGATTTCCTACTAATGATGACTGGTCTGGCTCCAAGCTGCTGTTGGGATCATGTGATTGGCTTGGCAGAGTGACCGTTATTTTCTTGCTTGTCCCACGTTATGTTTTACAAAATGTCATTCTTGAATAATCAGAGGACTTATAATACTGACAAGTAAGAACTAATAAACAGTGGAATAGAATGTGTGCTCTAGAGGAAAATCAGACGACTGATTGAAAAACAAAGCACAATTCCCAAAGATCAAATTGTCACTTAAAGTGCAATATACTATTTGAGAACATCCTAAAAAGTGGGAATAAAGAAAGTATGGGGAGTTCCATAAGTAGACTAGGAAACAGCGAATAAACTTACATTTTTTTTTGAGGGGAAAAGATGCTATTATGTTATAAGGTTCAGAAAATCTGACCAGTGTTTTATGGAAAATAATGTGCAGGAAATTCCCCCCTCTTCCTTTACTAGTTCCTTGGGTTACACATAGACATTCCAAAGATGGTAGTTAAGTGTCAGTTTCAGGGACCGTCTGGTAAAGCAGTGTTCACAGACTGGGTGTCCAGACATGGGACTGGGTTATGAGGCGGAGTAGAAGGCTCTTGAGAGCAGCAATATGCCAGGAGTTAGTGTTACGAATCCAACAGGTCTTGTTCTAACGTAGGCAACATTATTACTTGTCTGTGGATGCATAAAAAGTGACCCCATAATTTTGCAGCTTAAAACAACAAACATCTATTATCCTACACTTTCTGGGTTTGCAAGAGTCCGGGGGCATTCAGTTGGGTGGTTCTGGATCAAGGTCTTTCATGAGGTTGCATTTAAGCTGTTAGCTGGGGCAGCAGTTTCTGATGGCTCCATTGGGGCTGGTGCATGTGCCGCCAAATTCACTCACATAGGTGATGGCAGGTCTCAGTTTCTCTGTGTCTGTTGGCTGTAGGCTTCAGTTTTTTGCTATGTGGGCCTCACCACATGACGTGGCAGAGATGGAAAGAGAGGAGGAACATGCACTCAAGACAGAAGCTGCAGTCTTTGTAACCTCATCTCGGAAGTGACATGTTATAGTTTCTACCGTGTGCTGTTGCACTGTGGGAGAGGACTGACTACCCGAGGGACTACACTGATGACCAGGAGGCAGGGATTGTTGGGGGCCAAGTTGGAGCCTGGGTACTACAGGCACAAAAGTATCCATTAAGATTGTTCTCCCTCAGAAATGCCAGGTCAAATCTGAAATATTCCTAACAAGAAAGCCCAAGAGAATAGACATATTTTGGTTTGAATAAACGACATTTTGTATGTGTATGTGTGTGCATGTGATCATTGCTCTACAAATATTTAAAACAGAGGTCAGCAAACTATAGCCGTTGGGCCAAATAAGGCTGCCTATTTTTGTGTGGTCCATGAAATAAGAATGGTTTCACATTTTTATTTACTTATGTATTTGTTTATTTATTTATTTTTTGAGATGGAGTCTCACTCTGTCACCCAGGCTGGAGTGCAGTGGTGCGATCTCAGCTCACTGCAACCTCCACCTCCCAGGTTCAAGCCATTCTTGCTTCGAGCCTCAGCCCCACAAGTAGCTGGGAACACAAGCATGCCACCATGTCTGGCTCATTTTTTTGTATTTTTAGTAGAGACAAGGTTTTTGCTATGTTGCCCAGGCTGGTCTCAAACTCCTGAGCTCAAGCGATCCACCTGCCTCAGCCTCCCAAAGTGCTGGGATTACAGGTGTCAGCCACCGCACCTGGTTGAGCCACCGCAGCCAGCCTCATATTTTTAAATGGTTGGTAAAAAGTCAAAACAATAACTATACTGATGACGTGGGAAACTACATGGTTCAAATTTCAGTGTCCATTAAATAAATTTTTATTGGAACACAGTCAAATTTTGAACAAATTTTGTAATATTAAGTATCTCTAACATATTAAACCAATGTTTCATAAACTGTTTAAACAGAACATCGATCTCACAAGAATTATTAGGTGTTCCACGAGAAATGATGTGTGGTCAAGTAACTGTGGGAAATCCAAAATTTAAAAATATTAACATATATGTTTGTATACATATGTATGTGTACACACACACACAACTAGAACTTTCTAGAGCTTTTAGCTTGATACAGTAAACAATACAGAAAACAATGCAATGTTTTCTAAATGTTTTTCAACTGCCAAAACCCATTCCTCAAAACTAATGTTAATATCACTGAGGGCACTTGTGTTCCACCAACTCCTGTTCCCATAAGTATTGAGATGTGTTGCATTAGATACATACCATACATATTTCCTGTTATGTGCCACTTGTTGAGAGTATAGAACAGATGCACACCATCTACTATTAATCTTGAAATAAGCATAATCAACCTGTATCTTGCTGTAATTATGTGTTATAAACTTAGGGGTATCATGACCTCTGCTCATTGTGAACTCCTTCTTCTCCTTCCTCTGAAGACCCAGCCATCTTTGGTGGGATGAGGGCAGGAAGAACAATGGAAGCAACAGACAGCTACAGTCCTCAGCAACTGAGGCCCACTCAGGAAATCCACCAAGACAATGAGTCCCTGGGTCCTTTCTTGAAGCAATATAAATTCATTAACCCTGGTCATGACTAGAAAAGTGGAAGAAAAAATAGGCATATGACAAGACCAAGATGTTTCCCAGCTGAGAGAGGGGGTTTGCAATACCCCCTTTTATTCACCCACTTTTATGGTGGCAGAACCATTCTCTTACTCATTTGCACTGGCTGTCTGGTCTTGCCCTATTTCACGCAGTCTTAGTGGAAATGCTGAACACAGTGCTTTGTGCTGGCTGTCACTCAGGAAAAAAGTAGTATGGAGATGAGTCAGCCAGTGACAGGGTCATAAGGAGATTGTGTATGTTTTCATGAGGGGAGCTGGGAGCTGTGGGCTGTCAAGGTTCTTGTGCGTTCTGAGGTCTGGGCATTCTATTTGAATAATGGCAGCTTTCCAATATCCTTCTTTTATTTTTTCTTTTTTTTGGAGATGGGGGTCTCACTATGTTGCCCAGACTGGACACGAACTCCCCAGCTCAAGTGATCCTCCAGCCTCCCAAGTAGCTGGGACTACAGGCACATACTATTCTATCCAGCTCAGTATCCTTCTAATAAATACTTTTTATTGTTTAAGTAAGTCAGAGTCAATTTTCCTTTCTGGCAATCAAATAATTACAGTAGAGTTGGGGTCAGGGGGTGCAGTATAATCAGATAATATATACTAAGATTTTAACAGTAACAGTTGTTTTCTAAAATTGTTCTTGTCTATATTTTCTACAATGAATAATGAATATGTATTATTTTTATACTATCAAATGAAAGGATAATAAAGCTACTTTTACCAGGATCGAAGACAGAGATAAAACCAGGCACCTGGGATTTGTTGATTACCACAATTGAGCCTTGAATTTGGCTCGAAGGTTCCTGGGAGTTAAGGAGAAAACTTGGGACAGGAAACATATGGGTTATTTAGTCTGACAAAAAGAAGAAAACTTATTTTGCTAAAGAGACGAGGTTTTTCCTGGCACTGAATTTAAGGAGAAATCTTGTACACGTGTGGGTTCTTGTATAAGACACATAGAGTAACTTAACGGCTATTATCTTGAAATGTGGTTTTACAAAAGACAGAGTGTTCTTCAAATGGATTTTTATATTAGTATGGTATAAAAACTAAGAGACTCACAGTAAATCTTAACATAATGAAGGTATCTATGCAAGAGACCAAAATAATAAGGTCAGATAAATTTCATTCTTCAGGTACCAACCAAATGCAGGGAAATCCCAGCTCTTACTTTCACTTACCTTAAAGCCTGACTTCTTGCAATGTAGATCCAGTTCACAACATTCTTCTTCTTTTTTTTTTTTTTTTTGAGATGGAGTCTCACTCTATCGCCCAGGCTGGAATACAGTGGTGCCATCTCGGCTCACTGCAACCTTCGCCTCGAGGGTTCAAGCGATTCTCCCACCTCAGCCTCCTGAGTAGCTGGGATTACAGGCACATGTCACCAAACCAAGCTAATTTTTGTATTATCGGTAGAGATGGGGTTTCACCATGTTGGTCAGGCTGGTCTCGAACTCCTGACCTCGTGATCCGACCACCTCGGCCTTCCAAAGTGGTGCAATTACAGGCGTGAGCCGCTGCACCCGGCCAACACAACATTATTCTTCACAAGTGGATATATTTGTGATTAGTTTGTGCACATTCCTCACTGAACAGCAGAAATTTAATCAAACACATCCAGTCGAGTTGGGTCTTCTTCCCAGTTATCTCTTTTCACCTCTTTCTCATCCCCAAATTTCTATAAATCCTCTCTGATCCAAGTTCATCTCTTGGCCTCAACTAAGGACAATCAAGCTTTTGCCTACCTTACTTAATAAAAATGTATGGCTTAGTTAGTAGAATAATTTCCATTTATTGTTCTCAAACAAGGCCATTAATGCCTTACCAACCTACCAAAAAATATTATCTTGGGACTTCTGCTTTTGACATGATGGTGAACCATATAGTCGTAAAGAGCTCTTCTCTTACCAAACAACTTGAACCAACACAAAACCTAATTTTTATAATATTCTTGTATCACAGAAAATAGGAAACTTTCCAAAGGAAAACAACAACAACAACAACAACAACAACAACAACAGACACCCAGTGAGTCTTAAGTGCCTCTGAGAAGGTAGAGTTGAAGAGGGAGCAAACAAAATTAAGAGATCAACCCTGCAATCCAGAAACTCAGCTGATGGCCAGTGGTAAGATGAGGGAAGTTGGGGGAAGGGACACGTTTAAAACCCCAGATGCTCCAAATATGGATTAAAAGTGGTTGCAGGCTGGGCGCAGTGGCTCACGCCTATAAACCCACTACTTTGGGAGGCTGAGGTGGGCAGATCACCTGAGGTCAGGAGTTCGAGACCAGCCTGACTAACATGGTGAAACACCATCTCTACTAAAAATACAAAAAATTAGCCAGGTGTGGTGGCGCATGCCTGTAATCCCAGCTACTCTGGAGGCTGAGGCAGAAGTGCTTGAACCTGGGAGGCGGAGGTTGCCGTGAGCCGAGGCCTCGCCATTGCACTCCAGCCTGGGCAACAAGAGCGCAACTCCATATCAAAATAAATAAATAAATAAATAAATAAATAAATAATAAAAAAATAAATGGTTGCAGGTTTGTAACGCCCCCAACTCTTTGACGAAGTGAATAAAAATCATCTCTGGAGGAAGAATTCTTGATTTAAGCCCAAACATTTTTCAACTGATGAATTTCAGCAAAATATCAGTTCATGATCAAAGATCACCAAAACCATATAGAAGAAAAAAGAATAAGATTCCACACAAACAACAAGCAACACACTTAGACCACTAATGACTTCAGTTATTAGAACACCAGCTAGGAAATATAAAATATGGATGAAATGTTCAAAGAGAGAGAAGATGAAGCCACAAAGACGAGTTAGGTCATGAGACTATAAAATATGCTAAGGTAGCTATAAAAAATAATTTAAAATTCAATGAGACCAGGTAGCAGTAATCCATTTCCAAACAACATTACAGAGCTGGGGAAAGAATCAACTATCCACCAGCAGTAGAATGAATACATTATGGGCAATAGAATACCGTGCATTATTGAAAATGATCCAACTAGAGCTATATGTTGTAATACGAATGCATCTCTCAATACTAAACTAAAGAAACAAGAACTTCAAGAATAAAAATAATAGGATCCTATATATTTCAAAAACAAGTAAATTATGATAACAGTTAGAGATATTTGTCTGTTTATATGTGCACATAAATGATAAAGGAAATCAAGAAATGATTATCTTGCAATCAAGGTAACTGTAATCACTGGGAGTGAGTGAGGCAGGGATGTATGAAGGAGAGAGGCACATGGGGTTTCTAGGACACTGGAACTATTCTATTTCTTGACGAGTCGTTACACACATATTCATTTCATCATTTTTCTTTAAAGTGTTTACACATTTTATGTACTACTCTGTATATGTATCACATGATAAAAGCAAAGAAAAAAGCCAGACCGGGGCCCACACTCCCACCAATGAGGATAATTGTGTTGTTCTTATCTGACCACATCCATCAGTAAGCAATATATCACAGCTACCTCTCAAAAAAACAAAAAACAGCCAAAAACAAATGAAAAAGTACAGAAAATTATTAGAATGGATTGTACTGCAATTAAGAATGCTTGTTCATCAAAGACACCATAAAGGAGAGAAAAGACAATCTACAGAGTGTGAAGAGGTATTTATAAAAATTCTAGAAAAGTCAGATATACACTAAGAGCTCAGTTGGGGTAAGTAACTACCTCATTCTAGGTGCCTGATGCCATCTCTGTCTCTAATTCTGCTTGTAAAAATAGTTTTATTATTCTTTCATATTATAAAAATAATATTCATTATTTGTTGTAGGAAATATAGACAAGGAAAATGAAAAGAAAAGCAACTGTTATTTTTAAAATCTTAGTGTATATTATCTGATTCTACAGCCTACTGCCATGCCCCAACTTCATTATTGTTATTTGGTTGCCAGTAAGGAAAATTGACTCTGACTTACCTAAACGATGAAAAGGCTGGGCATGGTGGCTCTCGCCTGAAATCCCAGCACTTCGGGAGGCCAAGGCGGGTGGATCACCTGAGGTCAAGAGTTCGAGACCAGCCTGCCCAACATGGCGAAACCCAGTCTCTACTAAAAATGCAAAAAATTAGCCGGGCGTGGTGGTGAGCACCTGTAATCCCAGCTACCCGGGAGGCTGAGGCAGGAGAATCGCTTGAACCTGGGAGGCAGAGGTTGTGGTGAGCCGAGATCGAGCTACTGCGCTCCAGCCTGGGCAACAAGAGCAAAACTCTGTCAAAACAAACAAACAAACAAACAAACAAACAAAACAAAAAAAACAGACACATACAATGAAAATTATTTATTAGAAGAATACTACAGAGCCTTGTGCAAATCAAGCAGAATGCTCAGGCCACGGAATACACAGGAACCTTGGTGGCCCTCAGCTGTCAGCAACCAAAATCATGGGCAATCTCCCTAGGACCCTTCCTCAGGTTGTTTTATCTTTAAACAACTTTTGTCCCTGAATGGTTACACTCCAGATCTAAAATCCCAGCAAAGGTGCTTATTAGCGGGCATGGAGCACTGTATTAGGAAACCCCCCAAATACTTGGAATGTGACAAGAGCAGGCACCCAGACCAAAGAAGTATGTGTATATTTGGGGGGAAGATTGTAAGGGGACAGTTATTTCCCCATGAAAACAAGGGAAAATAATGAGCCACCCAAAATAACAAACATAAGACCACCCTCTACATATTGTTTTAAGGCGATGTTTTATTTTTTATTATTATTTTATTATTTTTTTGAGACAATGTCTCACTCTGTTGCCCAGGCTGGAGTGTAGTGGCATGATTTCTGCTCACTGCAACCTTCACCTCCCAAGTTCAAGTGATTCGCTTGCCTCAGCTTCCCAAGCAGCTGGGATTACAGGAGCATGCCACCATGCCCAGCTAATTTTTTGTTTGTTTGTTTGTTTGTATTTTTAGTAGAGATGGGGTTTCACCATGTTGGCCAGGCTGGTCTCGAACTCCTGACCTCAGGTGATCCACCTGCCTCGGCCTCTCAAAGTGCTGGAATTACAGGCGTGAGACACTGTGCCTGGGCTTAAGGCAGTGTTTTAAAACTTAATATTTCTCAATATTTCTATGTCCTTAAGGACTCCCTTATAATTATTTTTAGCTTTTATATTGAAATATACAATACATCCAAAGAGTGCAAAAATTGTAAGGGTATAGGCTGATGAATTCTCACTACATAACTATCACTAACATCAATAAATAAAATAATGTCCCCCAAACTCTCCTAATCATTACTCACATATTCCTTCCCAAAGATAACCACCAACCTGATGTCTAACATCATGAATTAGTTTTACCTGTTATTGAACTTCGTGTGAACGGAATCTGTGTGAATTCTTTTGTCTGGCTTCTTTTGATAAGTGTATTTGTTGGATTCATTCCTGTTACTATGTTGGCAGCTGTCTATCCGTGTATATGATATATAGCCTTTCCATTGAATAAAAATACCATCATTTATTTGGTATATTTATTTACTGTTGAGGGAAAGTAAGCAATTTCTACATTTTAGCTAGTACAAAGACTACAGTGATGAACTCTATACCATTTTTTTTTTTGGGTGAACATATGGGTGCATTTGCAAATGTTCAGCTTTAGCGAATATTGCCAAATAGCTTTCCAAAATTGTTTTGCTAATTTACATCCCCCCATCAGTGTACAAGAATTTCCAGTTCCTCCACATTCTTGTCAACATTTGTGATTGCTAATCTTTGAAATGTTAACCATTTTTGGTGAGTGAGTAATGTTATCTCATTGTGGTTTTAATTTATGTCTAGGTTTTAAATTACATTTCCATAGTGACTAATGGGATTGAGTCTTTCCCTCATAAATTTAATGGGCCTTTAAAATGTTCTCTTTTGTAAAAAGTACCTGTTTGTGTCTTTTGCAAATTAAAAAAAGTCTATTTTTTCTTATTCATTTGTAAGAATTCTTTGTATATTCTGGATATGATTCCTTTGTTGGCTAAATATGTTCCCACTAACTGTTCCCAGTCTGTAACTTGTATTTTCATTCTCTCAATGATGTCTTTTGATAAACAGAAGTTCCTAATGTTAATATAATTCTATTTCTTAATTTTTTATATTTCTTTTGCTTAACCTAAGTTCTTAAATATCTTTCCCCATATTTATTCGTTAAAACTTTTGTTTTCCCCTTTCGCATTTAGATCTAAACACATTTGGAGTTGGTTTTAATCTCACTTTTATCCACTAAAAAATAAGGTATAATTTATAAGCAGTAAAATATACTGCAGTGAGATGCTCAATTCTGTGAGTTTTAACAAACACATGCAGTTATATAACTACCACCACAATTGAGACATAGAGCATCTCTATCACCTCCCCAAATACCCTCACGTCTTGTACTCAACTATTTCCCCCATTCTCAGGCCCAAATAACCATTGGTATTTTTACTGTCTATATTTTTTCTCACCCAGAATGTCATATAAGTGGAATCATACAATACGAGCCTTTGAGGCTGACTCTCTCACTTTTCATAATGCAATTGAGAGTCACCCATGTTAGTGTGTATCTTTTTTATTGCTGGATAGTATTCCATAGTGTGGATGTATCATTGTTTATTCATTTACCAGTTGAATTATATTTGAATTGTTTCTAGTCTTGGACAATTATAAATAAAGACACTATAAACATTCATGTCTATTCATAGCATTTTAGATTAGCTTTACTTATCATTTAATTTGGATAAATACATAGAAGTGGAATTCTTGGGTAATGTGATAAGTATATGTTTAACTTGATAAGAAATTACCAAATTATTTCCTAAAGTGGCTGTGCCATTTCATATTTTAACCAGCAACATATGAGTTTTCCAGTTGTTCCACATCCTCACCAGTACTTGGCATTATCAGTTTTAAAATTTTAGCTATGCTAGTAGATGTGCAATAGCATCTCATGATTTTAATTTGCATTTCCCTAATGACTAATGATGTTGAACATCTTTGCATGTGCTTATTTTGTCACATATATATCTTCTTTGGTGAAGTATTTACTAGTTTCCCATTGCTGCTGTAACAAATGACCACAAAGTTAGTGGCTTTAAAAAACATAAATGTATTATCACACGGTTTGGAGGTTGGAAGTCCTAAAACAAAGTGTTGGCAGGGCTGTGTTCGTTCTGAAGGCTTGAGAGGACAATCAATTTCTTTGCCTTTTTCTATTCTTCAGAGGCCACCTGCATTCCTTGGCTCATGGACTGAGTCAGCAGCATATTATCTTCCAATCCCTCTCTGCTTCCATCATCACATTGCCTTTTCCTGACCTTGACCCTCCTTCCTCTCTTTGATAAGAACGCCCATGACTACATTAGGCCCACCTGGATAATACCTGCCTCAAGATCCTTAACTTAGTTACATTTACAAAGCCCCTTTTGTCATGTATGGTAACATCTTCACAAGTTCCAGGGTTCAGGTGTGGACAACCCTGTAGATGGAGAGGCATCATACAATCTACATAAAGTGCTTTTTCCATTTATTTTGCCCAGTTTTGTACTGGGTTGTTTGTGTTTTATTATATAGTTTTAGAGTTCTTCATATATTCTGGATTCAACCCAGAATGTGATTTGCAACTATTTTCTCCCAATTTATGTCTTGTCTTTTCATCTTCTTGATGATGTTTTTCAAGGAGCAGAAGTTGTTCATTTCGAAGGATTTCAATATTTCAATTTGTTTTTCTTATTGATCATGAGTTTGTTGTTGTATCTGACAAACCTTTGGTAACCTAAGGTTGCAACGATTTTTTCCTGTTTCTTTCTTCTGCAAGTTTTCTAGTTTTAGCATTTATATTTAGAGCTATTATTCACTTTTAGCTAATTTTTGTGTACGATGTAAAGCATGGATCTTTTTCAGGACTTTGAATCTTGAATAAATGATGCAAAGACTAAAACATAGTTAGAATTCATTAGGCCAGGAGTGGTGGCTTACTCCTGTAATCCCAGCACTTTGGGAGGTTGAGGTGGGCAGATCGCTTGAGCCCAGGAGTTCGAGACCAGCCTGAGCAACAAGGTGAAATGCTGTCTCTACAAAACAAAAAATTCAAAAATTGGCTGGGCATGGTAGTGAACACCTGTGGTCCCAACTACTAGTGAGACTGAGGTGGGAGCATTGCTTGAGCCCAGAGGTAGAGGCTGCAGTGAGCTGTGATTATGCCAGTGTACTCCAGCCTGGGTGACAGAGCCAGACCCTGTCACAAAACAAAACAAAACAAAACAAAACAAAACAAAACAAAACACATCATCCACAGTGGTAGTTTGTGGTGGATATCCCGGTATCCACAGTGGTAGTTCATGTTGGATAACCTTTGTAAGTTCCAGAGTAACAATAGTGTCTGACATAGAGCTCCCAAGTCCATTGGAATTTCCTGGGTGATAGAAACATCTTTTGTTCTAGTAAGCTGACTCTTGATGTGCTCCTGGATGTTGAGGTTGGTCACCAGAAGGACCAAGCCATGATTAGACAATTGGAACTTTTAGCCCTACTCCTCCACCCTCCAGGAAGGAGACAGGGGCTAGAGACTGAGTTAATGATTGATCACGCCTATGTCATGAAGCTTCCATAAAAATCTCTAAACTATTGGGTTCGGAGCTAAGCAAGTGGAGGTGCCTAGAGGATGCCATGCCCAGAGAGGGTCTGGATGCTCCGCTCCCCTTCCCATATACCCTGTCCTATGCATCTCTTCCATCTGGCTGTTCATCTGTATCCTTCGTGATATTTTATATAATAAACCTATAGACGTAAGTAAGTGTTTCCCTGGGTTCTGTGAGCCATCCTAGAAAATTAATTGAGCCTGAGGAGGGGGTGCAACTTGGAGTCCCGAATTTGTAGCCAAATTGGGCAGAAATTGTGGGTAACTAGACTTGTGATTGGCACTTGAGGTGGGGTGCAGTCTTGTGGGAATGAGCCCTTAATTTGTGGGATCCGACTCTACTCCAGGTAGATAGTGTCAGAATTGAATTAAATTATAGGACACTAGTTGGTGTCTGCTGAAGGGTTGATTGGTGCATGGGGACAACCCCCCACCCCCCGTCCCCCTACATTTTGGCAACCAGAGGTGAAGTATACTGTGTACTGTGTTGACTGGTAAGGAAAAAAAGACATGTTTTGTTTCTCTGATACTCAAGGCAACTATACTGAAGATAACAATTTTATGTTCAACAAAACAAAAAATGCCTAAGCAAACAAAATCCTCAAATAATAACAACAAACAAAAACACCTTCCTTAGAAACCAGTATGAGATGATAAATATGCATTTCTCTACCACATCCAAACATTTTAAATTAAAGGATTTATTACAGGCACGGAAAAAAAAATGTGACTGACATTGTACTGCTTATTTGAGGAGTTATGTGAGAAAACTTGAGCTGAACAGTATGATTTTTATTTATCCTTATGATGTCTAGATTGACAGATAGACTAATGTCCTAGAATATTGTTTTTTGGGCCCATCCCCTGTTTATATGTCTCTTCTCATGTTCCCATAGTGAAAAGAGATCTTCCCTATAACTATATTCTAATATTAAGTTCTTATTTGGTGGAAATTTGAGAGAGAATTAAATATGAGTTCTTAAAACACTCTGGACCTCTAAATGGTTACACTCTATTTTTTATGTTTACCTTTGCCTTTATTATACTGTGCATTATGCTTATTTTATTAGTGGTGACATAAGAATTTCCATGAATAATTTCTGAATGAGCACTTGCAAATGCTAACTACTACAGAATCAGAGATGAGAGAACATGAGCCTTGGTACTAGATGGACCTGGGTTTCAATCCCAGCTTTGACATTTATTAGACTTTACAGAGGTTCTTAGCCTCTTTATGTCTCAATTTACCCTTCTGCAAAATGGAGATGTTACCTTCCTGGGATGCACAGATTAGGTGCTCTATAAATATGGCTCTATAGAGGAGGACATGGGGGTTGAGAAGAGACAGAATTTGCATTCTCAAGGGCATTTACCGAAGAGCATTCTGGAGTGAATCCTAAGGGATGAATCTGACTTGCTTTTTGCCTGCTTTTTTGTAGCCGTGACAAACTATGTGTTCCTCCCCTACTGCCTGCCTGCCTCTGCTGTTACCATGGCGATCCAGGTTCATTTTAGGAGTCTGTGACAGGACAGATTGGCTTTTGCAATTTGTAAAAATCTCACTCTCTAAAAATAAGGACCAGGCAGCCAGGGTGGCAGTAACAACACGGTGTTGGGTAGATTTTCTGCCACCTCTCAGCTACACGGTAGTAGTGGAGAACCTATTGTCAGCTTGGCATGCTGCTGGATTCTGGATCTCTGGGTTTATCTGGGGCATAGTCAACTGACTGATAAATTATAGCAGTTAAAGATTACCATTAGCTTTTCAGTTTCCCTCCCTTCAGTTTCTTTTTTTACACCGCGTGCCCTCATGTTCCGCCCCTTTCTAGTATCAAACACCTGCTCTCAGATCATTCATTCTTACCAAGTAGACACAGTAGAAGTCACTTAGTGGGCAATAAACATAGAGATTCCTATAAATTGATTTAAGAAAACTTTTTATTATGGAAAATTGCAAACATGAAAAAGTAGACTGAACTCATCACCCAACTATAAGAATTACCAATTCATGACCAACGCACATTCCCATGCAATTTCACTCTTGCCTATATTTTTGAGCAAATCTCAAAAATTGTTATTCCTTAGTTCATAAATATTTCAATAGAACCTCTAAAAGATGAGAGTTGGGTTTGTGTGTGTGTGTGTGTGTGCGTGTATGTTTTTAACACGACCACAGTACTATTTAAATTGACCTTGGAGATGGTCTTTATCACTCTTGGAGGAGTTTTAAAGAAAAAAATTATTTTCTTGCGCTTCTTCTAGTGAAGGTTTAAAGGCTGCAAGAACTTCCCTCCTGTAACAAACAACTAGAAAATTGAAAAAGTATATATAACAAGTGTTTTCAGACAGTGGACAACAGGCAACATAGGACTGTGAAACCTGGGAGGAGGGAAACCAATAAGGTGAGCCCTGTGATGGTTGCAGCTCACTGTCAGGAGCCAACTCAGGGCCACCGGGCAGGAAGGAGAACTGAAACAGAGCCTGGCCGACTCACCAAATTAAGGAAGAAGCAATCAGGGTTAGGGGGGTCCTGGCTAGGATTTGCAGGGCGGAATATCAGTGAGGAAGGGAGGGCAGAGGCAAGGACCTTGCCTTTTTTCACATAACAATGTATTCATTCATTCATTCATTCTTCGTTTAAAGATTATTTAGAGAGTTCCTCATATGTGCCAGGTCCTGTTCTAGATGCTGGGGTTGCAGCCTACCTAATGATGTATTGTCCATCACCAGCAGTAATTCCAGGTATCATACTGGGCATTCAACCAGTAAGACACAATGGGATTGAGTCTAACACTAAGTTTACTCTGTAGATGGGAAACAGCATGCAAACGTCTTTGATTGCATCAGTAGTCCCAAAACTACTTTCTGGGAATGCAGTTACCATGAACCAGGTCAAGGTATGTGTAACTTATTTTGAAACAGAAAATGTACTTCCCTAATACTCCACTTGCCTTTTGATATGATTTCAGTTACATAGAGCCAAGATTTAAGTGCCACTTTGCTGCTCTTCCAGTAAACAAGACAGATAACCAACTCATGGTATGTAATATTTGACATTTATGCAAGGGAATTGTGCTTTCAGAAGGCAATCCCGGGGTCATCTCTCCAAGCAGGCCTGCGGTTTACCCCTTTAGTCACTGGCATACTTTTGATGGGGATACACACAAACCCAGGTATATCATCAAGACAGTAATGATAAATATTATCATATGGTCAATAAAATAGAAAGAGATAGAGGATGATGGAAGGTGCTGCTTTATACCTTAGTGAGGGGAGTCCTTGTGTATTTATCATTTGCACACAGCTAAGTACATCCCTAAGACAATTGTTCAAAAGCAGATTTGCTGAGTCAAAGTATATGTGCTTTTATAATTTGGTAAATATTGCCAAATTTCCTGTTGCAGAGTTGCTCCATTTTGCATTTCTACCAGCAATGTGACTACTCTCCCCTACCTTCATCAACACAAGGTACAATCTAAGTTTTGCATTTGAACCATTTGATATGTGAAGAATAGCATCTCATCATTCCGTTGTGCATTCCTTTTATTATAAATTGCATCACACATTTTTCACAAGCTTAAGAATCATTTGAACTCTCTTTCTTGTAAACTGCCATTTCATGTCCTTTATTCATTTTCTGTTGTCTTTATCATATTTCTCTGTATGAATTCCTAGTACATTAGAGAAATTAACCTTTTGTCCATGATCTGTAATAACTTTTTTCCAATTTGACATTTGTCTTTTTATTTTGCTTGTGATTTTTTCTCATACGTACTTTTTTTACTTTTATGTAACTTGGTTTATTAATCTCTCATGGCATCTCCATTATGAAATTATAAAAATAATTTTATCCCATGGTTTTTGGATAGAACTTTCCTGGTATCATTTTTAATGTTTACATTTTTTATCTATCTGGAATTATTTTGATATAAATTTACCTTTTTTCCCATTTGATTATCTGTTACAACACCACTATTTATTGAATAATAATTTGATTACATTTCAAAGCATACATATCTACTCTTTATTGGCCACATAGAATATGCACACTGTAGGGCTTTGTCAAAAACTATAACCTCAAAACTATTGATGCTCAAGTTTTATCCTAGTAACGAACTATCAAAATGATCCCTGAGAGTAGAGTCTTTCAAGTTTTATCCCAATCATTGCGATGAAAAATGATTTATGTGGAGGATTTTTTAAAGGATATTCATCTGACATTTGTGTGCCTGTGTGTTTATTTCTTCTTATTTTTCCAATTACAGTTTTGAAAGACAGATGATTAGAGAGTTTTATATATGGCTCCTATTGTCTTAACACGGATCAGAAGCAGGGCCTTTTTCTTTTTTCTTTTTTTTTTTTTGAGATGGAGACTTGCTCTGTCACCAGGCTGGAGTGCAGTGGTGCAATCTCGGCTCACTGCAACCTCCACCTCCCGGGTTCAAGTGGTTCTCCTGCCTCAGCCTCCCGAGTAGTTGGGATTACAGGCACGAGCCACCATGTCCAGCTAATTTTTGTGTTTTTAGTAGTGATGGGGTTTCACCATGTTGGCCAGGCTGGTCTTGAATTCCTGACCTCACGTGATCCACCTGCCTATGCCTCCCAAAGTGCTGGGATTACAGGTGTGAGCCACTGCTCCCAGTTTGGGCCTTTTTCAAGTTGAGGCTCCCAGTCTGGGCCTTTTTCAAGTTGAGCATTTACTTCCTTACTTAGGATCTGTTGAGAGATTTTTTTAAATGGCTATACAAAATCTAAGACTGCATTTATTATAGAGATATTTTATTCAGTGCCTTCTACATGAAATACACAGGAAGCAATTTTTTTCCCTAAGAATGAAGAGTCAAAGAAGCTTTGTTTATCCTGTGGAAATGTGGCTCTTTTGGGGAGTTGATGTTAATTTAATGATTGATTTCTTTTGGCTGCCAAACAACACAGCCTAGGGGCGTAGGCATGCTGGGTGTTGTTTGAAGCTTGCAGGCTCTAGAGTGGGGCAGACATGGATCAAGTCCCTACTGTTACCCAAATAAGCTGAGTTGCTTTGGGCAAGTTATTTAACTTCTCTGTCCCAGCTGCCTTATGTGTAAGACAGGAATAATAATAATGATAGCTGCCTTATTAAATTGGGAGGATTAGATGAGATTAAAAAATAAGTAAAAGGTTTAGCACAATGCCAACATATAGTAAGCATTCAATATACATTAGCTGTTACTATTACTGTGGATTCATTTTGATCGAGGTGTTAAGAATCACACCATTTTTAAAAAGGTTGATAGCATTTGGAAGATTAACAAAAGCCTTAGATGCATTGACATCTGTCCCTCCCATGAAGAAGTGAATTATTTCTCTTTTGCTATTGTTCTGAATAGCCTATAAGCTATGCACTTGAAAAGATTAAACTATACAAAAATAAACAAAATGTGAATGAATCCTATTTATTTTATAGAATTTCAGAATCTAGATGTTGGGCTGGAACTTAGATGTTATCTAGTCCAATCTCCCTTCCGAAAGTTATTTGGTAAATATGTAAATAAACTCAGATTTTAACTTTTTCCCCTATGCATGAGACTGAAGTATCTTTTAAAGAAATGTGAAATCTACTTGAATCAGAATAAAATATATACATATTATTCATATTATTTCTAAACTTTAGAATGTCAAAATATTCTCAGAACTGAATTGTGATCCGACATTTCATTTGGTCTAAATGCCATTGGGAAGCAGTTTCCTCCACTTTTTATGGGGAGTGGGAAGCGACAGGGCATGAGATCTCACCGCGCTGGGGACACCACATCTAACTCCATGTCCCGCGCAGCGCAGCCAGGCAGTAACCAGCAAGGACTGCCGCTGCTGCAGAGAGGAGGTTGTGCTGACCCAGGAATAACAGCTATGAGCTGATGATGTCAGTAACTTTTAAAATAGCTTATTTAAAAATCTTTTCAGTGACCTCAGCTACACTTAATGCCAGTTAGCTCATCTGGACATAGGCAGGAAATGTTAGAAGGTTGGGTGACAACTGGAACTCCAAGCAGCTGTTATCCTAAGAAGCTCATTTTAGGAAAGAACTTGTCTGAACAAGTCGGAGACTGAAGATACCCTCGGTATCTAGTGACCATGATGTAGATATAGATCCAGTGTGTCCCCAGCCATGCAAGTCTGCAGAAAATCTAGCATCACAAGAACAGTTACACATGGTATTTCTAGCGCTCTGCCCATATCTTCTGTGATGGCAACTCTGGTGCCCTTTCTGGGTCTCCTGTGTATTTTGGAGATTCTGTGGATGACTCACATGGATTCATGGGCTTAATTCTATCAGTCACTGTGGGTTTCCTCTATTGCCCCTCCTTACGATTCTCTTCTGCAGCCATGCAGCCACCGCAGCAGGTGATGCCTGGATTCTGCTGCATCCAGGCTGCAGATGCCTGATACCTGACACCCTCGGAACTGACGTCTGCACTGAGAGCACATCTCCCAACTGCAGAGCCCAGGTGATGGTGCTGCTGCCAGCAGAAGTGCTGATGGGCCAAGCTCCTACAAAGCTTTCTTGGTCTTCTGGAGCCTTCAGTGTGTTGAAGCCACACCAAAGCAGAAGGCGCTTTCTCATTAGTGGAATAGTATGTTAATTGGACACCAAAGCTATGCCATAAAATCATCAACACTGTATAATTGTTGCTATTGAAATGCTTATGGTTCATTATTAAACATGCTCTTATTAAAAATTTGACCATTTATTCCACAACACCTAGGTCATCACTCCACCTGCCTCTGCATCCCGATGTGCTGGGATTACAGGCATGAGCCACCACGCCCAGCCTTACTATCTGGCTTTTTACAAAAAAGGTGTACCAACCCTTTATTTTTATTTTTATTAATAATTTTTTGTACTCAGCAAAAATACTACTGATTTACCGTTTATTATAAAGGGTATAATTCAGGAACAGCCAAATGGAAGAGAGATAAAGGGTAAAGAAATGTGTTGAGGGAAGATGGGATGCGTAAGTAATCCTCCAACTCTTGATTTAGATTTTCAAATGAAAAATAGATTAAGTTCCACTCCAGAACATAAATTTAAAGAAGATGAATAATCCTATGGTGGATTTTAAAGAGGAGTCAGAGTATTGCATTTGAGGTATAGATCACAAGTGAAATCTTGAAGAATGAATGGACTTTTCTCGGAGGGATCAATACAATTGTTCTTTCAGGGACAAGCAAATATGGGAAGTATATGACTCTTGAGATATATAGTTGATCTGTCTCATAGCATGCATTTAAAATTTTGAAAGGTACTAACACATTGCTCTCCAAAGAGATTTTTATTAGTTCATATTCTCACTATAGTATATGAAAGTGCCTGTGGGCTGTCATCAATATGAAAAAATTTCCAAGCCTGAAGAGCAACAAATAACATATCCTTATTGTTTTAAGTTGCATTTAAAAAATTACTAGTGAAATAATACCAAACAGTCTCTCAGACCACAGTGCAATCAAATTAGAACTCAGGATTAAGAAACTCACTCAAAACCACACAATTACATGGAAATTGAACAACCTGATCCTGAATGACTCCTGGGTTAATAATGAAATTAAGGCAAAAATCAAGTTTTTTGAAACCAATGAGAACAAAGAGACAACCTACCAGAATCTCTGGGACACAGCTAAAGCAGTGTTAAGAGGGAATTTTATGGTACTAAATACCCACATGAGAAAGCTAGAAAGATCTCAAGTTGACACCCTAACATCACAATTAGAAGAGCTACAGAGGCAAGAGCAAATTAATCCAAAATCTGGCAGAAGACAAGAGATAACTAAGATCAGAGCGGAATTGAAGGAGATAGAGATACAAAAACCCTGCAAAAAATCAATGAATCCAGAAGCCGGTTTTTTGAAAAAATTAACAAAATAGATATATTGCTAGCTAGACTAATGAAGAAGAAAATAGAGAAGAATCAAATAGACACAATAAAAAATGACAAAGGGGATAACACCACTGACTCCACAGAAATACAAACTACCATCAGAGAATAATATAAACACCTCTATGCAAACAAGCTAGAAAATCTATAAGAAATGGATAAATTCCTGGACACATACACCCTTCCAAGGCTAAACCAGGAAGAAGTCGAATCCCTGAATAGACCAATAACAAGTTCTGAAATTGAGGCAGCAATTAATAGTCTACCAATAAAAAACAAGCCCAGGACCAGATAGATTCACAGCCAAATTCTACCAGAGGTACAAAGAGGAGCTGGTCCCATTCCTTCTGAAACTATGCCAAACAATTGAAAAGGAGGGACCCCTCCCTAATGCATTTTCCGAAGCCAGCATCGACCTAATACCAAAACCTGGCAATGACACAAAAAAATTGAAAACTTCAGGCCAATATCCCTGATGAACATTGATGCGAAAATACTCGATAAAATACTGGCAAACCGAATCCAGCAGCACATCAAAAAACTTACCTACCAAGATCAAGTCAGCTTCATCCCTGGGAAACAAGCCTGGCTCAACATATGCAAATCAATAAATGTAATCCATCACATAAACAGAACCAAAGAAAAAAAACACATGATTTTCTCAATAAATGCAGAAAAGGCCTTTGATAAAATTCAACATCGCTTCATGTTAAAAACTCTCAATAAACCAGCTATTGATGGAACATATCTCAAAATAATAAGAGCTATTTATGACAAATCCACAGCAAATATCATACTGAATGGGCAAAAGCTTGAAGCATTTCCTGTGAAAACCAGCACAAGACAAGGATGCCCTCTCTCACCATTCCTATTCAACATAGTATTGGAAGTTCTGGCCAGGGCAATCAGGCAAGAGAAAGAAATAATGGGCATTCACGTAGGAAGAGAGGAAGTAAAATTGCCTCTGTTTGCAGATGACTTGATTCTATGTTTAGAAAATCCCATCATCTCAGCCCAAAAACCCCTTAAGTTGATAAACAACTTTAGCAAAGTCTCAGGATACAAAATCAATGTGCAAAAATCACAAGCATTCCTTTACACCAACAATAGACAAGCAGAGAGCCAAATCATGAATGAATTCCCATTCACAATTGCTGCAAAGAGAATAAAATACCCAGGAATACAGCTAACAAGGGATGTGAAGGACCTCTTCAAGGAGAACTACAAACCACTGCTCAATGAAATAAGAGAGGACACATACAAATGGAAAAACATTCCATCCTCATGGATAGAAAGAATCAATATCATGAAAATGACCATACTGCCCAAAGTAATTTATAGATTCCATGCTATTCCCATCAAACTACCATTGACGTGTTTCACAGAATTAGAAAAAAAAAACACTTTATGGCATCAAAGAAGACCCCATATAGCTGAGACAATCCTAAGCAAAAAGAACAAAGGTGGAGGCATCATGCTACCTGACTTCAAACTATACTACAAGGTTACAGTAACCAAAAGAGCATGGTACTGGTACCAAAACAGACATATAAACCAATGGAACAGAACAGAGACCTCAAAAATAATACTACACATCTACAACCATCTGATCTTTGACAAACCTGACAAAAACAAGCAATGGAGAAAGGATCTCCTATGCAATAAACGGTGCTGGGAAAACTGGCTAGCCATATGCAGAAAACTGAAACTGGACCCCTTCCTTACACCTTATACAAAAATTAACTCGAGATGAATTAAAGACTTAAATGTAAAACCCCAAACCATAAAAACGCTAGGAGAAAACCTAGGCAATACCATTCAGGACATAGGCATGGGCAAAGACTTCATGACAAACATACCAAAAGCAATTGCAACAAAAGTCGGAATTGACAAATGGGATCTAATGAAACTAAAGAGCTTCTGCACAGCAAACGAAACTGTCATCAGAGTGAACAGGCAATGGAAGAACATTTTTGCAATCTACCCATCTGACAAAGGTCGAATATTCAGAGTCTACAAGGAACTTAAACAAATTTACAAGAAAAAAGCAACCTCATCAAAAAGTGGGCAAAAGATATGAACAGACATTTCTCAAAAGAAGGCATTTATGCAGTCAACAAACATGAAAAAAAGCTCAACATCACTGATCATCAGAGAATTGCAAATCAAAACCACAATGAAATACCATCTCACTCTAGTCAGAATGGTGATTATTAAAAAGTCGAGAAACAATAGATGCTGGGAAGGCTGTGGAGAAATAGAAACACTTCTATACTGTTGGTGGGAATGTAAATTAGTTCAGCCATTGTGGAAGACAGTATGGTGATTCCTCAGGGATCTAGAACCATAAATACCATTTGACCCAGCAATCCCATTACTGGGAATATACCCAAAGGAATATAAATCATTCTACTATAAAGACACATGCACACATATGTTTATTGCAGCACTATTTACAATAGTGAAGTCATGGAACGAACCAAAATGCCCATCAGTAATAGACTGGATAAAGAAAATGTGGTATATATACACCATGGAATATTATGCAGCCATAAAAAGAAAGGAGATCATGTCTTTTGCAGGAACATGGACAAAGCTGGAAGCTATCATCCTCTGCAAACTAATACGGGAACAGAAAGCCAAATACTGCATATTCTCACTCATAAGTGCAAGCTGAACAATGAGAAAACATGGACACAGGGAGCAGAAAAACACACCAGGACCTGTTGGGGTTGGGGGGCAAGGGGAGGGAACTTAGAGGTCAGGTTAATAGGCGCAGCAAACCACCATGGCACACATATACCTATGTAACAAACCTGCACATTCTGCACATGTATCCTGGAACTTAAAAAAAAAAATTACTAGTTAGATGGACATTTTTCATCATTATTGACCATCTATATATTTCTTTTGTAAAATACGTTTTCCTGTCTTTTGTCCTCATTTTTTTCTCTTAGATTTTCTTTTCATATTAGATTTGTAGGAGTTTTTCCTATGTTGTAAATAGTAACTTTTTGTATTTTATACTTATTTCAAATATTTTTCTAGGCTGTCATTTGGGCTTTAACTTTTAAAAAAACACAAAAAATAGCTAATATTAACTAAGCACTTACTATCCACCTGACATTCAGCTAAGAGTTGTACACAAATTACCTCATTTACTTCTTTTTCTATTTTTTTGACAGTCTCACTCTTGCCCAGGCTGGAGTGTAGTGGTGCAATCTCAGCTCACTGCAACCTCTGCCTCCTGGGTTCAAGTGATTCTCCTGCCTCACTCAGCCTCCCGGGTAGCTGGGATTACAAGTGTGTGCCACCATGCCCAGCTAAGATGTGTATTTTTGATAGAGATGGGGTTTCATCATGTAGGCCAGGGTAATCTCAAACTCCTGACCTCAGGTGATTTGCCCTCCTTGGCCTCCCAAAGTGCTGGGATTACAGGTGTGAGCCACTGTGCCCAACCTACCTCATTTACTTCTCATCGTAACTTTATGAGGTGGGGAACTATTATTACCCTGGTGTTACAAACAAGGAAACTGAGTCAAACTGAGTCACAAAAAAGCCAAGTAACTTGCCCAAGGTCACATGGACAGGAAATATCAGAGCTGGGGTTAGAACCCGGGTAAGATCTTCACCACTCTTCCATATTGCCTTCCTCACAGGCATTAGTCAAGATCTCATTTAATCTTCACAACGACCCTAGAGGAGGCTACGATTGCTCTCTGCAACAGATCTCATTTCACAGGTGAGGAATCTGAGACTCAGAGAGGTGAAAGCCCTTTGCCCAGGATAAGAGGTAGGGCTGGAATTTGAATGCAACTCTGTCTGAGTCCAAAACCCGTGATGTTTCTCCATGTTACAATTCCAAGGAATCTTTCTTTTACCTTGAGGGCCTCTCTTGAAAGATAAAAGAAAGGTAAAAACCGAGGTGAGCTTGGGAAGACCTTGCTAGGAACTGCTGGAGTCACAGGGCTTTTTGCTCAGGACTTCTAAGCTCCTATAGAGACCTGCCCAGTTTTCTGACTGCGCTGGTTTAGAATACTCCCTTCCTCTATCCTAAACCTGAACGTGCATCACAGTACAATATGCCATACTGCACTGGTCAGTGTTTAATGGGACTCTTGAGTCTGTAGTCCACTTGCATCTAACAGGACCTCTTTTCCCTTGCTGTGGACCACAGCCTGCCCCCTACCCAATTCTGCTTTTGAAAACATGAGTTGAGAGCATGGAGGAAGGTGGTGCTAGAATACATCATCTCCGTAAAAAGAGATTTCAGGGTCTTTATCATGGGCACCCTTCAAGAAAATTTACCTTATTGTGGGGACCAGGGATCAAGATTGAGGGGCCCTGGCTCCACAGACTGTACAGTGGTTCTGGCCTTAGATAGTTTGTCACATGAGAGAGGAATATATGTACTTTGGGTAAGCCTGTGTTTTATTTAACAATACCCACTTTCATGCTGAGACAGCTAATAAGCATATAACTTTGGTAATTCAAGAAAAGACAAGTTAAAACCATGAGATACCATTTTATATCCACTAGATTGGCAAAAATTTTAAAGTCTAACAATACTAACTGTTGATAGAATCCTGCCAATATGAGAATAAATGCGTAAATTTTGTGAAACAATTTGGTGGTTGTTATCTTGTAAAGTATGACGCTGTGGGCCAGGCACAGTGACTCACAACTCTAATCCCAGCACTTTGGGAGGCCGAGGTGGGTGGATCACCTTAGGTCAGGAGTTCGAGACCAGTCTGGCTAACATGGTGAAATTTCGTCTCCACTAAAAATACAAAAAATTAGCTGGGGGTGGTGGCAGGCACTTGTAATCCCAGCTACATGGGAGGCTGAGGCAGGAGAAAGGAGAATCATTTGAACCTGTGAGGCAGAAGTTGCAGTGAGCAGAGATCGTGTCACTGTTCTCCAGCCTAGGCAACAAGAGTGAAACTCCGTTCCAGTCCTCAATATATCTGTGGTTCCAGTCGTCAGTATATCTCCAACATAAATGAGAGCACATAAGCACAAGAGGACAATCCTCATAGGATGAACATTTGTAAAAACAAAGAACTGGAAATAACTCAAATGTCTATTCGCAGGAGAACTATAAATAATATCGGGTATATTCACAGAACAGAATGTTATACAGAGGTGCAAATGAGTGAATACATGTACAGCTATATGCATCAACATAATGCCTGTGATGTTTGAACTTTAGGAATGTAATACTGGGTAACAAAAACAAGCTAAAAAGAATGTATATAATATTATGTTTCCAGTTCTTGTGCAATATATTCTGTTAATTCTCTGAGGTTATTAATTATTTTTTCTTTTCTTCCTTGCATTGTTCTTCTCACACAGTTCTTTGTGATTTGCATGTTTGTTTTCATTTCTAGCTTCATCTTAACGGTTTTCTTCCTGTGCCTAGTTATCTTTTGATGCCATTCAAGTTCAGATATAAGGCACTAAAAGTCTTACTTGTGCTTGGGTGGTATTTTTCAACTTATCTTGCTCCCAGTGGCTGGCTGGGCAGAGACCTGGTCGTTTGTTGGAGGCCTCCTCAGTGTCATATCTGATAGTCGTTTCCCCAGAGAGGTACACCCCAATCATGCTCTGGGTGGGTGTTGGCCTGGCTACCAATATCCCTGACCCAAGAAGAGGGGGTGAGCTGACTATTATCTCACTGTCTGGTATGCAGACTTTATCTATCTGTTTTCATATGTGCTTTATCTCCATTTTTAGCTGTGATGGTTGTCTTAGAATCCTCTCTTGTCTTCCTTATTCAACATCTCTGAAATGAGCAGTTCTCAAAGT
Organism: Homo sapiens; assembly: GCF_000001405.40. Lineage (NCBI taxonomy): Eukaryota > Metazoa > Chordata > Mammalia > Primates > Hominidae > Homo > Homo sapiens. The sequence goes on from NC_000002.12 coordinate 68,353,038, forward strand.
ATGGGCTACAGGCTCCTGAGAGTCTCTGAGACTCAAGAGTCTAAGAGGTGTAAACTATTTTCATAGTAATACCAAGATGTTATTTGATTTTTTTCTATGTCAACATTTGCACTGACAGTGCAAAAAAAATGGTGAGTAAAATTGCTGACACCTTAGCATGAATCAAGGCAGAAATTGTGTAATTTTCACTGTGATTCAGTCAGGGTGGAGAAAAAAAGCAAGCAAACTTCAAAATGTCCTTGAAGATGCAGTAAAAGTTATTATGAAAATCTTTTATGAAATCTTTACCCTTGAGTGCATATCTTTATAATACTCTCTGTTATTATAATATCTAAAGGAAAAACATACATGTGTGATTCTTGGAGCTGTGAGCTGAACTAGCCACTTTTTTGTGGAAACACAATTTTTGCTTGAAAGAAATGGCAATCTGGTTATTCAGACTTGGGTATTTGGTAGACATTTTCTTGAAAATGAATAAAATGACCCTGTCACTTCAGACAAAATGGTATTGGTTGCTGATGATATGATTCAAACTTTCAAGTGAAAATTAGAATCTTGAAAAACTTGTATCTGCTACCATAATCTTGACAGTTTCCCAATAATTTAATATTATTGTGATGAAATTGGGGATGATATTTTCAAAAATATGGTTTTTAAAAATATTGTGGTATAAGCCATCAATATTTAGAAGATTTATATAACTTGGTGAGCCAATATTTTTCAAATGATCAATGCATCATGCTACAAAATGGTGCAAGGATAGCATAAATCTATTTGAAGTGCAAGGCAGATCAATAACTTAAATAACTGCACACCAAAAGTTTATTGATATGGCTTTAAATTTTACATCACGACTAACCTTTAGAAACTTTGAGTTTTGGTGTGTTTGTAAGAAGAATATGTACAATTATCTCAAAAGACTATTAAAATACTGTTTCCTTTTCCATATCTGTGTGAGGTCATATTTTCTTCATTTACTTCAACCATAACAACGTATCACAACTGTTCAAACACAGAAGCAGCTATGAGAACCCAGCTGTTTTATTGAGCTAGATATTAACATGCTTTAAAAAATGTAAAACAATATCACTCATTATTGATTTTTTTTTTGTTTTAGAAAAACAAAACATTTTTCACCAAGAAATCTTATTTGTGTTAACTTGTAATGGATTATTATTGTTATTTTAAAATGAATGAATGCTTTTTAAATTTCTCAGTTTTTAATTTCTAATTGGTAAATGTCAATAAGTAGGATCCACGTAAACCAAATCTCCTTGGGAGTCTTCAACAATTTTTAAGAGTATAGGCCGAGCGCGGTGGCTCATGCCTGTAATCCAAGAACTTTGGGAAGCTGAGGCAGGCGGATTGCCTGAGGTCAGGAGTTCGAGACCAACCCCATCTCTACTAAAAATACAAAAATTAGCAGAGTGTGGTGGTGGGCACCTGTAATCCCAGCTACTTGGGAGGCTGAGGCAGGAGAATTGCTTGAACCCAAGAGGCGGAGGTTGCAGTGAGCCGAGCTCATGCCACTGCACTCCAGCCTGGGTGACAGAGTGAGACCTCGTCTCAAAAAAGGAAAAAAAAAAAAGAAAGAGTGTAAGAGGGTCCTGCGGTGGCTCACGCCTGTAATCCCAGCACTTTGGAAGGCCGAGGCGGGCGGATCACGAGGTCAGGAGATCGAGACCATCCTGGCTAACACAGTGAAACCCCGTCTCCACTAAAAATACAAAAAATTAGCCGGCCGCGGTGGTGGGCACCTGTAGTCCCAGGTACTTGGGAGGCTGAGGCAGGAGAATGGCGTGAACCCGGAAGGCGGAGCTTGCAGTGAGCCGAGATTGCGCCACTGCACTCCAGCCTGGGCGACAGAGCGAGACTCCATCTCAAAAAAAAAAAAAAAAAAAAAAAAAAAAAAAGAGGGTCCTGAGACCAGTAATGTTTGAGAACCATTGCTCTAGGAAGTAAACCTCTCCTCTCCTATTATAACAGGAGTGGGCCAATCACTGGGCTGTGGTCGTGAGAGAGTGAGAATCAACTTAACTCCCGTAAACAGGCTTTCAAATATATTCTTTTGCCAGAGCCCATTCTCTGGGTGTGAGGAAACAGGCTTCTTACTGATGTTTCTTCCTCCAACTGATTAGGGTTATTTTGAGTAATTAATTTTTTTGGTTAGCTCATATAGTTCATCAAGTTCTTTTTCTAAAAAGTCAAAAAGATGTATGTGTGTATACTTTTCAAGCCCTTAAACACATGAAAATGTCTTTTTGAAAAGTCTTCAAACATATATGATAGATTGGCTGTGAGTCTGGGAAATTTTGTTGCTAGTTTTCTGATTTGTCAGTTTCGCTTTCTGCAGTTCCATTCTGCTCTGCTTTTGAATTATTGAATTTATAACCACTTATCGGACCAGATCTTGGAGTTTTGCTGGAAGCTCCGTGCGAGAAAGGAACTCACTAGTGTCAAATACTTTTACATTCTGAGTAAGTTTCTAGACCAGGGGTCAGCACACTTTTCCTGTGAAAGGCACAATAATGAATATTTTAGGCTTTGTGGGTCACATGATTGCTGTCACAGCTACTCAACCCTGCTTTTGTAGTGTGAAAATGGCCATAGATGATATGGAGACAAATAAGCACGGCTGTGTTCCAAGAACACTTTTTATTTATTTATTTATTTAGAAACAGGGTCTTGCTCTGTTGCCCAAGCTAGAGTGCAGTGGCATGATCTCAGCTCACTACAGCCTCTGCCTCCTGGGCTTAAGCAATTCTCCTGCCTCAGCCTCCCAAGTAGCTGGGACTACACGTGCGTGCCACCACACCTGGCTAATTTTTGTATTTTTAGTAAAGATGACAGAGGTTTCACCATGTTGGCCATGCTGGTCTCGAGCTCCTGACCTCAAGTAATCCGACTGCCTCAGCCTCCCAAAGTACTGGGATTACAGACATGAGCCACAGCATCTGGCCCAGGAACACTTTATTTATGGCACTGAAATGTGAGTTCCATATAATTTTCATGGGTCACAAAATGTTATTCTTCTGTTGATTTTTAAAACCATTTAATAGTGGAAAAAACATTCTTTGCTCATGGACAAAGAATTAACAAGAAAGAAAGAGTGGAGGGGAATATCATCTGCAGGCTGTGGTTTGCTGATCCCTGTGTTAAACTAGTCACCATTCATGTAGGACTTGCTAAAGGGGTAAAAAGTTCTGCTAGATCAGCCAAGTGCTGGGCTACTGCTGCGTACTGTGATTGGGAAGATTGAGGAGAGGATTTCTCTGGAGCCTGGTCAGTGTGCTGGAGTCTCCACTCCTCTACTTCTCCCTATTTGGGAGGGAAGGACATGCTTCCCTTGCCTCAGACCAAGGGAGGGAGGTTTCAGGGAGACCTTCAGAGTGTTCCCAATCTGAAAGGTTTAAAGGGGGCACTGGAACAGAACTGCACTCCCATTGCTGGAGGCCTGGGAGCTCACATTGTGGGGCCAGATGCAGATCCCTTGAGGGAAGCATGCCTGGGGTTGGCTTAAAAAGAATCCTGTCCAAGAGGACCAACAGGAAGGATGAGGGACTCTTCACAGAGAATTTGCCTGCAGGGTCTCACTCCTGAGGCTGAGCAGGGAGTCGGAATCAAACCACTGAAAGGGCCACCTTGTCCACATTGAAAGGTTTGTCATCATCTGTGTCCAATGGCAGAACCAGCATGAACATCCCAGGAGAGAAGGAGCCAGCCCTGGTACACCAGCCATGCAGGGGCTGAACTCACCAGGCAAGACCTAGCGCAGGGAGTGCTGTCCCTAGTGGGGCATGGGCCTGGGGCAACTGAATGAGTGGGGCCACTTGAAGGGCCCCACTGTAGGGCATCTTGATGGTCCCTTAGGTTATCGTGAAAAGCAGAATTTTTCAAATTAAGCTGTAGTGATGTGTAGGAATGAGGAGTTAAGGCCCAAAGCCCAATAGACTGTCCCCTTTCCTCAGGCACTGGAACTGCTCAAGAGACAGGCCTGATGATGTAGCTTTCACCTTCCCCCTTTGACCCTGGAGAAATCATAAAATCAGACCTAGCAAATGGGGCTGGACAGGGAGCTAGGCTATGGTGAAGACGCTGATCATTACCTTCTCCCTCTACTCCAGTTTTTAAGTTGGAGATGGGGAAACACTGTAAATTTTTTAAAAAAAGGATTATAGTGTTTTATAGTACACTGGACTACAGTTATATGGCAATTAGACTGATTTGGATTTTATTAAAGCTAGGAGTTATTAGGAAATCTGTGAAACCTGCCTAAGATTTCATCCAAGGGACAGAGAAAAACCTGATGGTCAGAACGGGGAGTATTGAGGAAAAAATATGATTTTATGATTGTATCCTACTGGGTTCAGCTCCTTTATGGATGTGCTGCATTTTCAGCTATGTCAACTCTTTATATGGGCTAATTTTTTTTGTTGTTGTTGTTTACTCTTTGTCCTTCAAGAGACCGATCTCTATATTTCAATGTTAGAATTGATGTTAACTTCTGTTCCTGTTCCTATTGCTGTAGGAAAAAAAAACCGGATTCTTGTCACACGACCAGGAAAGATTAGGCATGCAGACACTTTAAAGGGTGAAAGGTTACAGAATTTATTGGGAGAAAAGAAAAAAGACTCTTTCAGCCAAGCAAGAGGGGTTCCTGTTAACAGGCCCCCATCTCACAGACTGAATCCCAGGTTACCACCCAGGAATAGGAGAGGCCAGGCTCCTACCCGCTGCAAATGGCGTGAACCTCCCAAGGCCCCACTCCATCCTCCCAGTGCACAGGCCGGTCAGAGGTTCTCTGGGGAGCCCTTTTTCTCACTGTCTCACTATCATTCGAGCCCAAACAGAAAGTAGAGTAAATTTTAGATTCATTAAATCTGGGCAGGTGCAAACCCATGAGCACAGGGTTTAGCTGGAGGAGGGTACTATTGCACACAATAACAAGGTACCTCTTCCCCAGGGCAGCCTTGACTTGTGCTGGAGGGCTTGCTACACACAGCTTGGATCTCAGCCTTCAGTTGCCTTCATGGCCATCACTGTTCAGTAAACAAACTACAGGGTGCTCTGTAAACCTGCAGCTCCCCCTAGCATGCCCTTTCATTAGAGCAACTGCCCTCATTCGCAGGCAGAATAGCCACACTCCTTTAGGTGGTTGGCTCTTTGCAAGTGTGAGCTGGCAGCCAGTGCCCGGCTGTACTCTTCCATGCACTGGGCCTGCTGCACTTCCCTGAATTTCTAGCAGGACTGGTATTTGGTCCTCATTGACCCTCAACAGTCCACACCTCCAGTAGTTAGAGCTCTGGGCTCACCTGTATTAATGAGATTCTTCTAGAGGATTCATTCTGTTCGTTATTGGTGGTTATTGGTGGTGTAATGCCTCTGTTTAAGAATACTATAAAAAACCTGAAATCTGGACGCTTTCCAGCCAGGGAATTATACCCCGAATTAAAATCTTAAACTTAACAAAGGCACATCCTTTAAAAAGCAACCTTCTGTAACTCCATGATCCTCAAGGGGAGAGGAAGAACTGATCAAACAAAGATCCCACTGAAAAAAAGAATTCTTACTGAATTTAAAGCCTTTCCGAATGAAGAGAATGTGAACATAACAATATGGAAATGGTTGCATTGGAATCTCCATCTGTACATGATGAAAATGAGAAAGTGGAGAAGAATTGGAAATGCTTTCTTTTTACTAAAATGACCTTTTTATTTTTTATTTTATTTTATTTATTTATTTTTTTTGAGATGGAATCTCGCTCTGTTGACCAGGCTGGAGTGCAGTGGCATGATTTCGGCTCACTGCAACCTCCACCTCCCAGGTTCAACTGATTCTCCCACCTCAGCCTCCCCAGTGGCTGGGATTACAGGCACCCGCCACCACGCCTGGCTAATTTTTGTATTTTTAGTAGAGACGGGGTTTCACCATGCTAACCAGGCTGGTCTCGAACTCCTGACCTCAGGTGATCTGCCTGCCTCAGCCTCCCAAAGTGTTAGGATTACAGGCATGAGCCACCACGCTTGACTCTTTTTTATTTTAGAATAATTTTAGTTTTACAGAAAAATTAAGATAGTACAGAGTACCCATTTACCCCGCGTCCAGTTTATCCTATTATTAACATTTACATTAGCAGGGCACATTTGTCATTATTAATTAACCAAAATTGATACATTTATCATTTTAAAAGGTCATACTTTCTTTTTTTTTTTTTAGACAGAGTTTCGCTCTTGTTGCCCAGACTGGAGTGCAATGGCGTGATGTCGGTTCACCATAACCTCCGCCTCCTGGATTCAAGCGATTCTCCTGCCTCAGCCTCCAGAGTAGCTGGAATTAGAGGCATGCACCACCACGCCTGGCTAATTTTGTATTTTTAGTAGAGACCGGGTTTCTCCATGTTGGTTGGGCTGGTCTCGAACTCCCGACCTCCAGTGGAAGTTCACACTTTCTTTAGATATACTTAGTTTCCCCCTAATGCCCTTTCTCTGTTCTGGGATCCCATGTAGGATATTATATGACATTTAGTTGCCATGTCTCCTTAGGCTTCTCTTGGGAGTGACAGCTTCTCAGACTTCCTTTGGTTTTGATGACCTTGACAATCTTAAGGGGCACTAGTCAGGTCTTTCATAGACTATCACTCAATTGAGGTTTGGTCTAGTGTTTTTCTCATGATTAGATACCAAGGGTGTATACTATAATCTGATTTATGACCATGATGTTAACCTTGATCACCTGGCTCTGGCTGAGGTTGCATTTATCATGTTTCTCCACCATAAAGTTACTCCTTTTTTCTCCTTTCTGTACCGTACTTTTTAAAAAGTCACTATACACAGCCTATAGTTAAGGAGTGAGGATTCATGCTCCACCTCTTTAAGGGTGGAGAGTCTAGATAACTTATTTGGAATTCTTGGAATCTTGGAATAGATCTGTGTATTCTCTCTTATTTATTTACTCAATCATTAATTTATTTATTTTTAGACTTTGGTTATAATCCAATACTATTTTCTTTATTTTCTTGCTCTAAATTTTCTAGCTTTGGCCACTAGGTGCTCAGTCAGTTGGCTCTTTGGTCCCTTTGATCACCATCATGGTTTTAGTTTTTTGTGTTTTTAGTTAAAATTTTTAGCACTTTCTTACTTTCTGGTACGCAGGATGCTTCAGGGTCATCTTTTGCATTTCCTGCTGAAATCTTAGAGCCATCTATTTCTCCAAGGACGTCTCATTCCTTTTATTGGAGAATCGTATTAGTAATCAAGATCTGGGAGCTAGATGTGCTTGACACTACCAGGGTGTTGTCGCTTCTAGGCCTTCTCCACTAACACAGCAAGGAAATATATGTGTGAAAGTGCTTTCTTTTGAGCAAGTGGGTATATGTTCACACTTTTATATATTCTTAAATCATTTCCATATGAATTTGTGTATCTGTTGAAAGGGGATTACTCAGTATGTGGGCTCAGTTCCCTCTTTTGAACTGAAGCCCATTGGGCACCAACTAGATATTCTCTAATAGGTTTAAGTGAATTAGACAACTTAATGCTTTCTTTTTGTTGGGAGAAAGTTCTCCATGGGTTTTTTGTGTATAGGTACAACTTGCAAGCAGAGGTACTCTATTTTATGGATGCTTGTACAGTGAACAACAGCTTTGAAGGTAGAGGTTGTCTCCTTCCAGAGCAAAGGGCAGATTCACTTACTGTCCAGTAAAATAAAAATAAGGTCTGCCTCTGAGACAAAGTTTGGGCTGGTTTGCTTGCAGCCCATTACAAAAGATTCATGTTCCCTAAGCTCTGGGTCCTCAATTGTGATGCGAACCCTCAGTATGTGCAGCATCCATCTAGGCCGCTCCACTTTGTCCTTGGTAGACTTAGGGCCAAAAAGCATCAAGACCAATATGGAGCTAATTCTGTTTACTGTGCTGTGAGTAGCAAAGTCCTTTGTCTCACTCAAAACTCCAGAAGTCTTGAGTCTTCTGTGAGCATCCCTGAAACAGGCAGGCTGACCTGTTAACTTACAAGTAGGGTAACATCTCAGACTCTTCTCACAGGTTTTGACACCTTTTACTTAATTTATATTTAGCACTAGAGGTAGTCTGATATTTCTCAGCTAAATTTAATGTCTCTTTTGAATTACCAATGCTAAAGAATAACTTTGAAAAAGATAAAACGATGACTCTTACATATAATAGAATGAAAACATGTCAAAATTTTATTTAACTCATGAATTAAAGGGGAAACTAGCCAGAGGTCACCACCAGTTCAAAGGCAAGGTCAAAGACCAATTTATATAGAGTAAAGCAACGTTGAAATTCATTTACCAATGGACACAAAATTGACTTTTTCCATGGGAGGCGGGGTGGAGTGCGGGTGTGGGGTAAGGTGGAGTCTACTGAACTTCCATCAGGCAGAATTTATTTGCATGTTTATAGACAAGAATTATTTGTATTTATCCACAATCTACCGAGCTCTAGAATAACTCCAAGACAAGAAAAAAACACAGATTCCATAGAAACAAATAACTTAGAAAAGTGTGCTGTAAAGAATGCATAGTTTTCCATTGGAGATGCTCAGTAATCATTTTTGCTTATTCAGAAGTCTTAACTTGCCCTTACAGCAATAAAATGTGCTACAAGAATAATGTTTCCAAGGTTATTGATCAAATGTGTACAGAAAGAGATGTTAAAAAGTCATTCTAGGCTGGGTGCGGTGGCTTACACCTGTAATCCCAGAACTTTGGGAGGCCAAGGCAGGCAGATCACCGGAGGTCAGGAGTTCAAGACCAGCCTGGCCAGCATGGTGAAACCTTGTCTCTACTAAAAATACAAAAATAGCCGGGCGTGGTGGCGTGTCCCTGTAATCCCAGCTACTTGGGAGGCTGAGGTGGGAGGATCACTTGAACCTGGGAGGTGGAGGTTGCAGTGAGCCAAGATCAGGCCATTGCACTCCAGCCTGGGCGACAGAGCAAGACTCTGTCTCAAAAAAAAGTCATTCTAGACACATATACATAAGATACTGGAGGAGGTTCTAATGATCTGATCTGGGAGAGGGATCTGACACAGCAGAAGAAAACTTGGTCAAACTCTGTTGAGAGAAGTCCTGAAAGGCGTCATTGATTCAGATAGTTCTCTTTACTGACCACTAGGTGTCGCTAAGTAGGCGCGATGACACGTGGCAGGAGGGGGAGGGGCAAAGGCGGCAGCATCCAGTCCATCAATGGCGATGTTCAGCAGATTCACAAATGCCGGAGGTTCCTTGGTGTCAAGACATTTTTACCCCTGCACCTATTCAGGCGCCTGGTACATACTAAACACTTAATACCATGTTTCTTGAAATGAATTATTCGGAACGCAGGGGGTGCTTTTACACCGGAGGCATCCAAAAATAATATGAGGTTTCTGAGTGAGGGTTCTTTAAAGCCTTCTGATCATGCTAGGACAAACAGTGAAGACATTCCAAATTAGAAGTCACTTGGTCAGTTAAACAAAAGGAGATATATTTAACTATGAAATCAGACTTGGTAAATCTAAGAGTGGTTTCCATTGACTATACAGACATAGCAAAATACTTGTTTGAGTGCAGATACAGAAAATTACCCTTTTATTTGTTCCTGTTTTGCTCAGGTGACATCAAACGTTGATCCCTCTACTCTCAGCCCCCAACACTTTATAACAATTTCTAATTAATTTTGGTGCAATGAGAAACTGAAAAGAAACCATCAACGATTTTAAGTAATGGATATTAGCATAAAATGAAAAGTGAGAAATACAGGGGCAGTGACTGTTAGCTAGAAACACAGCTGGAGGGAAGAGGAGAGGGAATCAGGAAGCTCTCAGAAAACCCCAAGAACAGAACTTCTTCTTTCCCCTAACTTTCCTGGCTCCTCAGATGCCCTCGTGGACGTCTGTCAGTTTTGCCTTTCTCGGAGCCATCGCTCATCTATTGTTAATAGCATCTTGATTTTACTTTAGGGGACACCTCCCTTCTCCCATTGAGCATGGTCCTGCTGGGGCTGTCGGTTCACATGTTCCCCCTTCAGATACCGGAGAGAGAAGCACTAGGCCAAGTTAGGCCAATCAGAGGCCTGATCCCTGGAGACTACTGCAGAGTCTGAAAACCACTGGCATTCTTTCATCTTGGTGTCTTGCTTCCTGGAACCCCACAACTGCCCTGATTCCTGTCCTTTCAAAGACCCCAGTCTTCATTTTTCCTGCAGTCTGTGGGCCACTCCATTCTCTTCCAGTAAATTCCTATTTGCCTCTATTAGCCAGAGTTGTTATCTGTTGATTGCAGTGAAAGAACACTGACGGGTGTAATGAGGAAAATCTAGTCCTACGATTGCTTTCATCATCTCTGTTGAACTTATCATTGAAAAGGATCAGCTCTAGGATAACGGAGATTTGCCTTGAAGATGAAGAACAACTAATATTTATGGATACTAGTTATGTTTCAGACACTCTTCTAAATACTTCCATGTCTATCTCATTTAATCTTCAGAATGACCTCATTGGATAGGTGTTATTATCCCCGTATTACAGATGAGAAAACTGAGGCACAAAGTAATAACAAACTTGCTCATTTTCACATGGTCAGATTAACGGGTCTCTAAGTTTATTCTATGGAATATTCGTTTTTCAGGATTATATTGGTTTCCTGGGGCTGCCATAACAAAGTACCACAAACTGGTGGCTTAAAACAATGGAAATTTATTGTCTTACAGTTCTGGAGGCCGTAAGTCTGAAATCAAGGTGTCGTCAGCACCATGTTCTCTATAGCAACTCTAGGAGAGAATTGTTGCGTGCCTCTTCCAGCTTCTGGGGGTTGCTGGCCATCCTTGGCGTTCCTTGGCTTGTAAATGCATCACTCTGTTGTCACATGGCTGTTTTCTGTGTGCCCTTTTCTTATAAGGACACCAGTCACATTGGATTAAGGGCCCACTTGTTTCAGTATGACCTCATCTTAACTAATTATATCTACAATGACCCTATTTCCAAATAAGGATGCATTCTGAAGTGCTAAGGGTTAGGACTTCTTTTTTGGGAGATCTAATTCAATTTATGACAAAAAAAGTTAACATAAATTGTTCAAAAAAGAATGCTATGGCGAAGTAAGTTTGGAAAACACCATTATAGGATTCTTTACTGTAGTACTTTGGCGGGGCGAAGGTCTTTAATTTGTTCATCATTTAGAGGAGTTGCCAACCTGGGATTATTTTGTAAAGTTTCTCAAAAACCTGTTTGATGATGGACTTCTTTTTACAGGCTGACTGTGAGATCAGCACTCAACGTGGAACACCTGTTCTCATGCCTGATGTGAGGCAGTGGCACCCTAGCACATCCCTCCCTGGTTCTTCTGCTTTCCCCTGTGACCTGCAGCGTCAACTTGAGACAACTTTTCTTCTCTGAGCCTGAGTTTCCTTACTCTAAGATAAGGAAAATAATATACTTTCCCTATGGGTTTGATGTGTGGACTCATTTTTGTTGTTGTTTGTTTTGAGATGAAGTCTTTCTCTGTCGCCCAGGCTGGAGTGCAGTGGACCAATCTCGGCTCACTGCAACCTCCGCCTCCCAGGTTCAAGTGATTCTGCTGCCTCAGCCTCCCGAGTAGCTGGGACTACAGGCACACGCCACCATGCCCGGCTAATTTTTGTATTTTTAGTAGAGACAAGGTTTCACCATGTTGGCCAGGCTGGTCTTGAACTCCTGACCCCAGGTGATCCATCTGCCTTGGCCTCCCAAAGTGCTGGGAGTACAGGCGTGAGCTACCATGCCTGGCCGATGTGCAGACTAATTTAGTTTAAAATAAGTAGGCTGAGAAACACTTGATACAGGGCTTGGCATAGAGAGAAGTAGGCATTCATTTAGTAGTTAACTTTGTTATGCTAACCAGATGGTTCTGAATTTCTTGGCATTTTTATTGGGCATTTCCAGGATCTCAAGAATAATCCTTACTCAGGACAATTTTCACCAACAAGTTTTTCTTGTTCATCTTCCTCTTCCTTTCATCACTTCTTTTTCTCTTTAAAAGAGGGATTTTCTGTATGGTAGTAAGAATTTCCCTTAGGTAAATATTCAACCCAACTGTGGTTTTAATAAGTCTCCAGCATTAGCAAGGAATGGGTGGTTTACTCTGCAGTTCCTTATTCTGATCTTCCAACCCAGTGAGGGGAAGAGGATGTGATCATGCGACCGCCAGCAGAAGGGAAATTGTGAAAGCGACCTGCTGTAGAAAAGGCGGCCCACAGCCACCTCAGCATGCAGAGGAGGCCCAGCTGCTGAGAGGAGTTGCCTGAGAGTGACCTTTGCATCTGCCTGTCCAGCCAGCATGGAACCAAAGCGGATCAGAGAGGGCTACCTTGTGAAGAAGGTGAGCGAAGGTGCCACTTACCAGGGTGTCAGTGGACATGGGCTGGGGAGACTTGGGTTCAGCTCCACCGGCTACCTGCTCATCTTAGGAATGTTTCCTGTTCAACCAGTTGGGTTGAAATAGGGGAGCGTGGTAGCACATAGAATGTTGGAGTGGGGTTAGGGGAGTGGGGATACTCATCCAGCCCCGGCTTCCTTACAGTTTGATATTACGGGTCTGAGAATTCCAGATGGCAGGGCCTGGAAGGTGGGGATCTAAGCTAACTCCCTCCAGATTTAGAATATCCTTTTTAAGAGGCACACAGATGTGTTCTGTCAGAAGATATACTCCTCTTCTATGGAGGTTTCTTGGAGGGACTATTCATTTTTTATTTAAATTCCACTTCCCCTCAGTTCTTTTTTTGGGAGGCAAGGGGAAAAAAGTGATTAAAGAGTTGATATAATGATAGAGTAATTACGGCTTATTTCTTGGGCCATCTTCTTGGAATTGACACGTTTAAAAAAAACCTTATCTTTTTTTAATTGGGCTGAAATCTCTTCACTCACAATTCTTAGTAAATTTGCATAATGTGGCATCGAGGTGGTAGATGCACCATTTTAAAGATTAGGGTACTGAAAAAGGCTTAGCCTCCCTGGTGTGCATCATGAAAATTGAATTTTCTTAGTGCTGTTTGTCTTTCTTCGGATGCTGAGTGTGTGCTGTGTGGTTGTGAAAGCTCCCCGGGATGTGAATTCACACATAGGACTTGGTGTCCTGTGGGCAACACCTATATACACAGATATGCTCACACTAACCTTAGTGAGTGGATTGTTTCAGAAATGAGCTGAACGTAGTGCCTTCCTTCAGGTGCTTAGCTTTTTAGTTGAATGAACAGTGAATGTGAGTCTGTTTTAGGCTACTCATTTGTTTCACGTTTTAACCTACAATGTTCTACCTGTAAGGGGGGTTAAATAGCACACATTGCTGCCTGCTTCCATTTTGACTTCAGGCTGGAGGGACCCTAGGTCATCTGGCCTAATTCCTTCATTTGCAGAAGAGGAGACAGACCCAGAAGGCTCGGTGATTGCCCCAAGTCACATGGCTATGACAGTTGTGACCAGCCACTCCTTCTCTGATGCTTAGGTTTCTGATTCATGGCACTGAACTTTGTTCATTACTCCAGCATTTTCTTAAAGCAGATTTATTCCAAGTTAGGATTTGTAGTGTATTTGTGATGGTGAGAGCTATGAGTTGGTACTGGAGAATAAGTGGGCCCTCAGCTGCTAATCTCTGTAGCCAGCTGTGCTTCGAAACATCCTTTGGAAAAGACACACTTATACATAGAAGTGTAAAAGATTACTTGCAATAGGCACCAATAATAATTGGCGAGACCTGGTAATAATTAATATTGACTTATTCCTTTCCTGATCACTTGTGCTAGTATCCTGAGAAGAGCAAGTGAATAGGAACATTTCTGCAAGTTTTTGTTTGTTTTTTTAAACAATTAAAAACATCTTGCAATGAAAATTGCTGTTATAAAGTTTGTATGCTCATATTTTAATCTCCCTAAATTACAAAAATATGAAGACTAAATTTCTAATAAGTGAAGCTGTCTCACTAAAAATTGGGGATGATAGAGTCAGGGTTGTCAAGCATGTGGATTTAAATTAATAAATAGTTTTTAATTAGTGAGAGTAGTTCTCTCAGATTGTAAAAGCCAATCTAGAAAATGTGCCTGGAATTAAATAGTGAAATTTTGTATTGATAGTTTTACAATTTATATCTTCCATAATTTTCATGTTTACAAGTTACATCTTCCATAATTACTGCATTTTTCTCTGGGACCTTTTGAACACTCTGATATAATGCATTAAGATTCTCTTTTTTTTTTTTATTCTTCTAAAACTTTAATTTTAGGTTCAGGAGTATAGGTACAGGCTTGTTATATAGGTAAACTCCTGTGACAGGCGTTTGTTGTACAGATCATTTTGTTACCTAAGTACTATGCCTAGTATCCAATAGTTATTTTTTCTGATCCTCTCCCTTCTCCAACCCTCCACTCTCACATAGCTTCCAGCGTCTCATTTGATATTTTAAAGAAATGTTTGGTCCAGAAATATTCCCTTTTTCAGCTGCAGAACTAAACCTAAAGACAGAGTTTCCTGAGAAGGTATTAAAGTTCTTAACTACTTTAGACATTAAGTTTCCTTCAGTTACCTCACGTGTGGGTTAAAAACTGTATATGTCAAGAATCTGACATATAATTGGTGTACATAAGCTGCATAAGACACTGATTATTTGTATCAGCATCAATATATGCTTCAGTAGATAGTGGGGCCTCCCCTAGATGTTAATGGGGCTATGTACTGGTTCCTGGGTTGGTTGCCAAATTAATTATGAAGGAAGGGCCATAAAAATCTTTGAAAAGGCTCTTAGAAGCCTTGGCTATGGTTTTTGATATTAAAGCATGAAAAATAATATAGTGAATCTTCCTCCATTCACCTTTTTCTCTTATGCAGTTCAAGATACCTGGGTAGTAACAGAGAACATCTTTGTCCTGTGTCTTGTTTTATGAAATAATTTTATTGCAGATAAGTTGTTTTGGGTGGAAAAAATATAGCATTAGAAAATGCTGGTGCAGGAATTTTGTCAGGTCAGAAATCTTGGGGTCAATAGTGTTAACTGTAAAACGTTTCTGCTTTTCTTCTGTGCAAGATGACTGTTGACATTTCACAATCCAGGTTTCCTCTTTTGCCTCCTGAATAAGATCTCCAAATGAAGACAGTGGTTAAGAGGGGGAGGGAAAATACAAGATTCTGTCATTTTCCAGCTTTTTCATTCCAAGTAACACCCATGTCTCTTTGCCTCAGAGTCTTTCACCTTACTTTTTTGTTTTAAAAAAGAGCACTTCTAGCCAACCATGGAGCAGCAAGCTGCTATACGAACATGACTTCATTTAATCCTAACCACCCTATGTGATCCTCATCTTACAGATAAGAAAACTGAGGTTCACAGAGAATAAGTGATTCGTCCACAGTGAAACATGTGGCAAGAGGATGACCTGGGATTCAAATCCCGGCCTGCCTAACAGCAAAGCCTACCATCTCATTGATCCCAGGCAGCATTCTGAAAGGCAGGCTTGCCCTGGCCTGCAAAAGAACTCACTAGAGCCAGAGCAAGGCACGAACAAATTGTTTTGTGGGCAAGATTAAGTTTAAAAACCTCAGCCTCCTTTCCTCTCTGTTTAGGGGGTTTCTTTCTGGCCAATAAACATGTTTGGAAGGTACTCGAATACCTACTACTGAATTAGATATGTTCATCATCATAACTGGAAAAAATGAGAGAAGAGCAAATTATATGCTCTGCATAACCTAGACTCCTCCAAGTCATGTCTCAAACCAGCCTAATTCCTAGAGGTTTATGGAGCAAGCTGTTGTTTCCAGGACAACCAACCTCACAAGCACTTGGCGCAGCAGCGCTGACTCAGAAAGTGGCTGAGGGATTTGGATGTCCTTTGAGGCTGGGAGAAAGCATAGGAATCAGGGTGATGGGAAAGGGAAGGGCAAGCAGCAGGGACAGGAAAGGAAAGGGCTGCAGAAAGCTGTGGTAGAAGTGGAAGAGAGCCCGAGAGTCAGGGTCCTGGCCCAGGAGTTCTTTCCTGGATCTACCTTGTCTTCTAGGCAGCATGAAATAATCTGAAGCGATTTGTGCCTACTGATTCATCATCACTGTAACAGCTAACGCATGTGGTGTTTACCCTGAAGCAGGAACAGTTCCAAGCATTTCATGCCTTAATGCATTTATACAGCATACTTAAGACAACTCAACAAAATGGGGACAATTATTATCCTTACTTAACAGATAAGGAGATTGAAGTACAGAGAGGCAAATGGCCTTGTCCAAAGTCACACAGTTAATAAGTGGCAGAGCTGGTTTGCAACCCAGCAGTGTGGCCCCAGTATCACGCAGAGCCTAACCACTTTCTATGTGGCCCTCGTGGGCTCGTACTGCAGTGACATTCTTTTCCAAAGCACTGTCACCATGATGAGGGGTACCCAGGGGAACATTATGCCAGAGCGACTCCACAGTGTTGCCTACAAAACCGTACTCTTTTTTTTTTTTTTTTTTGAGATGGAGTTTTGCTCTTGTTGCCCAGGCTGGAGTGCAATGGTACGATCTCGGCTCACTGCAACCTCCGCCCCCAAAACCGTACTTTTACCTGTTTCTATGGTCGCCATTTTTCAAATGTATACTACATGCTGGCCACTGTGGTGAATGCTTTATGTATATTATCTCATTTAATCTTCACCACAATGTGAAACAGGTGCTTTGTTACCTTCATTTTACAGGTGAGGAGACTCATGCTTGGAAAAATTAAATAAGTTACCTAAGGTTACAGAGCCTGGAAGAGGCAAAATTGAGATCTGAATTTAAATCTAAGGCTCCAGAAGTCATGCTGTTAAGCACTCTCTGTGCCATTTCTGTATTACTTATTTAATATGTTTTCACTGATAAATTTTCCAACCTGGAAGAGTTCACTTATGTAAAAAATATGCTACTGAATAGACTAGTTCCTTTGCCTTCAGTGAGTTTGTATAGGCACAACACAACCATTTGTTTGGGATGTTATGTCAGTGATTTGATGGATCAGATTGGAAAACTAGATGATGTGATTTATGTTGTAGCCAACATAAGGGCTTAATTGAATGCAGCATCAACTTAAAATAACATGTCCCATGGGTGTGCAAGAATAGATAATAGTAACTGACAGTTCTGCTTTAGATATGCAGTTTTGATCACAGTGTAATTTTCCTTTGAATTCCAGCCATACATTGTATGTGAAAAGAGAAATTTGAGGGAAAGGGGAAGTTAAAAGAGATGCCTTCACTTTGTAGGGAGTGTCTGAGAGGGGTTCTAAACACAAATATCCGATTGCCCCAACCCTCAGCCATTGGTTGTAGCTTCTTTCTGTGATGCTGGGTGTACACAAGAAGGCACACCTCAATTTGTGCATTCATCACACTGACCTGGAGGTCACTCTCTCCCATGTGAGATTGTGAACTATTCGAGAGCAGAGATAGGGTCTTGTTTATTTTTGTTTTTATTTTTATTTTATTTATTTATGTATTTTGAGACAGAGTATTGCTCTGTAGTCTTGGCTGGAGTGGAATGGTACAATCTTGGCTCACTGTAACCTCCACCTCCAGGGTTCAAGTGATTCTCTTACATCAGCCTCCCAAGTAACTGGGACTACAGGCATGTGCCACCAAGCCCAGCTAATTTTTATATTTTTAGAAGAGATGGGGTTTCACCATGTTGGCCAGGCTTGTCTTGAACTCTTAACCTCAAGTGATCCACCCGCCTTGGCCTCCCAAAGTGCTAGGATTACAGGTGTGAGTACTGCGCTCAGAGTTGCTTAATTTTACATCCCAACAACCAGGCCAGTGTTGAAAGCATAGGAGCCATTCTATCATTATTTGTTGAATGAACGTGTCCCAAATAAAGAAACTTGCCTAAAATAGACTTCATAGAGACCAAAGTAACTTCTTAAGTCTTAAGAAAAAGTAATTTCAACGGGGGTAGTCATTTTTAGATGATCATGTAGAATATATTTCAAAGATTTATTATTATTTTTTGGCTTTCAAGCAAGCCCAAGGGTTAGCAGGGACACCTGGAAATAGAAGACTAAAGGGGGAAAAGAGGGACAGCAGGCACCTTGGAATAGATGTGTAGGATCTCAGGGTAGAAAGAGATGTTACAGATTTAATACAGCTTCTCATCTGCAGCTTGCATTTCTTTTATTCATCTGTTAACAAGCATGCTTGAATACTTCTCTTGTTAGGGAACTCACTAATTACATTTTCTCCCTTAAGTTATGCAGAAAACTGTTTTCCTGAAACCTCCACCGGCTGGGACCTCAAAACAATCCAGGCATTCACACCTGCTCTACCTGTTCCTTTATGGGCTAAAACCTAGTTAGTTCCTCCAACAGTTAGAGAGATGATACCATCTTGGTGTTCTGCTTTGAACAGGCTCTGGTTTACCTGCAGCTTTGAGGTCACTTGAACTTAGTATAGTTCTCCAGGAGCACCTGATAAGCATAGAACTGTAAGGAATAGGTACTATTTAATGAGTGATTACTATATGCCAATTACTGATTTAAGCAATTTACATGGATTGTTTTCATCTCCCAACAAAGCTGAGAAGTAGATATCATCATATCTGCTTGCCAGAAGGAGAGAATGAAGTTTAAAAACTTTCTCAAGGCCACATTACTAGAAAGTGGCAGAGTTGGGATTTGAGCCTGAGCCATCCAGCTCCAGAGCCCATGGTCACCTGCAGGCTATGCTTCGTTTAAAGACAGAATTATCATTTTCCTTGCTTTCGATCTTACACTTCTCTGTATACAACCACAACGAGTTTAGTTTTTTTTTGACAGCCCACATCAAATTGCTGACTCATAGAGCTCCTTTTTTCCCACATGCTCATTTCCCACACCTTATAAGTCTTTACAAAATATTATTAAAGAGAAAGGCTGTATCTTATTTAATTTCAATTTGCATTTCTTTGATTGCAGTTGAAGCAATCAATTATGTTTTATTGGACCCAGCTTTTATTCGTTTGAGAATTGCTTATTTATATTATTTGCTCATTTAAAAAATTGGGAGTGTTGATATATTTCTTATTGGTTCTAAAGTGTTTAAAGAATTAAGGATATTAATTTTTAATCATATGATGATACAAATATCTATGCATTTTCATTTGCTTTTCAGTTGTTGCAGTTTTTTAAATATAGAGAAGTTCATTTTTTTTTTTCTTGAGATGAAGTCTTGCTCTGTTGCCCAGGCTGGAGTGCAGTGGTGTGATCTAGGCTCACTGCAATCTCCACCTCTTGGGTTCAAGTGATTCTCCTGCCTCAGCCTCCCAAGTAGCTGGGACCGTAGGTGTGCATCACCACACCCAGCTAATTTTTGTATATTTTTAGTAGAGACTGGCTTTCATCATGTTGGCCAGGCTGGTCTCAAACTCCTGGCCTCAAGTGATCCACCCACCTCAGCCTCTTAAAGTGCTGGGATTACAGGCATGAGCCACTGCGCCCAGCCGAGAAGTTTATTTTTAATATGGTCAAATCTGCCGTTCTTTATGATTTCTTCTTTTGATGTCATGCAATGTCAGACTCTTAGGTGCTAAATTATACCAGTCCCATGATGATGAACAGGTATTTACCAGAAAACTTCAAATCTGACTCAGCATCCCATTGTGGACATGTACAGGTTTTGGCATATAATGGGTGAAAACACATATATGCTACACACACACATGCACACACACACACAGACACACATACACACAGCATATGGATATATATGTGTGTGTGTGTATATATATCTCCATTGAAGTGAAATAGCTAGCTAAGTGGTCTAAAGAAATCGATACAGATTCCAGAATGACTCAGTGTTATACAAGAACCAAAATGAAAATGACATCTGAGGGGAAGGGAAAAAACATAAAATTGAGAATCAGGAGACATGGATTCTACATTAACTGGTCAGATGTACTAGGCCAATCACTTAACATTAATTGTTCAGATGTGGTAGGCCAATCACTTAACTGGGCCTCCACTTTTTTTTATCAATATGGTGACAGTGTTGGTAGATGATCCTAAATTTCTCTGTCATTTGGACATTCCATAATCACACTTCCAGGTTTGCTCTTGGGTGAGCATCAAGTGGGTTGGGGCCAGAAAAGGAAAAATTTAGGAATGGTCAAGGAGAGGTGCTGCCAGGTTACCCGAGTGAGAAACTGGTAGCTGCAGTAGTGGTGAAGAGGAGAGAAAAACCTCCTCAAATTCCATCATCCTGACCTAACTCAGCACTATCAGGCCTGGAAGGATGTTTAAGCTTTGTAAGTGGTCAGATTTCTCTTGTTTCATAAAGTATCAGCCTCTTCATTGTGCATAATGACCCTGAATCCCAAATGACACATCCTCCTCAGAGTCAGACCCCGGAGGCTGCACTTGATTTAGAAAAGCACAACGTGAAGGTTAGTTACATATGTATACATGTGCCATGTTGTTGTGCTGCACCCATTAACTCGTCATTTAACATTAGGTATATCTCCTAATGCTATCCCAACATGGCACGTGTATACATAGGTAACTAACCTTCACGTTGTGCACATGTACCCTAAAACTTAAAGTATAATAAAGAAAATAAAAAAAAAAAAAGAAAAGCACAAACTCATATTGGACAGTTGGCTCCAGAGGCTTTGTCTACTGAAGGCATGCAATGCCAGCTTATCGCTACTGATGCATCCCAATTTCAAAGTCAAAAGCCCTGAGTGATGATGGCAGTTAATAATCTCAGCTATTCCTGAGGTTGAATATTAAATGTTAGGTTTAAAAGGGATTCTGGCAATCATCTAGTGCAACTTTTCATTTCTAGCTCTGAGAACATGTCTTTCTTTTCTTATTTCCAGGTATTTTTAAAATTTTTTATTAAATAGATTTGTCTATGTATTTCACTAAAAGTATATTCTAAATTTTAATACATAGCAGAGTCATATGTTACTCATTCATTTAATAATTTTCCCAAGTTATTTTAAAAGTTAAGCCCACAGAAAAATGAGGAAACTAGTACCATTATTCATATAGCCTTTACCTAGATTAATCAATTGATAATGGATGGGCACATTTGCTTTGTCTCTCCCTATCTCTGAATTTCTGTATAAATAAACACACATATCATATTAGGTTGAGATAGTTGAGAGTAATTTGCAGACATCACGCTACCTCACTCCAAAATACTTCAACATACATCTTCCAAGAAAAAGGACATTTTCCTATATAATCACAATGCCATTATCACATCTAAGAAATTTATTACTAATAAAATGACCTTATCTAATACACCTTTTACATTCAAATGATGCCAGATCACTCAATAATATTCTGCATAGCGGCTTTGAAAAGAATCCATGATTCAATCGAGGACAATTCATTGCATGAATATGCTGTTTTTCCAGTGATTAAGTGAGAGAAGTAACTAATGTGGAATAGTTTCCTTCTATAGAAGCAACTTGAAGGGTGGTGTTACTATAATCACTGTATACCCCTCCATGGAGTTAACTAACAGGACCTGGAGTTAACAACTTTGTTTTTTAATTGAAGGATAACTTACAATAAGGTACATGAAGGGTGTCATAATTTTTTACATACCTATACCTCATGTAATCAACACACAGATAAAGACAGAGACATTTCTAGTATGCTATAAAGTTCCATTGTTCCCTTCCTAGTCTATACTCCCATCGTCGGTAACCATTATTGTAATATTTTCTCATAAGCTATGCCTGTTGTTGAACGTCATATGAATGTAATCATACTCTAAGCACATGTTTTGCCTGTTTGCTTTTCACTCAACATCTATGAGATTTATTTATAATGTTCCAGGTACTAGCGGTTCATTTTTTAAAAATTGCTAGGTTGTTTTCCATAGTATACATTTACTGTGTTAATAATGGATTTATATATTATATTATACAGTTTACTTATTCCTTCTCCTGTTGATGGGCATTTGGGTTAGTCTTTGTTTCTGGCTATGATGAATAAAGGTGTCATGAACATTCTTGATGAAACCTTTATGACAATATGCATTCATTTCTCTCAGATCTTTGCCCAGGAGTGAAATTGCTGGTGCAAAGGACATATATGTGTTTAGCTTTAGCATAAAACCACCAGATATTTTTTCTGCACTGGATGTGATATTCTGCACTCCTGCCAGCTATGTTTGGTACTTCCAGTTATTCTACCTCCTTGTCAAGTCTTATTCTTCTCTGACTTTGAAAATGCTAGGTACTCTAGCAGGTGTGTAGAGGTATCTCATTGTGATTTGAATCTGCATTTTCCTGATAAATAATGATGTTGAACACTTTTTCATAAGCATTTGGATGTTTTCTTTACTAAAGTGCCTGCTCGATACTTTTTGCTCATTTAAAAATAGGATTATTTGTACTTTTCTTATTGATTTGCAGGAGTTCTTTGTATTCTAGATATGTTTCAGTTGTAAAACAGAAAGGCATTTTACTGGAATTATTTCATGTGTTGGCACAGTGTCTGATCTTGCTCATTTTTAAAAGGGGAAATAATCCAGTGTTCGTCTGGAATAGTTATTCTGCCCATGCAGAAAAGAGATAGGGTATTTTAATTTAGAAAATTATTTTAGTAACTAGAACAAAGGAAATGTTTGGACAAGCAAAGTGATAGTCCCACAAGTATTTATCTTTGCATAAATAGTCTTCCTTTTGGTCAACTGGACCTTTATATAGAGGCCCTTTGTATTTTGAGATAAGCAGCAGGGTCTCTTGGGAACTGGATGATAATTCTATTTTGTGGTAGTCATGACAGGGTGATATCATGGGTTAAAGAATAGACCTTTGCCAAATTCTTCCAAAATATAGACCAGAAATAGAGACTTCCCTGTTTTAATCAGAATGGTCAACTTATTGCTAAAGGGGCAGCTGGCATGAACCCAAACTGAAAACATTTTAAGTAAGGATTTTTTTAAGGGCTACATTAATGTGGATAGCCTCATTCTGGCATTATAGACCTTTTGCAAGTGATTTTCATACAACTTAGCCATGCCTGCACACAAGGCTGCTGTCTGAGTTTCTTTTTGACATTCATATTCAGATAAAATCTGATTAGCCCAAGAGATGGAAGCAACTGCAGGGTGCATGCCACCACTTATGACTGCTTTGTCTATGGGAGACACGGCTGTTGGATCACAACACTTTTCCACTGAGTCCAGCCTCAAGCATCCACTACTACTCAGTCTGAATTGACACTTGAGATAGATTCTACTTGCCATTCTTGAGTTGAACTGAACTCAATGGGCAGGTTTGGGAGCAGAAAACAAACCACATAAAGTCAGCCTGAAATGTACCAGGGGAGCTTATGGGTTGACTGTCACTGTATATACATTTTATCTTAATTAAAAAAAATTCCAGTAGAATGACAGTCCTCCTTTCCCCTGAAGGCATCCTTCCTGCGCAGCCTTGTGCAAATGTGGACCACCTGCCTCCACACTGGCCAAAGCTGAGTTACATATTGTCCTGCAGAGGTCTATAGGATCATTTTAGGAAATATTGTCACACTTATTGTGTCTATTCTTATGTTAATCATTTCATTATGTCTTATTTATTCAGTCTTATCTATTAATAATGTGATCTTATTTTTAATTTTTAATTTTTAAAATTTAAATTTTTGTGGGTGCATAGTAGGTATATGTATTTATAGGGTACATGAGATGTTTTGATACAGGCATGCAATGAGTAATAATAACACCATGGAGAATGGGGTATCCATCCCCACTAAGCATTTATCCTTTGTGTTACAAACAATCCAATTACGCTCTTTTAGTTATTTTAAAATATACAATTAAGTTGGCAATAGTCACACTGTTGTGCTATGAAATCATAGGTCTCATTTATTCTTTCTGTTTTCTTGTTTTTGGTACCCATTAACCATCCCCACCTCCCTGCAGTCCCCCACTTCCCTTCCTGGCCTCTGGTAACCATCCTTCTACTCTCTGTGTCCATGAGTTCAGTTGTTTTGATTTTTAGATCTCACAGATATGTGAGAACATGTGATGTCTGTCTTTCTGTGCCTGGCTCATTTCACTCAACATAATGATCTTCGGGTCCATCCATGTTGTTGCAAATGACAGGACCTTCTTTTTTATGGCAAAGTAGCCCTCCATTGTGTATATGTACTACACTTTCTTTATCCACTCATCTGTTGAGGGACACTTAGGTTGCTTCCAAATCTTGTCTATTGTGAACAGTGCTGCAACCAACATGGGAGTGCAGATATCTCATCCATATACCGATTTCCTTTCTTTACAGTATATACCCCCCAGTGAGATTGCTGGGTCAAATCGTAGTTCTGTTTTTAGTTTTTTGAGGAACCTCCAAACTGTTCTTCATAGTGTTTGTACTAATTTACATTCCCACCAACAGTGTACAAGTATTGCCTTTTCTCCACATCCTCAAAAACATTTCTTATTGCCTGTTTTTTGGTTAAAAGCCATTTTGACTGAGATGAGCTGTTATCTCATTGTAGTTTTGATTTGCATTTCTCTGATGATCAGTGATGTTGAGCACCTTTTCATATGCACACTTGCCATTTGTATGTCTGCCTTTGAGACATGTCTATTCAAATATTTTGACCATTTTTT
Source organism: Homo sapiens (assembly GCF_000001405.40). Taxonomy (NCBI): domain Eukaryota; kingdom Metazoa; phylum Chordata; class Mammalia; order Primates; family Hominidae; genus Homo; species Homo sapiens. The sequence continues at coordinate 68,377,609 of NC_000002.12, forward strand.
GAATGGTTTATTAGATTTTTTTCCTCTAGAGTTGTCTGAGCTCCTGATATATTCTGGCTATCAATCCTTTGTCAGATGGGTAGTTTGCAAATATTTTCTGTCATTCTGTGGGTTGTCTCTTCACTTCGTTGCCTGTTTCCTTTGCTGTGCAAAAGCTTTTTACCTTGATGTGATCACATTTGCTTATTTTTGCTTTGGTTGTCTGTGCTTATAGGGTATTGCTCAAGAAATTTTTGGCCAGACCAATGTCTTGTAGATTTTCCCCAATATTTTCTTACAGTCATAATGTGATTTTAATTACCACCGTTCATTCCACAAATTATTGATTGAACACCTGACAATATGATGGTGAAGTAAGTTCTTGCCCCCCTGGAACATATAGTTGGGTGGCAATAGTTGACAGAGTGATTTTACACACTTTATATATAAAACATGTGTATACATATGTATTTAAAGATATATACACTGTATAATGTATATGTACATTATTCACATATAAGCATATGGCATGCATTATACACTTATATATACATATTTTATACATGATCTAAATCTAAACTATGCTTTAAGATGGAATTATTATCTCTCTCTTAGCAAACAAAAAGCCATGGCTCAGAAATATTAAACATTTTACCCAAAGACATGTACAACTAATAAGTGGTTGACATGAGGCTCAAATGTAGGTTCGAGTTTTGACCCCAAATCATAGCATACACTGAAGTATCCTAAATACTTCAAGCATCATTGGATGACATGTCATACAATAATGGAGGAGGCCTGCAAGTCTGAGGCAGGCCGGATTCTTCACAATCCCAAACCTTATTCCACCAGAAGAGAAACCAAAGGGAAGTGTGTTTCCTCACAAATACATTCATGCAGATCCTCAGGGCCTTCAGCTTTCCCATTCATTACTCCACATGGCAACTGGCTAAATATTTTTGACTCTTCCTCATTGGGATGATACTGATACCAGTTCATTGTCATTTTTCCAAGAATAGAGAGGATGAAAACTCAAAGCATGGAAGACATTCATACATGGCCATCTGTCAAGATACTTAATAATACAACCTCTCATTTGTAGAGCACATTCGAACTTATAAAATCTTATCCAAATTATTTCATTTCATATGTTCTAGAAATCTCTGAGGTAGTCATTCTTATCATTTTAGTGCTGGGAACTGAGCCTTAGAGAGGGCAAGTGGCTTACACAAGTGTGGGCAGTAAGAAAGTCATAGAACCAGCTGGGCGCGATGGCTCACACCTGTAATCCCAGCACTCTGGGAGGCTGAGGCAGAAGGAACACGAGATCAGGAGTTCAAGACCAGCCTGGCCAACACGGTGAAACCCCGTCTTTACTGAAAAAAATAACATAAATATTAGCTGGGTGTGGTTGTGCACACCTGTAATCCCAGCTACCTGGGAGGCTGAGGTGGGAGAATTGCTTGAACCTGACAGGCGGAGCTTGCAGTGAGCTGAGATCATGCAATTGCACTCCAGCCTGGGTGACAGAGGGAGAACCTGTCTCAAAAAAATAAAAATAAAAATAAAATTTAAAAAAAGAGACAGAGAGAGAGTGCTTGAGCTAGATCATCTAAGATTCAGCCAACCATCTCAGCAGTGTTACCAGAGCTTGTAAGTGAAGGCAGATTTGGGGTAAAACCAGCTTTTATTTATATGTGTCTTCAGTGAGTCAGATTAGTTGGTTTGCAGGCCATATTTTGAAAACCACTAGGCTTTAGAATATTTAATTCTTTCTCCAATTCTGACTAACCCTCCCAAGAATTGAAATGTTCTAAAACCCTGAAAAATGAAAACCCTTCCAACCGAACACCAATAATTATCATTTTTGTATTTTTCTCCTCAAAATAGGCAATTAAACATGTAAAAATAAATAAAGACTTCAAAAAAAGAAAGAACTATACTCTAAGATCATGTGTCAGATGTAGTTTCAGAAGCAAGATCTGCCGGCAGTTCTTACACATAGCGGGGGTGAGAATGTTTCTGTGAGGTGGGTCCTTTGTGGTTCTTAATGGTGTGAACCCGACATGAAAAGGGAGGTGCAGGGGAAATCATAGCAGGAAAGGGTTTGGGTGGGGATGAAGTAGATAATAAGAAGGATTGGTTGCTCTTTTCAATGAAGTGTGATAGCTGCTAGCATTTGGCAGTTTGGGAAATGATCTTCTTTTGTATTATTTTAATGAACATCCCCTGTGTGCTCAGTATCATGAACCAAGGAAAGTACCTGATAATGTAATTGCCATGGAGAAGGAAAGATAACCATACTGAAGACAATTAAAGAACTACATGAGGAAATATATAACAAAGTTCCAGGTTGTATGGCACAATCAGTGAGAAAAGCAGGAGGCACCCCTGAGATCACGGTGGGTCTGTGCAGTTCGGGAAGCCTCATCAATGAGGTGGCTAAGCTGAGCCTTGAAGGATATGGAGAGGTTAGGCAAGGTGAGAAAGAGGAGAGGGCAGAGTTGGGGAGGAGTATTCCAGAGAATGGGGTTGGCTTGAGCAAAGAGCCGGGAGTAGAAATGAGAATGGCTCCCCAAGTAGCCACTGATTTGAGAGGATTTGTGTTGAAGGAACAGAGATGATGTCACCAAACATTTTAAAAACCAACTGTAAGTAAATATAGAATCTTTCCTGTTAGGAGGAAAATACAGTTTGCAAAGAGCCCTGTCCATCTCAGCTCTTTTGGTTGTCATTACAGGGGAGCGTGTTCAATACGTGGAAACCCATGTGGGTTGTATTGTTAGAAGATGGAATTGAATTCTATAAGAAGAAAAGTGACAACAGCCCCAAAGGAATGATCCCGCTGAAAGGGAGCACTCTGACTAGCCCTTGTCAAGACTTTGGCAAAAGGATGGTAAGTTGACATCATGAGCTGCCGTGAACCCCTGGTCAGGCACTCAACTTTTGGTGCAAGCATTGCCTACAATGTGGGTGGTGCTCCTTGGGCTGGTCCCTCTCACCACCACCCACACCCCACCCTGGCATTTGGGTTTCTCTTGGCTAGAAGAGGTTTAGGCCAATGGCCTCTGCTTCATGAGGGGCCCCAAGCCCTTGAAATAAGCCATTTCTAATGGGATGTGTTTTGATTTTCAGTTTGTGTTTAAGATCACTACGACCAAACAGCAGGACCACTTCTTCCAGGCAGCCTTCCTGGAGGAGAGAGATGCCTGGGTTCGGGATATCAAGAAGGCCATTAAATGCATTGAAGGAGGCCAGAAATTTGCCAGGAAATCTACCAGGAGGTCCATTCGACTGCCAGAAACCATTGACTTAGGGTGATTTTCTGTGTTTACTTCTCTTTACCCATTCCTTCTGAAAGACACAAACATAGCAGATCCTGCTCCAAGGCTTGCTTTGACCACCTCTGATGTTGTATCCACTCTGCCAGGTCAATACTGGCACTTGGTGTACTAAAATGTTTACCTGGGTCTGAAGGAGTGATCCAAGGCCTACTAGCTGAGGAGAGGAGGCGAATGGAGTACAAATTCCCTCATACTGGGTACCAGAGAGAGAGAGAGAGAGAGAGAGAAAGAAACATCATCATTGCATTTATAACATAGCCATAATAAGTCAGTCTTGAAATAAAGCTTTAGGATCTTTAGGTAGAAAGGAAAAAGCAGGGGCTATGCATCCAAGCAAGCAAGGTTTCAAGTTCAAGTTCATTCATTTACACACTCAGGAAGGGCCAGCCAGGGTAAACACCCATCCTGGTGGAAGCCATTTATGTCCTGACCCAGTTTAATGGCCGCTGATGTTGGTTGGCTTGGAATTGCAGGTGATAGTTGTAGACTAAAGGTGGTCAGAGGCCAACAGGAAGATCTAGCTCCTGACAGAGGTTGGGAATGGGATTTCTTCCTTCCTGAGTATCTCACATCTTTGGTCACATGAGCCCCTTTCTCTAGGAGTCACTTTCTTCTTGGTAGTTTTGCTTTTTTGTTGAGCATTCCCTGAAGCAGGAGCCCTGTTGAGAAGAATCCCATGCCAGCTGCTTAAAATGTCCAACAAGAATTTTGTTTTTATGGAGGGTGGGGTGGGGAGAAGCACTGAGAGGAGCCTAAAGACATCCCTTCTGCACTTCTGCATGACGACACAAGACTTGGCATGGCACAGGAGTTTGACAAAGTTTGTGAACTGAGCTGAGTGAGACTCAGCAGCCTCCTTCACCACAAAAGCTTTTTGGCAAAGAGCTCCAACGAGGCACCTAGTGCAGCTGCAGCTGCTGATGGGGGCCATCGAGTGACCACAGTCCTGGCCAGTGCTGTCAGAACTAAGTGGGAAAAATGCTCGGGCTATAGGGAGCCACAGGCTACATGGAAGGGGCCTTCTGTTTTGTTGCTTAGAGCTTCTCTCGTAAGGCTATCTTTGATGTATTACTTCAAGGACAAAAATGAGAACTTCTCACCATTTTGCCTTATATCTCATCATTTTAAAGATAAGACATATGCTTAGTGGAAGCATTCACTTTCTTAAAGGCCAATGTCTACCACAGATGGTCCCTTGAAGAGCATTAAAGAATTGGGATATGAGGATTGAGGGACATTAAAGATGTAGAATGTGTAGAAAATGGACCCTAGGAACCTTTCATCTTTGACCTCTAAATTGGGGCAAATTTCCATCCCAGGAACCAATAATTAAATCAACAAACAGCTGAATGAATTTAAGAGAATTTAGGAGACGTTAAGTACCTTCCAGCATTGCTAAACGCTGTGCAGGCTACAGAGTTATGCAGATATGAATGTTGCCCCTCCACTACTTATGATCTGATGGAGGGAGATTAAGCTCAGGGGATACCTGGGGTGGGGGAGCTTGTGCTCACCTCCCAGAGAGAACTTACCATTCTGAAATGTTCCCCACTCATCCAACTGGGTTTTTTTTTGTTTGTTTGTTTGTTTGCTTTTTTATCTCTGTGCAGTGCCTTATATTTGTCCATGAAAGACACTGAAAAAGGAATAAAAGAACTGAATCTAGAGAAGGACAAGAAGATTTTTAATCACTGCTTCACAGGTAAAAGCACTTGCAGGCCTGAAATAGGGCGACTGGGAAGGCGATATGGAGTCCTCCTTCGGCCTCGTCTGTGAGGTGGGGGTATGAAGTATGGGGGTTGGAAGGGGTCCCAGAATGCAGCCTGGTGAGCCTGAGGATGAAGCTCCTACAGAGTGAAAATAGAAAGAAGTTTGTTGTTCAAGCTAACGATTTTGTTCAAGCTTTATTTGTTCAAGTTAACATTTGTTCAAGCTAACGTTCCAATCAAAGGATTTTTTTTCTCAATAAATGGCATTATGTTGAGACTTGCTAGAAATAGACACAGAATTGGATAAGATGCAACCCTTACTACAATAAACAGGGATTAAGGCATACAATGTAAGTTTTAAATGACAATATTAGGGCTATCAGAGGCTGCACAGGGTCAGGTATTAAGTGTTATGAGTTTAGGTAGTATGGTGTAGTGGTTAAAAACATGTCCTTTAGAGCCAGACCACCTTGGTTCAAATTCTGGCTCTGCAACTTACTAGTTATAAAACCTTGGCTCAATAACTTAGCCTCTCTGTGCTTCACTTTCTCTGTCTATTTAGTGGGGATAATCACAGTGCACCTACCTCATAGGCTTGCCATTATGTGTGTAGAGTAGTGCCTGGCACACACTCAGTGCTATATGGTGCAAGCTCAAGTGGTTATTGTGTTTTAAGTGGTCACATGTCTGTACAACCAATTCCAGGGGTTCAAAAAAAGAGAAAGAACTCAGGGGTTGATGGGATGAATAGGAGGTGGTACCCAAATTTGACCCTGAAAGATGGGTAGAATTTCATTAAATATTTACAGGAGGATTTTTAATGAGGAGCCAGGGCAGAGGATGAGCAGAGGATGGGCCAGGGCAGAGGATGAGCAGAGGATGGGCCAGGGCAGAGGATGAGCAGAGGATGGGCAAAGGATGGTGAGGACAAAGTTATGAGGCAGACATGTGCAGAATATGCATCTAGAAAAAGAAACTGACCAGCCTAGTAGGGCTGACGGTTCATCAGGGGGAGCAAAATGGGATGTACAATTTGGTACTAAGTTTGTCAGATACCAGGCCTGGCTTTCTTATGGTGACAGGAGAGATCAAAGGAAGAAAACTCTGAGCTGATACAGCAAATGTGGAATCTAAGAGGATGTGCCATCAACAGATAATCCATGAAATTGGTCCAGGTCAGGATCAGCAAGGCTAAGGGGAAAAGGCTTTGATCACTGACGATGAGATAGTCCCCCGTGGGAATAAGCCTCAGAGTCAAGGCAGCAGCCCAGCATCAGACAAGGCAGGGCTGAGATTTGGGATCAAGACACCAAGCTGTGGGTGGTGGTATGAGAAAGTGACAAGAACAAGGGAAGTTCCCAACTCTATCAGGACCGAGGTCACTGCAACAGCCTTGGGCAAAGGGAACAGGAGGGCATTTCAATGTAGACTTGGGCACCCAATCCAGGTCAGACTGATTTCCACTGTAATGTGTTACTGAGTCCCAGACTATTGGGCTGGTTTTTTTCTTCTTGTTCTCCTTCTCCTTCTCCTTCTCCTTCTCCTTCTCCTTCTCCTTCTCCTCCTTCTTCCTCTTGTTCTTATTCTTCTTTTCTCCTTTTTCCTCTTCCTCTTCTTTTTATTTGAGACGGAGTTTCACTTTTGTTGTTCAGGCTCACTGCAACCTCTGCCGCCCGGGTTCAAGCGTGATTCTCGTGCCTCAGCCTCCTGAGGAGCTGGGATTACAGATGTGCACCACCATGCCTGGCTAATTTTTGTATTTTTAGTAGATTCGGGGTTTCACCATGTTGGCCAGACTGGTCTCAAACTTCCAACCTCAGGTGATCTGCCTGCCTTGGCCTCTCAAAGTGGCCTGTAATCCCTAAGATTACAGGTGGGCTAGTACTTCTTAAATCCTTCTTGTTGAAGGCCAGGGTGGGTTTTGGACATTTCTATGGGTAGAGCCTTCATGGGGGAGTCAGGTGGCCTCGGCTGGGAGATGAAGGCTGTAGCAGAGACTGGGACCCAGCAGTACTGACACATGATGGAAGACCTTAAATGTCCGATGACAGGCAGACTAGACCAAACTTGTCTTTCAAGCTTCAGCATGCCTCACTGAGTGAGCGTGGATGCAAGGGTTAGAACACTTAAAAGTGACAGCCCAGAGCAGTTGTAACTTTGGCCTAAGATCACTCAGATTCCCTGAGCCTTAATTTTCTTATCCTTAAAATGAGGACTGCAATTACCACCCTGCCTCTTTCACAGGCTGCTATGAAGATAAAAAGAAGAAATGCAGTGTCACTTAGTTTATCTTTGTAGAGAAAGAAAAGTGAGCAAAAGCCTTTCATACATGAAATTCATGGAAGGCTCGCTATCCAACTGCTGTCACTCCTGTTTTGAGGGTGGCATCCCTACTGCTTTTGCCCGGATGACAGGACAGGCAGGCTGTCATGTTGACTCCCTTGTTGGCTACATTTGTAAGGAACACACTGCTTTTTATTTTTATCTTTTTTAATTGACACATAATAGTACGTATTTATGGGGCACAATTAATGTTCTGATACACATATACATTGTGCAGTGATCAAATCGTGGTAACTAGTGTATCCATCACCTCAAATATCTATCTTTTTTTGTTGTAAGAACAAACATGCTGTTTTTAATACAAAGCTTCATTGTAACCTGCTAATAATCCAATGTATGGGTCAATTTCATTTTCTTCTCTTTGCAATCATCTCTTGACCAGAAGATTGCTTAAATGACTTCTCAAGGTCCCTGCTAGACTCTGCAAAGTCATGACAATCAGTGCAGGTGATGTCATCAAATTTTAATTTAGGACATATATCCATCACATTATTTCCTATTTAAAAACTTAAAATGATTTCCCATTAGCCAAATTTCTTACTGTGCCATCAAAGCTCTCCCCACCCACCCTTCACCTCCCTCCTCCTCTTATTTCCTTTTGCCTTCTTTCCACCAACTCCTCCCCTGCCCCATGGGGCTGCTTTATGCCTGAGTGCATCTGTTCACACTGCTGCCCCCTCAGCTTGTGCTGGTTCCTCTGCATCCTGCTTCATATGCTTGGCAAACGCCTACTCATATTTTAAGCCTCTGCCCAGTGTCACTTCCTCTATGAATCTTTTCCTGATGGTGATGCACAGCCCTCTTCTCTCACCTCCTTCACCTCTTTCACACCTTCAGATTTGACCCAGTAGTCTCGCAACTGACTTATAGCAGAGCACTTGTTACAAGACTTATTTATTACACCCATCATGCCCTTTTACACTCCTTGAGGGAATTTCTCCAACACCCAGTAGAGTACCTAGCATCGAGTAGGTGCTCAGTAAATGTTTGTTCATCAATGGGATAAGTGAGTGGGTTAGTAAAACCTATTTCTTTGATGCATGTGTTGCTTTTTTTTAAGACAAAGACTTTATTTTTTTATTTTTAAAGTTATTATTTTTTTATTTTATTTTTGTTTTTATTTATTTATTTTTTATTATACTTTAAGTTTTAGGGTACATATTTTTTGAGATGGAGTCTTGTTATGTTGCCTGGGCTGGTCTTGAACTCCTGGGCTCAACTATCCTACTGCCTCAGCTTCCAGAGTAGCTGGGACAACAGGTGTGCCACCATACCTGGTCATGTGTTTCTTCTTAAGCAGCATGTAGATGTTCTTAAAAACCCTTTACATAGTTTTTTGTTTGTTTGTTTGTTTCTAGTGGGTATCTATCCCACTTATTTTGTTTTCTCTTTCTTGAAATAACAGGGGAGACGAGACAAGTCAGACCTGTGGGTGAGCTGGAGTCAGTTCAGGGGTGATTGTCAGGGGCTTGTTCTTCGGTAAGGAGAGTTAACCTTCCCTGTGCTGGTCCCATCTAGGTAACTGCGTCATTGATTGGCTGGTATCCAACCAGTCTGTTAGGAATCGCCAGGAAGGCCTCATGATTGCTTCATCGCTGCTCAATGAGGGGTATCTGCAGCCTGCTGGAGACATGTCCAAGAGTGCAGTGGATGGAACTGCTGAAAACCCTTTCCTGGACAACCCTGATGCCTTCTACTACTTTGTAAGAAAAGCTCCCCATCTCTTCTTCCTGTAAGGGAGGCTGCCCTGAGCAGATTCTAGATTGATTTCAGTTCATAGACATCTATAGAGCGCTGTTAGGCAGCGGGTAGGGAGGTCAGCCAGGAAGAACAAGGGAATACCTGAAGCTCCCAGGCCCATTTAGAGCTTCTGTTATACCAGCATTTCCCAACTCAACAGCTGCCCTCTCTACAACACTCGCCCTGTCCAAGTGAATTTGTTATTATAAAAGGATACTACTGTTTACTTGAAAAAAAATTTTTAAAGGACATTTTAAAGTTTATTGTTTCCTATTTACTTATTATTATTTTTTATTTATTTAGATGTAGTCTTGCTCTGTCACCCAGGCTGGAGTGCAGTGGTGTCATCTCGGCTCACTGCAACCTCCGCCTCCCGGGTTCAAGCGATTTTCCTGTCTCAGCTTCCCGAGTAGCTAGGATTACAGGCATGCGCCACCACACTCAGCTAATTTTCGTATTTTTAGTAAAGACAGCGTTTCACCATGTTGGCCAGGCTGGTCTCGAACTCCTGACCTCAAGTGATCCACCTGCCTCTGCCTCCCAACTATCTATTCTTATTCTAAGCAATAATTCATTTATAAAACTGTCTTAGACCCTAGTCCATGGCAAGCATTCTCTAAGACAAGAAGATACAGCCACGTAGACAAGCGTACTGGAGGGACAGGCAAAAATCCTGCCCTACTGCAGCTTCCTTTCCAGACAGGAGTCTATAAATCACAGGTTTGATGTATTAAGTGCATTATTCCAAATGTATGTTAAAACACATGACTCTTAATACAAAATGTGTCCACAGATGTCACTTCCTGCAGTCATCTTGTGTACCTCCCACAGTATGCTTACCCACGATTGGGAAACACTATATTATACAATGTGAACCTGTTCTTAGGCCATGTGAGCAATGGTGGATTTCTTGGGGGATTTTGGCAGTTTTGTTTCTATCTTGGATCAGAGCACAGAATTTAGGAAGTTACCTAAGAGAACCATTCTTCTTATAAACATGAAGTGAACACCCTAGAGGGTTTCATTTCACTTTAGGGGAAGTTCCACAGTCTGTTTTTTTTTTTTCTTCAGTCCTTTGATCTGGTCGTTTATAGCCATTTCAATGCAGGATTCTAAAAATACCCATCACAGTGGCTCCTCTTCCTCGGTCTGATTCATCATCTACTTTTGCTGAGCAAGTCCCACTTCCCTCATAACCTCAGGGGAAGAGGCTGGACACATGCTGTCACTTTTCTCCAAGAGGGGGCTCAGTGGCAAATGTTGAGCTGGTGATAGTATTGCCAATGAGAAATTAGCCTGCCCTGCTTTCAAGGATGTGACCATGATATCCCAAGAGAAGGAAGGCTTTGAAGGCAGACATGTGCCTGGTTAGGAAGATGGAGCTAAAGTTAGGATACAGCTTGGGAGACCCTCCAGAATAAAAGGATATTGACAAGATCACACCTGAGTGGAGACAAGAAAGGAACAGCCCCGGAAGCAAGTAAAAGGAGGAGGAGAAACTCGCTCATCAAGGACCTTTGAAGTTCAGATTGGGATGTACACAGGAATGGAGGAAAAAGGAGGAGGCTGCCCTCATGGCTGGAGGGGAGGGGGAATGGAGATGGCACAAGTTGCAATGTGCCTAAGACTGGTGATGTTAGCTTGCTGTTTGATTTTCCAACAGCCAGACAGTGGGTTCTTCTGTGAAGAGAATTCCAGTGATGATGATGTGATTCTGAAAGAAGAATTCAGAGGGGTCATTATCAAGCAGGGATGTTTACTGAAGCAGGTGAGTGGCCACAACTGCTCCCATCTAGCCTTTTCCCTTTACAAGGTCCTTTTTGTTTCTAAGTTACCCAGTGACTTTTGGTTTGTTTGGTTAATAGTCAAGCAGAAAATGAAACCCACAAAGTGAAAGATAGATGAGTAGCTCTTTAGATATCAAAGTGGCTTTAGATCAGGAAGATTGAGTTTGACAGGGCAGAAGATGTCCCTAAAAGTAGGAAAATGCCTCTTTTATCAATATCATAGGAAAAAAAAAGGTGTTTCAAGAAAAATATGGCCGGAGGAGATAAATTGTCTAAGAGATGCCATCCAAAAGACAAAGCTGTCTCATGGTAAAAGTACTTCCATTTTACCTGTCCCTCCTCCCTTCAAAGCAACCAGGAAAACAGGAACAGGCTACACCCAGAAGAGGAACAGAGTACACCACTGAGAGCAAAGAAGAGTCATTCCAGTCTGTGCTTAGGGCATGACAAGACCAAAACCTGGGCATGCAGAGGCCAGTTCACAGGAACAGCAGGCAAAAGTCAAATGCAGATTGAGGGCATGGACAGAGTCCTGGGGGGATGTCCAGGTGTCCACAGGTACAGGCCACCATCAGTCTTGGAGGCAAGGGCTGGAGAGTGCTGAGGAGCTCTAGTCGGTTACCAGGTGCCAAGGCATATGATGCCAAGAGGTAAGAGATGGACAGGGGCCAAGATGACTGAGGAAGCCAGGACCAGTACCTGGTGGAGGAAGTCGCAGGAAGACATGAGAATATTCAGGGGGAAGCTAGTTGATACTTGCACAAGGCATCTTAGAGGCCAAGGCTGCTTTGCAGGACCAAGGTCTTGCCTTCCTGGCTGCACTGTGAGCTGCCTTAAAAGTGCTGCTCAGTATATAATGGAGAGAATCTGTTGCCATCAGGAGATTTCCATGTACTGTCTATAGGCTCCACGGGACTGGGGGATCTGATTTATTTCATGTTAGGACCCTGAATGTCCATCTTAGTGATTAATGGAATGGGCAAGGAGGGAAGAACCAGAGAAGAGCCCATATTTACATTTATAAAGAGGGACTCTGGGCTGGGATAGCTGAAAGGAGGTATAGGTATGGATTTTGAGTTTCACAGGGGGAAGTGGGACATTCGAATGGAAAAATTACCTTCATATCAGGTTTTAAGAGAACAGTGTCCTAAGAAATATATGGCAAGAATTTATAAAGAATTCATGGACTATTATAGTATTTTTTTATGACAGGGTGACCAGCTGGCTAGATTAAAAGAAAGGCATGGGGCAGAGCCAGCCTTATGCCGGGAAGGCTCGGGCAGTTGCCTACGGACAGTTTGCCCGCTGCTGCTTTCTCGTTGGTTTTGCCAAATATTCCTATGTTCCTGGCTCTTTGATTGCAGGTGCTGGAATGTGGCTGTTAAGACAAGAAGAGTAACTTGGGAGGAAATTTCTTTATTTTGTTGATTTCTTCCATAATTCTATATTGTTATCAGTTATTTCTTGAATTAGTTGATTGGGCAAACCCTAATCTAGAATGGGGCTCTTGGAAAGCCAAGGATGAAGGCTAACAGTAGATAAAGTTGGGACTGGACTGGAGCCACGTCTCAGTGAAGCAGCCCAGTAGGAGACCTGGGATGGTCAAAAATTGTGTGTGGGTAATGAGTGTCTGGATGTATTTTGAAGACAATAGGGACAAGGATTGAACTTATGTGTTTTCCTTTGCCTTCCTTTGTCTGGCCTTTGATAGGTACAATTTAGCCTTAGCTAGCTCGGTTGGTGCACATTTGGATCTCCCAGGGAACTGTTAAAACTGCATGCCAGGCCAATTTAATCAGAGCCTCTGGATTTTTACAGCTCCCAAGTGATTCTGATGTGCAGCCAAAGCTGAGAACCACTGAGCCAGCCTTTTTCTTAAAAGCTAATTTATTCTATTATCAGTATACAAGTTAAATAGTCTTTCTTAGAAGCTTCCTTTTTATGTGAAGAAAACAGAAATCTACGTGCATTCAGGAATTTTGTTCTTTTACAATATTCTTTCCTCTGAATTTTTTTTCAGAGGTTGGGGAGCAAAAACCTCTTCGATTTGAATTGACACTTCCCCTTAATGTTTCTAATCTCTTAGCTCAGTGGTTAGTAACCATAGTTTACATCAAAATCACCCAAGGGATTTTCAGAATTTTAAAAACTTTTTCTTAAAATTCCAAAAGTAAGCCTCCCTTGTGTTTACTGCTGGGAGTTAGCCAGGATTAACTTCATAGAAGGCTTGTTATAATGGGAAGCCTCACAGATGGGAAGTAGCTGTGGCTAACTGGAGGCCATTATCCCTGCCCCATTATTTTCTCATCCCAGGATAAATAATCCTACTTGGCAGCAAGTTTGAGGATGAATGATCTTAGATTATATTCAGTATAATCCCTTTTTACATAATTGTTTCTGTTATGACAATGAATAAAGCATCTGCTTGTTTAATTCTCAACCACATTTAGATTCCTTGAGGGAGAGGAACAATGTGTTATATATGCTTCTCTTGTATCTGCTGCAGAGTTCAGCATCCTTCTTGATTTATCATAGGCAATGAACACTTGGGGAGCTAATTAAGTCAAATATAAGTAGATGGCTTTGACAGTTCAGTAACAATTCTTGGAAACCTGAGGCATACATGCATTTCTTAATACTCCTTAGAAAATGCTCATTAAGTGAAAGATGACCAGAAATGTACCTGCTAACTTCCAACTCTTCAACACGTCACATTGTGATGTCAGTGAGGGCTTAAAGGGAATATGGTGGTTGGCTGATTTCACATCCTCCTGTTACCTTCCTCTTCCATTGGCTCATAATAAGTTGGTGATTGTCCAGCAATTGCATAATACAGCATGACATGTGTGTCTGTCAGTGAAGAGGAAATGGTATGGGGTGGCAACTTTAGTGTCGTTATTCTGAAGGGCAACATTAGTTAAGGCAAAGAGCAGCAATGTATACTTTTGGAAGTCTATGCTTTGCAAAAGCCATTTTGGACATGATATAGCAGGTAGGAATATTTTCTGTCCTTGCATATGACTCTGCAGGGGTTCCAGCTCCATCCTTCAGGAAGTAGAAAGTTCTTTGGAAGTGAGTTCCTTCACCAAATGTTTTGCCAAAAAACTTAGGCCCATTTCTGAAAGCTTCCTTGAAGCACCTCTGGATTTATGAAGGAGGCACTGTTTGCTAAGACCACACATGTTTTATTGCTTTCAGCACAAGTAAAATGAAAAATGTTGGAAAATTTGTATACATGCTTGCCAATATGTGGTGCTTTAGAAATTACAAATAATATTTCTTGTATTGGCAAGATAGAAACTCCGTATCTTTTAATATAATACTATTTTTGGCTTCTGGAGTTAAGTCATTTGAATTTCCTGTGGGAAATCATAGAGTCAGGTTTACCATGACAGTTTAAAATCTGCTACACACTAATGGAAATAACTTGGTAACTCACAGCAAGTACAAACAGATATGAAGCAGCTGCTATATGCCAGGCACTGTGGCCCTGGGAAACAAAGATAAGCAAGACACAAATCCTGCCCTTAAAACTCAGTCTAGACAATGTCAGTGTTTAATTCTGTTGGGAAAGGCCAAGTCGTCACCTTCTTTCTTCTTCTTCTTTCTTTCTTCCTTCCTCTTTCCTTCCTCCTACCTTCCTCCCCCTTTTCTCCTCCTCCTCCTTCTTCTTCTTCTTCTTTCTCCTCCTCCTCCTCTTCCGCCTCTTCTTCTTCCTTCATCATGTCTGTTACAGCAACAGGCATTTCCATTCCTACTGCAGCTACCTAAGGTTTAGTTCCTAATGATTTTATGCCTGGATTATTGTGATCCTTCCCTAATGAATTCTTTTTTACTTACCATCTTTTCCTGGGCTTTCCTTTAATCTAGCCAGCTGGTCCATCCTGCACTTTGTCACCATATTAATCTTCTTAAAATGTAATTGTAATTCTTTCACTTCCTACTCAAAAGCCATCAACAACAAACCCTGCCTTTTATTTCCACTAAATCTCTGTCCACTTTTCCCACCTTGCCTCTGCTACTCTTCATGAACCCTACATTCTAGCCAGACTGGTCTTATTCATCAACACCTGAGTATGTCTCTTGCATTCCCACTTCTGCTCTTGTGTTGTCAGTTGTCCTCCTACCCACCTTTGTCTTGCCCATCTAAATCCTGTGTCCCACATGGATAAGTGCAGGTCTTTATGAGGCTTTCTTTGATATCCAAAGCCCACAATTACATATTCCCTACTTAATGCCTTTGGAATCCATTATCTATACCAATTATTTGATTTGGGCATTTGCTACTTTATATTTCAACATAGGTCATAAACTCTTTAAAGATCAGGGCATCTTAAACCTCTTTATTCCCCCTACATTACCTAACACAGCACATTGTACCTAGTACTGCCTTATATCATACTAAAACTGGAAGACAATAATTAGAAATAATTTAATCCACCTCTTCGATCTAATAACATCCATATTATTTATTGGCTGTAGCACTATCTCCCTGACAAAGACCTAGGCCGGGATATTGTTATCCTGGAGTTAGTATTTCATTTTCTCTTTCTTTTCTCAATTCAGCAAATAATTATTCTGTAGGTATTGTTTGTACAGAGTGATGCTGGGAATTCACCATCCCTTCTTTTAATGTTGATCCTGGATACAGGGGCATAGAAGGAAAAACTGGAAAGTGAGGAAGTTCATCTTGAGAGAAGACCCTGCCTACCTGCACTACTATGACCCTGCTGGGGTAAGGTCCTGTGGTTCATAAATCCATTCAAATAAATAAATCCACTGCATTTATAATCTGGGCTTCCTATTCCCCTCTCTACTCTGTTGATATCCCCTTTTTCTCTTTACTGGCCCACTTTTTTTTCTCCCATTCTCCTCTACCTTTTTCTATCCCCTTTCAATGCAAAGATCTGAGATCTTGGGCCTCTGAGGTCAGTATAAGCTTAGGGATGGAACAAAATATCACTATATTATAATTTATTTGGTCAACTCAACATATTTTTCCCCAATCTGATATTTTCAGGGGAATTAAATCAGTCCATGGTTTAATATGCATAAAGGTGATAATTCCTCATCCAGGTCAACTTGGATGAGGGTATTGTTTAAGTCCAGCAATTTGGGCTGTTGATTGTCGAAGAGGACTTTTTCCACCATAAAATGAACCACTTTTAAAGCATGAAGACAACTCTGGGTAGGGTGCTCACCCTCCGCTTGCAGCACTGGGCTATTTGACTTCCCCTGGGTGGTTATATTGCTGCATCAGGTGCATGGGACCAAAGAGCTCTGGAAACATGTAGCTCTTTTTTAGTGGGATACAGTGACCTCAGTGTCTCCACCTCTCCTGTCACTTTTCTCCAGATTGAAGTCCAGATCGTCTTGCATTTTCTCATTGAGCCTCCTGGCCCCACTGAAGCAGGGTGTGGAGGATCTGGAAGGACCTTAGATCTGTCAGCAGTTTTTCTTTAATCTCCTTCTGCTCTTACTTATTTTGGGGGGCCCTGATCTATATTAGAGTGAGTCTGGCTTTTTCACCAAGAGGATGAGGTCTATCTATACTCTGCATTTTGGAAACATAATGAACAACTCCTTTCTTCTTTAGGCAGAAGATCCCCTGGGAGCAATTCACTTGAGAGGCTGTGTGGTGACTTCAGTGGAGAGCAACTCAAATGGTAAGATGAATTTCTGTGTGAGAGAGGTGGGTCTGCTCAGACTCCCCTCCCACACCTGGACATCCTGGGCCAACATTAATCAATCAATCAATTAATCAGGATAAGCAGGAATGGGGCAGGCATGGTGGCTCCCACCTGTAATCCCGGCACTTTGGGAGGCCGAGGAGGGCAGATCACTTGTGATCAGGATTTCGAGACCAGCCTGGCTAACGTGGTGAAACCCCATCTCTACTAAAAATACAAAAATTAGCTGGGCATGGTGGCACATGCCTGTGAATTGTTTGAGCTTGGCAAGTTGCAATGAGCTGAGATTGTGCTACTGCACTCCAGCCTGGGTGACAGAGCAATACTCTGTCTCAAAAAAAAAAGCAGGAATGAATTTACTGTCTGAAAACCTTGGAGAAACCAGAGTTATTTTTTGTCTCCCAACTGCTGTCCAGGCTCTCCAGGCCTTGGGGAGTTGGATGGCTTTGTGGATGCCTCAAGCAAGTCCCTGAGCAATGCTGGGAAAACTCTATCACTTCACAATGGCTGAGAAGAAGAGCAGTGAGGGGGTTGCACTAGAGGACCCCAGACCACAAGGCTATGATTTGGTGCATGGAATAACCACGTGGGTGTAGTTTGACTTCTCAGGTGCTGAGGACAAATTGTATCTCTGGGGTGATGTGGTTTTGACATCCCAAACCCTGGTTTTGTCCTGACATTTTGGTTTGTAGTATGATAAAGGCTGACAGGAAAACATCATAACTGCAAATGCCTAGAGTTTTACTGTGCCTGAATTTGCCCACCTCCACTCCCACCACCTAGAATTATACTTTGGTTTTAGGGCAGGGAGCATGCTGGTTCTTTATTTGATTTGTGATGTTTTAAATCTTGTCACAGTATTGGCCAGGTTATTGCCTTTTAGTCTTCAGCAGAACTCTGACTTAGTGCTTGATGAAAAACAGTTCAGGCTATAACTTGTGGTACTGTTGGTAGGTCTGGCTTTGTGTATGTATATAAACATATATATATATACACACACACATCTGTATTATAAATATAAATATATAAATATATATTATAAATACAAATCTATATTAACAGAAAGACAGATAGATAGGTAGATATCAGGAGCAACCCTTGATTTATATTATGAGCAGAGGGAAGGTACCCATTAGAAACTATTAGAGGTTACTCATTAAACGCTGTTGCTATACAAAGGTGAGAAATTTAGTTTGCCTGTAAACTATGAAAGAAAATGTTTCTCCTTAAGTGTTTTACCTATTTCTTAAAAATATATATATACACACAGTCATACTATGTATCTACTCTATCAATACTATGTATATAACTGTGCAATGAATTATCCTATAATCATACCTTGTTTGTATGTTTGAAAGCCACATAGTCAATTTCCTTAGAACACGAAGAAAACAGAGATTTCATGGCTTGCAGAGGAGGGTGGAGCAAGTGGTCTTTCTGATGCCTGTGCGTGCTGCCATTTGCCTTCTCTTTCCCCAGGCAGGAAGAGTGAGGAAGAGAACCTTTTTGAGATCATCACAGCAGATGAAGTGCACTATTTCTTGCAAGCAGCCACCCCCAAGGAGCGCACAGAGTGGATCAGAGCCATCCAGATGGCCTCCCGAACTGGGAAGTAAAGAGACTCCTGCATTCCTCCTCCCCTCCTGAGGGAAGCCCATGGACAAGCTCAGTCCAGGACCTGTCCACTTCTGTGACAAATCAACGGGAAACAGCCCAGGGGTGGGAAGTTTTCATTTGCAGGGGGGTCTGAATGTAACTCACCATGTGGTGTGCAAGGTTCCCCTGCATTGTATTGCTCACTGCAGCCCCTCTGCCCCTATCCATGACCCCCAAGCAGATATAACAAGCTGTGCAGCCTCAGTAGGCTGCTTGCCCTCTCCAGGCCTCAGGGCCTCTTCTGGAAAATGAAGAAATTCAACTAGTAGATTCCTGAGGTCCCCCTAGCTTAAAAAAAAAAAAAATCTGCCCCATGATTCTAACACTCGCAGTAGTGATAGTGTATCTAGTTGTTCTGCTGGTGTCCTTCCTTGGCTAAGTCTTGGCCTTCAGTTATCTTCAAATGTACCAGAACCTGAGCCAACGCCTCCCTGTGAAACTGTTGCTGATCTGTAGTACAGTACCAGGAAGAAACCTCTTTTGTTCTCTTTAGACATCTTCTACTTGCTCTTGGCCTTGAGATCGTGTAACAAAATGAAGGAGGGCTCTCTTCTTTCTTCCTCATCCTACTCAAAAACTTCCCGAGAGCAGTGGTGGTTTTGAGGGTTTTGACTTCTATTACTTTTGGCAGCCTGGAAAGTTGTGTCTTCTGGGAAAGAGACCTGGGGAGGCCAGGAGTAGCTGAGGGTCCTTTCTGTGCCCTTAAACCGCCCAGAGGAGCCCTATTCCACTCTGGTTTTAGGCTGATCTGAGAGGGTCTCCCTTTGTTCCTTTCTGGAGCATTTCTCTAACGTTTATTACAATTAGGAGGGGGACCCCACATCTGTGAGATTCTGTTTCATTTGAGGTTTACAGAAAAAAAAAAGTGGCCAGATGTGTTCCCCCCATGGGTGAGAGGCCTGGGCAACTGCCTGGTGAATGTGTCTTGCGGCAGCTGCAGCAAGTGGAGGGGCTGAACTACTGGCCAGCTCACTGGATGATGGGTTAATACAACAACTGCACTGTAAGGACTCAGAGCCACACAGAACTTCTGAGAGGGGCTGTTAGCATTGCGCAGCATCTTCAGTTCTCCAGTAAATGATATTGCGTTCGTGCCTCAGCTTTAAGCACAAGTAGCAGCAGCTCCTGCTTGAGTTCTGAGGGCATCATGGCCCTATGATTAACCAGAGTGATCTAACCTAGACTAAAATTGGGAACTTATTTGCAATTTTTGACCCTGACCACTAACTAGTGATTCTTCTCCAAAATTGAGAAAGACAGCACCCATTGAAGCAGATATGTGTGTGAAAGTATATTTTTCAATTCCAGATTTTTAATTTTAAGGCTCCAGGAAAGAAAGGAGAGTAGAACATTTTTCCTCATTTTATCAAATCCTCTCTTGCCCTCCCTCAATTCCCCTGTAACATTCCTGAAGCTGTTCCCACTCCCAGATGGTTTTATCAATAGCCTAGAGGTAAAGAACTGTCTTTTTCTCTGATTCTTTAATAAATTATCTTTATAGAATATGCACAAGTTTTTCTACACTCAGTGTTAAAGTATTTATTAATGGGAAGTCAACTTAATGTTTTGAAATAAATATATGACTCTGTTTAATGCATTTTTGGTGTGATGACTCTGTTTTGCCTCCTATTGATAACTCTCCCCTCTGGCCGGGCACGGTGGCTCATGCCTGTAATCCCAATATTTGAGAGGCCAAGGCGGGTGGATCACTTGAGGTCAGGAGTTCGAGATCAGCCTGGCCAACATGGTGAAACACTGTCTCTACTAAAAAAAAACAAAACAAACAAACAAACAAATAACTCTCCTTTCTTACAACTCAGTTTTATTTACTAAGGGTAACACTATCTTTTATTTTTCATCATCTCAATAGCTTTATGATTTTTAAAATTTATTTTATGTTAAGTTCTGGGGTACATGTGCACAACATGCAGGTTTGTTACATAGGTACACATGTGAATTGTTGGTTTGCTGCACCCATCAACTTGTCATTTACATTAGGTATTTCTCCTGATGCTATCCCTCCCCCAGTCCGCCACCCCCTAACAGGCTCCAGTGTGTGATTTTCTCCTCCCCGTGTCCATGTGTTCTCATTGTTTAACTCCCACTTATGAGTGAGAACATGAGGCGTTTGGTTTTCTCTTCTTGTGTTAGTTTGCTGAGAATGATGGTTTGCAGCTTAATCCATGTTCCTGCAAAGGACATGAACTCATCCTTTTTTATGGCTGCATAGTATTCTATGGTGTATATGTGCCACATTTTCTTTATCCAGTCTATCATTGATGGGGATTTGGGTTGGTTCCAACACTTTGCTATTGTGAAGAGTGCTGCAATAAACATATGTGTGCATGTGTCTTTATAGTAGAATTATTTATAATTCCTTGGGTATATACCCAGTCATAAGATTGCTTTGTCAAATGGTATTTCTAGTTCTACATCCATGAGGAATCACCACACTGTCTTCCACAGTGGTTGAACTAATTTATACTCCCACCAACAGTGTAAAAGCATTCCTATTTCTCCACATCCTCTCCAGCATCTGTTGTTTCCTGACTTTTTAATGATCAACATTCTAACTGGGGTGAGATGGTATCACATTGTGGTTTTGATTTGTGTTTCTCTAATAACCAGTGATGATGCGCATTTTTTCATAAGTTTGTTGGCTGCATAAATGTCTTCTTTTGAGAAGTGTCTGTTCATGTCCTTCACCCATTTTTTGATGGGGTTGTTGTTTTTTTTCTTGTAAATTTGTTTACGTTCTTTGTAGATTTTGGATATTAGCCCTTTGTCAGATAGATAGATTGCAAAAATTTTCTCCCCATCTGTAGGTTGCCTGTTCACTCTGATGATAGTTTCTTTTGCTGTGCAGAAGCTCCTTAGTTTAATTAGATCCCATTTGTCTATTTTGGCTTCTGTTGCCATTGCTTTTGGTGTTTTAGTCATGAAGTCTTAGCCCATGCCTATGTCCTGAATGGTATTGCCTAGGTTTTCTTCTAGGGTTTCTATGGTTTTATGTCTTATGTTTAAGTGTTTAATCCATCTTGAGTTAATTTTTGTATAAGATGTAAGGAAGGGATCCAGTTTCAGCTTTTTGCCTATGGCTAGTCAGTTTGCCCAGCACCATTTATAAAATAGGGAATCCTTTTCCCATTGCTTGTTTTTGTCAGGTTTGTCAAAGATCAGATGGTTGTAGATGTGTGGCATTATTTCTGAGGCCTCTATTCTGTTCCGTTGGTCTATATATCTGCTTCAGTAACAGTACCATGCTGTTTTGGTTACTGTAGCCTTGTAGCACAGTTTGAAGTCAGGTAGTGTGATGCCTCCAGCTTTGTTCTTTTTGCTTAGGATTGTCTTGGCTATGCAGGCTCTTTTTTGGTTCCATATGAAATTTAAAGTAGTTTTTCCAATTCTGTGAAGAAAGTCGGTGGTAGCTTGATGGGGATAGCATTGAATCTATAAATTACTTTGGGCAGTATGGCCATTTTCATGATATCAATTCTTCCTATCCATGAGCATGGAATGTTCTTCCATTTGTTTGTGTCCTCTGTTATTTCCTTGAGCAGTGGTTTGTAGTTCTCCTTGAAGAGGTCCTTTACATCCCTTGTAAGTTGTATTCCTAGGTGTTTCATTCACTTTGTAGACTTTTTGAATGGGAGTTCACTCATGATTTGACTCTCCGTTTGTCTGTTATTGGTGTATAGGAATGCTTGTGACATTTGCACATTGATTTTGTATCCTGAGACTTTGCTGAAGTTGCTTATCAGCTTAAGGAGATTTTGGGCTGAGACTATGGGGTTTTCTAAATATACAATCATGTCATCTGCTAACAGAGACAATTTGACTTCCTCTCTTCCTATTTGAATACCCTTTATTTCTTTCTCTTGCCCGATTGCCCTGGCCAGATCTTCCAACACTATGTTGAATCAGAGTGGTGAGAGAGGGCATCCTTGTCTTTGCTGGTTTTCAAAGGGAAATCTTCCAGCTTTTGTCCATTCAGTAAGATACTGGCTGTGAGTTTGTCACAAATAGCTCTTGTTATTTTGAGATGTGTTCCTTCAATACCTAGTTTATTGAGGGTTTTTAGCATGAAGGCTGTTGAATTTTATCAAAAGCCTTTTCTGCATCTATTGAGATAATTATGTGGTTTTTGTCATTGGTTCTGTTTATGTGATGGATTATGTTAATTGATTTGCGTATATTGAACCAGCCTTGCATCTCAGGGATAAAGCCAACCTGATCGTGTTGGATAAGCTTTTTGATGTGCTGCTGGATTCAGTTTGCCGGTATTTTTTTTGAGGATTTTCGAATTGATGTTCATCAGGAACATTGGCCTAAAATTTTCGTTTTTTTTGTGTGTCTCTGCCAGGTTTTGGTATCAGGATGATGCTGGCCTCATGAAATGAGTTAAGGAGGATTCCCTCTTTTTCTATTGATTGGAATAGTTTCAGAAGGAATAGTACCAGCTCCTCTTTGTACCTCTGGTAGAATTCAGCTGTGAATCCATCTGGTCCTAGACTTTTTTTGGTTGGTAGGCTATTAGTTATTGCCTCAATTACACAACCTGTTATTGGTCTATTCAGAGATTTGACTTCTTCCTGGTTTAGTCTTGGGAGGGTGTATTTGTCCAGGAATTTATCCATTTCTTCCAGATTTTCTAGTTTATTTGCATAGAGTTGTGTACAGTATTCTCTGATTGTAGTTTGTATTTCTGTGGGATCAGTGGTGATATCCCCTTTACCATTTTTATTGCGTCTATTTGATTCTTCTCTCTTTTCTTCTTTATTAGTCTGGCTAGTGGTCTATCTATTTTGTTGATCTTTTCAAAAAATCAGGTCCTGGATTCACTGATTTTTTGAAGGGTTCTTTGTGTCTCTATCTCCTTCAGTTCTGCTCTGATCTTAGTTATTTTTTGCCTCCTGCTAGCTTTTAAATTTGTTTGTTGTTGCTTCTCTAGTTCTTTTAATTGTGATGTTAGGGTGTCAATTTTAGATCTTTCCTGATTTCTCTTGTGGGCATTTAGTGCTATCAATTTTCCTCTAAACACTGCTTTAGCTGTGTCCCAGAGATGTTGATACATTGTGACTTTGTTCTCATTGGTTTCAAATAACTTATTTCTGCCTTCATTTTGTTATTTACCCAGTAGTCATGCAGGAGCAGATTGCTCAGTTTCCATGTAGTTGTGTGGTTTTGAGTGAGTTTCTTAATCCTGAGTTCTAATTTGATTGCACTGTGGTCTGAGCAACTGTTTGTTATCATTTCCATTCTTTTGCATTTGCTGAGGAGTGTTTTACTTCAACTATGTGGTCAATTTTAGAATAAGTGTGATGTGGTGCTGAGAAGAACGTATATTCTGCTAATTTGGGGTGGAGAGTTCTGTAGATGTCTATTAGGTCTGCTTGGTCCAAAGCTGAGTTCAAGTCCTGGATATCCTTAGTAATTTTCTGTCTCATTGATCTGTCTAATACTGACAATGGGGTGTTAAGGTCTCCCACCATTATTGTGTGGGAGTCTAAGTCTCTTTATAGGTCTCTAAGAACTTGCTTTATGAATCTGGGTGCTCCTGTATTGGGTGCATATATATTTAGGATAGTTAGCTCTTCTTGTTGCATTGATCCCTTTACCATTATATGATGCCCTTCTTTTTCTCTTTTGATCTTTGTTGGTTTAAAGTCTGTTTTATTAGAGACTAGGATTGCAACCTCTGCTTTTTCTTTTCTTTCCATTTGCTTGGTAAATCTTCCTGCATCTCTTTCTTTTGAGCCTATGTGTGTCTTTGCAGGTGAGATGGGTCTCCTGAATACAGCACATTGATGGGTCTTGACTCTTTATCCAATTTGCCAGTCTGTGTCTTTTAATTGGGGGCATTTAGCCCATTTACATTTAAGGTTAATATTGTTATGTGTGAATTTGATCCTGTCATTATGATGCTAGCTGATTATTTTGCCTGTTAGTTGATGCAGTTTCTTCATAGCATTGATGGTCTTTACAATTTGGCATGTTTTTGCAGTGGCTGGTACCGGTTGTTCCTTTCCATGTTTAGTGCTTCCTTCAGGAGCTCATGTAAGGCAAACCTGGTGGTGACAAAATCTCTCAGCATTTGCTTGTCTGTAAAGGCTTTTATTTCTTCTTCTCTTATGAAACTTAGTTTGGCTGGACATGAAATTCTGGGTTGAAAATTCTTTTCTTTAAGAATGTTGAATATTGGCCCCCACTCTCTTCTGGCTTGCAGGGTTTCTGCAGAGAGATCAGCTGTTAGTCTGATGGGCCTCCCCTTGTGGGTAACCCAACCTTTCTCTCTGGCTGCCCTTAACATTTATTCCTTCATTTCAACCTTTGTGAATCTGATGATTATGTTTCTTGGGGTTGCTCTTCTCAAGGAATATCTTTGTGGTGTTCTCTGTATTTCCTGAATTTGAATGTTGGCCTGCCTTGCTAGGTTAGGGAAGTTCTCCTGAATAATATCCTGGAGAATGTTTTTCCAACTTGGTTCCATTTTCCCCATCAGTTTCAGGTACACCAATCAAACGCTGATTTGGTCTTTTCACATAGTCCCATATTTCTTGGAGGCTTTGGTCATTCTTTTTCACTCTTTCTTCTCTAATTTTGTCTTCTCACTTTATTTCATTAAGTTGGTTTTCAATCACTGATATCCTTTCTTCCTCTTGATCGATTCAGCTATTGATATTTGTGTATGCTTCACAAAGTTCTTGTGCTGTGTTTTTCAGCCTTATCAGTTCATTTATGTTCTTCTCTAAACTGGTTATTCTAGTTAGCAATTTGTCTAACCTTTTTTCAAGGTTCTTAGCTTCCTTGCATTAGGTTAGAACATGCTCCTGTAGCTCAGATGAGTTTGTTATTATCCACCTTGTGAAGCCCACTTCTGTCAATTCGTCAAACTCATTATGCATCCAATTTTTTTCCCCTTGCTGGCGAGGATTTGTGATCCTTTGGAGGAGAAGAGACATTCTGGTTTTTGGAATTTTCACCTTTCTGTGCTTGTTTCTCCCCATCTTTGTGGTTTTATCTACCTTTGGTTTTTGATGGTGACCTACAGATGGTGTGGATGTCCTTTTTGTTGATGTTGATGCTATTCCTTTCTGTTTGTTAGTTTTCCTTCTAACAGTCAGGCCTCTCAGCTGCAGGTCTGTTGGTGTTTGCTGGAGGTCCACTCCTGACCTTTTTTGCCTGAGTACCACCAGCGGAAGCTGCAGAACTGCAAATATTGCTGTCTGATCCTTCCTCTGGAAGTTTGCCCCAGAGGGGCACCCACCAGATGCCAGCCAGAGCTCTCCTGTATGAGGTGTCTGTTGGCCCCTGTGGAAGGTGTCTCCCAGTCAGGCTACACGAGTGTCAGGGATCCACTTGAAGAGGCAGTCTGCCCGTTATCAGAGCTCAAATGCTGTGCTGGGAGAACAACTGCTCTCTTCAGAGGTGTCAGGCAGGGACGTTTAGGTCTGCTGAAGCAGTGCCCACAGCTGCCCCTTCCCTCAGCTGCTCTGTCCCAGGGAGATGGGGGTTTTATCTGTAAGTCCCTGACTGGGGCCTCTGGCTTTTGCTCAGAGATATGCTGCCCACAGAGGTGGAACCTAGAGAGGCAGTCAGCCTTGCTGAGCTGTGGTGAACTCCACCCAGTTCAAACTTCCCAGAGGCTTTGTTTACACTGTGAGCATAAAACCACCTACTCAAGCCTCAGCAATGGCTGACACCCCTCTCCCTGCCAAGCTCCAGCTTCCTAGGTTGGTCTCAGACTGCTGCGCTAGCAGCGAGAATTTCAAGCCAATGGATCTTAGCTTGCTGGCTCCATGGGCATGGGACCCACAGAGCCAGGCACTGGAGGGAATCTCCTGTTCAATCTACGGTTGTGAAGACCTTGGGAAAAGTGCAATAACTGGGCAGGAGTGTACCATTCCTCCCAGTACAATCTCTCATGGCTTCCCTTAGCTAGGAAAGAGAAATCTCCCAACTCCTTGCATTTCCTGGGTGAGGCGATGCCCCACCCAGCTTCAGCTCACCCTCCATGGGCTGCACCCACTGTCCAACCAGTCCCATTGAGATGAACAAGTTACCTCAGTTGGAAATACAGGAATCACTAGTCTTCTGTGTCGATCTCGCTGGGAGCTGCAGACCGGAGCTGTTCCTATTCAGCCATCTTGCCAGAAATCCCCGCTTTTTAAAACAAAATCTATTCTAAGGGATAATAAAAATATAGGAAAAGCATATCTTTACTTTCTTAAGAAAGTAGGCTTAAGAAATAGGAAGATTTATGGACAGTCTTCATCACTGATTTTTAATTTACAAGATCTTGATTACAACGATTAGGCAAAAAAAAATCCAATAAAGATATAAAAACTACTTACATTAGGGGAAAAGAAGTTTCCTACTGAACGGCTGCCATGTATGTTTGAGCAGAATGTACACCACTGTGTAAGTCCAGAGGGCACTATTCACATTGTAACCTAGGTAACTGTTGTCCCTTGGGGCTTGCATTACACAGTTTGCATATCTGTACACAGTAGCCTGACAAGTAATCAAAGAATCATTAAGGCTTCCTAACATGGGCAATTGATTCTTCCTGGTAGAATGAAAGTGTCACTTGTCAAAGTGGATATTTAAAGGATAGGTATAGATGTTTTTGTCTGAGCCTCTTTGGCTGAGAAATCAAGCTTAGGCCCTCCCATACATAGTACTAGGATAATCCACATGGGTCTGAACCCCAGAGTGACAGACTTTATCCCCAGTGATGTGAAGGAAGCCGTATACAAACTGTCAAATGCATTAGAAGAAGACTTAAAGCTGAAAAGAAAGGATGGTTAGCATTTACTCAGGATTCCAGTTTAAAGCAGGGGAAAAACAAATTATAAAATAATCAATTGTGGAGGTATTAAGAAAGTTTATGTAAAAGAGGAAAATGTCTTTTGCATCATGTGACTGATAATAAGTCAGAAAAATAAAGATTTCAATCTGAAAAATTTAACATGCTTTGGGAAAAATAGAAGTAGGAATGTAAGGTGAGAATCTTACAGATGGCTGAAAATATAGTACTAGAAGTGACTGGCAAGATGGCCGAATAGGAACAGCTTCCATCTGCAGCTCACAGAGAGATCAACGCAGAAGGCAGGTGATTTCTGGATTTCCACTGAGGTATTCTGCTTATCTCACTGGGACTGGTTAGACAGTGGGTGCAGCCCACAGAAGGCAAGCCGAAGCAGTGTGGGGTGTGGCCTCACCTGGGAAGCGCAAGGGGTTGGGGAACTCCCTCCCCTAACCAAGGGAAGCCGTGAGAGACTGTGCCGTGAGGGACGGTGCACTCCTGCCAGATACTATGCTTTTCCAACAGTCTTTGCAACCCGCAGACCAGGAGATTCCCTCGAGTGCCTATGCCA
Organism: Homo sapiens; assembly: GCF_000001405.40. NCBI lineage: Eukaryota > Metazoa > Chordata > Mammalia > Primates > Hominidae > Homo > Homo sapiens. The sequence goes on from NC_000002.12 coordinate 68,405,237, forward strand.
CCAGGTCCGTGGGTTTCAAGTACAAAACTGGGTAGCCATTTGGACAGACACCGAGCTAGCTGCAAGGAGTTTTTTCTCATACACCAGTGGCACCTGGAATGTCAGTGAGAACCCTTCACTCCCCTGGAAAGGGGGCTGAAGCCAGGGAGCCAAGTGATGTAGCTCAGCGGATCCCACCTCCACAGAGCCCCACAAGCTAAGACGTACTGGCTTGAAATTCTCACTGCCAGCACAGCAGTCTGAAGTTGACCTGGGATGCTCAAGCTGGGTGGGGAAAGGGGCGTCTGCCAGTACAAAGGCTTGAGTAGGCAGTTTTCCCCTCACTTTAAACAAAGCCTCTGGGAAGTTCGGACTGGGCAGAGCCCTCTGCAGCTCTGCAAAGCCACTGTAGCGAGACTGCCTCTCGAGATGCCTCCGCTCTGGGCAGGGCACCTCTGAAAGAAAGGTAGCAGCCCCAGTCAGGGGCTTATAGATAAAACTCCCATCTCCATGGGAAAGAGCACCTGGGTGAAGAGGTGGCTGTGGGCACAGTTTCAGCAAACTGAAACGTTCCTGCCTGCAAGCGCTGAAGAGAGCAGCAGATCTCCCAGCACAGTGCTCAAGCTCTGCTAAGGGACAGACTGCCTCCTCAAGTGGGTCCCTGCCCCCCTGTGCCTCCTGACTGGGAGACACCTTCCATCAGGGGTTGACAGACTTCATATGGGACAACTCCAGCTGGCATCTGGCAGGTGCCCCTCTAGGGCAATGCTTCCAGAGGAAGAAACAGGCAGCAATCTTTCTTGTTCTGCAGCCTCTGCTGGTGAGACCCAGGCAAAGAGGGTCTGGAGTGGACCTCCAGCGAACTCCAGCAGACCTGCAGCAGAGGGGCCTGACTGTTAGAAGGAAAACTAACAAACAGAAAGGAATAGCATCAACATCAAATAAAAAGGACGTCCACACAGAAACCCCATCCGAAGGTCACCAACATCAAAGGCCAAAGGTAGATAAATCCATGAAGATGAGGAAAAACCAGCACAAAAGGCTGAAAATTCCAAAAATCAGAATGCCTCTTCTCCTCCAAAGGATCACAAATCCTCACCAGCAAGGGAAAAAAACAGGATGGAGAATGAGTTTGATGAATTGACAGAGGCAAGCTTCAGAAGGTGGGTAATAACAAACTCATCCGAGCTAAAGGAGCATGTTCTAACCCAATGCAAGGAAGCTAAGAACCTTGAAAAAAGGTTAGATGAATTGCTAGCTAGAATAACCAGTTTAGAGAAGAAATAAATGACATGATGGAGCTGAAAAACACAGCACAAGAACTTTGTGAAGCATACACAAGTATCAATAGCCAAATCGATCAAGCAGAAGAAAGGATAGCAGAGATTAAAGATAAAATTAATGAAATAAAGTGTGAAGACAAGATTAGGGAGAAAAGAATGAAAAGGAATGAACAAAGCCTCCAAGAAATATGGGACTATGTGAAAAGACCAAACCTATGTTTGATTGGTGTACCTGGAAGTGACAGGGAGAATGGAACCAGATTGGAAAACACTCTTCAGGATATTATCCAGGACAACTTCCCCAACCTAGCAAGACAGGCCAACATTCAAATTCAGGAAATACAGAGACCTCCACAAAGATACTCCTTGAGAAGAGCAACCCCAAGACATATAATCATCAGATTGACCAAGGTTGAAATGAAGGAAAAAATGTTAAGGGCAGCCAGAGAGAAAGGTCAGGTTACCCACAAATGGAAGCCCATCAAACTAACAGCTGATCTCTCTGCAGAAACCCTGCAAGCCAGAAGAGAGTGGGGGCCAATATTCGACATTCTTAAATAAAAGAATTTTCAACCCAGAATTTCATGTCCAGCCAAACTAAGTTTCATAAGAGAAGAAGAAATAAAATCCTTTACAGACAAGCAAATGCTTAGAGATTTTGTCACCATCAGGACTGCCTTACAAGAGCTCCTGAAGGAAGCACTATGTAAACATGGAAAGGAACAACCGGTACCAGCCACTGCAAAAACATGCCAAATTGTAAAGACTATCAATGCTATGAAGAAAGTGCATAACTAATGGGAAAATAATCAGCTAGCATCATAATGACAGGATCAAATTCACACATAACAATATTAACCTTAAATGTAAATGGGCTAAATGCTCCCAATTTAAAGACACAGACTGGCAAATTGGATAAAGAGTCAAGACCCATCAATGTGCTGTATTCAGGAGACCCATCTCACCTGCAAAGACACATATAGGCTCAAAAGAAAGAGATGCAGGAAAATTTACCAAGCAAATGGAAAGAAAAAATAAAAAGCAGTGGTTGCAATCCTAGTCCCTGATAAAACAGACTTTAAACCAACAAAGATCAAAAGAGAAAAAGAAGGGCATTATATAATGGTAAAGGGATCAATGCAACAAGAAGAGCTAACTGTCCTAAATATATATGCACCCAATACAGGAGCACCCAGATTCATAAAGCAAGTTCTTAGAGACCTACAAAGAGACTTAGACTCCCACACAATAATAGTGGGAGACTTTAACACCCCACTGTCAATATTAGAAAGAATATTGAGACAGAAAATTACTAAGGATATCCAGGACTTGAACTCAGCTTTGGACCAAGCAGACCTAATAGACATCTACAGAACTCTCCACCCCAAATTAGCAGAATATACATTCTTGTCAGCACTACATCACACTTATTCTAAAATTGACCACATAATTGGAAGGAAAACACTCCTCAGCAAATGCAAAAGAATGGAAATGATAACAAACAGTTGCTCAGACCACAGTGCAATCAAATTAGAACTCAGGATTAAGAAACTCACTCAAAACCACACAACTACATGGAAACTGAGCAATCTGCTCCTGCATGACTACTGGGTAAATAACAAAATGAAGGCAGAAATAAGTTATTTGAAACCAATGAGAACAAAGTCACAATGTATCAACATCTCTGGGACACAGCTAAAGCAGTGTTTAGAGGAAAATTGATAGCACTAAATGCCCACAAGAGAAATCAGGAAAGATCTAAAATTGACACCCTAACATCACAATTAAAAGAACTAGAGAAGCAACAGCAAACAAATTTAAAAGCTAGCAGAAGGCAAGAAATAACTAAGATCAGAGCAGAACTGAAGGAGATAGAGACAGTGAATCCAGGACGTGATTTTTTGAAAAGATCAACAAAATAGATAGACAACTAGCCAGACTAGTAAAGAAGAAAAGAGAGAAGACTCAAATAGATGCAATAAAAAATGATAAAGGGGATATCACCACTGGTCCCACAGAAATACAAACTACAATCAGAGAATACTGTACACACCTCTATGCAAATAAACTAGAAAATCTGGAAGAAATGGATAAATTCCTGGACCAATACACCCTCCCAAGACTAAACCAGGAAGAAGTCAAATCTCTGAATAGACCAATAACACGTTGTGTAATTGAGGCAATAATTAATAGCCTACCAACCAAAAAAAGTCTAGGACCAGATGGATTCACAGCTGAATTCTACCAGAGGTACAAAGAGGAGCTGGTACCATTCCTTCTGAAACTATTCCAATAAATAGAAAAAGAGGGAATCCTCCCTAACTCATTTCATGAAGCCAGCATCATCCTGATACCAAAACCTGGCAAAGACACAACAAAAAATGAAAATTTTAGGCCAGTATCCCTGATGAACATCAATTTGAAAATCCTCAAAAAAAATACTGGCAAACTGAATCCAGCAGCACATCAAAAATCTTATCCACCATGATCAAGTTGGCTTTATCCCTGCGATGCAAGGCTGGTTCAACATATGCAAATAAATAAATGTAATCCATCACATAAACAGAACCAATGACAAAAACCACATAATTATCTCAATAGATGCAGAAAAGGCCTTTGATAAAATTCAACAGCCCTTCATGCTAAAAACTCTCAATAAACTAGGTATTGAAGGAACGTATCTCAAAATAGTAAGAGCCATTTATGACAAACCCACAGCCCATATCATACTAAATGAGCAAAAGATGGAAGCATTGCCTTTGAAAACCAGCAAAGACAAGGATGCGCTCTCTCACCACTCTGATTCAACATAGTATTGGAAGATCTGGCCAGGGAAATCAGGCCAGAGAAAGAAATAAAGGTATTCAAATAGGAAGAGAGGAAGTCAAATTGTCTCTGTTAGCAGATGACATGATTGTATATTTAGAAAACCCCATAGTCTCAGTCCAAAATCTCCTTAAGCTGATAAGCGACTTCAGCAAAGTCTCAGGATACAAAATCAGTGTGCAAAAATCACAAGCATTCCTATATACCAATAGTAGACAGAGAGTCAAATCTTGAGTGAACTCCCATTCACAATGTCTACAAAGAGAATAAAATACCTAGGAATACAACTTACAAGGGATGGGAAGGACCTCTTCAAAGAGAACTACAAACCCCTGCTCAAGAAAATAACAGAGGACACAAACAAATGGAAAAACATTCCATGCTCATGGATAGGAAGAATCAATATTGTGAAAAATGACCATACTGCCCAAAGTAATTTATAGATTCAATGCTATGCCCATCAAGCAAATATCGACTTTCTTCACAGAATTAGAAACACCTACTTTAAATTTCATATGGAACCAAAAAAGAGCCTGTATAGCCAAGAGAACCCTAAGCAAAAAGAACAAAGCTGGAGGCATCATGCTACCTGACTTCAAACTATGCTACAAGGCTACAGTAACCAAAACACCCTGGTACTGGTACTAAACAGATATATATATATACCAATGCAACAGAATAGAGGCCTCAGAAATAACACCACACATCTACAGCCATCTGATCTTTGACAAACCTGATTAAAACAAGCAATGGGGAAACGATTCCCTGTTTAATAAATGGTGTTGGGAAAACTGACTAGCCATATGCAGGAAGCTGAAACTGGATCCCTTCCTTACACCTTATACAAAAATTAACTCAAGATGGATTAAAGACTTAAACGTAAGACATAAAAACATAAAAACCCTAGAAGAAAGCCTAGGCAATATCATTCAGGACATAGGCAAAGACTTCATGACTAAAACACCAAAAGCAATGGCAACGAAAGCCAAAATAGACAAATGGGATCTAGTTAAACTAAAGAACTTCTACACAGCAAAAGAAACTATCAACAGAGTGAACAGGAAACCTACAGAATGGGAGAAAATTTTTGCAATCTATCAATCTGACAAAGGGCTAATATCCAGAATCTACAAAGCACTTAAATTTGGAAGAAAAAACCCAACAACTTTATCGAAAGTGGGTGAAAGATATGAAAAGACACTTCTCAAAAGAAGACATTTACGTGGCCAACAAACATATGAAAAAAAGCTCATTATCACTGGTCATTAGAGAAACACAAATCAAAACCACAATGAGATACCATCTCACACCAGTTAGAGTGGCAATCATTAAAAAGTCAGGAAACAGCAGATGCTGGAGAGGATGTGGAGAAATAGGAATGCTTTTACACTGTTGGTGGGAGTATAAATTAGTTCAACCATTGTGGAAGACAGTGTGGCAATTCCTCAAGGATCTAGAACTAGAAATACCATTTGACCCAGCAATCTTATTACTGTGCATATACTCAAAGGATTATAAATAATTCTACTATAAAGACACATGCTAATGTATGTTTATTGCAGCACTATTCACAATAGCAAAGACTTGGAACCAACCCAAATCCCCATCAATGATAGACTGGATAAAGAAAATGTGGCACATATGCATCATGGAATACTATGCAACCTTTAAAAAAGGATGAGTTCATGTCCTTTGCAGGGACATGGATGAAGCTGGAAACCATCATTCTCAGCAAACACAGAAAGAGAAAACCAAACACCACATGTTCTCACTCATAAGTGGGAGTTGAACAATGAGAACACATGGACACAGGGAGGGGAACATCACACACCAGAGCCTGTTGGGGGGTTGGGGGCTAGGGGAGGGACAGCATTAGGAGAAATACCTAATGTAGTTGACGGGCTGATGGGTGCAGCAAACCACCGTGGCACTTGTATCACTTGTATACCTATGTAACAAACCTGCACGTTCTGCACATGTATCCCAGAACTTAAAGTATAATAATAAAAAAAAGAAAATATATTACTGATTTAAGGAGAGATATTAAGCTTCTCTTGTAGATACACACAGAAATATACACACATACAGTGGCTAAAATTCTACCCGTAGAGAACGGTTTCCAAAAGCAGAATGAGGAACTTCCTTGGGTTAAAATAGCAACAGTGAGCCAGGCAAGGTGGTATATGCTTGTCAGCTACTTGAGAGACTGAGATAGGAGGATCCCTTGAGACCAGAAGTTCAAGGCTGTAGTATGCAATCATCATGCCTATGAATAGTTACTGCACTCCAGCCTGTGGAACATGGTGAGACCTCATCTCTAAAAAACAAACAGACAAAGAAAACCCTAGTCTCTTCGTGTTTGTTTGTAGCAAGCTAAACAGAGGGTCATCATCATTTCTTTTGGATGTTGTGTGAAACCTGATATAGACAATCCTCATCAGCCTTAGGGTAAAAAGAAAATCACTAAAGTAATTACTTAATATTTTGGATTCCATTTTGGGTTCTGCTTTAAATAAGGAATTTCAGAACTGCAAGGTGTATTGGGAGATGTCATAGAGGAAAGCGTAGAAGAAAGAGAAAGAAAGTTATGAGGAAGTTAATTTAGCTTCTTTAAAAAAATAAACCTAGTGTGAAATTATAGCCCTCAGTGGTTTTGGCTCAGTTTCAGGGTAAAGGGAAGGTAAAATTTAGCTGTCACTGAGGGAGAAAAAAGAGGATGGGAGGAGAGTTTTTCTAACACCACATTTGCTATTTAATTTGAGCTGCAGTAAGTTTCAAGGGGAAAATGCACAAGGCTGTTAATGGGAGGTCAAGTGGTAGAGTGGGAAAGGCAGTGGTCTTGGAGCCTGGAGCCTCAGTTTGAATTCCTGGTTTTACTGCATTTGTGACATATCTTGAGTATCAGTTTCTTTGTCTCTAAAACGAAAATAGTATTCTTCTCATAGGCTTGTTGTTAGGACTAAATGAAATAATACCTGTAAGTCACCTGAAATGGGTGGCACTCCACAAGTTCTAGTTTCCTTTCCTCTGACCCCTCTGCTGTAGAAGGTACTCATGGCAATCTACACTCTGTAGTAGTGGCTTTCAACTTTTGGTCTATGTCAGAATTGCCTGTGGAATTTTTTTCATGGAACTTATGCCTGAGGCCCAACTTTAGGAATTCTGATTTCCTAAGCATGCGGTAGGGTCTATATACTTGCACTGCTGCTTTTTAAAAAAATGATCGGTAATTTCTACCAAAATTAAAGTTAAAAACTACCGATAAATTGCTTGACTCTCCACTGCTTACAGTTCAGACACTGATGCAATAGCCTAGCATTTAAGGGCCTTCACAAACTGGCCCTGACTTCCCTTTCCAGAAGGATTTCCCCTCTGCTCTCCTTCACTACAGACATACTGGCCTCTTGTTGGTCCTTGGAGGATTGTCAGCTTTTGCAACCTTGACTTGCCTATATAACCCCATGGCCTAGAACATTCTCTGCTCCAGCTCTCTGTTTCTCTTATTCTTCTTTTTTCTTGAAGGCTTAGCCCTCCCTGTTATTCATTGTACTTTTCCCCACTTCCATGATAGACCGTCTGCCACAGAATATCTCTACCATCTATTTGCACCAGGCATTTACAAATAGTCACATATCGTGTTGGATGTTTTAGGGTTGGTGTTTTTTGGGGTCAGAAAAGTATTCGTGCTTCATAATTTTTTCAATCCTTTCTGATGCTTAACATGGTGCTTGTGCATAGTGGGTACATTATCAATAGCTGATGGAATGAAGTAATTACTGTTATCATGAGGAGGCTCCTTATACAGGAATACCTTGTTTTACTGCATGTTGCTTTATTGTGCTCCTCAGATATTGCTTTTTTGTTTGTTTGTTTTTTGTTTTTTTGTTTGTTTTTTTTTTTTTTTTTTTTTTTTTACAAATTATAGGTTTCTGGCGACCCTGCATGGAGTAAGTCTATCAGCACCATTTTTCCAACAGCATGCACTCACTTTGTGTCTCTGTGGCACATTTTGGTAATTCCTGCAATATTTCAAACTTTTTCATGCTTATTATATCTGTTATGGTGATCTGTGATCAGTAATCTTTGAGGTTACTATTGTTATTGTTTTGGGACACTATGAACCATGCCCATCTAAGTCCACAAACTTAGTAAATATCTGTTGACTGCTCCACTGATTGGCTGTTTCCCCATCTCTCTCCCTTTCCTTAGGCCTCACTATTCTCTGAAACACAACAATATTGAAATTAGGCCAATTAATAACTCTACAATGGCCTCTAAGTGTTCAAGTGAAAGGAAGAGTCGCACATCTGTCACTTAAAGTCAAAAGCTAGAGATGATTACTCTTAGTGAGGAAGGCGTGCTGACAGCTGAGACAGGCTGAAAGCTAGGACTTGTGTGCCAGACAGTTAGCCAAGTTGTGAATTCAGAGGAGAAGTATCTGGAGGAAATTAAAAGTGTAACTTTAGTGAGCACATTAATGGTAAGAAAGTGAAGCAGCCTTATTGCTGCTATGGAGAAAGTTTTAGTGGCCTGGATAGAAAATCAGGCCTGGCATGGTGGCTCGCACCTGTAATCCCAGCATTTTGGGAGGCCTAGGTGGGCAGATCGCCTGAGCTCAGGAGTTTGAGACCAGTCTGGGCAACATGGTGAAACCCAAATAAAAAAAATACAAAAAATTAGCCGGCTGTGGTGGCATTAGCCTGTGGTCCTAGCTGCTTGGAAGGCTGAGGTGGGAGGATCTCTTCAGCCTGGGAGGTCAAAGCTGCAGTGAGCCAAGCTTGTGCCACTGCACTCCAGCCTGGGTGACAGAGGGAGACCCTGTCTCAAAAAAGAAAATCAAACCAGTCATGATATTCCCTTAAGCTAAAGCCTAATCCAGAGCAAGGCCCTCAACACTGGGGCAAGACTCTCCACCAGCAAAAAGATTGTGACTCACTGAAGGCTCAGATGATTGTTAGTATTTTTTAGCAATAAAGCACTTTTAAATGAAGGTTCGTACATTGTTTTCCTAGACATAATGCTATTGCATACTTCATAGACTACAGTGTAGTGTAAACATAACTTTTATATGCACTGGGAAACCAAAAAAATTGTGTGACTCCCTTTATTGTGATATTTCGGTGGTTGGAACTGAATCTGTGATATCTCCAAGGTATCCTGTGTATTGATGTGAGTTTAGGAAGATCACTGCAGCTGTAATAGCAAATCTGTCCTGTCTGCTACCACCAGCCTACATACTTTATGTTAACTCAGTTAACTTTCATAACAACCTCAGGTTTTACCATATTATTCCCATTTTACAGATGAGGATATTGTGGCACAGAGAGGTGAAGTGACTTGTCCAAGGTCACACAGCTAGGAATTGACAGAGTCAGTGTTCTAGCCCATTCTGGCTGATCCCAGAGTTCATGCTTTTAATTCCCATTTTAAAATTCCCCTTCATTATATCAGCTAGAGTTTAGTTAGTGCTCACTGTGAGTGCCAGGGCCTTGCTCTATGGCATAGAAATTTCTCACTTAATTTGCACAACAATCACGTGAGGCAGCTTCATTCCCGTTTTACACGTGAAGAAAATGAGGTTCATCAGCTTGCTCAAAAGCCCTAGGCCAGTAGTGAAAAGAGATTCAAATCCAGGTCCACCTGGCTTCTGAATCCATGCACTTAAGCACTTGGCTCTGTTGTGGGTCTATTTAGTTCCTACCAACTTTTGGCTAGCTATCTTGTTGCCATGGGAACCCCTGGCTTATTGTGCCCACCACTCATGTCCTATCAGCTGCAGCAACATTTCCCGTTAGGCCACAGCCAGCCATGACATTGTGTCCTAGGCTTTTCTTTGTTTAAAGGAAAACCTCTATGGTCAGATACAGCCATGCAAGTAGCTCTGCCCTGCTGATATTGGTTTTGAGGCTTCTGGGGATTTTATTCTCTAACATCATGTCACAAAACATTTTCCTGATAGCATGCATGTGTCTATTTATATATACATACTTGTGCATGTGTGAATGTACTTAAAAACTTTAAGCCTAAGTCTACGATGATAAGCACTGGGTTTATGCCCTTTGAAGAACAGCTTGATAGTTTCTTGAAAAGCTAAACACACACCATTCACTCCACTCGTAGATATACATCCAAGAGAAAAAACTGCTGTGTGATCAAAAGCCATGTTTTGTCAATAATATGAAAACAAAGAACATAATAAAAAAGAGGGGTGCTTTACCAAATATATATGAGTGGCAAATAAATATATGAAAAGATGTTCATTGTCATTAGTCTTTAGGGAAATGCAGATTAAACCTATAATGAGATACTACTGCATATTTATTAGAATGTCCAAAATTATAAGGACTGACAACTCCAAGTGTTGACAAGAGTGTGGAGGAATTGAAACTCTCATACACTGCTGGTGGAAAAGTAAAATGGTACAACCACTTTGGAGAACAGCTTGACAGTTTCTTAAAAAGCTAAAGACACAGTATTTACTCCACTTCTAGATATATATCCAAGAGAAATGAATGCCTATGTCCACACAAAACTTGTACATTAATGTTCATTGCAGCTTTCTTTGTGATTGTCAAAACAGGAAACAACCTAAATATCAAACAAAAGGTTAACAGAGAAACAAATTATGTATATTCATACAATGGTATACTTCTCAGCAATAAAAATAAATGAACTATTGCTATGTGCAACATGGATGAATCTCAAAATAAGTATGCTAAGTGAAAAAGGCCAGATAAAAATGAGTACATTCTGTGTATCTTTGATAAAAGTTTCTAGAAAATGCAAATAGTCTATAATAACAGAAAACAGATCAGTGGTTGCCTGGGTGTTACAGGATTCCTTTGGTGCTGCTTTGCCAGCCAGAAATCTCTGTGGCTGCTTTTGCCTCTGCCCAGGCCTTGCTTGGGCCCACTGGGCTCGCTCTGCCTGCTTAGCCTGGCAGGCTGGGCTCAGCTCATGCCCTGGCTGGGATCCTGCACCCACTGTGACTCTGCGCTCAGCCTGTGGCTGAATAGGGTGTGCCACAAGTGACTTCCACCTTGGACACTAGAATCTAGACAAGGGGAATGTGGTGGTGCCCGAAAACTTGGAGATGGCAGCAATCGTGGAGCCCCAAACGGTGTTACAGCTCTTGCTCGGGGAGTCCCAAGGTCTGAACCCCTAAGCGTTGTTGCAGCTCTTCACTCCCCTAGCTTGGCAAGTGGGAGCATGTCACAGCTCTCTTTCTCCTATAGTCTGGCGAGCAGGTGTGTGTGTTAACAAACCCTTTTATTCCCACTGCCTGCAGCTCAGTGGGCAGAAGGGCGGGTTACAGCTCATTCATTCCTGTCACCTGCAGCTAGGTGAACAGGAGGGTTAGAGCCCATTTGTTCCCACTACCTGCAGCTTGAGGAATGGGAGGGTGCAGCACCAGCAGCTTTTTTCACTCCTGCCATTCAGCAGGTTCTGGGTTCTTGTCGCACAACCAAGAAGAATGTGGTACATGGACACTGGAGAGTGAGTAAGGCGGAGAAGAATTTTATCGAGTGACAGAAGGAAAGCTCTCAGTTGAGAGGAGATCCTGAGTGGGTAGCTGTCTGTGTGGCTGAGTCCGGGGTTTTTATGGCCTTAGAATGGGAGAATGCAAGCTGATTGGTCCATGGGTGGTCTTCGGAAAAAGCACCATTTGATTGGTTAAAAAGCATCATCCAGAAGGAACCAATCAAGAGAGATAGGGTAAGATGGGGATAGCAGGTCTCACTCCTCACTCCGGTCATGGACTCTATCTGGAACAGGCAGCTCGGTTTTTCAGACTTTAGGCCGTCTTTGGCTTGATGGTTGGGTTTCACTGGGGACCTGTCCCTGTTTGCCTAGGAATTTGTCTGTCTCCTATTGCTATCATGAGGATAAGGGGAGGGCAAAGAGGAATAATTGGTGGAAGGAATTACAAAGGGAAAATAAAATTTTTGAGAGGAATGGATTTGTCCATATATCTTGATTGCAGTAATGGTTTTTACAGGTAGATACATATATCAAAACTTGCCAAATTTTATACTTTAAATATACACAGTTTACTGTATGTCAGTTATATCCCAATAAGGCCATGCTTTGCACATAGAAGGCTGTGAATCCAGAGTTTGGCAGACACAGCACCCTGAAGTGTGAATAGCTGCCCAGGACTTTCTTTGCTGAGTTCCCCTGATCTCAGCACTCTTCAGGGGCTGGCCCAGGAGAAGTCAACAGGATTTAAAGCACCATCCCTCATTTCTGGTGAGGGGAGCAGCATCTGAGGGCAGCAAGATCCTCTGTCAGCAGAGGGAATCTCAGGCAGCTTCACTCCAGTTCTTATGACGGCAGGAGGCTGGCCTTACAGCTTTAGAAAGGTTGTCAAGCTAAAGACTTAATATTAGGAGGGTGCCTGATTAATACTCAAAGAGTGAGAACTCTCAGCCTGAACTTCGCATCCCCAAAGCGTTGTGGTGTATCCAAATTTCACTTGTGCAGGGAAGGAGGAGGAAATGGGGGAATGTGGAAGGGAGTGAGGTGTGTCTGAGCAGAGTCAAGACATCACCAGGAAGTTGTTTTCCTAAACACCCCCAACCCCAAATCTCTCACATTGACCTGCTTTGTTGTAACTTGCCTCTTTTCTTTTAAAAATGAAACATAGATGAAAATTCCTATTATTTTGGAGTTCTGATCAGTGGGGTTTTGCTTGGTTAAAAGTTTCTTGTAATTGGAGAAGTTCTCTCTGAATGACAGCTCAGAGGAAATAGAGTTTCTGAAGTGTGCAAACCCATAAAGCCAAGCAGCTTCCCAAACAAGGCCAGAGTGACACAGAGGTGGTGAACCTAGAAGTGGAGCACTCACACTGAGACAGAAGCACTGTTTGCTTTGTGTTCAGACAAGGAGCGTGTAGAAGACACTAACAGAGGATCATCTGCTGGAGTTGAATAATTTTAAATGATTCTGAATTTTTCTACCACTTCTACAGAAGGGTATAATATCTCATAATCTGTAGACAGGTTAAATACCAGGCCTGCTTCATTAGTTCCTAACTAACCTTTCTGAGCCTTGTATATGCATGTGTGATATGAGCATATTGATACTTAGCTTGCACTGTTGATGTGAGGATTAAATAAGATAATGTAAATAAAATGACACTAATGTGGATATTCAATATATGGTAGTTTAACAAGATGTTAAAATGAGATTCTTTTTGTCTGTATTCAGCTGAAGCTCTCAAAAGAACCAGAACCAAATAGTAGGTGGCAAGTACTCCCACATCAAAGCAATGTGGGACTTGCAAAGGGATGGCCAAAAGCCAGTTCTGCAACTCTTAGCTCTTCTCCCATCTGGAAGATCTAAAAAGGCTGAAGAACCTCGGGAGGCTAGCTGGAAATTAGAGAAATAGTTCCTTTGGGGAAAACAGTTGCATTGCAATGGAATTTTTCTTTCCCCTCCATGGGGGTGGTGGGAGGGTGTTTCCCTTTACCCCAAACAGACTGTGAGGTGGTTCAAGAAGGCTCTGACCTTGACCTGTGTCAGTTAGAATCTGTGTAGCCCAGAGGCTGGTGGCAGATCATGCCTGGAAACAGCCTAAAGGCCAGAGGCTGTGGCTGACTGGTGCCCTGGTGGCAGAGGAAATGGCTGCACTGGAATCAGCCTGTGCTCCTGCATTGCCAGGGTAAAGGATGCCTGAGTGAGGGCTTCCCATTGCAGACAAGCAGGATAAGGCCCTGTGGGTCTGGTGAAAATCCTGCCAAAGAGGACTGCCGGAACAGCAGGGGTATGATCTCAACAAAGGGGATGACCACCCGATTCTCAGAGGCTGAAAGAGAAAATGTAGGCAGCCAGCCACAGGAACACAGGTGGCCTGCCTCATGGGAAGCGCATCTGAATGCTGCTGGGGTGAGGGTGGGGGTGAGGGGTAGAAGAAATGTTTCTAAGCCCTCCTCCAAAAGGCAGGTTTGAACATCTACAAGCTGACAGGAGACCAATACCAGGTTAGATTGGCACCAAGAAAGGATGAGTTTTCCTGCCCCTGGCTCCCATTTGCCCCCACCCTACCTTATTTCTAGAAGAGCTGAAGGAAGCAGGGACAGGCACAGGACAGGGAAATAGAGAAGACCTCGCCACATCAGCCACCCTGCCCACTACAGGCTTCTCCAGCCTCGCAGTCCCGACTTGAAAAAGGCAGACTCCTCAACCCTAAATGAGATTCAGAGTATTGGATGGAATGTTATATTTTAATTACTGAGTCGAGATGGTTTTGTGACTCAAAGTGGCTGGAAGTCTTTTTATTCTCTAAGAGAGATGGGGAATATGATAGAACCTGCCTGAGAGTCCGTGCTGGGGTGGGGAAAGAACTGATTTGAATGGGTTATGGAAGGAAAAAAATTAAAGGCTTATTCTGATGGCCTCCTAGGAGCCTGGCTTATTCAACATAATTGTTACAGTAGCTATTGTTATAGGGAGATATTATTCACAAAGACAAACGTGGTAGTCTTGAAGGTTTGCTCACTGTATAATCCCAGCTCTCTGTCTTCCAGGGACATGGTAGGGCTGTACTTCCCAGCCCCTGGGTTTGGGAAGTACAGTCAGTTCATTGTTGAGCATTTCATTGTGGTGTAAGATCCTCTGGAGCTCTCTTTTCTCTGTCGATGTACAGACCCACCCTACAGCCACTGTGTAGCCACATGTAGCCACTGAGCACTTGTAAGTGGCTAGTCCAAATTGAGATGTGCTATAAGTGAAAAGGACATACCGGATTTCGAAGACTTAGTACAAAAAAATGCATGTAAAATATCTCATCAATAATTTTTGTATTTTATAACTTGTTGACAAGATGCTATTTTGAATATAATGGGTTAAATTAAAAATATTATTGAAATTAATTTTATGTGCTTCTTTTTACAGTTTAAAATATGGCTATTAGAAAATTTAGAGTCACACAGGTGGCTCACATTTGTGGCTTGCATTATGTTTTTATTGGACGATATGGTTCCTGACAGTTGTTCCCTTTTCAGTCTGCATGGTTCCTAAAGTGAGGCTGTCAAAAACATGGGTAGATACCACAGACAACCGACAATGGATGCATAATGGAGCAAGAATAAGTGTTTGCTGTTTTAAAGCACTGGGGCTTGAGGTTGCTTGTTATTGCATCATGCATACCCTAGCTATCTCAGCTGATTTAGCAGGGAGGAGAAAGGCAGCAGAAGTGAACTCACTCACCATCCTATCCTCTGAAATCTCCACAAATGTCTATTTTTCTTCTTTAGACCCCTCATCTCCATGCCCAACAACTGGAAACATCAGAATCTTTTTAGAATTTTCCTCATCCTCTGTATTGGACTCTGGTTGAGTAGTAATTCAGGAGAATGGCAAATCTAATATCACCGTGTGGGTTTTCCTTTGTCATCAATGTCTGGACACACAAGGGAGATAACTTTCTGCTTGTCTTGTTTTTGGGTACCAATGAGGCCATTGTAAGGCCAGAAGACTCACTGCCTTAGTTTGGCCATGTGTTTCCTGTTGCAGTGAGTGATGCAGTTGGATAAAGCAGACACACTCTTTCTGTTGTGCCTCCTTTCCCATTTCCTGCAAAGTTGTAAGGGGCTGGGATTGCCACAGCAGATGTAACTTCATTTGAGGAGATTTGAACTTGTTCATATTTTCTTGACAACATTCATAGGGAGTTTTCCTTTGATTCTTAAGCAAACAGTGTTTCAATAGGGGAATAATGCACATTTGAAGATACTAGGGATGGCAGCATCTAACCTCTATCTTGCTGCTTAAGGAATTTAGTATAAACAGTCACTTTTGCAGTCTTCTGACTCTGAAAAATCTTTGGTGAATGGTTATGGATAGAATTGGCTGGATTGGAGTCCTTGGTTGCATTTAAGACTTGGTGATTGGCAATCAGTAGAGTTTCCTACTGTTATTAACCAGTTGTGTGCTCTTGGGCAAGTCTTTTGCCCTTTGGGCCTCTCCATGGCATATTCACATTAGAGTTTTCTAAGCTCATTCTGACCACATTGTGGAGGCTGTTTGGAGCTAGGCATCACTGGGAGAATAATGGCAGTCACACATGTTATCATAATCCAGGTGAGAGGTGACTAGGTTTGAATCACAGCAGGGAAGGTAAGGCAGGTGGGAGTTAAGTTCAATTGGCAGCTCCACAAATATTTAGAGGTTCCACCCTATGTCGGAACTGTGCTAAGATGGGAGGTAACCGAGACTTACTCTCTTGCCCTCAAGAACCCCTCCTTCTTGGAGAGAGAAGAGCTCCTAAGTTAATGATTTCGGCATCCCCTGGTTGCTCAGTGCTATGATGGGCAGATAAGTGGGGACAAATGGACTGTTCAGAGAGGGGTTCCTAGAAATGATAGTAACAGAGCACAGCTTTAAAGGACAAACAGGATGAAAAAGCTAAGAGATTCGAAAGCCACCTAAGAGGAAGAACCAGCAAGACAGGAAAGATTCTAAGATGATTGCCAGTTTAGGACTTAGTGACCTGGATGATGGTCATTTCACTGATGAGTATAGCAAATACAAATGAACAACTTTGTTAGGGGAAAGAATGATGCATTTAGATAGGGAAATATGGAATTGAAAGTTCCAGTTAGGAATCCAGGAGTGAATGCCCAGTAGCAGTTAGAGATCTACAGGACTGGAGCAAAGGAGAAAGGTCACAATGGAGTTTTACACTAACGAGTCATTTCTGTGGGTATGAAGTGGTAAGAATGGGTGAAAATGCCCAGGGAGAACAAGAGCCCATGCATTCATTCTCTCATGCGTTCAGTATATATTAAGAGTCCACTGTGTGGTGATTGAAGAAATGTGAGAGCAACCTGGTAGAGTGCATTCCTTAAAGACAAGCAGGAGTGTAGACTCTTCTTTCAAGAAACCTGATTGTGCAGGGAAAGAATCAAATAAAGTGATAATTAGTTGGAAAAGGAGACCAAGGGAGAACCGCATAGATGATCACTGTGATGGAATTATACCTTCACATCTAGAAAATACCCTAAAAAGTAAGAAACATTCTGGAGTTGAAAATTTCATTGAATTTTTAATCTACACTTGAGAAAAACTTTTCTGTCAATGAGAGAAAAAATAACTTAAACATTTTCAGTTGATCATACACATAACTGTTAATATTGTTAAAATTTACAGTGATTTAATCATATTTATTTCTTTATATATTTATTTTTTAAGATGGAGTCTTGCTTTGTCGCCAGGCTGGAGTGCAGTGGCACGATCTCGGCTCACTGCAACCTCCGTCTCCCAGGTTCAAGTGATTCTCCTGCCTCAGCCTCCCGAGCAGCTGGGACTATAGGCACCTGCAACCATGCCCAGCTAATTTTTGTGTTTTTAGAGAGATGGGGTTTCACCACGTTGGCCAGGATGGTCTTGATCTCTCGACCACATGATCTGCCCTCCTTGGCCTCCCAAAGCACTGGGATTACAGGCATGAGCCACTGTGCCCGGCCCATCATATTTATTATTGTAATTGTTCACTTCTATCTATTATCTGATTCTTCTTCTCTGCAAATGGATTTAGAAGATTTATGTGTCAAAAGAAATTGATAGAACAAATGTTAATTGAACATCTCCTGAGCTGGATGTGTTACACAGGTGCAGAAAAGTGAAGACTCAATCCTGCCCTCTGGGGCTTAGCATCTGTTGAGAAAGATTAATGCCACTGAACCACATAGATGATCACTGTGATGGAATTATATCTTCACTTCTAGAAAATACCCTAAAAAGTAAGAAAGTGGAAATGTTGAGGAAAGTCCAGAAAACTGGCTTTAGGTACTATTTGTGTTGAATGAATAACTAAAGAACCTGAGTGTTGCCTTTTTTCCTTGTAGGCAATGGGGAGCCATTTATTAAAGGGGGCCTGGATGTAGCTAGCTTGGAGGAAGGTGTATTAGTTCATTCTCATGCTGCTATAAAGAACTTCCCAAGACTGGGTAATTTATAAAGAAAAGAAGTTTAAAAGTTCTGCAAGACTAGATAGGCCTCAGGAAACTTACAATCATGGCAGTAGTGGGGGTGGGGGCAGGGGGGTGGAAAACACATCCTTCTTCACCTGGTAGCAGGAAGGTGAAGAGTGAGAGCCAAGCAAAGGGGGAAGCCCCTTATAAAACCATTAGATCTCATGAGAACTTACTATCATGAGAGCAGCAAGGGGGAAACTGCCCCCATGATTCAATTACCTCTCACCAGGTCCCTCCTATGACATGTGAGGATTATGGGAACTACAATTCAAGATGAGATTTGGGTGGGGACCCAGCCAAACCATATCAGAAGGTGACTCCAGAGATGGGGAAATTAATTAGTGGACTACTGTAGTATATCTCTATGGGAGGTGAGAAGAGTGTCAGTAGCAGAAAGAATGATGAACAGAACCATTTCAAAGGAAGAATCTACAGATTGCAATGAGTAAGATGGTGAGAGTTAAGAGGTGTTTTCCATTCTTTGGGAAGAGCAGTTCCTTAAGAGAAAAAGGAAAGTCATAGCATGAGGATGGATTTGGAACATGAGTTTGAAGGTAAGGGGAGAGAGTCAGGATGCAGAGACTGACTTAGACTCATGAGCAAAGAAGTAACAGCTGAAGTCCTAGGAGATGCGTTCACCAAAAACGAATATGTAGAATTGAGAAATTGATATAGGTCACCTGAGAAGACTCATGAGTGGAGATCAGGAGTAGAAAGATGAGCCAGCAAAAGGGTTGGTAAAGATTTGGTCTGCAGAAGAAGTGACTCAGAAGCCTAGGGAGAGGAGAGATTCTTCAAGAAAAGGGAAGTGGTTAACAATGTCAAATTCACAAAGGTTAAGGTGGCTGAGATCTTAAAAAAGACGGTTTGTTTTGGTCATTAAAGTGCCGTGGTGACCTTCAGGGCAGAAGTTTCAAAAGAATGGTGAAGGGAGAAGTTACACTACAGAGAAAATGGGGAACAATGGTGAAAAAAAGAAAGCAATGGTCATAGATTATTCATTTCAGAAGTTTGCTACAGTGAATTACCTAGTGGAGAACTGGCTTGTAGCTACCAGGAGTAATAGGTTAACTCATTAATTTACTTGTTCAAGAGGCCTGTATTTATTAGATCCCACTAGGTGCTTGTTCACTGCTAGGTGAGTAAGGCAGGCAAGATCACCACTGTTATGGAGTTTGCATTCTAGTGTGAGAGAGATAGTCTGTAAATGATGAAGACAATTGCAGATATTAAAAGTGCTATGATGAAAATGAAACATGGCACACAATGAGCACATTCCAGTCTATACAAAGAGAAAGTGCATAGATTGAGCACAGTATATCTGGTGCTTGATAAACTATGGGGAAAGTGGTAGAAGACATCAGAGAAGCAGAGAAGGAGTTTGTGTTTTACTCTAAGTGCAAGGGGATGCTATAAGTAGATTTTAAACAGAGAAGTAACTTGATTAGATTTACAACTTCTAAACTCGCTTAGGCTGCTTTGTGAAGAATGGACTGTATAGGGCAAGAGTTGAAGTTGGAAATATGACGGGAAGATGCTGAATAATTCATTCAAGGAATAAATGTGGTTTAGATCCAGTTGGTACACCGCAAATAGTGACAAGGGGTCAGCTTTGGACTATATTGTGGTGGTAGAAACATCAACAGGATGTGCAAAATGATGTTGAAGGGGTAGGGTCTAAGAAGAAAGCCAAATGAAGGATGACTCCTAGGTTTTTGGTCTGAGTGAAAGCTAGGACCATTTCCTGAGCTGGGAAGATGGGGGGAGGTGCAGGGGTGTGGCGTGGCAGGGTGAGAAGAATCAGGGGCTTCATTTTGCTTGTGTATGATGTGCCTGAGTCATCTAAGTAATGGTGGGGATCAGAGAAATGGGAAGAACCAGGTGAAAGGTGTTTCTCTTAGTGGAGAACTGAACATTTGTAGGTTGCAGATAGAGGACAGGAGTTTGCTAAAGATGGGAAGAGAAGAAGAAAATGAGGAAGGAGCATTTGGGAGGAGGTAGAGGAGGTGGAGGAGGTGAAGAAGGATTGAGCCAATGGCCCAGACAGTGGATTGACTGTGGAAAGCAGGGAGGACACATTGATGTGAACAAGGAAGTAGAGATGGATGTAGAAATAGAGTTCCATAGAGGTTGAGAGGAAGAAAGAGGACACAGCTTGTGTCAAATGGCCCCTGACATGGCTCTAAATTAAAATAAAAAATGAGGTCATATGTTGAGGGAGATTTGGGTGACAAGACTTGTTGGGAGCTTGAGAAGAGAGGAGATTTGGAACAGACATGTGGGGCCCCTCAGCTGAGAATTGAGAGCATTTATCTCTATGCAGTGCAGAGGTAGAAAAGCCCTTGACCATCAGAAGTCCTTAGTGATCTGAAGACAAGAATGAGGAAGTCAGTGGGAATGGCCTCGGTGCCAGGGGCCAGTGTGGAGTCTCTAGCAGCAGGTTAAGGGTGTGTCGGTAGATTAGGTTAAGGATATGTTTGGGATACCCTCCAGGGAGTGTGGGATACCCTCCAGAGTCTGGAGGAGCCAGGGGGCTTTAGCATACGGAGTGGGGTTGAGGGGTTGGACTTCTGGCATAGGCAAAATGCTGGGTATCCTTGCCGTAACACAGGGGTGTGAAAGTGCTGCTAAAAGCATCACCCACAGACCACCACCAGCAGCATCCCCTGGGAGTCTACTAGTAATGCAGGAGCTGAAACAAAGAGGGCATTTTAGCCAGATTCCTGGATGATGTCATATGTATATAGTTTAGGATATGCTGCTCTAAGGAATGAGGCTTTAAAAGGTTAAATGCTTTTTATTTCATCTGTTTTGAGGCAGTGTCTCACTTTGTCACCCAGGCTGGAGTGCAGTGGTGTGATCTTGGCTCACTGCAGCCTCCATGTCCCAGGCTCAACCGATCTTCCCACCTCAGCTTCCTGAGTAGCTGGGACTACAAGTGCGTACCATCACGCCCAGCTAATTTTTGTGTTTTTTGCAGAGACAGGGATTTTGCCATGTTGGCCAGGCTAGTCTCAAATTTCTGAGTTCAAGCTATCCTCCTGCCTCAGCCTCCCAAAGTGCTGGGATTATAGGCATGAGCCACTACACCCGGCCTTAAATGCTTTTTGAAGTAAAAAACTGACCAGAAGATCTTTCTTGTAGATTAATTTGATATATTTTACTTTTTAATATATCTTTATCTTTTTCTGATTTTAAAAAACCTTGCACACTTGTTTTAGAAGTAGAAACTAAGAACATGTATAAAAAAGAGACTAACGTTCAGTCCCATTCTTAGGGTCTGTTATGATACTAGAAGGAGCAGAATAATGGCTGTGGGTGTCTCCCAGAGGTCTCATCTCTTCCAGGGAGTTATCACTGAGAGGCAGTTTAATAGCAGAGCAGCTCCTTCCTGGTTAGGTGACCTTCAGCCAGTTACTTAACACAGCCTTCATTTTTTATCAGTAAAATGGGCATGTGAATAATAGTACATAGGGTTAATATAAGGATTACATTACATTCAATCCTTATGAAAATTTACATATTCAAAATCCTATGAGAAAATTTACATATTTCAATTATGTAAATACCTTAGGGCAGTTCCTGGTTCATAATGAAAGCTCAAAAAATGTTAAAATTGCATATTAGGACTGTACCAGGGTGAGAAATCACTAAGTTAAGCAAACTTTTAACACAGTGTAAGGATTGCTCCCGCTTGGAGGTCTTTGGGCCGCTTCAGGTATAGACTATTGTCTTCAGGGTCTCACCATTCACGACAGTTCGGGAGGAGAACCCTGGAGGACTGAGGAAACAAGATGCACCCCTCATCTGAAGTTGCTCATCAGGAAAGGAAGCTGAGGCCTAGGCAAAGGGTGACAAGATGTGGAGACTGTGATTTGAGATGAGAAGCAACAGAGTTAAAGCCGGGGTACTGGAATGGAATGCAGGGTTCTCCGAGGGGCGTCTCATACATTTTACTTGGTGTTATACCTTTTCTCTCTGTTACATAAGTTCACAGCACCAATATGATTGCTGTTGCAATAACACAGCTGCAAATAAAAACCATAAAAACCCAGAAAAAACATCTGAGCTTCCCCCAACTGTCCTTGAATAGGGGTTAACCAATTTGGAAATCCCCGCTTCTGGTTGCAGCATATCCGCAAGTTTAAATAAACATTGATGAAACACTATGTTAAGAGTTCAGCATAACCATGAGTAAGGTTATATAAAATGTTTAATAGGTCACGTGGCACCTGTAGGGTAGAAATTGTACATTATTTCTAATGCATTTAGTAACTAAGTCCTTTTTGAAAGTTCTTGTAACTACAGGCTCTGCTTGAACAATAGCAATACTATATCTATGTGTGAGAGAATAATAACATTCCCTGGTCTGGTCTTGTTTCTTTAATATCATCTGCCTTCCCTGGCAGATGTTTCCTAGAATTTAATAAGAAAACAACCGTTTACAGAATATGTAGTCTAGGTCAGGAACTCGGTTAAGTACTTTTCAAGAATTGTTTTATTTCACCCTCACCCTATCCCTTTGAGATAGTTCCTTTTGTTATCACCATTTTACAGATGATGACACTGAGGCTCAAAAAGGTGAAGTAAATTGGCCAGGGTGACACAACTAGGTAGGATAGCAGAGATGGGATTCAAACCCAGAGTTTGCACTTTTAATCAGTGCTGTTTTCTGTCCTTCCTACTCATACTCTTCCCAGGAGTATCATTCTAACCTATTGCTGCATTTAGCATGCACGGTACCAGGAATTCTCCAGCCTTCTGGGTTGCCCTTTGCTTTGGCATCCAAATAAAGTAACTCCAGTCTTGTACAACTTTCTGTGGGAAAGCTGATGACCTCACCAATTTTCCCCCAAATTCTCGAGAGTAGAGGAGAGAACTTATATTATTTTATCTGTTCTCATTCTAAATTCTTCCTCTTGTATTAGTTCTCATCACCTACCCGATGACATAAAGCAGTTACTGTAATTCTCTGCATACAGCCTCACCCTGCACTTGCACATAGCTCTTCTTCCGTTCTTCTAAACATCACTCCTCCAAAGGTATGAAGTGGTCAGCTGGTTTCTCTGGAAAGCAGCTGAGACAGAAGTAAGTGGAGGAGGTTTGATGAGAAGGGGAAGGAGTAATCCCATGAGAGATAAAAAAGGAAGGAAGCAGAATTTGGGCAGGAAAATCCTTCGGACTGCAATGCAAATCTGACACCAGGGTTGGCCTTGAAAGCAAAGGGCAGTCTTTCCTACAGACAGAATTTGAGTGGGACACCTGGTGATAATATGTGTATGGACTCATACACAGTGATGAATGGCCTGTGCAGTTGTTCAGGGGCCTTTAAGGAAAAAACTGTAAGTTCAGAGACAGGAAGTCTAGTTAACTTTTAAAACGAATTCTATGCTAAATTCCAGGGATATCCAATCTTTTGGCTTCCCTGGGCCATAATGGAAGATCAAGAATTGTCCTGGACCACACATAAAATACAAGAACACTAACAATAGCTGATGAGCTAAAAAAAAATCACAAAAAACTCTCAGTGTTCTAAGAAAGCTTATGAATTTGTGTTGGGTCACATTCAAAGCAATCCTGGGTCATATACAGCCCACAGGCCATGGGTCAGACAAGCTTGGTATACTCCTCTAGCTCTGGCTCAACTAAACTCAAAATTCCTTTCTTCTCGCAATAAAACCTGGCACTTGATAAGAAAAACATTGGCTTTCATAACTATTATCTCTAAAGTTGACATCAATTTTTTTGCAGCTGAGTTCTTCACTATTCTCTGAAGGGGCTAAGGGAGTAAGAAAGATTGCCAGGAATAAAAAGTACTTCTGACTTATTTTAAATCACTATCTTGCAGGAATTAATTATATGATTTTAATTATGTGAAGTTTAAATTCAGGCAATATTAATCAACATTTATAAAAGTCAGAATAGAGATTACTTTTGGAGGCTGTGGTATTGTGATACATTAAGAATATAAGAAACATATATTAGGTCTTCATCCCCATTTCCTGGCACATAGCTCCTAAACACTTGTAAAATCCTGGATGATAAAGGCAAGAGGAATGTCTTTTGTTATCTATATTAATTATTGTATATTATTTCATCATATGTGAGTTTGTTTTCATGAAGTGACTCTTGGAGGCTGGTGGTTATCAGAGGAATCACATGGTTGATTACAGGGTTGGAACTTTCAGCACTCCCTCCCTCCCCCAACCTCTGGAGAGGGGAGAAGGGCTGGAGATTGAGCTCAGTCACCAATGGCCCATGATTTAGTCCAGGGTTCCCCAACCCCCAGGCTGTGGACCAGTACCAGTCTATGGCCTGTTAGGAACTGGACTGCAAAGCAGGAGGCGAGCAGTGGGTGAGCAAGGATTCCCGCCTGAGCTCCGCCTCCTGTCAGATCAGCAGCAGCATTAGATTCTCGTAGGAGTGTGAATCCTATTGTGAACCGAGTATGCAAGGGATCTAGGTTGCGTCATCCTTATGAGAATTGAATGATAAATGTAATGTGCTTGAATCGTCCTGAAACCACACCCCCCATCTGTGGAAAAATTGTCTTCCATGAAACTGGTCCCTGGTGCCAAAAAGGTTGGGGACCACTAATTAGTCAATCATGCCTACCGAATAGAAACTCCATAAACCCCCTAACTGACAGGACTTGGAGGACTTCAGGTTGGTGGAAACACAGACCTGCTGGGAGGGTGCAGCATGTGGAGCAGGACGGAACCTCTCAGCTCCACCCTCATACTTTGTCCTGTGTATCTCTTCATCTGGCTGATCTTAAGTGGTATCCTTTAAAATAAACTGCTAATTGTAAGTAAAGCACTTTCTTGAGTCCTGTGAGCCATTCTAGCAAATTATCAAACCTAAAGAGAAGGTCATGGCAACCCCCAATGGATAGCTAGTTAGCCAGATGGACAGGTCACAGTTTGGGACTACTGACTGGTGTCTAAATTTGGTTTCAGCCTTGCGAGGCTGAGTCCTCAACCTATGGGGTCTGCACTAACTCTGGGTAGTTAGTGTCATGAGTAAATTGTAGTACACCCACTTGGTATCTGGAGAGTTGGAGAATTGCTTAATGTGAGGTAAACTCCACACATTTGGTGTGAGAAGTATTTTGAATGTATGAATTTTTCTTTCCTTTTAGGGGTGCAGTGTACAAATTGGGCAGTTGCAGGAGGGAATCATAGGCTGCTGCTGGGATGTGCTATGACTTGGTCTATGAATTAGCTACACTCAATTAATATGTGGAAGACAACTCTTCAAGCTGTACACTTAAGATGAGTGTACTTTTTGCATTTAATTGTATATTCTTTCTATAAAAATTATTGTATGAGTTTCCTATTGTTGTAACAAGTAACCACAAATTTAGAAGCTTAAAACAACACAAATTTATTATCTCACAGCTCTGGAGGTTATAAGTCTGAAATGGGTCTCGAGATGTTGGGAGGGCTGCATTCCTTGATGGAGGCTGTAATTTTCTAATTTTACTATTCACTTATCTTTCAACAGATGCTCAGTGATTGTCAGCCACTAAAAGCCTCTAATTACAACCTATCTGCACTTCTAATTCCACCCTATTCTCCCCATGCAGGTAGATGACTAGGTTAGGCTTTTATTTTCAAGAAGGCTAAAGAATAAGGTACATTCAGCTTGTTAAAGGCATATTCAACTTATTGATACTATCCTGTTGCCTATACATTTACAGACATTCATGTGACTATCATTATTATTAGAGAGAATGTTCTAATCATTCTCTCTCTATAAAGGTGTTTTCTCAGGGCCCACTGTATGGTTAGAAATTGGAAAAGACCTTCCAGTTTCCTTCACAGATGATTCTCCTCACATTCTCTCCATTTGCTTTTTTAATATATTTTTTGAGACAGGGTCTTACAATGTTACCCAGTCTGGAATTCAGTGGCGTGATCAAGTCTCACTGCAGCCTCAACCTTCTGGGTTCAAACAATTCTCTCATCTCAGCCTCCCAAATATCTGGAATTACAGGCCTCTCGATATATTGTCCAGGCTGGTCTTGAACTCCTGGGCTCAAGTGATTCTCCCATTTCGTCCTCCCAAAGTCTTGAGATTACAGGTGTGAGCCACTGTGCCTGGCCTTCATTCAAATTTGCCTGTGTATTTTTTTATTCTTGACAAATGAGTCAGCAAAGTTGCAAATGTCCCCTTATTTGACTTGGTTCAGTGTTTCAATGTCATTCCAAAACAAAGATGCCAGGGATGCTGTTCCAAAGTCTGTGGTCTCTATGTGTATGGAAGCACTAGTGAGGGCACGCTATTTCTCTTTCTACTCAATCCACACACTGGGATGATGGCTACAAATGCTCATTGTGTTACGGGATCCTTGTGGTGTCGCTTCGCCTGCTGGAAACCTCTGTGGCCAGTGGTGCCTTTGCCCAAGTTTTGTTCTGGCCTGCTGGGCTTGTTCCACCCAGTTGGCCCAGCAGGCTGCACTCAGCTCATGCTACTGGCCTGGATCCCATGCCTGCCAAGGGCAAGCCAGGCGTGGAGTAATGAAGGGTATGTGAGTGAGCGTGGGGTCTAGCCACCGCACATAGCTGGGCATGCCAGCTGCTGCTGTGGGGCAAGCAACTCCAGGTGCTGGTGTGGGTGCTGGCTCCCTGCAAGGCTGCATCTGGACTAGGTGCACCACAAGCAGCTTCCATAGCTGGCACTGGCAAATGCTCTGGGGCCTGGAAGCTTGCAGACTCCAGAAGCTGCAGGGCTCCAAAGAGGGAGTCACAGCCCTGGCTCAGGGAACACCCAGGCCTGGGATCCCCAAAGGGCCGCAGCTCTTCTCTCCCTCTTTTTGCCTGCAATGTGGCGAGCAGGGGCATGTTTCAGCCCTGTTTGTGTTACAGCTCTTTTAGCCCTGCCATTCAGTGGGTCCTGAGTTCTTGTCCTATGTCCAGGAAGAATGAGGTATGCAGGCAAGTGGAGGGTGAGCGAGATGAAGAGGAGTTTTATTAAGCAATAGAACAGCTCAGAGGAGAACCACAGTAGGTAGCTCCTCTCTGTAGCCAAGGTGTCACAATGAGTGGTCAGCTCTCGCAGAGAGGGTAGCTCCCCTCTGTAGTCAGGTAAATCCGAGGAGTGTTCAGCTCTCAGCAGAGAGGGTAGGTCCTCTCTGCAGGCAGGTCATCCTGTCACCTCTTCAGTTCTCAGCACAGAGGTAGCACCTCTCTGCAGGCAGGTCATCCTGTTGTCTCTGCAGCTGTCAGCAGAGAGGAGGCCCTGGAGTGGGTGAATCCTCTCTTCAGGCAGGTCATCTTGTCATCTCTTCAGCTCTCAGCACAGAGGTAGTGTCTCTCTGCAGGCAGGTTGTCCTGTCATCTCTGCAGCTCTCAGCAGAGAGGAGGCCCTGGAGTAGATGGATCCTCTCTGCAGGCAGGTCATCCCTTCATCTCTCTGTCTTCTCCCCATCATCTCTCCATCCTCTCTTTGACTCTGGCTGAGTCTGGTGTTTTTATAGGTCTCAGAGAGGAGGAAGTGTGTGCTGATTGGTCCATGGGCAGCCATTGGCAGGCCCAAGAAAAAGCACCACAAGTTCTCCCTTGGGTCCTCAGGACTGGCGGCCCAGCCCCCAGGCTTCAGGCCCTCCCCGGCTTGAAAGTGCGGCTTCACCAGGTACCCACCCACTTCTACTCAGGAGCCTGTCTGCCTCCTGTCACTGTTCGTGGCGCTCAGGCTTTTCATGCCAAGGGGCACCTTTAGGCCAGCACTGGGCTTTCTCCAGCCCCCCAACTCAGCCTCCCTCCTGTGTTTGTCAATGCCCTAAGTCCAGACGGGGCCGAGGCAGCAGGGGGCTGGCGTGTCAGTGCTTCCCCGAGTGTGTGCACACCTGGCTGGGCTGTGACAGCACCTGAGCTTGGCCCCGCCTTTGCTCCAAGATTGGAGCAGGTGCTGGCAGCAGGGAGAAGCCAGGCAGTGGAAGCAGGCATTTCCTGTCCTGCAGGGGAAGGGGGCATGCCTTCTCAGGCCTCTGAGAGTGCAGAGATGCTTGGATCTGCAGCCACAGCTTGGGCAGCTGCCGCTGTGCCTGGGATGGTGGGGCTCCTGCCTGCTTCTGGCTCCTGAGAGCACAGGGGTGCCCTGGTTGCTGCTGCAGCTTGGGTGGCTGCAGTTGCCTCTGGGGTGCTCTGCCCTGCCAACTCGGAAAGGGCGGGGCTCTTGCTTGTTCCCAGCTCCTGTGTGCTCCATGGAGTGCACAGTCCTGGCCACACCTCCTTCCTACATTTTCCCTGTAGCAGCAGTGGATGAGGTGCAGGTTGGGCAGCGACCCCAGCCAACTCCTGCACAAATGAACCTGATGCTCCAGGGGCAGCCCTGTGAGTCCCAGCTGTGCCTGTGGCTGGGTGCTCATGGGTTCCTGGGATGCAGCAGGGAGCAAGGCTGAGGCCCTGGTGGAGACTACAGGCCTGGGAGTGGGTCCTGCCCAGCTGTATGAGAGTGGGGTTGGTACAGTTGGCCGTCTTGGGGACACAGGGCACAAGGGCCCACTGCTGCCACTGCTGCCCCTGAAGCCACTCCTGATGCCACCACTGGCATCTCCCCACTGCAGGCAGCATGATGGCAGCAACCCCTCCAGAAGTCCCACCGCCACCATCAATTGGTTGACTGCCTTGCATACTTTCTCTTACAAAGCCAGGTTTTTAAAAGCTGAAATTTCTAAAATCAATAAAAGTGTTAGTTGAAAAGCGAAGTCTCAAAATTACATATACACATAGTTTATTAAATAGTTAATATAGGCAAATTAAGATTTAAAATGGAATAAAATTTAAAGTAATATGTAGGCATTAGTACTGTGTGATTCTTGTATTAATCTGTGTGCAAACAAATGCTTATATAGCATTTACTTTTTAATTCATTCAAAATGAAGTTAAACACGTTAGAAAGAGTTGTTACTACAGGGTATTCAAAAATGGGAAAGTATCTACCCTAGAACTTTGTTTTTTTACTTTTTTTTTCAAGAGTAGAGACAGGGTTTCACCATGTTGCTCAGGCTGGTCTCAAACTCCTGGGCTCAAGCCATTCTCCCACGTCAGCCTCCCAAAGTGCTGGGATTACATGAGCCACCATGCCTGGCCTAACCTACAACTTTGAAAAGAATGCTCTCAGGTAGCCATTTACCTCCTGTTAGATAAAAGGGCTGGGGAGAGTGTTTGCAAGACGTTTGTTCTTCAGATTCTAAAAATATGTCCTTTAGTCAAGGTTGGGGTATTCACTCTTCTTGGAAGATTAATAATTAGGCTGTACCTAGTTACCATAAAAATATTCTGATCAGCTGTTTTTATTCATTGCATTCAATTAATTGATATGCATTCAAAATACTTATCAATTAATCACTACATGCCAGGCAATATTTTAGTTGCTGACCTCCTTGAGCTGATATTCTTACCAAATAGCTTTATCTATTTATGATGTTTATCACATTATAAATATGTCATAATGATATTATGACATTAATATGTGAGATAATAGGAATAGAGTCAAGGGTCAGTGGCCAGTGGTGTTCTCTTGGCAAGGCTAGACAGGGAAGTCCTTGCTAATAAAATGGCACTGGAGCAGAAACCTAAAGGAAGAGAATGAGCCATGTTGACATCTGGGGAAAAAGCATGCTAGACAGAGGAAACTGCAAGTGCACGGCCCTGAGGCATGAGTCTGCCTGAGGAGCATCAAGATCAGTATGGCAAAAGCACAGTGGGCATGGGAGATGGGGAGAAAAAGGGCCTGAGGGTGAGATGAAAGTAGCAGTGGAGTGGTGGAGTAGTGAGCCATCAGAGCCAATTGGCCTACTGGTTCCATCATTTGACCTATGAGCAGCACTTGATGTCAATAGTCCCTCCCTTCCTCCTTGCAGCATTTCACTTTACTTCCTAGTTTCCCTCTGTCTCACTTGTCTGTCCCTTTGCTGGCTTCATCTCTGGAGATAGAGTGACTCAGAGCTCAGTCCTTGGACCTCTTTTTATCTACTTAATCCTGTGTTTCAAGAAGTCTCAAACTTTTTAATATAAACCAATGAAAATGATGATTCTCCTGCAATGATTGGTGTTATTGCTGGACATGTTATAAAATTTAAATTCAAAACCAAAATATTTTGTAAGAATATAATGCATCTGAGTGTTACAGTTACCAGGAATGATCTCTCCTTAAAATAAAACATGAAGAGCACTATGAATGTATCAGTATAAACAAAATATGGCCCCATTGCTTAATCCCTACACAGTTCTATGCACTCCTTAATCAATTGGCTAAACAAGTTGTAGCAGCAGTTGACTTAGTCCTGCCAAATGTTGAAAGGATTTTTTGAAATGTCAATTTTAAAAACATCCAATTTTTTTAAAACCTCCCTTGGACAACCAGGAAGATTGGATGAAAGACTTGGTTTTTTGATTGACATTGTAACTCATCACATTTTGACCATACCCTTTCATGGGTATTCATAAGTGGTTATATAAACACATTGTGTAATCCACTCATTCCTAGTGAAATTGTTTCTTGAGGGAAATCAACTGGCAAATAATTTGACCCATTTTGCTACACTGAAGTCAGTTTCCAAAAATAGAAATCATGGTATGAAGTACATTTGTGAGGCTGAGGACTAAATTTCAAAAAATTATCTGATTTCAAACTTTATGAAAATGAGTTAAGACTATTCTTTTTACCATCTAACTTAATACTGACAGTGTGGAAAAATTGCTACAAGAAGTTACTAAACAGTTGTTAAAGGAGATCACAAAAAAGAAACAAAGTTATTTTAGAAGAGCAGAATTTTATAAATATCTTAAGAGTGGTTAGCCTAGATATGAAAATCATTGTGCAAAGATTGTATCCATATTTGGAAGTACCTATACTTATTATCAGCTGTTTTCACTATGTATAAAAATAAATCTCTCTCCTACGTAAAGGATTGAAGGCTCAACTCTGTGTTGTAAACTGAATAAGAAACACAAGACCTGACAGTGATAGCTTGGTGAGGAAGAAAATGTGTGAGGTTTTAGCTTCAAATAGAAGAAATAACAAGTTTAAAAAAGACAATGTCGTTTAACAGGGAAGCATTTCTGTGTCTTTCCAGATAACGACAATCACTCTTAGCCTTGGGAGAGATTCGGATCTGTTACAGAAGCCACGTGAGAGTGAGAGGAAGATAATATTCCAACTCTGACATTCTTTAAGCTTGACAGCAAGGCTTACAATCCAGTCACTGGTGGGAGGGAAAGGGTTTCCTGTTTTCAGACCTGGAAATTCAGATGGTGGAGCTCATGTAAAGAAGATGCTCCAGCTGGGATGCCAGGTGATGAGGCCAGAAGGGGGTGGTGGTGACAGAAACCTGCCCCTCCTTGTTCTGGTGCTATGGGAAAATCAGGGAGAGAGAATCAGGAGGGACAGAAAAAACCCTAGGCCAATCCAATAACAATGTGTCGTGCTCGAGCCTCTGAGCCATGGTGTGGAGAGTGGGAAGCTAGATAACTTGGAGACAGAGTGGCTTTCCCTGCTTACAGTTTGAGATTCTGGAGGAGACGAGGCTCCATGTCAATGTAGGGTGAACCAGCCCAGCCAAGACAGCTGCTGGGTGTGACCAGGAAGAGAGTAGCTCTGATTTAAACTCCAAGCCTCTTTGTTTCAGATTGAAAGGCAGAGGGTTTATCATTGCCCCTGCCATTGGGAGGAGTGGGTTGCCCCACAGCAGACATTGGAGGGAGACCGACTGGCTCTGTGGGACTACATGGACTTGGAAGAGATTTTGGTCAATAGCCAGGCAATAGCTAAGGGTAGGCCTGATTAGCATGAGATGCCAGTCTCTCCCACACCCTGTCCCCCTCCCCCAACACTTACTGTTTTGTAGAGAAGAGGCCATGCGTGCATCACCTGAAAGGCAGGAGTAGATGCCAGCAGAAAGCCCAGGGACACCATCAGCCAATTATACTCCAGCAGACGTAACACCAGATACTGTGCTGCTTGGGATAGCAATGATGGAAGAATGGATGTTATATGACTTCTCCTGGCTCAAAGTCACTTGAGCATTTTCCTCAAAAATCTGATATTTAATCATTGTTATTGGATTGGCCTAAGGTTTGAAATGGATTGAATATTAAATATTTTTCCCTTGCTGAAACCCAAAGGTTGGAGTCTTGGGGGAAACACCTGCTCTCTTATATCAGTTTTAAAAAGAAATGACACTTTTCTGTATGTATATAGGTTGTGTAAAAAAAATAATCCTTGGCTGGGTGCGGTGGCTCACACCTGTAATCCCAGCACTTTGTGGGGCCGAGGTGGGCAGATCACCTGAGGTCAGAAGTTCGAGACCAGCCTGACCAACATGGTGAAATCCTGTCTCTACTAAAAAAAAAAAAAAAAGAAAAAAAAAAAGAAAAAAAAAAATTAGCAGGGCATGGTGGTGCATAACTGTAATCCCAGCTACTTGGGAGGTTGTGGCAGGAGAATCAATCACTTGAACCCAGGAGATGGAGGTTGCAGTGAGCCGAGATCACGCCATTGCACTCCAGCCTGGGCAACAAGAGCAAAACTGCGTCAAAACAAACAAAACAAAAAAACCACAACCTCTCACAGCATTCAGGATAACTAAATATTTAATTTTTCAATCTGTGTTCCATTTCACTGGCAAAATAAAATTTGCTATGTTATATAAATATGTGTGAGATTATGTGCTCGTGCCATAGTTCCATAAAAATAAGGCAAGTCTGGTTATGCCTTTCGTCAGGTGATTTTTCTTTCATCGAGTCTGTTTTATTCCTGTTTGTCACTGCCTTGGCCTCTGGAGGCATTTGGGGTTTATGCATTTCTGCATTTAAGGAAATCAAATACCTCGTCAGGAACTCCTTGACATTGTGAAGGGAATAAGAAGGGAGGAGAGCAAAGAAAATTCACACACAAAACTCACCCAACAAAATGATTTGTTAGTAATTTCAAAGAAAATGGACATGAATCCAGTAAAAAAAAAATGCATAGAAGTAGGCTTGTAAAGAATGGGTCTGCCACATTCTATGGCAGTTTGTAGGACAGAAAAACACCATATAGTTCCTCATAAAAGAAAGCCTGAGCTACATTAGGGGGGCTTCTTTATCTTTCCTTTCTCTTATTTTCCATCCTTGCTTCCGTCAATAAATGTGTGCTGGGTTCAGTGCTAGACACTGGGATTTCACAAGGAATGAGACAGGAGTGATGGCACCTCACAGTATTTAGTCATTAGGGAAGGAGAAACAGAGAAAAGCCAGTAAAGACATACATAAAGTAAAATAATTTCAAAGTGCACTAAGTCCTCCCTACAAGGGAAACAGGATGTTGAAATGAAACATAACGGGAGCTTGGGAGGGCGGTCAGGGGAGGAGTCTGCTTTGGATATAGCAGGCAAAGAAAGTCTTGCTGAGGAACTGATACAGGAGCTGAGACTTGAACGTAGGTGATCAACTTGTCCCAGTTTGATCAAGACTTTCTTGGTTTTAAAATGAAAAGTCCTGCATCCCCGGAGTCCCTTTAGTCCCAGGCAAACCAGGATGGTTGGTCACCCTACTTGAAAGATGAGAAAGAACCAACATTACACAGAGTAGGGGAGCAAGTACCCCAGAAAGAGGGACTCATATGTACGAAGGTTTAGGGGTGAGAGATAGCTTGGCATGGCCAAGGAACCAAAGGATTGGTGTAAGGGAGGAGGCTAAAGGAACGTGCTGAGGTGGAAGAGACAGGTGGGGACCATGCCACATGTGGAGGCTCCAGTAAATATCTCTGGTTTTATTTGAGACACATTGAGAAACCATTGACAGTTTTCATGTAGGGAGTGACATGATCACATTGGATGCTATTTGGAGAATAGATAGAAGGAATCAAGATTAGAAGCAATGTTGGGATGATATGGTAGTAGTCCAGGTGAGAAGTGAAATTGATGAGGTAGAATGCACAGAACTTGCGTGGATGTCTCATGGGTTTCTGGTTCAAGCAGTGGAATTCACAGTTTAAAGCAATGGAGAAAATTGGAGGAAGAAGAGGTAATTTCTTCCCAATCTCCACCCCTTCTATAGATGAGTTATACATCGGAGACCACAGGTTTTTAGAAGATGTAATTCTTTACAAAGAGACATTCATTCTAGTATTTCAAATTGCTGCCTGCATAAGTAGGAAGCTTCGGGCCCTGGGAAGGGGTTGTCATTCCTCAGTCTCTGACACAGCCCAGTTACTTATTTTTGGAGAAAAACACTGAATATGATGAATGATTTTCTAAGCAGTCAGAAAGATAAATGCAGAGATGGCTAGAAGGAAAAAGTATCCAATGTTCCATGTGTGTACATTCACCACAGCTGTGTTAATTCTAGATCATAAACTCTGCCCAGCGCTATAGCTTGAGAGTTAAAAAAAAAAAAAGAATAAAATATTTTTAAAGGTACTCTGGGCAAAAGAGAACACATTTAAAAAGAAAAACGTGAACAAAAATTTAAGTTAAAAGAATAAAAAAGGAACTATAAGTAAAAAGATTGAGGCAAGAATTATTCAGAAATTAAAGTAATAGATTTGGTTAAAAATAAAAAAGATCAAAAGAGCTATAACTAAAAAATTAAAGTAACAGATTAAGGTAGAAAATTATGGTAAAATTTAGAAAAAGATTAAAAGGATAAAATATACAGTGTAAAGTCAAGAATAGACCACGTGAAAAGTAAAAATGCTAGACCCATAAGATTTAGAAAGGTAAAATCACGACAAACCTAAAATAAGCTGAAGGATAAACAGAGAGAACAAAAATAGAGAGGTGACAAAAGACTAAAGGAGGAATTACATACAATCAAAATGTTAAAACTTGCTAAAATTTAACTCTAAATCCCCAAGCATTTATGGAATAAAGGTCTGGAAAAATAAGCTCCCATTACTTAAGAAGAAACAAAGCTGACAAGCCACATGACTTACTAAGAGCAGCCTCTGAGCCTACACAACCCTCATGGGTTGGGGGCTCCAGTCGGGTTTCTTGAGGGCAGTGCAGGGGGGCCTGAATTGCCAGGGTATGTGTATTAGTCTGTTCTCATGCTGCTGATAAAGACATACCCTAGACTGGGTAATTTATACAGGAAAATGCATGTAATGGACTTATAGTTCCACATGGTTGGGGAGGCCTCACAGACCTGGTGGAAGGCAAGGAGGAGCAAGTCACATCTTATGTGGATGGCGGCAGATAAAAAGAGAGCTTGTGCAGGGCAACTCCCATTTTAAAAACTATCAGCTCTCGTAAGGCCTGTTCACTATTATGAGAACAGCATGGGAAAGACCTGCCCCCATAATTCAATCATCTGTCACTGTGTCCCTCCGACAACATGTGGGAATTATGGGAGCTACAAGATGAGATTCAGGTGGGGATACAGAGCCAAACCAGATCAGCGCGTGACCTCTCATGTATCTGTTTAATGCCAACAGCAAGCCTGCTGGTCAACAGCAAGCAGAGCTCATATCTGCTATGTCAACAGCAATTCCAAGGAAGGGAATTCCTCCAAAGGTTGTTGGCAGGATAGCTTCTGTATAGTAAGCACTCAACTATTATTGTTATCTATGGACATTAATCTTGAGTGTTGACTTTTGAATCAAAAATACATTGTACTTTGGGCAGGGTCAGGAAAGTAGAATCCAAAAGTAAGTCATATTGAGATAAAATTATACACCATACTTGGGTACATTTTACTTTCCATTTTGAGGTGTGGATACTGTGTGTGTGTGTGTGTGTGTGTGTGTGTGTGTGTGTGTGTGTACTAAAGCACATAATCCAGGAGATGAATTTCAAAATTTCCATGTGATAGGTTTATTTTTAAATGAAATGAAATTTTGGATGTGAATTTTGGTTACTTTGCTCAACTCCCCAAGGCCTCTGGCTCATTCTTTCTGCCTATGCGAGTTTTCAGAGGGAAAGAATAAAAACATAATCTTAGAAATGTTCTCATCCCCAGGTGAACTCCTTTTACAGTCTTTTCACACAAGAGACTAGAATTTATTCACAATGTTAGTAAAAGGGTGAGAAATTTCTTTACACTTAACCCAACCTCAGAGCTCATATCTGCTATGTCAACAGAATATACTCACACCTACAGCTTGGTTTCACAGAGCTACAGAGTCAGTGGAAATGCCAGGCTGAAGTTTTGGAGAACAAATCCGTATGAAATAATATCCCTGTGGCAAAATACAGAATAATGACTTGGGCCTTTGTGGATAAAATACGCAAAAGCTGAATTTAAGTGTTCTTAATTGGATCTTTGAAGGTTCAGATAGAAACCTAGGGGGTGGCCTGTTGGCCAGGCCAGGTCTGAAGGGTGGAGTGGGAAGAGAAGTCTCTTCATTGGAGTATTATGTTCCCTGATATCTTATATTTCTAGCAGAAGAGGCTTTTTGTCATTTTGGGGCTATACTCTATGTTCTCTCTGGGGAAACACCCTACTCCATTTTCAGTCCAACCCTCCCACCTGGTTTGGGCAGGACTAGTTTCAGTTCTGTCATTTGCAACTAAAAGGGTACAGACAAATTCTGACTTTTGAGGTTTTGCAATCAGCCAACAGGGCTGCAATGGGGAACTAGCTGCTCCCACTCAAGCGCTTTGACTGGGCTTTAATAGAAGTATTGCGCCCTCTGCTGGCAGAGGATTAGCATTGACCAGATCTCAAGGACGATGTGACAGAAAGCATTTTAGAGCCAGTCCTGGAGTCAAGGTCTTTCTCCTCCATATGCAAGCTGTTTTGCTTTGCTTAAGTAATGTTACTTCTATAAGTCTGCATTTTTGTATCTTAAAAATATTAATGTCAGAAACTACCTTTCAAGACTCTTTGATGAGTACATAAATGGCCATGTGAAAAGTACTTAATCGTTGAAAGATACTATTATAAGACAGTTTTGGCGAAGAAAGTCAGACTGTTTATCAAGTTTTTTCATGGTTCTAAAATATGATATTCAATGTTATTGGTTCTCTGGAGCTGAGAAAACATACATACATTGTATCAACTGAAGAAACTATTGTTATAGAATGTAGAGTACTAATATTAGTAAAGTTCTTAGAAATTTTCAGGTGAGAAATGTATAACAAATCAGATATGCCAAAAAGTCCCTTTATAAAATTTAATATACATTTCCAGTAGAAGTATTAGATAAAATAGACATTAATGGGTTTTCCTTTAACATGATTTTATATATGTATGAGAGACAGAGACACAGGAGAGAGGGAGGGAGAGAGAGAGAAAGAGAAAGAGAATATTATAATGGAGTAATACTAGAATACTGGAAACATTCCCACTAAGGCAAGAAACAAGGTAAAAATGTCTGCCATCTCCATTACTATTTAACATCATATTGGAGACATTAGTATACTAGTTAAAAAATTGGGGCATAAGACTTGGAAAAGTAGTTAAACTCTCTCCATTTGCAGTTGATATGACAGTATATCTGGAAAACCCAATAGAATAAATGATGACTCTAAATGAACAAAAGACCTCAGTAAGTTAGCAGGCTACAAAATGAGTGTACAAAAATCACACGTGTGTGTGAGTGTAAATGTGTGTGTATGTAAATGATAGCTAGTTAGAAGATAAAAGAAGAAAAAATTCAATTTGCAATAATGACAAAAATATAAAATACTTGAAAGTAAACTTAAGAGGTAATGTGTAAAATCCATATGAGGAAAAGTTTAAAACATTCCTAAAAGACAAATGGAAATATTTCTTGGTCTTGGATAAGATAACTTGACATTATGATGAAATAAATTATCTCTAATTTAATACCACCCTAATAAAATTGCAATATGTAGTTTTCCTGGGACTACAGAAATTGATTCCAAAGTTCATGTGGATAAACAAACATATATGCTTAAATAGGAAAACCAGTAAAAAAGGTCAGTGAAGAGAGAGAACCCTATTAAATATCAATGCACAATAAATATTTTGTATAATTAAAACAGTGTGGTATGAATGGATAGACAGATCTGGAACATAATGGAAAGTTCAGAAATAGAACCAACTAAAAAGAAAATTTTCATATAAATAAGGTGGCATCTCAAATTACAGACAGACTTATTAATAAATGGTGTTAGGACAACTGAACAGTCACTTGAAAACAGATAGCTTTGGATCCTTAACATACATTATACTCCAGGAAAAACTTATATAGAAAGAATGAGCCACATAAGTACTTGAAGAAAACATAAGTGAATTTGTTTGTAATCTTGTGGTGGGAAAAATTTTAAACCATGTTCATCATCCAGATATAATAGCAGAAAAAAAGCAATAATTTTGACATCAATAAAAAGGACTGGTCAGGCGTGGTTCCAGTACGTTGGGAGGCTGAGACAGGAGGATCTCTTGAGCCCAGAAGTTTGAGACCAGTCTGGGCAACAAGGGGAGGCTGTCTACACACACACACACACACACACACACACACACACACACACACAATTATTTGGATATGGTGGTGCATCTCTGTAGTCCCAGCGAGCTGGAAAGCTGAGGTGGGAGGATCACTTGAGCCTAGGAGGTCAAAGCTGCAGGGAGCCATGATTGTACCACTGCACTTCAGTCTGGGCAACAGAGAAAGACCCTAACTCTAAAAATATAAATAAAATAAAATGTAAAGAATATTTGTTTAAAAAAAAAAGCATCACAAGCAAAGTCAAAAGACAAGTGACAAACTGGGAGTAATATAATTGCAACATATGTCATAGATAAAGAACTAAACTCCTCAATTTACAAAACACTCAAAAATTGAGAAACACAAAGATTCATACACACCAAAACCCACCCATGCCCTTAAACATATAAACCTCATGTTTATGGCAGAGAAATTTGAATTAAATTTACAATGAGGAAGTTCTCTCAACTTTAGTGTATATTTGGAAAAGCTCATAGTAAATTACTGAGAAAAAATTAATATATTTCTCATTTTCAGGTTGGCACACATTCAGAAGCTTGAAAACACATTTTTCTGTGATCAGCTGAGGGAAATTTCAATCTGAGCTGGGTATTAGATGATATGATTATTGGATGAAAGTTAAATTTCTTGGGTGTGATTATGGTTATGCAGGCATGTGTGCATTTCCTTAAGAAATACATGCTATGTCAGGGCGCGGTGGCTCATGCCTGTAATCACAGAATTTTGGGAGGCTGAGGTGGGCGGATTACGAAGTCAGGATATTGAGACCATCCTGGCCAATATGGTGAAACCCCATCTCTACTAAAAATACAAAAATTAGCTGGGCGTGGTGGCATGTGCCTTAATCCCAGCTACTTGGGAGGCTGAGGCTGGAGAATCACTTTAACCATGGAGTCAGAGGATCACGCCACTGCACTCCAGCCTGGTGACAGAGCGAGACTCCACCTCAAAAGAAAAAAAAAAAGAAAGAAATACATGCTATGATATTCTGGGGCAAAATGTCATGAAGTATGCAAACCTACTTTCAAATACATCAGCTCAACAAAAGTGTGTGTGTGGTTTTATATTTATCTCTCTTATTTCTTTTTTTTTTTTTACTGTGTCAATAAAAGTTTATTCACAGACATTGAAATTTGAATTTCACGATTTTCATGTCATGAAATATATTTTTAACTTGTTTTCAACGATTTTTAAAATGTAAAAAACATTCGCAGGCCATATATCAGGCAGTGGGCAGGATTCAGCCCACATGCCAGTTTGCCAACCCTATCTTACGTGAAGATACCGACAAGACCAACCTTAACTTCTCCTAAAACCAAAATTTTCAAAGCAGACTATTAACAAGA
Organism: Homo sapiens; assembly: GCF_000001405.40. NCBI lineage: Eukaryota > Metazoa > Chordata > Mammalia > Primates > Hominidae > Homo > Homo sapiens. The sequence goes on from NC_000002.12 coordinate 68,445,056, forward strand.
GCATGCCCCGCTCCAGATTCCCCAGAATTGTGAAGGAGGTGAGGCTGCTGGTACAGGAGGACAATGGTCTGGCATGGCCCCTCTGTTCTGAAACCCCTGGTCCCCAGCACAGGGGAGTGGGCCTCAGCTTTGCAGACAGCACTGTTTCCAGATCACTGTTAAAAGGAAAACTAAGGATTCTAAGTCCCCAGCGAAAACCCACACCAAAATCATCACCAGCGTGCACATCTGTTCCCTTGTTGAGATTTAATCACTGAAGAGCAGGTGGAAGCCGTCCTGAACGAATTACCCCATGTACCTAGAAGCCTCTTCCCAAATCAAGCAGTGATCACCTCACTCATAAACAGAGCACGCACCCAAAGGTTTTGCTTGATGTATTTTGAGACTAGTTTCACGTGTTGCTGCTAAACGTTTCCAGGGAGTTGCAAAAGTTAATCCTTATGGATCGGTGATTGAAATACAGTGACATCCCTGCTGCTCTGCAGTGTGCGCAAAGGTCAAATCAAAATAACAAACACGCACGACGTCTTCGATCACCTTCCTGTAAAACCGGGTTTCTAGCCGGACCCATGTCCTCACAGTTCCTGAATCAAGTTCACCGTCTGTGCAAGCGCCACCTGACAGAGCTCCCTGCGACACTGAAACGCGTTTGGGCACTTCCCACGTGGGAACCACTCGCCACGGGCACCTCCTGAGTACAAGGTGCAGTGCTGGGGCTGGGGCAGGCTGAAGCGTTCGTTCTAAGTTTCTTTATTATTATTATTATTATTATTATTATACTTTAAGTTTTAGGGTACATGTGCACAATGTGCAGGTTAGTTACATATGTATACATGTGCCATGCTGGTGCGCTGCACCCACTAACTCGTTATCTAGCATTAGGTATATCTCCTAATGCTATCCCTCCCCCCTCCCCCCACCCCACAACAGGCCCCAGAGTGTGATGTTCCCCTTCCTGTGTCCATGTGTTCTCATTGTTCAATTCCCACCTATGAGTGAGAATATGAGGTGTTTGGTTTTTTGTTCTTGCGATAGTTTACTGAGAATGATGATTTCCAGTTTCATCCATGTCCCTACAAAGGACATGAACTCATCGTTTTTTATGGCTGAATAGTATTCCATGGTGTATATGTGCCACATTTTCTTAATCCAGTCTATCATTGTTGGACATTTGGGTTGGTTCCAAGTCTTTGCTATTGTGAATAATGCCACAATAAACATACTTGTGCATGTGTCTTTATAGCAGCATGATTTATAGTCTTTGGGTATATACCCAGTAATGGGATGGCTGGGTCAAATGGTATTTCTAGTTCTAGATCCCTGAGGAATTGCCACACTGACTTGCACAATGGTTGAACTAGTTTACAGTCCCATCAACAGTGTAAAAGTGTTCCTATTTCTCCACATCCTCTCCAGCACCTGTTGTTTCCTGACATTTTAATGATTGCCATTCTAACTGGTGTGAGATGGTATCTCATTGTGGTTTTGATTTGCATTTCTCTGACGGCCAGTGATGGTGAGCATTTTTTCATGTGTTTTTTGGCTGCATAAATGTCTTCTTTTGAGAAGTGTCTGTTCATGTTCTTTGCCCACTTTTTGATGGGGTTGTTTGTTTTTTTCTTGTAAATTTGTTTGAGTTCATTGTCGATTCTGGATATTAGCCCTTTGTCAGATGAGTAGGTTGCGAAAATTTTCTCCCATTTTGTAGGTTGCCTGTTCACTCTGATGGTAGTTTGTTTTGCTGTGCAGAAGCTCTTTAGTTTAATGAGATCCCATTTGTCAATTTTGGCTTTTGTTGCCATTGCTTTTGGTGTTTTTAGACATGAAGTCCTTGCCCATGCCTATGTCCTGAATGGTAAAGCGTAGGTTTTCTTCTAGGGTTTTTATGGTTTTAGGTCTAACGTTTAAGTCTTTAATCCATCTTGAATTGATTTTTGTATAAGGTGTAAGGAAGGGATCCAGTTTCAGCTTTCTACATATGGCTAGCCAGTTTTCCCAGCACCTTTTATTAAATAGGGAATCCTTCCCCCATTGCTTGTTTTTCTCAGGTTTGTCAAAGATCAGATAGTTGTAGATATGCAAAAATATGGAACACTAAGTTTCAACAGCCTCGTATGGCGAGCAGCTACTGCGGGGCAGCGCATCACCTGGACCGTGAGATGGTGGGAACAACAGGAAAGCGTCCACAGCGTCGGCGATAGATCCTCCTAGAGGAAGCGCGCCAGGCTCCAGAATAGCAGAAAACTGACAGCTGCCACCACTGCAGGTTCACACGCTGCCTTCAACGTGAAGGTAAAGTGCTTCCACTCCACCCGTCTGGCTTCCCTTCAACCAGAAAGGAGCACAGGCACCAGGCAAGAGCCTGTGCCCAGCAACACAGAATGTTCTAGAGCCCAGGAGACAGTCCCGTTCTCTGAGCTGAGCTGGTCGCACCTGATGTCACCTTTTCCTTTTTTTTTTTTTGAGACGGAGTCTGGCTCTGTCACCCAGGCTGGAGTGCAGTGGCGCGATCTCGGCTCGCTGCAAGCTCTGCCTCCCGGGTTCACGCCATTCTCCTGCCTCAGCCTCTTGAGCAGCTGGGACTGACTACAGGCGCCCGCCACCACGCCCGGCTAATTTTTTGTATTTTTTTAAGTAGAGACGGGGTTTAACCGTGTTAGCCAGGATGGTCTCAATGTCCTGACCTCGTGATCTGCCCGCCTCGGCCTCCCAAAGTGCTGGGATTACAGGCGTGAGCCAAAACGCCCGGCCACCTTTTCCTTTTTGAAGGGAGATGCCAGGATGCAGGGGGAACAAGTGAAAACTACTTTTCCTGTTTCGAGGGTGTGGGGCACCACCGACAGCCAAGATCAGCAACGCCAGGCTGACTCCCCCGGCCTTATCTTCTTGGCCTGCCCATTGGCCCAGGTGGGGGACTCAACTGCGCTGCTGCTTCTTCAGCTGCTGCTGCAGTCTCTCCTCTTTCTTCTTCAGGTAGAAGGTTATGTTGTCAAAGTTGGCCTTGTAGAGACTGCTAAAGCTGGGGTTCACGCAGGCAGAGCCTTCCAGCATGGCCCGGTTCCCACAAAGAACACTGGAGACTTTCTTTAACATGGCACTTTCAGGAACAGACTGCCACTGGCCACCCACAGGCCTGCAGAGCACCAGGGGAGGGGGGCTTCCAGGCAGTCCTGGAGCACCGACAGCCCCTGGGTTTCCTCAAAAGCTACATCCCACACTCGATGCTGGAATGACAGCTGCTGCCTGTACACCAGCTTCTGTCTACCGGCGTGAAACTGGAAGATGTATCCCACAGCAATGCAGGTGCTCAGAAGCACCACCCGGTTCTCCTGGCACCAGAACGCAATCCTGGACGCGGCAAACCTCTGGGGGGACCTGGAGGTCCGCGGACTCTTGGAGACTGTGGAGGTGACAGAAGTGAAGTTGGCGGCCGCTTCTGTACTCCCAGAGCCTCAGGGTGCAGGCCCCGGAGGAGGATGGAAGCAGCTCAGGCTGAGTGGGCAACATGGAGATGTAGTTCACAAACTGTGTGCCCGAGGCAGGAGGACTCAATGCTGCGGGGCATGGCGGCCCTGCTGACCTGGATCTTCTCGTCCCGGTCCGCAGTGAGGACGAAGTGGTCATCAGGATGCACAGCCACGTCTAATAGCATGGACAGAAAGGTGCTGCAGCTCCAGTCGGCCGCATCCGTGTGGCTCCAGCACCGAAGAGGAGACGCCTCCAGACTTGTCAGCCACCAAGACCTTCTCTTCGGAGGCTGTGAAGGTCAGGTCCGTACACCTCCTTGTCATGGTCCTGACACTCAGACATTGCCATGGTTATGTACAGAAAAGAATCAGACACTTACTGCCATCGGTTAAAGAAAACAGCTGCCAGACTTGGAGAAGGTGGACCGACAATTGCACCGCTCCCCTGAACCAAGGGCGGCTCGTCGTCCCCTTTATTTTCTTGTGACTTGTTTTCAAGCACTGCAGTCATAGATGAAGAGGCTGTCATCGTCACTGCTTGCAGTGGAGGTGGTCTGGAACCGGCTGCTCCCCTGCACCACCAGCTTCTGCCCGCACAACGCCAGCCCCGCAGAGTCTGCCTTGTGCCTACCCGCCTCGCCGCCATGCATATTTCCCCACCCAGCACATTTTTAACTTATTTCAATAGTTTTGGGGGAACAGGTGGGTTTTGGTTACATGGATAAGTTATTCAGTGGTAATTACTGAGATTTTGGAGCACCCAATCATCTGAGCAGTGTATGGTGAACCCAATGTGTAGCCTTTTATCCCTTGCCCACACTTTCCCATTCCCCTCGGGTCCCCAAAGTCCATTATATTATTCTTTGAGTCTTCATAGCTTAAGCTCTCCCTCATAAGATAGAACATACAATGTTTGGTTTTCCATTCTTGAGTTATTTCACCTAGAATAATGGTCTCCAACTCCATCCAGGATCCAGGATGCTCCGAATGCCATTATTTTGTTCCTTTGTATGGCTGAGTAGTATTCCATGGTGTGGATATATATATATCATGTAATATATATATACCATGTAATATATATACACCCTAGTATTTTATATATTATATAGAATATATATAAAATATATTATATTCTATGTAATATATAGAATATATAAAATATATTCTATATATTATATAGAATATATATTTTATAATATATATTATTTATATATTTTTATATATTTATATTATTTATATATTTATATATAATTTATATAATTTATACATATAATTTATATATAATTTATATAAATTATATATATAATTTATATATAATTTATATATAATTTATATAAATTATATATATAATTTATATATAATTTATATGATTTTTATATATAATTTATATATAATTTATATAATTTTTATATATAATTTATATATAATTTATATAATTTTTATATATAATTTATATAATATATATATATAATTTATATATAATTTATATAATTTATATATATAATTTATATATAATTTATATAATTTATATATATAATTTATATATAATTTATATAATTTATATATATAATTTATATATAATTTATATAATTTATATATATAATTTATACATAATTTATATAATTTATATATATAATTTATATAATTTATATATATAATTTATATATATAATTTATATAATTTATATATATGATTTATATAATTTATATATATAATTTATATAATTTATATATATAAATTATATATATAATTTTTATATAATTTATATATTTATAATTTATATATTTATATAATTTATATATTTATAATTTATATATTTATATAATTTATATATTTATAATTTATATATTTATATAATTTATATATAATTATTCATATATTTATATAATTTACATATAATTATTTATATATTCATATATAATTTATATATTTATATATAATTTATATATAATTATTTACATATTTATATATTTATATATAATTTATATATATTTATATATAATTTATAAATAAAATATATAATATATAATATATAATATTATAATAGATAAAATATATACTATATATTATATATTTTACATTATATTTAATATTATATGTATAATTTTATATCATATATAATATATATGATATATATAATTTTATATCATATATAATATATATGGTATATATAATTTTATATCATATATAATATATATGGTATATATAATTTTATATCATATATAATATATGATATATAATTTTATATCATATAATATATATTATATATAATTTTATATCTACATATTATATATTATATATACAATTTTATATCTATCTATAATATATATTATATATACAATTTTATATCTATATAATATATATTATATATACTTTTATATTATATATAAAATGTATATTATATATACTTTTATATTATATATAAAATGTATATTATATATAATTTTATTTTATATATAAAATGTATATTATATATAATTTTATTTTATATATAAAATGTATATTATATATAATTTTATTTTATATATAAAATGTATATTATATATAATTTTATTTTATATATAAAATGTATATTATATATAATTTTATTTTATATAAAAAATGTATATTATATATAATTTTATATTATATATAATATGTATATTATATATAATTTTATATTATATATAATATGTATATTATATATAATTTTATATTATATATAATATGTATATTATATATAATTTTATATTATATATAATATGTATATTATATATAATTTTGTATTATATATAATATGTATATTATATATAATTTTATATTATATATAATATGTATATTATATATAATTTTATATTATATATAATATGTATATTATATATAATTTTATATTATATATAATATGTATATTATATATAATTTTATATTATATATAATATGTATATTATATATAATTTTATATTATATATAAAATGTATATTATATATAATTTTATATTATATATAATATGTATATTATATATAATTTTATATTATATATAATATGTATATTATATATAATTTTATATTATATATAAAATGTATATTATATATAATTTTATATTATATATAAAATGTATATTATATATATTATATATAAAATGTATATTATATATATTATATATAAAATGTATATTATATATATTATATATAAAATGTATATTATATATATTATATATAAAATGTATATTATGTATATTATATATAATGTATATTATGTATATTATATATAATGTATATTATATATAATATATATTATATATAATGTATATTATATAATATATATTATATATTATAATATATAATATACATTATATATTACATATTATATATAATATATTATATATTATATATTACATATTATATATAATATATTATATATTATATTAAATATATATTTTATATATTATATATTATATATTATATAAAATATATATATTATATATTATATAAAATATATATATATTATATTATATATTATATTAAATATATATTTTATATATAATATATATAATATATAATATATAAAATATATATTATATATTATATATAAATTATATATATTATATATAAAATATATAATATATATTATATATAAATATACATATTATAGATATCTATTCTTTATCCACTCTTCTTGGTTGATGGACATTTAGGTGTTTTTTTAAAATGTAGTATAAACCAGTAGTTCCTAACAAGAGGGATTTTCCCCCAGGAGACATTTGGCAATGTCTGGCGACATTTTTGGTTGCCAGCACTTGGGAAGTGGTGCTACTGGCATCTAATGAATAGAGGCCAGCGGTGCTGCTAAACATTCTACAGTGTATACGACAGCACCCCTGCCCCTCCCCCAAACAAAGAATTATCCAGCCCAGAATGTTAATAGTGATAAAGTTTAGGGACCTGGTATAGACAGAGATAAAGCACACATGGTTAAAGTTAACAATTGGTTAATCTAGGTGATGATGCCATATTCTAGACTTTGAAATTTTTTGTAAGAGTGAAAACTTTCAAAATAAAACATTTAGGGAGAAAGCACGTTTAAAAATATATAATAAAAGTCTGAGAGAGAAAAAAAAAAGTTGAACTGATGAAAAAAGTAGGCCATACACAGGAAAACAATGGCAAAAGCAGTCCTTTTTATTTTCTTCACTAACCAATGAGAATAAAGACAGGAAATTGTGCTCAATCTACTTGTTAGGCAACAAAAAAACACAACCACAGCAATAAGTGGGGGAGATTCTCACGTGTGATTTTTAGAAAGCTTCTTTTATGGTTTTACATATTTTCTATCAGGATTTCATTGTGTGACAAATGGACTGTATAATTTTGTCATATTAAAAGTAAATCAAAATGAGCAAACTGGGAAACCAGCAGCTGGGTTTTTTTCCCCTACAAGGCACAGAAGACCCATAGCAGAAAAGTAGGCCTCAGAAAATGATTATTAAAAATTTCTTTTGGGCCAGAACAGTGGTTCATGCTTGTAATTCCAGCACTTTGGGAGGTTGAGGGGAGAGGATTGCTTGAGCTCAGGAGTTCGAGGCCAGCCTGGGCAACATAGTGAGACCCAGTCTCTAAAAATAAATAACTAAATTAATTAATTAAGAAAAATTTTTTCTTGAGCAGTTAATGTTTATGATAATACAGTATGATTGGTGTGGTACTTGTAAAACTGCAGTTTTATCTTTTTTTATTTCCATCCGGCCCTGACTGGGTAAGGACAAGGAGGTATTGGAAAATGCAAACAGGTTCATGAAAAAAGTCAGTTTTACTTGTGGTAGAACTCAATATAAGGATGTCAAGCTTTTATTAGAAACCCAACCCGCATGCCTTGTTTATTACCTTCTTCTGTCTCAGCTGTTCTTTATAGTTTTTACTCTTTCTTCCTTTTCCAGCATTATTTTATTGTGTAGAGTAATACTAGAATGGGTTGTTTTTTTTTTGTAATACATTCCGCTGTATTTTCCATGCCCAGTAATTCTTATTTCTCTGCAGCTCTCTGCCTGGAAAGACAGGCATCCAGTGCTTTGTGGGTCTGGTAGGTACAGCCGAGAATAAAGAAGTCAGAACTCAGCTTTGAATTTCAAAAGACTTTTTTCAAGCATAGAAGACTCAGAAGTCTTAACTGCTAGGCTTTCAACTGAGAAACGAAAATAAAATCCAAAGGTCCCCCCTGCAACTGACTAAAAGGACTCCCCTCTTGGCTAAGGAGATCCTAGAGAAATCTTAAAAGCTGAATTCCCAGCCATGATGGATTGGGAGGTCAGACATGCCCTGTTATACTCCCTCCCTTGCTACTTGCCATTATACTTCCACTCCTAAGTGTTAAACAGAAACAGGCCCTTTCTGAAGACTTGCTGGACTCTTCTTCCTTTTTGCAGTTTGACACAACAACTGACCATCATTCCTTCCTGATAAGAGGCCACTAACCATGGACTGGTTCTGGCCGGTTTACAGAAGCTGCACACAGGATGCTTCTGTGTCCTCTGTTTCAGCTTTTGACGTATAGAGCCTAATTTTAATACATTTAAATGTTAAGTTTCCATCCTAAAGTGAACATAGGATGTAGGTAACATACATGTTAGCTTGCTGTGCATGAGTGCACTCCCCTTTTGTGAATATTCATAGCTCCTCCTATAGCCTGTTAAATGTATATACTTAGCTGACCCTTTCAGCCTAAATTCCTGTCTTACCCTTCCCTCCCTAGAAGTACCTGCTTCTGGTTTCTGCCAGAAGCTACCCTTCCCAGGCTGTGGGATGGCCAGCCTGCAGGCTGCAACCCTTTATAAGAAATAAAGCTCTCCTTTCCACATTCATGAACCTCGTGATTCTTCAGTTGGCACAACAAAATGATAGAGGCACTTGAGGAAGAAAAAGGTCTTTTTAATTCCAAATTATTCCCTTTAGAGAATCTAGAACAGTGTTTATTAAATGAACTACCAGATATAGGAAGGAAGAAAAAGATAGGATATGAATGAAGTGCAGTACAGCATTCCCACCCCAAAAGGGATTGAGAAGTTTGCCAGTTGGCGTGAAGAAGAGAATCCAAGAAGAGTAAAGGAGGGTTACATGAGGCATTTCCAAGAGGTCCTACCTCCACCTTCCTCCAGTGTTGAAAGCCACAAACACATTTGATGATTTCGTGACAGAACGGACTTCTGCTGTATGTTCCACCTGGAAACGGTGGGACAAATAGGACATGCTATTTGTTTTAGGTGTGTGCCAATCACAGTAGAGTGGAAATGGGGTATGCTGTAGAGTGTTTAGGCAGAGTGGGCCTGAGAGGAGATTGAGTTACCCTACAATATCACCACTTGGTCAACTCCTATTTTCTTTTCCGTGAGCAGTGTGGAATTGGGAGAGGAATGAGACACACTGTAAAATTTAATCTTGCCCATTAAAAGTACAGTCATCCCTTGGTATCTGCCAAAATTTGCAGATGCTCAAGTCCCTTATATAAAATTGTGCAATATTTACACACAACCTGTGCACATCTTTCCGTATACTTTAAATCATTTCTAAATTACTTATAATACTAATGCAATGTAAATGCTATGTAGTTATTATACTGTGTTGCTTTTTATATAATTTTTTATTGTTGTATTTCCATTTGTTTTTATTTTTCCTAGTATTTTTGACCCGCGGTTGCATCTGTGGATGCAGAACACACGGGTTCAGAGGGACAACCATACTCCAGTCATTTCCACATTAACTCAGGCTCAGCACGTTACTCAGTCTTTCAGGGTTAGAGATGCCAGAGAAAATACAAGATGCTCAGTTAAATTTAAATTTCAGATAAAAATGAATTTGTTTTAGTATAAGTGTGTTCTTTGCAAACATTGGGGACATATACCAAAAAACAATTTGCTATTTATCTGAAACTCAAGTATTTTATTTGCTAAATCTGGCAACTCTACTTGGAGTTGCTCCCTCTTTTTTCCCTTCTTCCTTTTTCCTGACATCCATGCAGAAAGGCGGCTGAAGTAACAGCAAGGCATCGGGGCAAGGCCCTAGGCCTGCATGCTTCCTTCCATTCCTAACAACCTTCCACTTTCCACTAATCCTCTCCTCTCACTGCACTCTTGGTTACTGTAATTTGCAGTCAGTTTTCTTAGCACAATCGGGGATTGAGGTATAGGAGTCTTCCTTCAGCTGACTCTGGCCCACCTCAATTTGCACTGTGGCTACTGTTACTCTAAAGACACTGCAGCAACCTCTATTGGGCTCTTGGTTTAGGCTCTCAATCCCACGGCTTCGGCTGTGAGGCTCCTTTGCTGTGTTCTCAGCTACTTCTACAGCTATCTCATGGGGTGGGGGGAACTCACTCAGATATCCCATGTCCCACTAAGCGGAGGGAAATTTAAGAGCTACCTTTCTCTGTCCGTCCCTTTTGGACATCCCATATGAACATATTGAAACTTTGTATGCTGTTTCAATCTCTAAATCCTTTTTTTGTTTTTTTCTTTTTGTGCTTCAATGTTGGCATTGTTCTATTGTTCTATTTTCCAGTACGTAAATGCTTTTTCAGTGTTATAAACTGCTATTAAGCCTATGCATACATTTCTGTTGTTGTATTTTTCAATTCTATAATTTCCATTTAGTTCTCTAGTTTTCTGGTAAACATCTTCATATTAATCTGTTTTCCTCATCTTTTCATCCATCTGCCTGGATTTTAAAATCATAGCTACTTAAAAATTCTTGCCTGCAAACTCCAGTAACTAAATCCCTGTGACTTTGCTTCTATGTTCTTCCACCCCTCCCAACCCGTGATTTCCAATCATTTAGTTCTGTCTTTTAGGATGCTTGATAATGTTTTAAGTGCAGACATTGTATATGAAAAACTGAAGAGGCTCCAGATGACGTCATCTTCCTCTAGAGTGAATTCATCTTATCCTCCGTTAGGCAGTGGGGTTTGCTCACCTTAATCAAATCGGAGATTTACCTGAATTTAGGCTGGAGCCCATTGTACAGAGCCCACCAAAGATTTCAACTGAGAACCTGAGTTGTTTACCTTCCCTCTACTGGGTCCTCAACTGTAATCATTGTGTCCTCAGTAGTGTGAGACTGGGCAAAATCTCCTTTGCTTCTAAGAGGTTCTCTGCTTAGCTTCTTAGCTTACAGTCCCTCAGAGCTTCAGAATTTGGTAAATGTCTTGAGGAGAAAACTAGCCATATGTCCGATAATGTCTATAAAGCACTTAGCATAGAGTTGGCCATAGGGGAGTACTCTAGAAATGGGTTGTTGAAAAAAACAAACATTGGCTATATGAAAAAATGGGTCTTTTGGTGAAGAGACTTGGTGATTACCACCTCAACCAAATGATCAGACTTAACCATCTTGTATAGTAGAACCATCAGACATTATGTGCTTCTTATGTGATGTAATGAGAAGAATATTTCATCACTTGCAGTATAATTACTATGTAGTATAATTGCCAAATATGTTTTACTGAATCTTTTTTTTTTTTTTTTTGAGACAGGGTCTCACTCTGTCTTGCAGGCTAGAGTGCAGTGTTGCAATCACAGCTCACTACAGCCTTGGCCTCCTGGGCTCAAGCAATCCTCCCACCTCAGCCTCCCAGGTAGCTGGTATTACAGGCGCCCACCACCATGCCCAGTCAATTTATTTTTAAAATTTTTTGTAGAAATGGCATCTTGCTACATTGCCTGGGCTGGTCTTAAACTCCTGGGCTCAAGTGATCCTCCCACCTCGGCCTCCCAAAGTATTGGGATTATAGGTGTAAGTCACCACGCCTGCCCTCTGAATCAAATTATGAAGACAGAATCAGATAAATCAACTACAGAATATTCTATAAGATAACCAGTCTCAAGCCTGCAATCCCAGAACTTTGGGAGGCCGAGGCGGGTGGATTTTGAGGTCAGGAGTTTGAGACCAGCCTGGCCAACATGGTGAAACCCTGTCTCTACTAAAAATACAAAAATTAGTCAGGCGTGGTGGCGCGTGCCTGTAGTCCCAGCTACTAGGAAGGCTAAGGCAGGAGAATTGCTTGAACCTGAGAGGTGGAGGTTGCAGTGAGCTGAGATTGCGCTACTGCACTCCAGCCTGGGTGACAGAACGAGACTCTGTCTCAAAAGAAAAAAAATTAGTCAATATCCTAAAAAATAAAACCAAAGCCAGGGGACACTTCTGGTTAAAAGAGAGCAAAGCGACAAAAAACTCAGATGCATGTATAAATATTTTCTTGTAGCCTAAATTGAAAAAAAGAATCTATAAAAGATATTCTGGGGGCCACTGGGGAATTTAAATATGGATTGTAAATTACATGATATTATTGAATTAATATAAGAATTTTTAGATGTGATAATGATATTGCATGTAGGAGTGTATTTTTAGGAGATACATGCTGAAGTATTTAGGGGTGAAGTATCATCATGTCTGCAACTTCTTTTCAATGTTTCAGCAAAGATGAATAAATAAACAAAACAAACATAGAAACATGTTAACAACTTGTATTTCTAGGTGGATGGTGTACAAAATAGTGATTTGTCATATATTTTTACTTTTCTGTGGGTTTGAAATTTTTCCAGTGAAAAACTTGGAGGGACATTCTTGGCTCTTTCATCTAAGTTATTCATTCTAAGTTTCTGAAGTCATTTGATAAACATTTATTGAGTACCTACTATGTATGACACATTCTTGTAAGTGCTGGGAAGTGGTGATTAAATAGATGGAAAACATCATTCTCTTTCAGTTTCCTCATCCATAAAATGGATATAGAGTAAGCATACATCGTGTAAGAACAATGCTTGGTACAAGAAGGCATTCAATTAATGTCAGCTGTTATAATTAATCAGCTTCGTCCATTGTTGATCTGATTTCATCAATTTGATGTTTTTGGTCTTAAACTCTAAATAAAAATGTGTGATCTTCCATCTTATGTATTCTTCCCAACCCATTTCCTTAAGTTGCTACTCATCTTACTTTCATTAATATTACTAGGGCATTTGAAGTCTTGGAGAGAAGACATGATATAAAGTCAAAGCAAAGATGAAGTTAAAGTGGTCAGGGGTATATTACATTTTTCTTTTCTTTTGACACAGGGCCTCACTCTGTCACCCAGGCTGGAGTGCAGTGGTGCGATCACAACTCACTGCAGCCTCAGTCTCCCAAGCTCGAGCAATTCTCATACCTTAGCCTCCTGAGTAGCTTGGACTACAGGTATGCGCCACCACACCTGGCTGATTTTTAAAATTTTTAGTACAGACAAGGTCTCACTATGTTGCCCAGGCTGGTCTCGAACTCCTGAGCTAAAGCAATCTGTCGGCCTCAGCCTCCCAAAGTGTTAGGATTACAGGTGTGAGCCATCGCACCCAGCCATAGTTTTAAAATTAGGTTTGTACATATGCAAGTAGCCTCAGGTCGAAAGTTTATATTCACAGAGATTTTACTGATGATTATGTTCTGGTCTAAGATTGGGTTATAAACCAGAAGAAGCTAAAAAAAAAAGGTTTCTAAATTTATTTTTCTAAATACTAGATCTTAAACTGATTTAAAACACTCAAAATTCCTTAATACTCTTCCCCAAGAATCTTGCTTCTTGTACACAGGGTGCACACTTAACATGTTATTTTATCTATGAGTAAGAACATTCCTTCCTTCCATGCTGCTCCACCCACTCATGTTTTCAGATGCTAATGGCTTGGCCTGATAAATGCATGGTTCATTCTAAGCCCATACCATAAATTTATCACTAAGTTCCAAAGGTTTCCTTTCAGTGTAGACCTTGATCATAGCACATAATTTGTTAGTTATTTTAGTGCAATAGCACTAAAAAAATCGAAGTTAATGTTCATTCACATAATTTGCAAAGCTAATACTTAAAACTGATGGAAGTAATTCAATAATTCAAAATAATAAGTGATATTTTTGAGGTTAAGTTTATTTTCAAGAGTTCAAAACAATAAAACAAAACATTTTTATTTTCCTATTTCCCTCTTACAGGTTTGGAGAAGACTGGAACAATTATTCATACATTTGTATTACTATCAAGCATCCCACATACCTTAAGGATTGTATACTGCATTTTGATACAATCTTCTTCACTAACAATATAGTAAATTATTTTTATACATTCTGTGTAGGATTAAAATAAATAACTATAGAAATAATTTAACAAATCTTTATAGAGCATCTAGTGTGTGCCAGGTTTTGAAGACACAAAAATAAATAAAAAATGGTCCCTGCCATTAAGAAGTTCACAGTGTAAAGGGGCAAACACACAAATAAAATAGACAATTTAATGTCATATGACAGTTTTGAGAGAGGTCTATACAAAGAACTACAAGAACATCTAAAAAGTCACTTAATCCAGAACAGTAGAAGTTATGGATTGTTTCCAGGCCAAGATGATAAGTTTTACAATAGATTTTTGCCAAGAAAAGAATCAATGGTGGGGATTACTCCAGGTATATCAAACAGCCTGTGCAAAGGCAGAGAAGTGAGAAAATTTTTATGAAATAGTTTTGTAAGACTGAACAGAAAGATATAGGGTGGGACAGTGGTTAGAGAACAGGCTGGAGAGGTAGGCCAGACCACATCATTAAAGGCCCTATGGGCTTTAGTGGGGAATTTTGATTTCTACCTGTATGCAGTCAGGAGTTTAAGTTAGGGTGACGTGCTAAATTTGGGGTTTAACAAAGACTACACTGCTAACAGTAAAAGGAAGGAACTGGAGGCAGGAACACCAGTAAGAGGTTATTTTAGAAATCCCAATGTCAAATAAGGACAAGAATTAAGTAATGAGGCAGAGATAAAGATGGGGAAGAGGTGAATTACTTAGATATTTGGATGATAAAATCAAGTAAGAATTGACTCGGCTGGACTTGGAGAATGATGGAGAAAAGTAAAATATGGTGATTTTCTAACAGGACATGCCATTCACTGAGATAGGAACTGGAGGAAGAACTACTTTTATGAGATGGTAAGTTTTGATTCAGGTGCTTATATATAAACTATCTTTGGATATATCAAATATTTTATATATATATATATATACTTATACTATCTTTGGATAAAAATCCAAAAGATAATAGCATATGTATTTCTGGAACATCTCATGGAGATCTGATGTTGGGACACGGACATAGACGGCATTAGCACCAACAATGGTAGCTGACATAGGAGTTGTAGATGGGATCACCAAGGATGTTAGAGTATAGAGACGAGATGACAACAGGTGGAACTTTGGGGGAACACTAACATGTAATGAGTAGGTGAAGGAAAGCGAGTCTTTGGAGGAAACTGAGAAGACGGGTTAGAGTAGGGAAAGAAAAGTCCAAGAGACTATAGTTCCAACCCATGGAGGAGAGAGTTTTAAGAAGTACTTATGTGTGTCAGTGTGAGTGTTTATGTGTGTCAAATATATTAACAAGTAGAATGCATCCAGTGGATTTAGACATTAAGTCACTTGTAATTTGGATACCAACAGTTTCAACCATATGGAGTGATGGCCATATTATAGCAGATTAAGACTGACTGGTGAGGAAGTCAGAGTGAAATCTAAGATGTTAATGTAAGCCACAAATAATACATATTTGAAAAATGGGCAACGAAACCACATCAGGTGGGGGTCCCAGTATGATGGTGAAACTCAATTTGAATTAATTTAGGTAAGCAGATAAGGAATGGCTGGGACCAGGGTCTGGAATATAATCAGGCCTCTTTCCCTGCAATTGTTCTTTCCCCTGGTGGCTCCACATTCTCTTACTTAAGATCCGTTTTCGTTTTCTTTTTTTTTTTTTTTTTTTTGAGACGGAGTCTCGCTCTGTCGCCCAGGCCGGACTGCGGACTGCAGTGGCGCAATCTCGGCTCACTGCAAGCTCCGCCTCCCGGGTTCACGCCATTCTCCTGCCTCAGCCTCCCGAGTAGCTGGGACTACAGGCGCCCGCCACCGCGCCCGGCTAATTTTTTGTATTTTTAGTAGAGACGGGGTTTCACCTTGTTAGCCAGGATGGTCTCGATCTCCTGACCTCATGATCCACCCGCCTCGGCCTCCCAAAGTGCTGGGATTACAGGCGTGAGCCACCGCGCCCGGCCAAGATCCGTTTTCTTTGTGTGGCAGGGAACAGTTTCATCAGCAAAGAGGAAAGGGCTTCTTTCTTCCAACTTATGAAAAGGGGGGATTGGGTCATGTTTCCATCCTTGGACTAAACACGGAGGCTGGGAAAAACAGGATAATGTAAAAAAAAAAAAACAAGAAAACAAAAAACCCAGCTGGGTGCGGTGGCTCATGCCTATAATCCCAGCACTTTAGGAGGCTGAGGCAGGTAGATCACAAGGTCAGGAGGCCAAGATGGTGAAACCCCGTTTCTACTAAAAATACAAAAATTAGCTGGGCATGGTGGCGGGCGCCTATAATCCTGGCTGCTCGGGAGGCTGACACAGAGAGTTGCTTGAACCTGGGAGGTGGAGGTTGCAGTGGGCCAAGATCATGCCACTGCACTCCAGCCTGGGTGACAGAGTGAGACTTCATCTCAAAAAACAAAACAAAAAAACAAAAACAAAAAACTGCCCCCCACCCCGGCCAAAAAAAACCACACACTTGGTTGGAAGTGAGAAGGGTGAGTCTCCCTAATTAGGATAACTTCTATTAACAGATGATGATGATAGATTGTAAGGGGGCTGGACAAAAATAATAAACATCCATTACAAAAAAACAGCTAAAAATATATGTGTACATTTACTATTGTACACAGATGCTATTCAGCAAAATGCTTATAGCTTTAATTTTTCCCATACTTTGAAAATTTCCAAGTGCTTTCTTATCTTTTATGAAATAAAATTAGTAGGATACCTTTCTTTCTTCCTTTTTTTTTGAGACGAAGTTTCACTCTTGTTGCCCAGGCTGGAGCGCAGTGGCGTGATCTCTGCTCACTGCAACCTCTGCCTGCCAGGTTTAAGCGATTCTCCTGCCTCAGCCTCCCAAGTAGCTGGGATTACAGGCACCTGCCACCACGCCCGGCTAATTTTTGTATATTTAGTAGAGACAGGGTTTCACCATGTTGACCAGGCTGGTCTTGAACTTCTGACCTGAGGTGATCCACCCACCTTGGTCTCCCAAAGTGCTGGGATTACAGGCGTGAGCCATGGCGCACAGCCCCTTTCTTTTGTTAAGAGTAAATGGGCAGAAGAGAATGTTGTTGGGTCTAGAAATTATACTCTATGATCATCAGTGGAATTGGAGAGAAGACATAGGAAGAGACAGGCTATCAGTCTTCAAATATCTGGCAATCATAGACAGGAAGGACTGAATCAGCCTGGTTCTAGAGGGTGGAAGTGGGGCTAGAAGGCAAACGTTACAGAGAGGTGGTCTTCAGTGCAAGCCTAGACTACAACTGGACTGTTCTGTGACATAACAGAGATGCTATTAGTAGAAGTACAGGATTTCAGCTTGGGCTGGCTGACTGACAGTGTTCCTATTGAGAAAATTACTGAATAGTCCTGGACACTTGACTGCCTGATTTTCAAGGACTCTTCCAACTCTAAGAAGATAGTAGGAGACAATTAATTATCTACTGCTTGATTCAACATACAGAATTTGCATATAGTGGGGCATCTTTCTAATATTTGCCTATTTGTTAAATATTGGTTTCCTGGATTCTTATATTTAATGCTATAGAGAACAGTTTTTAAGAAGAAAACCCCACACTAACTAAAGCAGTTTGTAGACACTTTTTTACTATGGTGGTAACCACAGATTCAGAATAAACAATTTGTTATAGTGAGTAGCATATAATCTGTTTTTATGAAAAAAGAGAAACAAAAGTTTTTAAAAGTTAAAATAAAGGTTCCTAAAAAGTTATAAACTTTAACAAAGACAAGTGTTAAGGATTCTTTAGAATAACAGTTTTCTTTTTAATATGGAGAAAACAAAAAGGAGCTGAAAGTCCTTTGTCTTGCTATCTAAGAATAGCACACTAGATGGTGCTATAAGGCTGTCAGAAAGAGAGTTTTACCAGGCTAGTGTGGCATTCTGATGGTAAAGTGTTCTGGAAACTTTCCACTTACTTTCAGCTCCTGAGAGCCGTTCCAGGTTTATATAAAATTAATGGGAATCTCAATTGGACAAACTTTAGCCCTGAGATGACATTAACTTAAAACTAAACCACAGGCTTAACACATTAAAAATAGTTTCACTATTTGACATTTCAATCTGATTCCACTGAAATAGAAATGTTAAAGTCATTAAAATGTCAATGTATTAATTTAAATGTATTGCTATTAATTTCACTTAGCTAGTCTTCCCATGAGCCTAGTTATAACCACCACTTAATGAATCTTTAAGTCAGTTTAAAGTGGCTTCCTGAAATTTTGAATTATCATTAAGCTGAACATACAAATCACTCTTACATTTAGTATTGCAAATATATTAACACAAATACATGAAACATTGTATTTGGAAATCACTCTATCAGTATATTATTTCTTATAAAAATAACATTTCATGATTTTTCCACATTACAATAAAACCAGAAAAATTTTACTAAAGTGCAAAACAAAAATAAAGCTTTACTTTTATAATAGTTCCATTTCATTTTCTTTTAAAAAGGTGAACAACAAAATGAACGAATAAAGATATCGCTTTTGCAACCTAAGAGTCATTTAAGTTTTAAACTTTCAAAGACCTGAGATTTGTGATTTTTTTTCCCCTTATCTTTCCAGTTCTGCTTCTAGAATTTCCCCCCATGTATCTGCATCCATTGGGTACATGATTTTTTCTGGTAGGCTAATGGGAGAACAAATGTTGCTGTATCTGCCACTTAGCCATTCGTGTTTCACTTTACTCTTCTGGTAATTCCTCAGCAGTATCACCTGAAAGAGGTAAATCACCGTTAAAAAAGACTGTAGTAGGTGGTTGGTTAGTGAATGTGTTTAAAGCAAGAGAAGCAGATTGACAGGGCTGAAAAAAAGAGTATTTACATTTATATATACGTACATTAATAAATGTATGTGTCTGTGTACGTGTGTGTATGTATATGTGTATTTATACTGAGTGGCATAAGGTGAAGTGGAAAGAAGGAGCTAATTCCCTTCTGGTTAACGCAGGAAAATTCCCGAATTTAGAATTTTAAAAATGCAAAAGGATAAATGAAAGATAGTGTGGAAACAGTGTGGTTAGCAGGAAAAGACTAATAACTTTAACTCATTTCCAAGAGTCAACACACTGTCTGTGTTATTCTGCATATGTAATTCTGACTCCTCCAAGCAGAAGTTAGAATTGGCGCAAACCTGCTATCATAACGCTGTCAACAACACTGCAGATCGCAAAGATTAAACTTACCCTCCAGGAATAACCACTTTCTAGATCATCATCTATTTCTCTTCGGCACACAGCTCTTACAGTCATGCAGTGAGGTTTCCATAAAGAGTCACTGTTTCTTATTGTGTCATTCCAGCTCCTGCATGTCAATGAAGCCCTGCACAGACTCCGAATGTCCAGCTGACTGAAAATTTTAAAAGTGATTTCTGCAGGCAGCAGTTCAAAAAAGTTGTTTTGACTCTCATTTTTTTCCTTCTCAGCATCCACAGAGTTCGCTTCTGTGTGAGAAACTCTTAAATTATTGTTTCTCTTGGAGTTTTTATGCATAGCTTAATGTTTTAAGTTATCCTCATATGTAACCTAAAAGGCAAAATTTAAACATGCTCAGTCTCCAAATAGGAGTATAAATCCTACTTTAAGTCAGATGCTTTTTGGGTATAATTTAAGAACTCTTTCTTGACTTTAGCTTCTCAATCTGTAAAATGGGCCAATGCTGCCGCTCTCCTGAAAGTTCTTGCAAGGATTAACAGTGATAGTGGGTAAAATATCTAGTCTTGCTACATCTGAATTGCACATGGGAGGCACCCAACATGTTAGTTTCACTCTCACCCAGGCTGGAGTGCAGATGTGTCATAATAGCTCACTGCAGCCTCAAACTCCAGCCTCAAGCGATTCTCTTGACTCAGCGTACCCCGCCCCTCTTTAAAAAAAAAAAAAAGAAAAAAAAAAAAACAGAAAACCAAAAACTGTTTTACGGAGAAATGGTTCTTGCTATGTTGTCCAGGCTGGTCTTGAACTCTTGTCCTCAAGCAATCCTTCTGCCTCAGCCTCCCAGAGTGCTGGGATGACAGGTATGAGCCACCATACCCGGTACTTTTGTACCTTTGAAAATGTATATGAGTCAATCCTATTAAACTCCTGAATACTTGTTGTACATGGGAACTGATGCCTCATCATTAATTTGCAATTTGTGACTTAATCATAAACTTGCTGGACTTCTAGTTGTTTATATAAGAATTTTATCTACTTGTATCTTATAGGTAGGTAGGTGCTTACATTTGACACAACTACTATCTGAAATGGACAAGAAGATGAGATCTGGATTATGAAACAAAGTCTCAAATATTCAACTCAGTCATAAGAGTAGTGTTTTAGAAATGGCCCCTTGAAGCTATCCTACATGCATAATTACAAGCTAAGGATAATAGTCACTGAAGACATCAAGCAACAGTGAGTGACAACTGTAAACAATGTTTAGAACTCAGCTAGGTACAGTATGTGACTCTTTGAAGCCCAGATTTAAAGCTCAGTTTCAGCTAATTTACCTAAGGTGAATGGTGTAGGCTTCCCAAATCAGTTGAAAGCATGACTGGGTACATCACCATCCTTGAGTTACTTTTGTATATAAAGACAGCTTGTATTCACTTAAAATCAGTTTATTCCATTTTGCACTTCCTTTTATAACGGGGGTTGGTTGTGCAAGAGGAGAGGTTTGAGGTAAATACTTCTTTTAACTCAGCTGAACACAAATCTCTTTTCTAGACGAGCTACTCAGCTATGTTTTCGGACTTGCCAAGACCACGGTGGCTCCCATTCATGATCCAGATTAGCTGTGGTGGCTGGAACTGCAGTCTGTGTTCAACAGAGGTCTTCTTCTTGAGGGTTAGGAGAAGTAAGAAAGCAAACGTAAAAACGGGTGAGTCAAGAGCAAGTTTTTGCCATGCACCTTGGCCCCTCCCACCACCAATACAAACCAAAGCCAAACCACAACGTTCTTGAAAAGAATCTCACATTAGGAAAACGTTACAGTGCATTTAAACGTTACAGTGTGTTTATCCACTTCTCCCAGGATCTTACTGGGAGAATAAAATGCGTCCCCTTGTGGAATTCCTGTAACGGGAATGAAGGCTTTTGAATTTCACAGCAGGGGATACCTTTGCGAGTTTCTAAAATCCCACTAGGAATCTTTCTTCTACGTCCAGGTTCGCCTGGATGCCTGGAAACGACCCCTCTTCTGCCCTTTCTCCTTTATGAACTGAGCTTTCCTGAATTCTCTCTCAAGTGAAGTAAAAGCTCGTCCCCCTTTCAACTATCATTCGGAGGGATAGATCGGCGGCAGCGCAGTCGGAGGGGCGGGGAGCCCCACTCCGTCCAAATCCCGCGGGTCAGGGCTAATCACCCCACGTCCCGTCTGAGCCACCCTCCTTGTGTCCCGCGCGGGTTGCAGCTGCTGGAACCCAAGAACACAGGGCACTGACAAGTGACAACAACCGTCAGCGTTGACTGTCACTGCGGCTCCAGGCCGCGGAGGGAAGGCTGAGCTTGCGTCCAGGCCGCGTCCCCGGGAGCGTAGACACCTAAGCCAACGGGAACGGAAGACCCTTCTACCTACTAGGCCGCGGTAGCTTCTCCTCCCGCGATTTAAATCCACCGGAATTCGAATCCTTCCCCATAGCTCTTCGCATCCCGCCCACCTGAGTCCCGCCCTGCTCAGAACTCGCGCAGGCGCCGAGAGGGGCGCGCAGTGCCTTTGGGGATTGGTAGTTTTTTCCAGGGCGTCTCCGCTCGGGAAAGGAAGTGAAGAAAGCCACCAGGACTACAAGGCCCGGCGTCCTCCAAGATGGGAGGGAGGTGAAAAGGGTGTTGGGGAATAAGCCGGGGTTTTTAAACAGTAGTTTTGAGGCGGCGAGACTGGGGAATCCCCGGTTGCGTCATTAGTAGGCGTGGAGGGGCGGGACTCGTGAAGCTGCGCTGGGGCCGGGCTCTGAGAGGACCGGCGCAGCCGCGGGGAGCCTTTGAGGCCCTCCCTCGGTGTTTTTTCCCAGGGCGTGGGCTTGCCCCGCGCGTGTCTGTGGAGGGCGGAAACAGCGGAGGGGCCAGTCTCCTGGCGAAGGGGCCTAATCCTTGCCCGCCATGTCCGGGGGCTTCGAGCTGCAGCCGCGGGACGGCGGTCCCCGGGTGGCCCTGGCGCCCGGGGAGACGGTGATCGGCCGCGGGCCGCTGCTGGGAGTAAGTGTGGGCGGGGGCTTAGCGGACCCCGAGAGCCGTGGAGTTCCGCGCCGGCTCCTGAAGACCGGCCCTAGTCCTGGCCGGTTTCCCCACCGCACTGGTCCGCCGGTCCGGATTTTAGAAGTTTGGGGCCGCACGTTTTTCAGTTACCTTTAAGCCAATTCACAAACATTTCTTTATGTTGCTTTTAAAACACTGACTGTATTACCATTATTATCTTATCCAGGGATTGGCAAACTAGTGCCTGGGGGCCAAATCCAGCCTATGTTTGTATGGCCCCATGAACTAAGAATGATTCTTAAATTCTGAAATGTAAAATGTAAACAAAAAATCTACTAATTTTTCAGGGGGA
Source organism: Homo sapiens (assembly GCF_000001405.40). Classification (NCBI taxonomy): domain Eukaryota; kingdom Metazoa; phylum Chordata; class Mammalia; order Primates; family Hominidae; genus Homo; species Homo sapiens. The sequence goes on from NC_000002.12 coordinate 68,468,180, forward strand.
ATAGTTGCTCCAAGGGTTGAGGGTATTGCGGCTTGTCTTGTAAAGCCTAAAATATTTACAGTAGTGTCTGGTCCTTTACAGAAAAGTTTGCCAAACTGTGATATTACGTCTTCTAGGCTAATTTCTTTTAACCTTTGGTCTCCTTTGCAGAGCTGTGTGGACCTTATTTATTTATATTATTTATTATTTCCAGTAAAATGAGTAGCTAACCCTTCATAAGTAATGTGTATAGCGTTCGTGTCATTGGTCTAAGGAGACATTACCTATACCAACATCTTTAACTGTCTCAAGACCGTATCAGTTAGCTATTTTTATTATCCTCATTGTTCAGATGAGAAAATTGAGCCATACATACATTATTTAAAGTCCATACATAAGCTTTTGGACACATAATGCCACAAAGCTAAATATTCTCTACCTTCTTTGGGAGAGGTTTAGGAATAAGAACATTTGCATATTGCATTCTGGAATTCTATAGATCTCTTAAGTACATCTAGTTTTCTATTTTGTTCTTTAACATTCAACATTTCTTGTTTGGTGCTCACTGTGTAGAACATTTTGCAGATTCTAGCACTGTGGGGCATACAAAGATGAATGGAACATGGGTCCCTACCCTTTAGGAGTTTTCTCTTGGGACCGGGGAGACACCTGTGTCAGTGAGCTAACACCAAGGAGTAAGGAGTGTGTACTGTTGTCCTGGTTAACTTCCAGAGTCTAAATGGAACCATTGGTACTTGCCTTAGGTCCCTTCTGGGAGCAGGGAAAGGAGTGGTAGTTTAAGATTGTATTATGGAAGCTGGTCCTAAAGGGGTGTGTGTGTGTGTGTGTGTGTGTGTGTGTGTTGTGTGTTGTGTGTTGTGTACATGCACATGTGCATGTGGTAAGGTTATTGAGGAAGTAGATATTCAATTGCTGTTCATTTTTTTACTGGACAAGTGATTATTTAAATATTTAACATCATTTCTATTTTTTTCATCGTTTGTTGGCCTATACAAACACTGGAAGGAACTGTCTGGAGGCTTTATTTTTCTTTTAAATTCGTAGGTTTGAAACTTAAGAGTATGTGCTTAATCTAGTAATCATATGTCTGGTGACTAACGAGTTTTGACTTGCTTAAGAAATTGTCACCAGTAGAGTACTGTGGGTCTGGTTAAAAGGTGGATGAATTTTAGGGCCGTGGTTTAGAAACATGGCAACAGATTGCAGACCGTTTCATTATTTGTAGCTTGTTCTTTGTGTTGTCGACTTGCTAATGTGAGATGAGCCTATTTGGTATCTGTTTTTAAAAATGGTAAGGAGTGAAAGCTGGGCAATTACCTGGTCAAGATTTTGCTTTTCCTTTTGAAATAACATTCAGGGATGAGATTCTTTTGCCAAGGTTGGCGTGTATCAGAAGTGGTTATGAATGACATCCTAAGTGTGTTAAAGGAAAAATTTGGAGAACAAACAAATCGCCTTGTAGTTTTTTCGATTTTGGAGCTGACAGATGCACTCGATTCTTCTCTGCACTGGTTAAAACACAACATAAGGGCTCCTGTTTCCAACAACAGCAATTCCAGTGAGATTTATTTTTGTATTGTGAGAGAGCGAAGACTGAGTTCTAAGTGGAAAACTCAGTAAGTTCATTGTAAATTGGAATCGGAAACGATTAATATAAATAAGGATGATTTTGAACTTTCTTAATTGGGCATGTTTTTCTGAGACAAGCTTCACAAACCTTGATGGCCACACAAACATAAAAGTTTATAATCTGACTGTGTAAAATAGTCTTGGTAGTAAAACAGTTTGACAATGAGAATGGTTTTGTATTTTTATGGTGGTAGGAAAACACAACAGAGAAACCTGTCACAGAGAACAAAGGACAATGAAATTTAATCTTTCTTGTTCCCTTTGCTTTCATGTGAGTCATCAGAGAACCCCAGGTCTTTGTTTACTAGATTTTGATTCTGCTCCATGATTGGCATCAGTTAGAAGGTTTTACAGCAGGATTAATCTTCAGAGAACTTGAGTTAAAACAGCCAATCCAAAAGATTACATATTGTGTGATTCCATTTATATAACATCATTGAAATTGCGAAATTGCAAAATTTCAAAAATGGAGAACAGATTAGTGGTTGCCAAAGGTTAAAAAATTAGGCAGCAGGGCAGAAGGGAATGGATATGGCTATAAAATAGCAACATGAGGGATATTTGTGGTGATAGAAATGTGCTTTGTCTGGACTGTGTCAGTATCAATATCTTAGGTTGATATATTGTACTATAGTTTTGTAAGACGTTACCATTAGGGGAAACTGGATAAATGGTACAAGAGATATTTCTATATTATATCTTTCAACTACATGTGAATCTACCATTATCTTAAGAAATTTAATTTAAAAGGGTTTTACAGTACGACATGTCAAGCACTGTTAGGCCAAAGTATTTGCTTTATGGGTTTTAATTAAAGCTGTTACACTCTTAAATGAAATCTACTATTTCTGATTTCAGATTTTTCTTATTTTGTTTTGACAGCAGGGATTATATGACACATTTCTTTATGATCTATTTTCCTCCTAGGAAACAAGATAGCAAAAGATATCTAGTGATACTTTCTCAATGTAGATGTAATTAAATTGACTGCTTTGATTAAAAGGAGAAGAGTCCTCAGTTGGGGGAACAGGGAAGGTCATAGGCTTCAGTATAGACTCTTCAGGTGGCATCAGTTCACCACTTCTAAGAATGTTGTAAATGTTCTACAAAGTTTACACAAAGTAACCATCCCCTGACCTGGCAGCTCTATACTTTTAACTGCTTGTTGCAGAATCCTGGCTGTCCTGGAATGCTGTTCCTACCTGCTCCAACATAGGTTTCTTCCCTTACGTTTCTTTTATTTCTAGATTTGCCCTTCCCTCATTTTATTATTTAGCCTACAACCAGTGCCTAGCACACAGTAGGCCTTTAACACGTGATTTCTTCCTTCCATTTCGGCATCTCAGCCTCTCATTCACTCTACCCTCAAAAAGAGCCTAATTGTGACTTAGATATGAAAAAGGGTTATCATTGAGTTTTGAAGTGAATTTAAATATAGTAAAGATGCAGTCCTACCAACTGCTAAATCTTGAGTAGCATTCATAATGAATTAAGTTTTAACATTTTTCCTGTTTTGTTGATTGATAATTCGCTAAATTCAGGAAATAGCTGATAAATATATACTATGGTTGGATGGGAGGGAGTATAGGAGAAATAAAGGTGAATGAGAAACAAGTCTTTGCTCTCAAGAAACTTATAGTTTTGTAGGGTTAAGAGACAAATAAACAAGTATTAGTAACTAAATAAGGCTACAACCTCACATGGGGACTGGCGCCAGGCTGACACTTGGAGTAAGCGAAGTGGGAGGGAAGAAGAAAAACAACACAGGGACAGTGATAAATGACAACAGTTCTGCCTCAGTGTTGGGAAGGCCACAAGGAGAGGGTCTCTATGCAATCCCTGCTACTTTCCCCTATTCCCAGTTGGTAACAGTGTCATATTGTTTTTTTAAGAATAGTAAGAAATTTGAATTTTTAGATATAATCACTGATTTTTAAAAGGTCACATTTTTATTAAAAGTTTTGGTTAAATACCATGAGTCTGTTGATGAAGAGTTAAATTCTATAAAATATTTCAAGAGATTTATTCTGAGCCAAATATGAGTGACCATGGCCCGTGACACAGCCCTCAGGAGGTCCTGAGAGCATGTTCCCAAGATGGTCAGGGTACAGCTTGGTTTTTATATATTTTAGGGAGGCATGAGACATCAATCAAATACATTTAAGAAATACATTGGTTTGGTTCAGAAAGGCAGGACAACCCAAAGCAGGGGCTTCCAGGCTATAGGTAAATTTAAACATTTTCTGGTTGACAATTAGTTGAGTTTATCTCAAGACCTAAGATCAAAGGAAATGTTCAGGTTAAGATAAAGGATTGTGGAGACGAAGTTTTATTTTGCAGAGCTCTCAGATAGCGGACTTCAGAGATAGCAGGTTGTAAAATGTTTCTTATGAGACCTGAAAGAGTGCCTGGCTCTTAATTGATTATCTCCTGGATCTGGAAAGGAAGGAAGGAAAACAAAGGGGAAAGGGAATTCTCTATAGAATGTGGGTTTTTCCCACAAGAGACTTTGCAGGACAGTTCCAAGGTATGGCAAAGAAATATATTTTAGGGTAAAACATTTTGATTTTCTTCCTTGTTATGCCTGAGTCAGACTGGAAAGTAAGTCACGTTATACAGGGTTAAATAAAACTCATCTGATGAGAATTTATGGTTTGTAGGGCATGACTCCCCAGACCCCTTAGAAAGGAATTTGGGCAAGATAAAAAAAAATAATAATCAGAGCTTAGTCCTCAAGCTAGACAGAATGATGTCACAGGGTACAGAGAGGTATAAGAAGGAACCTGAAGTTAAGAGGTGGGATCAGGGAAAGAAAGCTTCATGAACTTGGTAGCATGTTGAGTTTGACTGTGGTGTGTTGGGACAGTTAGAATTTTGGTAGGTGGAGTGGGTGGTGTAAGGAAGGGCTTGCGTGGTTTAAGGCTCTAAGATATGGTGTGTTGGATAATTGGGTAGGTGTTGACCAGGCTTGTGGGATGATCACATTATGTCAATGATCCCGTTTAACTTTTACAAACATTGTTTTTTAATATATTAGTTTTTAAAATAGACTTTATTTTATGGAGGAGTTTTAGGTTCACAGCAAAACTGAGTGGAAAGTACAGAGAGTTCCCATATACTCTCTGCCCTCTTACATGTACAGCTTCCCCGACTATCAACATTCTACACAGTATGGTATGTTTGTTGGAATTGATGAATCCACATTGACATGTCATTATCACCCAAAGTTCATGGTTTACACTGGGGTTAACTCTTGGTATTGTACATCTTATGGGTTTTGACAAATGTATAATGACATTTATCTACCATTGCAGTATAACACAGAGTTGTTCCACTGCCCTAAAATTTTCTGTGCTCTGCCTATTCATCCCCCAGAGGCTCCCCAGGACCCCTGGCAACTACTGAATTCTTTTACTTTCTCCATGGTTTTGCCTTTTTCAGAATGTCATAGAGTTGGAGTCATACAGTACATAACCTTTTCAGGTTTCACTTAGTAATATGTATTTAAGGTTCCTCCAAGTCTTTTCATGGCTTGATAGCTCATTTCTTTTTAGTGATGAATAATATTCCATTGTCGGTTTATCCATTCACCTACTAAAGGTCATCTTGGTTGCTTTCAAGTTTTAGTGATCATGGATAATACAACTACAAACATTTGGGTGCAGATTTTTGTGTGAACGTAGGTCTTCAACTCATTTAGGTAGATACTAAGGAGCACAGTTGCTGGATTGGATAGTAAAGTTGTATAGTAATAGTATGTTTAGTGTTGTAAGAAACCGCCAAACTGTCTTCCAGAGTGGCTGTACTATTTGCATTCCCACCAGCAATGAGTGACAGTTCTTGTCACTGGACATCCTTATCAACATTTGGTGTTATCAGTGTTTTAAATTTTGATCATTCTAATAGATGTGAGGTAAATCACTTTTCATATGTATATTTTGAGTGGACAAAAATACAGCAGTCAACACAGAAGACTCCTGTGATTGAATATGTGGTTATTTCTCCCTACCAACAAGCAAGCGGTCACTTTTACAGCAGACATCAACTGGGTGTCCTCTAATTCAATTTAATTCTGACACCATCTATCTGGAGATAGCATCAGCTCCCACATGTTGAGGGCTCAGTTCCCAAGATTTCCCCCCACTTCTGATGGCAATTGCAAGCCCCAAGTTGTTTTACCTGTGCTTCTGAACCACTGGATGTAAACCAGGGATCCCATGGCCCTTTCCTTGGGCTCTATTAATTTGCTAGAGCAGCTCCTAGAACTGGTTTGTTATAAGGGATATGACAAAGGATACAGATGAGGAGATGCATAGGGTAAGCTATGGGAAGGGATACTGAGCTTCCATGCTCTCACCAAGTGTGCCACCCTCCAGAAACCTCTACATGTTCACCTGTTTGGAAGCTTTCCTAACCCTGTCCCCTTTGGGTTTTTATGGAGTCATCGTTATTTAGTCATGATTGATTAAACCATTGGGCATTAGTGATCAGCTAACCTTTAGCCCCTCTCGTCTCCCTAGAGGAGGCTGGGGCTTGGGGCTGAAAGTCCCAATTCTCTATACCTTGGTCTTTCCAGTGACTAGCTCCCACCCTGAAGCTATCTAGGGGCTGCTAGATGTCACTTAACTCATTAGCATACAAAAAGACATCACTTGGGAGATTCTGAGGATTTTAGTGGTTATGCCAGGCAACAGGGACAAAGACTATATTTTACAATTATATATATCTTCCCCTGAATTAATGCCTTCAAATTTTCATCCCCCATTTACTACTTACCATGAATATGCTATCTTCTCACATGTCTTCATACTTTTGTATGAGTTCCTTTCTTTGGTAATTTGGTTCTGTAGGTAGTGTCTGGGTATCTGTATTTTTTTGAGATGGAGTTTTGTTCTTGTTGCCCAGGCTGGAGTTCAATGGTGCGATCTTGGCTCACCACAACCTCTGCCTTCTGGGTTCAAGAGATTCTCCTGCCTCAGCCTCCTGAGTAGCTGGAATTATAGGCATGTGCCACCACAACCGGCTGATTTTGTATTTTTAATAGAGACACGGTTTCTCTATGTTGATCAGGCTGGTCTCGAACTCCTGACCTTAGGTGATCTGCCTGCCTCAGCCTCCCAAAGTGTTGAGATTACAGGCGTGAGCCTCCGCGCCTGGGTAGTATCTGTATTTTTAAAAGCTCTGAAGATGATTGTATTGCAAAGCCAGAGTTAAAAACTACTTCTAGACACACTAAGTAGAGTACTTGGCACAGAATAGGTCTTTAAGAAATGTCTGCTGAACCGAACTGAATAAGCAAAATAACTACTTAGACACATTAATTTTCCAAAGTCCCAAGTGGTGCTTTAAACCCACTTTTGTCTTCTTAAGCTTTCCTTATGTCTTTACTTACTATGTTGCCTCTGTCATCATATATTAATGATGAGGATGATGTTCTCACACTTGTGCAGCATTCACTATGTAAGCAGCATTGCAAGCCAAACAGGTTGGATGAGTTGAAATTTCAGTGACATCATGATAGTCAGCACAATTTCATCATATTGGCTAACAATTCACCAGCCTTGAATTAGAGCTCAAAAAGCATTGGATTTGCTTTTTAAAATCTAAAGTGATGCATATTAATCAGTATTGTGAATTAGGTGTTTGTGAGGTTGCCTGATAACCTACCATTTACACCATTATTCTTATGGGAAAGCATATTCACAAGTTCCAAAGAACATTTCACATCAAATATATTAACCTTTTAAAGAGAACTTGATTTCTGAATTGAAGTGTTTATGGGGAGTCTCTGGGCAAAATCAAGTCTATTTCTTCATAATTGCCCCTTCTTAACATCAGAAGTTGGACTTTGTACATTCCAAATACGATAATGTCAAACATCTTATATCAACTACTTTTGCTCTGTTGAAGAATAAGACCGACCTCTTATCAAATATTATGGCAGAGTCTCAGCATAGATGACTGAGCTCTGGAATGCATGCTGGACTTGGCACTGGGAAGATATCTAGATAAGACAATTTTATGATTTGTAGATTTCTTTATAGTAACCAGTCTGGATTCAGTTTAAGTCTTTTATATATATATATATATTTTACTTACCCTCTGCTCCACAAAAGTAGAAGGAAATAATCTAATGAAATTATGTCTAAAATAGATCCCATGCTTTTTTTTTTAGGTTTATGCATTTCACCATAATACTGGCTCAAATCCTATACTAGATGACTTTCTGTTTTTCTCTACCATGAAAATTTGAATTTGTCTATTTTTGTCTGTTGTTGATACAGCAAACTAGATAATCTTTTGGGAAAGCACTGTAAATTGTGAAGTATTGTGTAAAGTAATGTTTTTTGTGTGTATTATGCTCTTTCCCAATTTTGCAAGATTATATACTCAATGTAGAAAATGTAGGACTTTCGCCTGTAATCCCAGCACTTTGGGAGGCCGAGACGGGCAGATCACCTGAGGTCAGGAGTTTGAGACCAGCCTGATCAACATGGTGAAACCCTGTCTGTACCAAAAATACAAACAGCCGGCTGTGGTGGTGCACACCTGTAATCTCAGCTACTTGGGAGGCGGAGGCAGGAAAATCGTTTGAACCTGGGAGGCAGAGATTGCAATGAGCTGAGATTGTGCCATTGCACTCCAGCCTGGGCAACAGAGTGAGACTCAAAAAAAAAAAAAAAAAAAAGTAGGAATTTCACCAAAATCAAGTAAGCAGGAAGACAAAATAAGCACTTCGAAGTCAATTACCAAGAGATAAGCACTGTAAACATTCAATGTAGTTCTTTCATGTATTTAATCTGTGTACATAGGTATATATATTTTATTCAGTGTATATATTGTGCAATAGTTACCACTGATTTTTAATTAATATTATACTATAAATTTTATTATTAATATTCTGAATAGTATTTTCAGTACAACCTTCCAGTGGCTTACTGTCACACTTAAAACCCAAAGTCCTAATGGGTATGAGGTTTCCTTTTGGAGTGATGAATACATCCTGGAAATAGAAGTGATGGTTGCACAATTTTGTGAATACAGTTAACCCTGAACAACATGGGTTTTGAACGGCATAGGTCCACTTCTATGCAGATTCAACAAGTATATTGGAAAAGTTTTTGGGAGATTTGTGACAATTTGAAAAACCTCACAAACTCTATATTTAAAAAACATTGAAAAATTAAAAAGATATGTCATGAATAAATGAAATATATGTAGGTAGTAGTCTATTTTATCATTTACTACCATAAAATATACTCAAATCTATTATAAAAAGGTAAAATTTATCAAAACATACACACACAAACACAGAGTGTACATAGTGCCATTTGCAGTTGAGAGATATGTAGACAAATGTAAAGCATAAAATTCACTGTAATACATACTGTACTTCTGTAATAATTTCTAGCCACTTCTTGTTGCTGTTTTGGTGAGCTTTACTGTTGCAGGTATCTGCTTACGACAACGTGTGATGTGAATCATCTCAGCATGAGCAGTTCAACTCTCCAGTAAATTGTATATCATAATAAAAACAGATCTCAGCTGGGTGTGGTGGCTCATGCCTGTAATCCTAGCACTTTGGGAGGCTGAGGTGGGAGGACAGCTTGAGCCTGGAATTCAAGATCAGCCTGGACAACATAATGGGACTCCATCTCTACAAAAAGTAAATTAAAAAAAAAATTAGCTAGGCATGGTGGTACATGCCTGTAATCCCAGCTACTCGGAGGCTGAGGTGGGAACCTCACTTGAGCCTGGGAGATTGAGGCAGCAGTGAGCCATGACTGCACCATTTTACTCCAGCCTGAGTGACAGAGTGAGACCCTGTCTGTATTAGTCTGTTCTCACACTGCTAATAAAGACATAACCAAAACTGGATAATTTATGAAGGAAAGAAGCTTAATAGACTCACAGTTCCACATGGCTGGGGAGGCCTCATAATCATGGTGGAAGGCGAATGAGGCGCAAAGTCAAACGTCTTACATGGCATCAGGCAAGAGAGCTTGTGCAGGGGAACTCCCATTTATAAAACCATCAGATCTCGTGAGACTTATTTACTACCCTGAGAACAGTATGGGAGAAACCACCCCATGATTCAGTTATCTCCACCTAGTCCCACCCTTGACATGTGGGATTGTTACAATACAAGGTGAGATTTGGGTGGGGACACAGCCAAACTATACTATATCACTCTTTAAAAAAAAAAAAGGTGATGTCTCATGAGTCTTGTATTTTTTTATTGTGTTTAGTGCAATACCGTAAACCTTGATTAACACACCATGGGACCATGGGACCTATGTGAAATACCACTAGTGATACTGGAAGTTCTCCCAAAAAGCAGAGAAAAATAATGGCAGAAAAAAAAAAGAAAAGAAAAATTACAAGAAAAAGTTGAATTCCTTGATATATACAGTAGATTAAGGTCTGCAGCTGTGTTGCCTGCCATTTCAAAATAAATGAATACAGCATATGGACGATTGTAAAAAAAGGAAAAGGAAATTCATGAAGCTTTCACTGCAGCTATGCCAGCAGGTGGGAAAACCTTGTGCTTTTTGTAAAACACCTTTTTATCTTGTATTGAAAATGCAATTTTTATGTGGATAGAGGCTTGCTATAAGAAAAACATACCTATAGACTCTAATATGATTCAAGAAAAAGCAAAGCCATTATGTGACAACTTAAAGCAAAGGGAGGGTAAAAGATCTAAAGCTCGAGAATTTAATGCCAACAAAGAATGGTTTAATAATTTTAAAAAGATGTTTGGCTTTTAAAATGTCAAGGTAACAGAAAATGCAGTGTCTGCTGCCCAAGCAGCAGCAGATGAATTCCCAGATGTCATTAAGATAATCATTGAGGAGAAAGGATGTCTGTCTGAACAGGTTTTTTAATGTAGATCAAAGTGCCCTACTCTGGAAAAAAAAAATGCCACAAAGGACAGTTATTAGTAAGGAAGAGAAGTGAGCACTGGGATTTAAGGCAGGAAAGGATAGCCAGTTCTACTGTTTTGTGCAAATGCAGTTGGGTTTATGATTAGTACTGCCCTTATCTACAAAGGTGCTAACCCCTGAGACTTGGAGGGAAAAGATAACCACCAGCTGCCATTCTTTTGGTTGTACAAAGAGAAGGTGTAGACATGAAAATCCTTTTTCTGAATTGGTTCTGTCAATGCTTTGTCCCTGAAGTCAGGAAGTACCTTGCCAGTAAGAGACTGCCTTTTAGAATTCTTTTGAACAATGCCTCTGGCCACCCAGAGCCCCATGAGTTGAGTAACGAAGGTGCTGAAGTGGTCTACTTTCCCCCAAACACAGCATCTCTAATTCAGCCACTAGATGAGGGAATCATAAGGACTTTTAAGGCTCATTATACACAGTACTCTATGGAAAAGATTGTCAGTGTTATGGAAGAGAACCTCCCTAGAGAGAACATCACGAGTCCCGAAGGATTACACCATTGAAGACACCATTGTTGTTATGGAAAAAGTCATGAAAGCCATCAAGCCTGAAGCAGTAAATTCCTGCTGAAGGAAACTGTCCAGATGATATGCATGACTTCACAGGTTTTATGACAAAGCCAATCAAATAAATTATGGAAGAGATTGTGGATATGGCCAAAAAGTCAGGGGTGAAGGATTTCAAGGTATAGATATTGGAGAAATTCAAGAGCTAATAAACACTAATTAACACAAGACAACTTGATGGAGATGAATGCTTCTGAGCCAGTGCCAGCAATGAGGAAGACATGTAGAAGCAGCAGTGCCAGTTACCAAACCAACACTAAACACTGTGGCAGAAGGGTTACGTTTATTCAAGACTGCTTTTCTTTTACAACATGGACCTTTCTATGATACAGACCCTGAAACTAAACAAATGGTGGAATAAGATTGGAACTGTATAAAAACTTTTTTTTTAAAGAAATGGAAAGCAAAAAAGTTAGGCAAGTTATCATGTATTTTCATAAAGTTACACCAAGTATGTCTGCCTTTCTTGCCTTCCCTTCTACCTCCTTTACCTTTTACACCTTTGCCACCCTGAGATAGCATGAGCAGCTCTTCCTATTCCTCCTCCTCCTCAGCCTACTCAAGGTGAAGACAATGAAGATGAAGACCTATATGATGATCCACTTCCATTTAATGAATAATACATATATTTTCTCTTCCTTACGATTTTCTGAATAACATGCTCTTTTCTCTAGCTTATTATAAGAATATACTGTAAAATACATATAACATGCAAAATATGTGTTAATCAATCATTTATAATTGATTAAAGCTTCCAGTCAACAGTAGGCTATTGGTAGTTAAGTTTTGGGGGAGTCAAGGTTGGTTCCCCTAACCCCCATATTGTTAAAGTATCCTGTAAGTTTATTGAATTTGTTTATCAGTTTTAAGTGTTCTTTTGGTGGAGTCTTTAGGTTTTTCTAGATGTAAGATCATGTTATCTACAAGCAGGGATGATTCAACTTCCTCCTTTCCATTTAGATGCCCTTTCTTTTTCCTTTTTTTTTTTTTGTTTTTTGAGACGGAGTTTCACTCTGCCACCCAGGCTGGAGTGCGGTGGCATGATCTCGGCTCACTGCAACCTCCGTCTCCCAGATTCAAGCAATTCTCTGCCTCAGCCTCCCGAGTAGCTGGGATTACAGGCGCCCACCACCATGTGCAGCTAATTTTTGTATTTTTTGTGGAGATGAGGTTTCACCATCTTGGCCAGGCTGGTCTTGAACTCCTGACCTTGTGATCCACCCACCTTGGCCTCCCAAAGTGCTGGGATTACAGATGTGAGCTACCATGCCCGGCTGTTTTTTTTTTCTTACCTAATTGCTCTGGCTAGGACTAATAGTACTATATTTAATAAGAGTGGTAATAGTGGGGCATCCTTAGCTTGTTCCAATTCTTAGAAGAAAAGGTTTCATCTTTTCCCCTTTCTGTATGATGTTAGCTGTGGGTTTGTCACATATGCCCTTTATTGTGTTGAGGTATGTTTCTTCTATACCTGATTTGTTGAGTGTTTATCATGAAGGGATGCTGAATTATATCAAATATTTTTTCTGAATCTCTTGAGATCATATGGTTTTTGTCCTTAATTCTGTTGATGTGATATATCACATTTATTGATTTGTGTATGTTTGAACCATTGTTGCATCACTGGGATAAATTTCACTTGATCATGGTGTATAATCTTTTTAATGTGTTCTTGGATTCAGTTTGCTAGTATTTTTTTGAGGATTTTTGAATCTATATGTTCATCAGGGATGTTGACTTGTAATTTTCTTTTTGTTTGTGTGTCCTTGTCTGGTTTTGGTTTCAGGGTAATACTGGCTTCATGTAATGAACTTGTAATAGTTCCTTTCCCTTTAATTTTTTGGAATAGGTTGAGAAGAATTGGTATTAGTCTTTTTTAAAAGTTTGGTAGAATTCAGCAGTGAAGCCTTGTAGTAATTCCTTTAAGTATTTCTTGTAGGGCTTGTTGAGTGGTGACGGAATTCCCTTAGTTTTTGCTTGTTTGGGAAAACTTCATTTCTAAAGGATAGCTTTACTGGGTATCATCTGGGCTGGCAGTTTTGTTTTGTTTTGTTTTGTTTTTGTTTGTTTGTTTGTTTTTTCCTTTCAGCACTAAACATATCATGCCATTTTCTCAGCCTGTAAGGTTTCTGCTGAGAAATCTGCTGTTAGTCTAATGGGCATTCCCTTTTATGTGACTTGATGATTTTTTCTTGTTGTTTGTAGAATTTTCTCATTGTCTTTGACTTTTGAAAATTTGACTATAAGTGCCTTGGAGAGGAACTTTTTGGGCTGAATTTATTTGAGAACTTTTGCGCTTCCTGCATCTGGATATCCTTCTGTCTCTCAAGGCTTGGGAGGTTTTCAGCTATTATTTCATTAAATAGGTTTTCTATGCCTTTTCCATATTTTCTTTTCCTGGAATTCTCATAATGTGAATATTTGTTCGCTTAATGTTGTCCCATAAATTCAATCGGTTTTCTTCATTCTAGTATATACTTTTTTCTTTTCTTTGGGTTATTTCAGAAGACTTGTCTTTAAGTTCGGAAATTCTTCTGCTTGATATAGTCTGGTGAAGGCTTGATTTTATTTTTTATTTTATTCTCTGAATTCCTCAGCTGTAAGATTTCTGTTTGGTTATTTTTTATGATGTTTCTCTCTGTTGAATTTCTCATTTAGATAATGAATTATTTTTCTGATTTTGGTAAATTGGGTTATCTGCATTCTCTTCTATCCTGTTGACTTTCTTAAAGTTATTTTGAATTCTTTTTCTGGCATTTTATAAATTTCTTTTTTTTTTTGTGGAGTCTGCTATTGGAGAATTAATGTGTTCCTTTGGGGTTGTTATGTTTTTTTCATGTTTCTTATGTCCCTATATTGATATCTGCTCATCTGGTGGAATAGTTGCCTCTTCTAATTTTATGCAGTAGCTTTCACAGGGAAAGACCTATTCCTTTAGATGGGTCTTATGGTGTCTGACAGGTAGAGTACATTGGCTTAGGTTCTGAGTGAGCACAGTTGTATGGTCTCTGTGCAGTTTCCTCAGCTGTAACCCATATTAGTGATGTTTGCAAGTGCCTCAGTGGCCTAGGCTGTGGAAGTGTGTGGTGGTAGTGGTGGTGTGACTTTGCCAGAGATGGGCTCGCCAGGCTGGTTGTTGAGCCAGGGGTATGCATGTACACATAGTGAGTCAGCTGGCTTGGAGACAGGGTCACTGAGGGCAGGGCTGCTAGGCTACTTCTCAGGCTGAGGGTGCTGGTGTGCAGAGACCTCAGGGACTGGCTCTCTGGGCTGTTTATCAGACTTAGGGTGCAGACATGTTGTGGTTTGGCTGCTTAGGGTCTGGCTTACTGAGGAAAGAGCCACCAGGCTGTTTATCCAGCTAGGAGTGCAGGTGTGGGACAGTTTGGCTGGCTTGTGGAGTATGTCCGCCTAGGGTGGTTCCACCAGACTGTTTCCTCATTTGGGGGTATGGACACACAATGATTAGGCCAGTTTGGTGGCATGCCCACTGGGGGTGGTCTGCTGTTTCTCTGGCTGGGGTGTGAGCTCACAATGGTTTGGCTAGCTTGGGGAAGTGCGTACCAGGGGTGGGCTGCTATGCTGTTTCTGCAGCTGGAGGTGTAGGCATGTGGTGTTTTGGCCAGCCTGGGGTTGACTTCCCCACTATGCAGTACCAGAGTCATGACTGTCCCTGGGCCCAGGCTCTCAGTAACTGGAGTCATTGCATTACAGTCCTTCATGTGGTCTTTATGGAATGATGGTAGAGCCTCAAAGCTAGAGAGACACAGTGGCTATTGGCCCCCAGAGCAGGACGCCCTCCAGCAGTGGCTCTGGTTTCAAGAAGATGCTATGCTGTAGCAGCTTAGGTCATGCAAGGGTGGGGAGCGCATAACACGAGCTCCTACTGTGGAGTAATGTAGCTTTGTAAATTCCAGGTAGCTCTCCAAACAGCTCAAGGCTTGTAAGGACTGTGGGATTCTCCTGTAGTAAGGACTGCAAGTTTCTGTGGCTGGGGCCCTGTGCTTACCATTACCCCATAAGAAGTCCCTCCTGGCTCCCAGCCAGTCTCACTGGGGAGATGGGACAGCAGAGGCAGGGTGCCTTGCACCTCTTTTCATCCTGCTTTTGTGCTCCACAGGGATCTTGCCACTCTCTTGCTGCACTTCAGTGCTTTCCCTCAGACAATCCAGTTGAATTGTAGTTGTTGATTCTGTGTTTGGGTCCCTTTTTGGGGGGCAAAGGCACGCATTGGGCACCTCTAGTCAGCCATCTTTCTGATTTTATTCATACAAGATAATTTTTATAAAATTAAAGTATAAAGTATTATATAATTATCTTAACCTTTCCTGTGTAATATAGTTTATACTGAAAAACAAATAATTTGTACTATAATATACATCCTGTGTACTATATTTGTACTATAATATCCTGTGTAATACAGTTTATACTAAAAAACAATTTGTAATATAGTTTATACTGAAAAATGAACTATTTTCTGTTCTTATATGTACAGGAACCAAGTTACATGAGAACATTGAATTAATGCGATATATTATACCTGTCTATGATGTTCAGAAACTTCTCTAGAAAAGCATTTTACAAAAAATTAACTTGTGTTGTCTATATTATATGTAGACAAAAAATGAAATGAAAGGTACCACCCTATTCTATTTCAAGATCCAGTAGCTTTTCTGCTTTTACTTTATTCAGGGTTGTTTCTTTCGTTTTTAGAATTTTGAGAATTGCAGTCAAACAAACAGATCACAGACTTTGATACAAAATATCTAAGTATTTCTGCTCATCACATAAGAAAATCTCCATTTTGTTTGACTTCAATAAATACCAAAAATAAGTATTTGGTAACAGATCATAAAGAGTTCTTTTATGTTTTCATGTGTTTATCTTTTCTTCTGGTATAATCTTCATATCTTAAAACTAGAGAAGGGACCTGTATGTATATTATAGTAGATGAAGTATTCTAGTAATATTTAAAACCAGAAAGTCAAATATAAGGGATCCACATGGTATCACTACAAAAGTGGTATAAGAATAGAGAGACCTGTTCACATTCAAGAAACAATATTAAGAATGCAGTTTAGGGCTGGGCACGGTGGCTCACACCTGTAAGCCCAGCACTTTGGGAGGCAGAGGTGGGTGGATCATTCAAGGTCAGGAATTCGAGACCAGCCTGACCAACATGTTGAAACCCTGTCTCTACTACATGTAAAAAAAAAATTAGCCGGACATGGTGGCGCATGCCTGTAATCCCAGCTACCCGGGAGGCTGAGGCAGGAGAATAGCTTGAACCTGGGAGGCAGAGTTTACAGTGAGCCTAGATTGTGCCATTGCACTGCAGCCTGGGCAGCAGAGCGAAGCTTAGTCTGAAAAAAAAAAAAAAAAAGTTTAAGGCCAGGCACAGTGACTCATGCCTGTAATCCCAGCACCTTGGGAGGCCCAGGTGGGCAGATCACTTGGAGCCAGGAGTTTGAGACCAGCCTGGCCAAAATGGCAAAATCCCATCTCTAAAAAAAAAAATAAATACAACAATTGTTAGAGGAATGTATATTAATCACAGTTGCTTTTGACTACAAGTAACAGAAATTTGACAAACAGCAATTTAATCAAATAAGGTATTGATTTTTCTTCTGTAATATGCCTGTGTGTGTGTGTGTGTGCGCACATTTTTTTCTTTCTCCTGAACACAGTTGAAAGTACATACATGCATTATGGCAGTTCACTAAATATGTCAACATGTGTCACCTAAGAACAAGGACATTTCTATATAGCTATATTCTGTTATTATATTCTAGAAATGTGTAACTGTGCCATAAATTTTAATATCCCATACTCGGTTTTGTACATCGTTTTCAATAATGCACTTTTTGCATTTTTTTAAAAAAAATCAGGATCCAGTTAAATTTTTTTTAATTTAATCTAGAACGGTTTTCTTGCCTTTTGTCTTTAATGACATCAGTGCTTCTGTGAGTCCAGGCCAGTTATTCCTAGAGTGTCCCACAATTTTTGTTTTTCCGATTGTTTGCACATAATTTGATTCACATTAAACATTTTTGTTGAAAATATTAAGTAGGTGATGTTTATTCAGAGTACCACATTAGGAAGCACATCTATCAGTTTGTCCTCCTGTGGTGATGTGGTAAGTGTAATCACCTTGGTAAGGTGGTATCTGCCAGATTTCGCAGTTAATCTACCATTTCCTTTGTCAGTAATCTGTGGAGTGATACTGAGACTTCATGAATATTTATTCCCAACAGACCTTTTTCTTGTTGGGAAATAAACATCCTTTTATCCGTTCCTAACTTAATTTTTACATTGATAGTTAGAAAATAGTGATTTTTCTGGTTCTACCATTTTTTCTGCTTTAGCTGGCATTCTTTTATAAAGAAATGCATCTCTCCCAGCCTTACCCTCTGATAATACTGGAATACAGCACACTGAATCACAAAATAATCCATGATTCATATGGAATCTTTTTTATTATCTCTTTTTTTTTTTTTTTTTTGAGACAGGGTCTCACCCTGTCGCCCAGACTGGAGTGCAGTGGCGCGATCATGGCTCACTGCAACCTTGACCTCCTGGGCTCAAGCAATCTTCCTACCTCAGCCTCCCAAGTATTAATATTTGGGACTATAGGCACATGCCACCCTGTCCAACTAATTTTTTACTTTACGTAGATTTGTATGGAATCATGGATTATTTTGGGATTCAATTTGCTGTATTCCAGTATTATCACTATTTTGATGCTCGAATTGTTCTAAATTTGGTCAATCAGAGTTTTTTTGCACTGGTTTCTCTGTCCTTCTGACATGCACCCATCAATTTTTGAGCATTTCTTTGTCCTCTGGCACAAGAAGATATCCTAGGTCCACATTATACTTTTTGTGCTTCAGACCTGGAATGTGACATTTCTCAAAAGAGCTCTGGTTTCTTTCAGTGGGGAATGGTATTTTGAAGCCAAAATCTATACTATTGGATTTATTTTTTTCTTCCAAGTGTCCTCCTTCTCCCTGAGAAGTGGTGCCTTTTCTGAGCTTGCTATACCTGGTTCCACATATTTTTATGCCTCTCTTTTGGATTCTCTATTAGCTTGGCCTCTGCAATGTTGGATCTGAAATGTGTTTTTAGTATTTCCCAGTAAAAGTGTGACTTAATTTTTTTTGGGAGTGATACCTATGCTTCAGCACCCCTAGATTCCCACTCCCTCTCTCCTCTGTTTCTGTCATTTGCCACCTGATTTTCTCTGCTCCAGCATAGGTTCTGGGGCTTGATCTTCTGAAACTGGCATTTCTCATCTCTCTTACATGTAAGTTAAAGTTTTTAGTAATCTCCATCTCCTAGTTTTACATTACATATGGGATGGGATATGGGTAGTTTTATTTGCTCTATTTGTTGATTTCTTTGAAGAATGTGTGTTGTGATTAGAATTTAGGTGACTATAATTATTCTATAAAAATTGGAATTCTTCAATTTAACTTTTTATGGCTTTCTAAGATGTGAAATATCTGACTTTCAGTTGAAGTTTTAATTTAAACTTGGTGACTCTTGGTAATCAGTAAGTAAACTTGGGCAAGCCTTCAGTATATTTTGAAGTAATTTATGCCATTTGTCCTACCCTAAATGGCCTCTAACCAGTGTATTCTTTTTGAGTCCCTGGGTTTCTTTGCTTTTTAGTAGCCTTTCTCTTTCCACTTGCAGACCAACATCAGTCATTTTCTTCTGTTGTCAGTGTGCTGTCTACTAAATCCTATCCACTTTATGAATAGAGAATTAAGAATTTGGATGACATATCTTGTTAGACTTAGGTATGCCATTAGATAAGCAGGACCAAATGAAAGCCTGAGGGCCTCTTGGAGCTTTATTTAGGATCTGAATCTCCTCTGAATGTCTATTTGGTTATTAAATAGCCATTTCTGCCTTATTTCCAGTTCTTTACTGTGTTCTAGTTTGACAGTTAAACTGGGTAAATCATCTTAAAAACAGGTTTTGCTTTAGGTTTCATGTAATGATATTGAGGGATGCAATACAACGTTAAGAGCATGAATGGTTCTGGAATCTGATTCCTTAGGTTCAGATCCTGGCCCTACTACTTATTGGTTGTGTAACTGAGTAGTTGCTTAAACTCTCTGTACTTCCATTTTCTCACCTATGAAGTGAAGTATAATAATAGTATCTTCACAGATTTTGTGAAGACTGAAAAAGATGATACATGACAAGTCTAGAATGGTGCTTTGGTGTTGATAATTGATTGTTATTACAGTTGATGTATTAATAAATAATAAAAATGTGTTGGATATTCACTCTGTATAAGGAGCAGTGATAGGCTGTTAAATAAAGCAGATCATCAGATCTTTAGGATAATCTGTTTGTCACTTGCTCCCCACCCCTCTCCGTATATCAATCGTGACATTAAAATGTTTTAATGATAATTTATTAAACCTTTATGCTTCCCATTGAGAAAGTGCAAATGGTTATTTTATTGTGTATTCACTATTTAGGGTTTTACTTTAAAAGGAACACTATAAATGTCTGAGTGATGTTAATTTCAAAGATTGTTTATAGCATTCTTTTTGTATTCTATAAAGACACATAGCTTGTAATGAAATTACACTGTTGTGGAGTTATGTGTCCACTAGAGGTCACATTATACTTTTATATTACTTAAAATGTCTTTTATCTTCGTAGTGTCAGTGAAGCTTACTTCAAAGAAAGACAGAGATAGGAAAAGTTCATGTATTGCTTCCTGAAAAAATACAGTTTAAAAAAGGAAAGAAAGAAATTTAAGATGGACTGTTAAAGGAACCAGCTTTATATGCCATAGTTTTATATTTGATAGCTTATTACTCTGTTGGTTAGAAAATTGGTTCGTAGTATGGAAGTAACAATGAGATTTTGGTACCCAAGTCAGAAATAGGAACTGCTTACTCTCAGCCGCATTTTTTGAAATTACTTTTGAATGATTACATGTAGGTACAGTCATGTATAAATGTGTTCTACATTTATTATCTTTTTTTTTTTTTTTTTTTGAGGCAGGGTCTCACCGTGTCCCCCAGGCTGGCATGCAGTGGCACGATCATGGCTCATTGCAACCTTGACCTCCTGGGTTCAAGCAATCTTCATACCTCAGCCTCCCAAGTATTAATATTTGGGACTATAGGCACATGCCCTCTGTCCAGCTAATTTTTTACTTTATGTAGAGATGGGGGTCTCACTGTGTTGCCCAGGCTAGTCTTGAATTCCTGGGCTCAAGGAGTCTTCCCACTTCAGCCTCCCAAAGTGCTGGGATTGCAGCCACCACACCCTGCCTATTACCTATTTTTATTAAAAGGAGTGTGGATTTGGAGTGCTGCCTACTTGGAGAGTGACCTACCCAAGTTACCTAAATTCTCTGGACTTTCAATTTCTATGTAAAGTGTTAATAATAGCTATGGCAATGTTATGTTGAATCACAACATTTAAGTGAAAGTTCTGTGCAAATGATGCAATGAGTCATCAGATAACTGCTGTTGTTTTTAGCCTACTAAGGTACAATCTGATATACCTAATGCTAAATGACGAGTTATTGGGTACAGCACACCAGCATGGCACATGTATACATATGTAACTAACCTGCACATTGTGCACATGTACCCTAAAACTTAAAGTATAATAATAAAAAAAAAGGTACAATCTGGGAAAAAGAAAGGAATCTTTAAATTTTTAGCCTCTTTTTTTCTGAAACAATAGATTATTAGTTTGTACTTACTTCTTGGATAGCCATTGTGGCTAACAATAGATTGTGAAAAATTCATTCATGTGATACTCATTCCGATGCTTGATATTACTGTCTATATGTTACAGCCTTAAGTGTGGAACAGCTATCTGGTTAAAAAAATGAGTACTGACTCCTGGCAGTTTCACATTTTTTGTGGAACTAATAGGTTTAATTGAGTTTATGTGTTGGTATGGTCTATTTTTTACTGATAATTTTGGTCCTTATGCGGATAATGCCAACATTCAAGTGCTGAATATCAAGGTTACCAAGAGATGGGTCAGGTAGTTATGGTGTTATTGAAGTTGGTGCTTAACATGTTTTCATTATCTATCAATCAACCACAAATAAAAAAGGCAATCTTAACTATTGTATTTACAGTGAAAAGGGAAAGCTTTGATTGGCACTGTCAGCATTTAACATGCAAACAATTTTTGAACTTTGGTATGTGGAAATGATTGTGAGCCTAAGTAGAACACTGTTGGCTCAAAACAGGAAGCAAATAGATATTTTTAAAAAATGCTAATTTATTTCTTACTGAAAATGTTTGGTTTTCACTATTCCCCTTCTTGCCTTCCTGAACTCTTAACTGCTGCTGATGGCCCCAGAGTTTGCATGCAGTTCTGCCTGATCTGGGTCTCTTTGACCCCAAAGCCTATAGTCAGACCCTTTTACACTTACCAGATCCTCGAGCATGGGATCTCTTCCTTTTAAAACCTTTATCATCATGACATACTATATGTTTCTTGTATTTGAAATGTTTTCTGGTAAGTACATATTATATACAGACTTTTCGTATTTTATGAATTTTCTTGGTAAGAATCCCCAGTAGATGTCTGTCATGAATGGAAACTATCATGCAAGGTTTTGGGATCCGTTAGATTCTAGGCTTGAGGCTCTGTTGTTGACTCTTCCATGACTTTGGGCAGGTTTTTTTAATCTCATTATTTGTTAAATGAGGACAATCATTTCAATATACAGTTGTTGAATGAATGATATATTTCATATCTAGTCTACTGATTTCAGAAACATCGCCAAGGGTTTCGTTTGCCTTTTTGTTTTGTTGCTTTTTAAGGAGGTGGCTATTCTTAATCTTTTAATTTTTTTACTGTATAGATAACAGACAAGAGAGTATCCAGAAGACATGCCATTCTTGAGGTGGCAGGTGGTCAGCTGCGAATCAAACCGGTAAATATGTTATTAATGATTCATTTTAACTTTCATCTCTTACCCTTTCAGTTCCCAAGCAGAGGTGCCTATTTTCTAAGGTTATGGGAATAGGGAATTAATGTCAGAATATACCCTTCTCATTGCCAGAAAATAATTAGGAGATAAAGATCTAAACTGTGAGGAAAACTACATATTTTCTCATAGGACAATGCCACATTTACCTAATTAGAATTTCAATGAAAGATGACTGCCAGTTCATGTATATATTATGATTTGGTTTAAAATTGAATACTCCAAATAATAAGAAAGCCCATAACTATTAATGGTTGGTTTTTTGAGCTGGGGTAGTGACCAAAGTAACTTAAATGTTATAGGGTTATATTTTAACATATTCTCTATCACTCTGTATAGAGTTGAATATTTCTAAAACTTAGACTTTGTTCAACTTCGAGGTTTGAAAAATGATTTTAATTTGAAAGTTTTTGTTGAGGGCTCGAATTTTAATTGCTTGCTTTATAGTTTACTGCTGCGAAATCACTGATGATATGCAGGGACAGCCAGTTTCCAAGAATATACAATGTGATTATTCCTTTTCATTTGCAGAGTCTATTGTGTAAGAGAATGAAATACGTACATAAGGGTCCATTTATTTTAGACTAGATCGTATGGTGGTAAAATTTCATGGAATTCATTAATTTATAACTTTTTAAAACCAATTTGTATTTTCATATTTTATATACCACTGCCTGTTAAATCATTAGTTCTTTCTTTTACACAGATAGTACTTGCTTTTATTATCCTATGTTTAACTGTTTGCAAATTTGGAAAGCATCTTTTTAATTTTAGTACTTGGAAATTTTTTGAATAAAAAATTATTCAATGTATTCACCTTATCTCAACCTTGAATAAATAATCTTTAAAAGAGTTTATGTCTCATCTTCATTCTGCATTATCTTATTGTCTTGAAAAAGTGTTAATATCTGGAGTCAACACTTCTTTAGGAGCCACTGTATTTACCATTAGATATTCATCTCTGTATCCTCTCCAGCTATCTTATTCTTCTGAGATGACATACTGGATCATAAGGCCCTTGAGTGTAGGAACTCTGACTAATCTTTGTATCCCTAGTGTTTAGCATAGTGCCTAAGACATAGTAGGTATTTAATTAATATTTGTTGAATGCATGAGTAAACGCTGTGGTGAGAACTATCTATGGCATATCTAGGAGTGGGAACATGGTAGATTTTTACAAAAGTATGTTATTCTCTAGTGCCCAATTTCTAATACCCTGCCAATGAACTACCATGGCCTAAAATAAGTTTTTTTGTTGTTACTAAAGCACATTAAAGGAAAGAATAGAGGGATCTTGAAATATAGAAATGATTATTTTTTATTTATATAGATTTAGGGAGTGCAGTGCAGTTTTGTTACATGATTATATTGTGAAATGGTGAAATCTGAGCTTTTAGTGTAACCGTCACCTGAATAGTGTACATTGTACCCATTAGGTAATTTCTCAACCCTGTCCCACCTCTCACACTACCACCCTTCTGAGTCTCCAGTGTCTGCTCTGCCACTGTGTCCATGTCAGCACATTTATTTTGTGAACAAATTAACCAGTGGAATTGTGGACAACTCAATAGATATCAGATTTTCTCTTTACACTCTTTGTTTACTCAATGATAAGAAGAAACCCTTCTTATAACAAAATTGACATGGCATTAAATTTTTTTATATCAAAAATAGGTGATTAGAAAACCGTCATATTTACTAATGCATGAATATTTTAAACATTTACATTTTTTCTCAGTGTTAATCAAGGACATTTATATTTTAAAATGTTTTATAAATTGGCTTTAATAAAGGTGCTTAGTTGGAGTTGTGTCTATACTTGGCTGAAAATTATTCAGATATATTTTGTACTTTTGTGGCTATTCAAAAGAGTACTAATAAGGCTGGGCGCGGTGGCTCACGTCTGTAATCCCAGCACTTTGGGAGGCCGGGGTGGGTGGATCACGAGGTCAGGAGATCGAGACCATCCTGGCTAACACGGTGAAACGCCGTCTCTACTAAAAATACAAAAAATTAGCCGGGCACGGTGGTGGGCGCCTGTAGTCCCAGCTACTCTGGAGGCTGAGGCAGGAGAATGGCGTGAACCCGGGAGGCGGAGCTTGCAGTGAGCCGAGATTGTGCCACTGCACTCCAGCCTGGGCGACAGAACGAGACTCCGCCTCAAAAAACAAACAAAAAAAGAGTACTAATAATGTAAAATAAATATGCCCAAATTAAAGGTGATTTTATTAGTTGAAAATCTTACCTTGAGTTAAATTTTATCCAGTATGTACTGAGCCAAATTTCTATGTGAGATTTTAGCAGTGTTCAGTTATAAAAAGGCTCCTTTTTAAAATACTCTTCACTTTTACTGGGTCTTTAATTAGATGGTACGCAGATCATAAAACCACTATGTATGACATTAACAGGTGTCTTTTGAGCACAAAACTGTAGTAGAAATAATACTAGAAGCTAGAGCAAAAATTCCTCATGACCACTAGATATAAAACTAAAATTTGGAATGATTTATTTAAGTTATACCTCTGTTTATGATCTTTTAAATATTATTTAGTGTAATTTTGTAAACTTTCCCATAAATGTGATGTTTAGACATGGGAGAAAGGTAGCTCTTTTTTATCCTTTTTCGAGTACCTTTTTTTGACAACTTAGAATGTCATAGCCTTCTGGAGAACGTCTGATCTTAAATACTCAGCAAATTCTAGAATGGGAATGAGAGCCCAGGTTCTTTGAACTCTGTAGTATTTTTTTGTTGTTGTTATGTTTCTGAAGTCAGGATTCTCTTGGCATTGGGTGTCTTTTCTTTAAAAAAATTTCTTCAAGTTACAACTAATTGATGATCTGTCTTAACAAGAAGTTTTAGTGCCTTCAGTTGAATAATATTTTAGAACTGAAAGCAACCTTAGATTTGGACTTATGTATGTGGAAATTTGACTGGGCCAGGGCTAGCATTGCGTATCAGTGGGGAAGAGGAGTTTTTATCAGTAAATGGTACTGGGACAGTTATCTGTTTGGAAAAAAAAATTAGATCCCTACTGCAGACCCAAAAATCTACTCCAGGTAGATTAAATGTGAGAGTCAAACTATAAAACTCTTAGAATATAATATAGGGAAAAACCCTTATGACTTTAGAGTAGGGAAGGGTTTTTAAACAGGATATAAAAAGCATGAACCATAAAAACAGTTGGTAAAAGCCAATGAAATAAAAATAAGAAACTTCGTTTATCAAAAGACACTATAATGAAAATGATAACTACAACAGGGAGAAGATATTTGAAACACATGTAATTGGAACACGTAATTAGGCCATTCATGCATTGACATAAAGAAATACCTGAGACTGGGTAATTTATAAAGAAAAAAGATTTAGTCTGTGTGCTGTGGCTCACACCTGTAATCCCAACAATTTGGGAGGTGAAGGCGGGCAGATCACTTAAGGTCAGAAGTTCAAGACCAGCCTGGCCAACATGGTGAAACCCTGTCTCTACTTAAAATACAAAAATTAGCCAGGCGTGGCCAGGCGCGGTGGCTCACGCCTGTAATCCCAGCACTTTGGGAGGCTGAGGCGGGTGGATCACGAGGTCAGGAGATGGAGACCATCCTGGCTAACATGGTGAAACCCCGTCTCTACTAAAAATACAAGAAATTATCCAGGCGTGGTGGCGGGTGCCTGTAGTCCCAGCTACTCAGGAGGCTGAGACGGGAGAATGGCATGAACCCAGGAGGCGGAGCTTGCAGTGAGCTGAGACCACACCACTGCACTCTAGCCTGGGTGACAGAGTGAGACTCCGTCCCAAAAGAGAAAAAAAAAAAATTAGCCAGGCGTGGTGGTGGGTGTCTGTAATCTCAGTTACTCGGGAGGCTGAGGCAGGAGAATTGCTTGAACCCCAGGGGGACAGAGATAGCAGTAAGCTGAGATCGCACCACTGTAATCCAGCCTAGGAGACAGAGTGAGACCCCGTCTCAAAAAAAAAAAAAAAAAAAAAAAAAGAAAAGAAAAAAGATTTAATTGGCTCATGGGCAAGCTTTACAGGAAGCATGGTGCCATCATCTGCTAGGTTTTTGGTGAAGCCTTAGGGAACTTTCAATCATGGCAGAAGGCAAAGGGGAAATAGGCATGTCACATGTTGAAAGCAGGAGCAAGGGAGAGGGAGTGAGGGGAAGGTGCCACACACTTTTTTTTTTCTTCGACTTTTAAGCTCAGGGATACACGTACAGGGTGTGCAGGTTTATTACCTAGGTGAATGTGTGCCATGGTGGTTTACTGCACAGATTATTCCATTATCCAGCTATTAAGCCCAGCATCCATTAGCTATTCTTCCTGATGTTCTCCCTCCTCCCACCCTCCACTCTTTAGTAGGCCCCATTGTGTGTTGTTTCCCACCCTGTGTCCATGTGTTCTCATCATTCACCTCCCACTTATAAGTGAGAACATGCAGTGTTTGGTTTTCTGTTCCTGCATTAGTTTGCTGAGGATAATGGCTTCCAACTCCATCCATGTCCCTTCAAAGGACATGTTCTTGTTCCTTTTCATGGCTGCAGAGTATTCCATGGTATATATATACCCCATTTTCTTTTTCCAGTCTATCATTGATGGGCATTTAGGTTGACTCCATGTCTTTGCTAAGCCACACACTTTTAAATTACTAAGTCTCACGAGAACTCATGCACTATTTGGAAGATAGCACCAAGCCATGAGGTATCCCCACCCCCATGATTAAAATACTTCCCACCAGGCCCCACCTCCAGCATTTGTGGATTACAATTCAACATGAGTTTCAGGTGGGGACAAATACCCAAACTGTGTAATTCTTCCCCTGACCTGTCCCAAATCTCATGTCCTTTTCACATTGCAAGATACAATCATGCCTTCCCAATAATTCTCCAAAGTCTTAACTCATTCCAGCATTACCTGAGAAGTCCAAAGTCTCACCTGAGACAAGGCAAGTCTCTTCTATTTATGAGCCTGTAAAATCAAAAGTTATTTACTTCTAAGAAACAATGGGGGTATAGGCATTGGGTAGACATCCCTGTTTCAAAACAAAGGGTCTGTAGGCCCAACACAAGTTCAAAACCCATTAGGGCAGTCAGTAAGTCTCAAAGCTCCAAAGTAATCTTTGACTCTGTGTCCATATCCTGGGCACACTGATGCCAAGGGTGGGCTCCCAAGACCTTTGGCAGCTCCACCCCTCTGGCTTTGGAGGGTACATTCTCTGAGGCTGCTCTCACAGGCTGGAGTTGGTAGATATACTATGTTTGGGTCTAGAGGATGGTGGCCCTCTTCTCACAGCTCTACTAGGCAGTGTCCCAAGTGGGGACTCTGTGTGGGACCTCCCATCCCACATTTATTCTCTGCACTGCCCTAGTAGAAGTTCTCTTGTAAGGGATTTGCCGCTGCAGCAGGCTTCTGCCTGGATACCCAGGCTTTTCCATGCATCCTCTGAAATCTAGGTGGAGGCTGCCAAGAATCCACCACTCTTGCACTCTGTGTACCCACAGGCTTAACACCGTGTGAGAGCTGTCAAGGCTTATGGCTTGCATCCTCCAAAATGGCAGCTCAAGCTGTATGTGGGGTCCTTTGAGCCATGGCTGGAGCCAGAGCAGTGGGAATATGGATAGCACTGTCCCAAGGCCATGCAGGGCAGCAGGGCCCTGGGACTAACCCATGAGATCATTCTTCTCTCTTAGGCCTCTGGGCCTGTGATAAGAGGGGCTGCCATGAAGGTCTCTGAAATGCATTTGAGGCCTTTTCTCCATTGTCTTGGATATTAGAACTTGTTTTTTTGTTTGTTTGTTTTTTGTTTTTTGAGATGGAGTCTTGCTGTGTCACCCAAGCTGGAGTGTAGTGGTGTGATTTCAGCTCACTGCAACCTCCACCTCCTGGGTTCAAGCAGTTCTCCTGCCTCAGCCTCCCAAGTAGCTGGGACTACAGGCGCGTGTCACCACGCCCGGCTAATTTTTTTTGTATTTTTAGTGGAGATGGGGTTTTGCCATGTTAGCCAGCCTGGTCTCAAGCTCCTGACCTCAGGTGATTCACCAGCCTCAGCCTCCCAAAGTACTGGGATTACAGGTGTGAGCCACCGTGCCCAGCCTGACTTTTTTTTTAGTTGTGCACATATCTCTCTAGCAAGTGGTTGCTTCACAGCCTGCTTGAATCCTTCTCCTGAAAAAGCTTTTTATTTCTCTGCCACGTGGCTAGGCTACAAATTTATCAAGCTTTTGCACTCTGCTTCCTATTTGAATATGTGTTGCAACTTTAAGTCATTTCTTTGCTTATGTGTTTGAGTGCAGGTTGTTAGAAGCAGCCAGGCCACTTCTTGAACACTTTGCTGCTTAGAGGTTTCCTCTACCAGATTCCCTAAATCATCATTCTTTAGGTCAGACTTCCATAGATCCCTAGGGTGTGAACCAAATGCAGCCAAGCTCTCTGCTAAGACGTAACATACTTGACCTTTGCTCTAGTTCCCGATAAGTTCCTCATTTCCATCTGAGACCTCCTTAGCCTGGACGTCATTGTCCATATCACTATCAGCATTTTGGTCACAAATTTGCTGATCGTTTGGTCATTTAACCAATCTCTAAGAAATTCCAAACTTTCTCTCATCTTCCTGTCTTCTTCTCAGCCTTCCAAACTTTTCTAACTGCTGCCTGTTAGGGAGTTCTGAAGTCACTTCCACACTTTTACATATCTTCATAGCAATGTCCCAATTCCAGTACCAATTTTCTGTATTAGGCCATTCTTGTGTTGCTATAAAGAAATACCTGAGACTGGGTAATTTATAAAAAGAGGTTTAATTGGCTCACAGTTTTGCAGGCTTTACATGAAGCATGGTGCCTGCATCTGCTTGGTTTCTGGGGAGGCCTCAGGAAGCTTACAATCATGGAAAAAGGCAAAAGGGAAACCAGTACATCACATGTTGAAAGCAGGAGCAAGCGAGAGAGAATGGGAGGGTGATATGGTTTGGATTTGTGTCCCTGCCCAAATCTCATGTCGAACTGTAATCTCCAGTGTTGGAGGAGTGGCCTGGTGGGAGGTGATTGGATCATGGTGGTATTGGATTTCCCCCTTGCTGTTCTCATGATAGTGAGTTCTCACGACATCTGGTTGTTTAAAAGTTTGTAGCACCTCCCCCTTCTCTCTCTTTCTCCTGCTCCAGCAATATAGGATTTGCCTGCTTCCCCTTTGCCTTCCACCATGATTGAAAGTTTCCTGAGGCCTCCCCAGCCATGCTGTCTGTACAGGCTACAGAACTGTGGGTCAATTAAACCTTTTTTTTTTTTTAAATAAATTACCCAGTCTTAGGTGAAAACAGACTAATACAGTGTGGGAGGTGCCCACTCTGTATTAGTTAAATGACCAGATCTCATGAGAACTCATTATCTTTAAGACGGCACCAAGCCATGAAGCATCTGCCCCTATAATCCAAGCACCTCCTGCCAGGCCCCACTTCCAGCATTGTGGATTGCAATTCACCATGAGATTTGGGCAGTGACAAATATCCAAGCTATATCAGGAGTGCTATCCAAAACATATGACAGATGCCTTTAATCAATGAGAAAAAAATAAAAAATCCAGTAGAAAAATGGACTGAAGACTTGAGTTGCACATTAGAAACCAGACTAGCTAATAACCATGTTTATATTAATATAGTTTAATAAAATGCCCATTATCTTGAAATAGATTGATGTATTTATTCAGCAGCTTATTGTAGCTGCACTGTCTACAAGGTGCAATTTAAAGACATTTAGAGAATTTCTAACACTGATTTTAATTGTTAATGGAAGTTTAAAGATCTTGAAAATCAGAATGAGATGGACAAGTGACTTCTAGTTCATTCATTTTATCTTAATGTTTGTTAAATATCACTTATTCTCTGTTCCCTGATCAGTCACAAATTCTTTGATCTACTAAAGCAAGTTATCTATACAAGTGTAATAAAATGTCAAGAGGGAAATTTTAGTTAAAAATCTTTGTAAAATTACATAAATGAATATGGCAAATGTTTTGTTATGATGATCCCTTCTGTATACTGCATGCCCCAAATTATATTTAAGTGATTAAATGGTTTTCTGCTTTTCTTTAACTTGGAAATCCAAACTTACCACCAAATAAAAAAATAGCTTTGACAAGGAGAGTTGAATGCAATTAGGGCAATTACTAATTTGTACTTTTAAATTGGATGACTTTCTGCCTTTTTTCCCTCTAATATTTCTCCTACAAAAAATGCTGTAGCTCTCCAGCAGTTCTAGGAAATAGTGCATGAGGAGATGATGCTAGCTCATGAGGAGATGATGTTAGCTTTTTTATATTTCATCTAAATTTAATCTACAGCCTAGTATCAGCAGGGAGAAAAGACATTACAAAGGCAAACTGATGATGATGTTCTTTGTAAATGACTGTATCACCAGTGATTGGTTATGCCCTCAGGGCGAATTCATAGCTGTCAGTGCTTTTATTTCATTTTAATAAAATCTTACTCACTTGGGGTCGTGGATGATTGAGGCAGTAGCTCTATAAGTTGCAGTTTTTCTTTTTTGCCTTTTATTATTGACCCTCAAAATATACGTCTTTGGGTGGTTGTGTTTTTTTATTGCACAAAGTTCCCGAATTGAGATTGTTTTTCTTCTCATGAAATTAAAATTGTACTTGTGAAATATCTGGAAAATCCTATAATAATAGCCTTTCCTCAACTTATTTTGTTAAAAAAAAAAGCTTTCCAAATTAAACAAACAAACAAAACACTGAAAATAAGGTGCTTTTTGGGGGTATACATCTATCATTCTTTAGTATTTAATGATAACTCTAAGAGAAAGCTATAGGAAATTGATTTGTATTTTAGTTTCATTTTTTGCAGGGATAATGCATCCTTTGCACCACTTCTAAAGTTATAGCATGATCTGTTGAAGTTTTAATTTATAATCTCATGAATTTGTTAAAAGGCATACACCAACAATGTCTCTCATGTAGGTAGTTATATCTTTTAATCATGGTGAGGTTGGGTTTGCCAATATTTTGCCTGCTCTTGTTTGCTTTTAGAATCAAAGTTAAACTTGTCTCATTGAAGCAGTTGGGAGTCCTTAACCCTTTTGTGATATCAAGAAAAGTTTGAATATTCAGAAAAATCTTTAAATCCACTGGGGTCTTGTTTTGGGAGGGATTGAAAAGATTTTTAATTATTGATTGTACTTCTGAAATATTACAGGTCCAATTCAATCTCCTTTCTCTAATAATTAAATACTCTCAAGCCAGGTGCAGTGGCTCACACTTGTAATCCCAGCACTTTGGGAGGCCAGGGCAGGTGGATCACTTGAGGCCAGGAGTTTGAGACCAGCCTGGCCAATGTGGTGAAACCCCATTGCTACTAAAAACACAAAAATTAGCCAGTTGTGGTGGCGGGCGCCTGTAGTCCCAGCTACTCAGGGGGCTGTGGCATGAGAATTGCTTGAACCTGGAGGCAGAGGTTGTAGTGAGTAGAGATCATGCCACTGCACTCCAGCCTGGGTAACAGAGCAAGACTCTGTCTCAAAAAAAGAAAAAATAAATAAATACTTTCAAACAGGCTGCACATACATACACGTAAACATACTTTAAAAAAATCTATTTGGTGTTATTAGGTAATTGTCTCTTTTGGCCATATTTACAAATGTATTCCTATAAAGTATTTACAGTATTCTGTTATTTTTCAAAACTTTTATTTTTTGTGTAATTATGCCATTGTTTTCATTCCTAATTTTTTGGTGTGTAATCTTCCTTTTTGTTTATTAATATTGTTAGGTTTTTGTATACTTTGTAACTTTTTAAAAGCTACTTTTTGGACTTCATGTACGTATAGCATTTTAGTTGGAGTATATGTAGTTTGACATTGATTTTTTAACTTATTCAGTGAGTAATATGAATTTAGGTTTACGTTAGAGGATCAAACATTAGACTTGAGTATCATTTTTACTCTTCATTTTGGAATCTCCTGTATTAACAGTTTTAGGAAAAGGAAAAGATGATCATGGACCATACTCATGGGTTCACTTTCTTTGTGGCTGGATTTGCTGACTGCCAATATTTAACCAAGTATAATTTAAATATTAAGTGCTTTCCGCTGAGGAAAACATACTCAAACAGAATATTGCGTGATCTCTGGGTTTGTGATGCTTTTGTAAAGAAATGTAGTTTCCTTAAGTATGTTACCTTTTCCAGTCTTAAACAATGTTATGCCTTTGTATTTAACATCCTAGCCTTTGTAAGTTTGGGACCATGTCAGTATTTAACGTTGTTTAGAGACTCATCTGAAGTTTTAAAATGCTCATGAATGAGAAGAACATGGTCTTAGCCTATAATCAGAAGCAAGCGTCACTTAAAGAATATTCAGAGTTCAGACCAAAGCTATGTGGATTCCTGTTCTGACTCTTGCTTCTCCTGTTAGTTCAACATTCCTGACTCTGATGACCATGACATACTCAAGGAAAGGGAGCCTTCGCCCAAAAGGATGAGGAATACAGGGCACGATTCCCAAGTTCAGCAGCGGACACAAGCTCAGAGCCTGTCAATTTGTCATGTGCTTGTTGCACTCAAAAGCTCAACCTGCCAAGAGCCAGAGGACAGCTTTGAGAGAGAGAAATTAGGAGTGGCTGTTAGCATGGTGAAAGATTTCTAAACATTGTTTAAATTGTAACTTGAATTTAAAAATCAAACATTCACTACTCTTTTTAGGAATACAATATTGCATAAATCACACTGCATCTCCATTCTTATGCAATCTTGTGTATAGTTTGACTAATAAAATAATGGCCGACCAAATTTGTGTCATCTCTGTTTTAAATTTCTACCTCTGCTCTTTATCTCCAAGTTTTATTTTACCGCTTTCTTGTAACAGATTTAAAGGATAGAAATATGATGTATGGCCAGATTCTTATGAAATTGAATGGTCAGAACTAGGTGGATTATATTCATTCTGTCTTCAAAGATGTGTCTTTTTTGTGGTTGTTATTGCTCAGCATATGTCCATTCCCAGGGTGGTAATTACTTTGCTGTGATGTCTCCAGAGGAAGTCTCATTTAAACTGATGAAATAGATAGAAGGAAGGGTAATAGAGATCGGTGCTCTCTATAAGATTGTACTTAAAAAAAAAAAACACCAAAGATCTGCATTATGTAGATTGCTTTGTCATATCCTAAAGCTTATTTGTTTTAAAAACCCAGTGATATTATGACAAAATGCCTATTTGACTTATGGAAAGAGCCAATTTTAGCTTGAATCTAGTTAGAATTTTTAAGGCACCTCATAATAGGTCCTTTTTGTTTTTTGAAGCAACTCTTGTTATCTTTGCTAACATGGAAATAGTGGCAAACATAATATAAAATAGTGGATATTGTAATAGTTCTAACTTTGAGATCTGTTTACTACTTTGATTTGAATGTGGATGGTCTTCATAGTGGGAGTTTCATTTAAACAAATAAGACAATTCCTCTTTCAGGAGGTAGAAAGAAAGCTGTGTTGTTTGCTTGAGAGATTTGATTAGAATCTTCCTTCCTATATGTCTTAGTTCATTTTGTGCTGCAATAACAGAATACCTGAGGCTAGGTAATTTATAATGAACAGACATTTATTTGGCTCACCATTCTGGAAGCTGGGAAGTCTAAAATGCTGGGGCCGCATCTGGTGAGAGCTTTTTTGCTGCATCATAACGTGGTGGAAGGCATTACATGGAGAGAGAGCATGCATGAGAGAGTGAGCAAGAGAGGGCCAAATTTGCATTTATTACAGACCCACTCGCGAGATAACAAAGTTGCTCCCGAGATAATGAATCCACTCTTGTGATAATGTCATTAATCCATTCATGAGGACATTTCCCTTATGACCTACATGTTAAAGGTCCTACTTGTCAACACTGTTGCCTTAGGGTTGGAGTTTCCAACACATGGACTTTGGGGGACACATTCAAACCATAGCATTGTAGTTTCTTATTTTTTAATTGTAATAAGAAATTAGTAGGAGAAAATAAATGGTAAAGAAACTAGCCATTGTCAGGAAATTAGTGCATTTCGGATATGGAAGTTGGGGGACTCAGTTTCTCCATACTAAGAATTATTTTTCATATTTCTTCTTGTGATGTCTAGTTGTCTCTATTAAGCAAAATAGAAGACTCTTTTAACCAGTTAGTTGATAACTTTGCTTTTTTCCTTTGAGTCCTGGAGAAATGGGAGGTATACCATAGCTTCTTTTCTCTTTAATATATAAATAATAATTATGGTACTTATAAGAGTTAGATTTATTAAACTTTTAAGTCTAAGTTTATGCTTAAATTTTTTTGATACCAAAATTATGAATTCATATTTAATTGTATTTTTGTTGTAATTTTGAGTTACAACATTATTGTATTATATTCTTTTTTAAATTTAATTATATTCTTTTTTAATTTGTTAGATACACACAAATCCATGTTTTTACCAGTCTTCAGAGAAGAGTCAGCTCTTACCATTGAAGCCAAATCTATGGTGCTATTTGAATCCTGGAGACAGCTTTTCTTTGTTAGTTGACAAATACATTTTCCGCATTCTCTCTATACCCTCTGAAGTGGAAATGCAATGTACCTTAAGGTAAGTGCCTGATGAAATGAGAGTAAGAATGTTATTTTTAATCTAATTCCTCAGCCATCACAAATCCTTCGGTAGGAACCAGTAGAAACCATTAAACTGGAGATAGAGTAGGTGTGTAATGTGTGTGTACGCATGTGTGTGTGCATGCCTTTGCATGTGTGTGTGTTTTGTGCACATGCATGTGTGTATCTGTTTCTAGAAAACATTTGACTTTGGAAACTTACTATGCGTTGATAGCAGTTGCTCCCACAGGTGGTGTCTTTTACCATTGTATTGAGAATGTATTTTCCATCTAACAGTATTCAATATAGTTAATTCGAAATTGACTACCTTTTCCTCATTTTTTTAGCTTTTTGAATTTTATTAAGGTATTAACTTCTGACTTACACTTGTCTAACTCCTCTTTCTTATAAAAATAGCAGAAAATATAGAACAGAGAAACTGAGGAAATGAGGTATTAGAATAAATATACTGATGTCTGGCTTACAGTTAAAATTCATACACTAGTTTTTTTAGTCAGAAGATTATTTGGCTTCATTTCAGCTTTTAAATTATAGAATGGATAAACTAGACTTATAGAAGTAGATGGACAGAATTATGCGGAGTATGTTCTCTGATAGCAATAGTATTAAGTCAGAAATCATTAACAATAAAATAGCTACACAAATATACAAATACTTTGAAATTAAATAACACATTTCTAAATTACCCTTGGGTCAAAGAGAAGTCATAGGGAAATTGGAAAACATTTTGAACAGAGTGATACTGAAAACAGCATAAAAATTTGTGAGATGCAGCTAAATTAGCCCTTAGGGGGAAGTTTATAGTCGAATGCCTGTATTAGAAGAGAAGAAATCTGTAAAACCAGTGATCTGTGCTTCTACTTTAGGAGGATAGACAAAAAGCAAATTAATCCCAAAGAAAATAGAAAAAAAGAAAGTAAGAACTAGAAGTCAGTGAAATAGAAAATGGCCAAAATAAAATCAGTAAAGCTATGGGCTGGTTTGGTGAAAAGATTAATAAAATTGGTGAAACTGTAGTAAGGCTTACTGAGAAAAAAGTGAGAAAACACAAATTATCAGTATCAACAGTAGAAGAGGGGATATCATTACTGCTACTACAGACCTTAGAAGAATAATGAGGAAATATTACGTAAAACTTTATGCCAATAAATTTGGCAGTTAAAATGAATGGGTACATTTCTTAAAAAACAAAACTGATGCAGGAAAAATAGAAATCTGATGAATTCTATATTCATTTTAAAAATTGAATTCATAATTTAAGTATTTCCCATAAGGATCTTCACTAATGAATTCTATTAAACTTACAAGGAAGAAATAATGCCAATATTATTCTTTTTTCTCAAAAAATAAAAGAAGATATACTTCCCAACTCATTTTATGAAGCTTCTGTAATTTAGAAACTAAAATCAGACAAGATTTTACAAAAAACCCTCAAAACTACAGACCAATATTCCTCATAATAAAGTATTTACAAATCAAATCCAGCAATATGTAAAAAGGATAATACTCTATTACCAAGTGGGGCTTGTCCAAGGGATACAAGGTTAGTTTATCGTATAAAAATCGAAGCAATTCACCATAACAGACTAAAGAACTATCATTTTAATAGATGCTCAAAAATAATTTTGACAAAATTCAACACCTCTTCATGATTTTTAAAAGTTTTGAGAAAACAAGAAAAAGAAGGAAACTTTTTTCCTACAAAAAACCTATTAGTGAAATGTTGAAAGTTCTTCCCCTAAGATTGGGAATACAACAAAGATAAAATATATCAGATTTGAAAGGAAGAAGTAAAACTGTGTTTATTTGCAGATGACATGATTTGTATTTAGAAAATCCTTAGTAATCTACCAAAAAGAAAAGCAAGCCACAAAAGTGTCTATTATATGATTACATTTATATTAAGTTCTGTAATAAGTAAACTAATCTGTTAAATAGAAATGTAATCAATGGTTGTTTCCAAGGGGATTGACTAGTAAGAAGCTACAAAGGAGCTTTTTGTTTGGCTTTGTTTCAGCTTTTAAACAAATATGGACATATTCTGTGTCTTGTTAAGGGTGCAGATTATGTGGGTGTACGCATTTGTCAAAACTAATCAAATTTCACACTTCAGATATGTGCATTTCATATATAAATTATATCTAAAAATGCTTAAATGTAAGTGGAAAAAAATGTCAGGAAGTTGCTTTTTAGTTAAATGAAATTCATTAATCATTGCTTACTACTTTAAAGTACATGTCTTTTTCTCTTATCATACATGTATGAAGCGTGCTATTTAAACTAGCTGTTGAAATGAGACATGTAAAGAACTGATTTTTTTGTTACAATAAACTTTCATAATAGAATTACATACTTTTTTCAAAAATTAGGAAAATGTGCATCCTTATGAAACACAATATGGTCATTACCTGATAACTTATTTAAGCTATTATATGTCTATTTAAATTTCATTTATATTGATTCAAATTAGCTTATTCCCTTAGTGTGAAAGACCAGTGTCTTTAGGGCAAGTGTCACACTTTAAATTTATCAGGTTATGGGATTAGTGAATTTTGAATTTTTTCGTATTGATGAAACTGAAAATAAACCCACTTTCACAGCACTGTACTTTTCTCAGGCTATTTAAACCTTGGGTTCTGTCATTTGCTAGAAGGGCTCACAGAACTCAGGAACAGTTTACTTACTAGATTACGGATTTATTACAAGTGCTATATTACAGGATACAAATTAACAGCCAGATGAGAAGATACATAGGGTGAGGTCTGGAAGGATCCCCAGCACAGGAGCTTCTGTTCCAGTGGAGTGTTGGGGTACACCACTCTCCCAGCACATGGACATGTTCTTGTTCACCAACCTGGAAGTCCTCTGAACTTTGTCTTTTTGGGTTTTTATGGAGGCTTCATTACAAAG
Source organism: Homo sapiens (assembly GCF_000001405.40). Taxonomy (NCBI): domain Eukaryota; kingdom Metazoa; phylum Chordata; class Mammalia; order Primates; family Hominidae; genus Homo; species Homo sapiens. Next base: position 68,505,837 of record NC_000002.12, read on the forward strand.
GCATGATTGAGTAAATCATTGACCAGTATGATTAAGTCAATCTCCAGCCCCTTTTCCCTCCCTGGTGGTGAGGCTGGGAGTTCCTACCCTCTAATCATGATTGGTTTTCCTAACAACCAGCCCTTCATCTTTAGAGGCTTTCCAAAAGTCACCTCATTAACATACATTCAGGTGTGGTTGAAAGGGGTATATTGTGAATAACAAAAGACGCTCCTTTCACCTGTTTCAGAGCTCTAGCCAGGAACCAGAAGTGAAGACCAAAATATGTATTTCTTACTATATCATACCATCACAGGCACATTCTTGTGGTTTCTGCCATTAGCTAGGTCCTGTAGCTTCTTAGTGAATATTTAGTTTCCTATTGAAGCAAGGACAGTACTTCTGTAGTCAGGTAATGATGAGTTAACCCTAGTTATTAGATTAGAAGCCATGAGGGGAGGTGGGGGCAGATCTTGAATTGCAGTATCATCATGAGAGATGTCTACCCGGGGGAGGCAGCTGCCTGATTTCCAGAGAGGGAGAGTCCACTGTCTGCTAGCAAGGGGAAGTGGACTATGTATTAGATAGGAAGCATTGAAATACACTTCTAGACGTTTCTTGATATCGTTGGGGTTTTCCTGTTTTTGAACTAGCTCTGTTTTGCAGGGTCAACCACATAAAAACACTGCTTACTGTTGTACAAGCTTTACATGTATGAACTTTTTATTCTCCATAATAATCTCTATGAGGACTAGGTATTGTTAATATCCCTATATGACAGATGAAGAAATTGGGACACAGAAGGTTTAAGACTTGCCCAAGGTCACAGCTTAATACATGGCAGAGGTGGGATCCAAACTCAAGCCAGCTGTTTCCAGAGTTGATGCTCTTACTAACTACCCTCTGCTGTATGAGAATGTTTACTATAGCACTCATTTGAATTGTGAAAACACCTGCAGAAAGGCTAAATAAATTTGGTGTAGTCCTATAACTATATGAAAGAGAATGAACTAAGAGAGAGCTCAGGTTAAAACATGGATAAATCTCCCTACCATAATGTTGAGGGAAAAAACCCAAAAAGGTTATAAACATATAAAACATACATAATTTCTATAAAATAATGGATGCATATATACAAATAATGAAAGTATAAAGACATGCATAGGAATAATAAATATCAAATTCAGGCTAATGTTTACTTTTGGAGAAGGAATGGGAGGGAAGGAGCAAGATTGAGGCTGGGCATGGAGAGGGCTTGAATTGTATTTGTAATTAATCTGGAGCAAATATGAGAAAATGTTTCTATCGGGGTGGTAGATACACAAGTATTTATATTCATAGATATGTAGATAGACTACATATATTCTCTATATATTTTTGCATGTTGAAATATTTAAGACATTAAAAAAGAATAGAAAAAAGCTTATATGCTTTGTAGAAGTTGTTAGGACTCCTTTGCCATAATTCTTTTCTTCCAGCCAGTTTGAATTTAAGAAAGGGATCTGAACCACAAACCAACCATAGAAGAGCTTGTCATTTCTTTAGGTTTTCCTTTTACTCACATTAAAATGTTTTTTATATAGTATTTAGATTCTGTATAATTAGTCCTACTCATTACCTACTTTGAAGGAACATTTAAGTCTATAGATGTCAGTTCTAGTTTGTTCATTTTTCACTCTTTTCTCTACATATGTGTCTATGAAATTATTCTGCCAGGAGTACCAAAACTCATGCTTTTTTGAGAAGTCAAAGAGAAAACCAAATAAGGAGAAGAATACTTGGTTTTATATTTTAGTAAATTAAATTATAGCACATTTCACTTAGAAGCACTAATATTAATTCTTCCTCCCCAATAGTGGGTGCTTAATAAGTGTTGGTTTTTTGAATGCATTAATGAAATATCTGAGGATATTAAACTGAGTGATAATGTGATAAGTATAACATTTTGTTTTCATAGCTGAATTTCATTGCTGATGAGGAAGTATGACATTTTCACTCTAGGGAGATTATTTATTTTCAGACACTTATGAGGAAAGTAAAGTAAATCCTTTGTTATACTGAATTACTTTTTTTTCAAATTGTTGAAAATCTAAGTATGTAGATTCCATATAAATAACTACTAATTTTAATCATTGATATTGAAGAAACAATAAAATGGTGATGAAAATGTCATGATAGTATGATAATATGCAAGTTTCAAATTCATTTATAATTATTTAAAATGTAGTTTTAGATCCAGCTCATTCATAATAGTAGCATATTTTATATTAAAGATATGAAAATACATAACATAAACAAAATTTGGAATATATTTGAAAGACTTAAGAATAACTTAATTGCCAAAACAATCTTAGAAAAAAAGAAAAGAGTTGGAGGGTTCACACTTCTGGATTTCAAAACCTACTATGAAGCTACAGTAATCAGGACAGTCCTGGTGTAAAGAAAGACATATAGATCAAGGAAATAGAATTGAGGGTCCAGAAGTAAACCCCTACATTTAGGGTCAGTTGGTTTTTGACAAAGGTGTCAAGACAATTAAATGGGGGAAAGAATGGTCTTTTCAACAAATGATGCTGGGACAATTGAATATCCACATGCAAAAGAATGAAGTTAGTCTCCTGCTGCACACCATATAAAAATTAACTTACAATGGATCAGAAGTCTAAATATAAGCACTAAAACTACAAAACTCTTAGAAAAAAACAGGTGTAAATCTTTGTGACCTTGCATTAGGCAATGTTTATAACACCAGAAACACAAGCAAACAAAGGAAAAGTAGATAAATGGGACTTCATTACACTTAAAAGTTCTGTGCTTCTAAGGACACAGTTAAGAAAGTGAAAAGATTTAGTGCCATCCCCATCAAGCTACCAATGACTTTCTTCACAGAATTGGAAAAAACTACTTTAAAGTTCATATGGAAACAAAAAAGAGCCCACATTGCCAAGACAATCCTAAGCCAAAAGAACAAAGCTGGAGGCATCACTCTACCTGACTTCAAACTATACTACAAGCCTACAGTAACCAAAACAGCATGGTACTGGTACCAAAACAGAGGTATAGACCAATGGAACAGAACAGAGCCCTCAGAAATAACACCACACATCTACAACCATCTGATCTTTGACAAACCTGACAAAAACAAGAAATGGGGAAAGGATTCCCTATTTAATAAATGGTGCTGGGAAAACTGGCTAGCCATATGTAGAAAGCTGAAACTGGATCCCTTCCTTACACCTTATACAAAAATTAATTCGAGATGGATTAAAGACTTAAATGTTAGACCTAAAACCATAAAAACCCTAGAAGAAAACCTAGGCAATACCATTCAGGACATAGGCATAAGCAAGGACTTAATGTCTAAAACACCAAAAGCAATGGTAACAAAAGCCAAAATTGACAAATGGGATCTCATTAAACTAAAGAGCTTCTGCACAGCAAAAGAAACTACCATCAGAGTGAACAGGCAACCTACAGAATGGGAGAAAATTTTTGCAATCTGCTCATCTGACAAAGGGCTAATATCCAGAATCTACAAAGAACTCAATCAAATTTATAAGAAAAAAACAACCCCATCAAAAAGTGGGTGAAAGATATGAACAGACACTTCTCAAAACAAGACATTTATGCAGCCAACAGACACATGAAAAAATGCTCATCATCACTGGCCATCAGAGAAATGCAAGTCAAAACCACAATGAGATACCATCTCACACCAGTTAGAATGGTGATCATTAAAAAGTCAGGAAACAACAGGTGCTGGAGAGGGTGTGGAGAAATAGGAACACTTTTACACTGTTGGTGGGACTGTAAACTAGTTCAACCACTGTGGAAGACAATGTGGCGATTCCTCAGGGATCTAGAACTAGAAATACCATTTGACCCAGCCATCCCATTACTGGGTATATACTCAAAGGAATATAACTCATGCTGCTATAAACACACATGCACACGTATGTTTATTGCAGCACTATTCACAATAGCAAAGACTTGGAACCAACCCAAATGTCCATCAATGATAGACTGGGTTAAGAAAATGTGACATGTATACACCATGGAATACTATGCAGCCATAAAAAAGGATGAGTTCATGTCCTTTGTAGGGACATGGATGAAGCTGGAAACCATCATTCTCAGCAAACTATCGCAAGGACAAAAAACCAAACACTGCATGTTCTCACTCATAGGTGGGAATTGAACAATGAGAACACTTGGACACAGGAAGGGGAACATCACACACCAGGGCCTGTTGTGGAGTGGGGGGAGGGGGGAGGGATAGCATTAGGAGATACACCTAATGTAAATGACGAGTTAATGGGTGCAGCACACCAACATGGCACATGTATACATATGTAACAAACCTGCATGTTGCGCACATGTACCCTAGAACTTAAAGTATAATAAAAAAATAATAATATACAAAAAAAGAAAGTGAAAAGACAACCACAGAATGAGAAAATATTTGTAAATCACATATAACAGACTTATATTCAGAATATCTAAAGAATCCTCAACAATGCAAAGGCAAACAACCCAATTTTAAAATGCATAACTGATTTGAATAGACATTTTTCCAAAGAAGGTGTACAGGTGGTCAGTAGAACATGAAAAAATGTTCAACATCACTAGTCACAGGGAAATGCAAATTAACACCGCAATGAGATACCACTTTACATCTACTAGGAAAGCTATAATCAAAAATATAATAACAAGTGTTGGTGAGGTTGTGAAGAAACTGAACTATTATACATTGTGGTGGGATTATAAAATGGTATAGCCTCTTTGGAACATATTCTGGCAGTTCCTCAAAAGTTTAAACATGGAATTACTGTGTGGCTCAGCATTTCCACTCCTATGTATATACCCAAAAGAATTGAAAACCTATGTCCACATCAAAACTTGTACATAGATGTTCACAGCAGCATTATTCATAATAGCCAAAAAGTGGAAATAACTCAGCTGTCCAGCAACTGTTGAATAGATAAACAAGTATTGTATAGTCATACAGTAGAATATTATTTGGCCATAAAGAGGAATGAAATATTTACATATGCTACAACACAGGTGAATCTTGAAACATTATGCTAAGTAAAAAAGCTAGACACGAAAGACCACATACTGTATTTCATTTATATGAAATATGTAGAAAATGTGATCTTTGGAGACAGAAGGTAGATTAATGGTTGCGAGGAGCAGGAGGAAGAGGCAATAGGAAGAGATTGCTAATGCATATGGAATTTCTTTTTGAGGTGTTGAATATGTTCTAAAATTAGATATTGGTGATAGTTGCACAACTCTGTTAACATACTAATAACCACTGGATAGTACACTTTAACAGGATGAATCTTATGACTATATGGATTATTTTTCAATAAAGCAGTTATAAAAAAGGATAACTCAATTACCTTTACTAGACTACATTTAACTTTCCAAGTTTTAATTTTTTATTTAAAATATTCTGTAGTGATGCTTTATAAATCCTGTGATAGTTGATTACTCATAGATGTATTTGAAGATAAAATAAAAATATATATCACAGTGACAGTGTTTTATATTTAAATAAATGTGTAGTAGAATAATTTGTACTTGTACTTTTTGAATAAAATGTTAAATAGAATTTTGTTCTGAAATTTTTTTTGTTACGTTTATTGTGGGTAACTATTAATAAAAATTACATATGGACTATAGAGTGTATATGAATTCATCTCAGACTTATGCCACAATAGAAAATAAACTAGAAATGGAATTGATGATGTTACTTAATTCCTAATACTATAAATTGTGAAAAATCATCAAACTACTATTGAATGTTTCTTAATATTTTTCATGTTAAATATTAAGAAAACTTGAAAAAAATTATAATTTGGAAGTACACCTGTAACCTGTGAGTAAAACAGGACTGGGTATTGTAGTGGAGTGAACTTTCATAGCTAGGACAATCAGACATTTCCAAGATATGTCTCCAGCACCTGGCACAGTGTTTGACACACAGTAGAAGTTTTAAAAATATTGATTGAATGAACAAAAAATGTGATGCTGCATAGTAATTTACTCTAAGTAAATTTTCTCTTTTGGCTGATTCTTGCCATTGACATTGAAGGCTGCCTTTGAAGGAGATTATTCCCTGTATAAGAAATACTAAAACGAACAAATAAAACAAGCGGTTAATTAGACTTTTCTCAGCTAGACACACTTCTAAAATCTTATATCTTTAGTTTTTAAAAATTCACATTTAATGAGGACAATTTACACACAGTAGAGTTCATCCCTTTTAAATGTGCAATTCAATGCACTAAAAATGATAATATAGTCATTTAAAATACTACTAGAGTGAGATATAGAACATTTCCATTTCCCCAAATGTTCTCTCCTGGCTCTTTGTAGTCTGTCCCTTCACTCCACCCCCAATCCCTGGCAACCATTAATATGATTTCTGTCCCTGTAACTTTACCTTTCAGGATGTCATATAAATGGAGTAATACAATATACCTTTTGTGTCTGGCTTCTTTCACTTAGCAAAATGCCTTTGGGATTCATCTATATTCTTGCACACATCAGTAGTTCATTCCTTGTTATTTCTGAGTAGTGTTTCATCTATAGTTTCAAATTTTCGAAAAGACAAATTCGTTGGATCATGTCTATGCATACATAAGTATTAATAACCCAACAACTTTGGATGACCTTACTGCATATTGCAGAAGTATGAGGTAATTGGTTCTGCTGGCATGTCCCACATGTGACCATGGATGTTCCTGTTCCAGAACATTTAGCTTGCAGCTATACTACAAGTTTGGGGATATTTCATAAGTAGCTCTTTAATACTTCCCTGAACTTCAGTAGCAGTTATGTGTCAACTTAAACTCAGGATTTTATTTATTTTTTCTCCAAACGTCTAACTAGCTTAGCTGATGCCCTTGCAGTTTACATTATCTCTCTAGAGGCTGGGTGGTGATCTTAATTTCTGTGGACCATCTGGACAAATATTAAATAAAGAGCTCTTAAGCCTTGACAGAAATGGCTGCCACACATCTCAAAAATAATTGTGGTTTCTAGGCCCATGATTTGGAAAGATTGATGTATTTTATGGCAATACAGCAGGTAGGAAATAAAGAACATATTCTAGTCTATATATTCTAGTATACTATAATCTGCTTTTTTTGGTTTTGCTAAGTCTGAGTAAAGGGACATAACTTAGATGTAGTTCTAAGGCAGCAGAAGTGTGTTAAATTTAAAATTAAAGACCAGTTTCTATTTTATCTTATAGAAACAGTCAAGTGCTTGATGAAGATAATATATTGAATGAAACACCAAAATCCCCCGTGATTAATTTACCTCATGAGACTACTGGTGCCTCACAACTGGAAGGAAGCACAGAAATAGCCAAGACCCAGATGACTCCCACAAATAGTGTGGTGAGAAATTTGATATCTCATCCATTTATAACATGTTCTTCAAGTTATTATGAAGGCAGAAAAGACAACTGAAATTAGGCCTATTATGACAATATTGCCAGCATTTATCTACTTTTGCTGATTTTAAGTTAAGCTCTAGAGAATATGGCAGTAATCCAACAGTTAAACTAATAGAAATAATTTCTTTGTTCAAGAAATTTTATGAACTCAGTCTACAGTTGCATATGGGTATTTTAATGGTAGTATTCTGCAAAGCAGATATTTTGCAAATTCATTCAAGATGTGTGATTATTTTTAGTAATTTATAGGTGTCTTTTTAGTCTTTCCTAGGTGAAAATAGAGACTGCAATAAGCAGCAGCCAATCCTTGCCGAGAGGAAAAGAATCCTTCCAACTTGGATGTTAGCAGAACATTTAAGTGATCAAAACCTTTCAGTACCAGCAATCAGTGGAGGTAGGTTTTTGTTTCTACTAATGCTGACTTTAAAGGAAACATTAAACAGAATTTGAAAGCTTTTCTGAAGAAAAACTATAAACTAGTTCTATAGAGATAGAGTAGAGGTTGTGTAAGTGTATAGCCTAGCCTAGTTTTTTTAGTTGTGAACATGAAGTCTAAAACATAGGCTATTACTTTATGCCATTTATCAAATACCACCCTAATTTTTTTTCATTTAACAAGTGCTATTATGTGCTAGAATTATATTAATAAAGACTTCCAAACAAACCTCTTGGTGCTATGTCTAGGATAAAAGGCCAGCACAATAAGAGGGTTTAATTTGATTTTTAAAAATGCCAGACGAATTGATATACTTTCAAGTTTACTGATTCTTTTTTCTGCCATCTCTAATTTGCTGTTAAGTCTATCTAGTGAATTATTCATTTTAGTTATTGTACTTTTCAGTTCTGGAATTCCTCTTTGGTTCTTTTGTGTAAGTTTATGTTTCTCCGATGAGATTCCCCATTTATTCAATCATTTGGTGTATTTTTCTATAAGTCTTTGATCATATTTATAATAGCTGCGTTAAAGTCTGCATCTACGTACAACTTTGCCATTTCAGACTTAGTTTTTATTGACTGCTTGTTTTCTTTTATGGGGTCACATTTTCCTGTGTATTCTGTGCCTAGTGATTTTCTATTGATACTGGATATTATGGATGATACATTGTAGAGGCTCTTGATTTTGTTATGTTCCTCTGAAGAAGTATTTTTGTTCTGATAGCAATTAATTTGGCTGGATTCAGAGCCTACCCTGTTTCCCCTGTTATGTATGGCAGCTGCAGTGTCTAGGTAGTTCCTTCACTTTCCAGCTGCTGCGTTTTTCTCTGGGTCCTTGGGCCCCATACAAATGTAGTTTAGGAGTCAGCCAAGAATTTGGGTCAAGTTTTTATGTAGGTTTTTGCTCTTGCCCCTTCTGTGGCTGCCTTCCCTCCAGGATTTTATCACTCACCTCTGCCTGTTCTCCTAGCCTCAAACTCTCTGCTCTGACCATTTAAACCAGTAAGGTTGCAGCTTTCTGCCACGTGTGACTTGGAGAAGGCCTTCAGGAAAAAAGTCACAAGTTCACAAACTTTATAGATTATAGTTAATTTTCAACCTTGACACTTCTCCAACTCTGCCTCTTTGGTCAATCTCCAGTGCCTACAGATAGTTTGAAAAATATTTTTTTCCTGAATTTACAATGATTTTATTGGCAGTAATTACTTTAGTTATGCTGTTTTTCCATTTTACCTTGAACATTGTTTTTTAAAAATTAACAGCACAAATGAATACACATTTTAGTTAGAAAATTACTACTCAGTGCTTTGTGTATTCTGCACAGTGGTCATAGAAGTCTTCTAAAGTTTTGGATCACATATATTATGTACAGAATATATCTTATTTAATGGTAGTTTGGATTATACTAGGATCAAAGTGTTCTCATGGGAAAAGTGCACTATACTTTATGTGTTAAGGGGCATGTGGTTTAATCTGGAGAATTTTCCAATCTAAGCCTAAGACTTTTGCAGTAAGTTATTCTACTACAGTTGTTTTCAGTTCTTCCCACCCCCACAGTTACTTCATGTGTAATATATATATATATATATAGGCAATAACATCTGTGTATGTGTTGATCCTCAATTTGTAGGAAGGAAATGGGGAATTGTAGTGGGGAGGGGCAGACACTTTCCCTCAGTAGAATAATTTCTCTGATAAAAGAAAGACTTAACTTGACCAAAAATTGGACCAATGTGAGCTGGTCCCTGCAAACAACTCCTTTTCTTTCAGAATTGTTTTGTACTGCAACTGCTTCTGTGCTACTGCTTATAATAATAGTTCAACATGTATTTCATTTCAAATACGTTTTCTTTCCCTTGGTAGATGTCCCACATAAAATATGAAGCACGTTTTTGGGCACTTCTCTTTGAAAATACGAATGAGAGTAATTTGACATTGGTCTGGAATATCGCATGTGTACAATGTACTTAAAATGCTAAAGCTTCAAAATAAGATAGAAGAGTCTTTGGATTCAGGTAATCTTTTTATAAACTAAGACCGTGGGAGAAGTACTTTATAAGAACAAGATTAGGTTACTTAATTCCTTTAAAGACAGTTTAGTACTTTAGAACAGTTTAGTACCTGAATCCTGCTAATTAAAAGTTAAAACAATTAGACTTATTCTGTGGTGCTGTTATTTTTTAAAAAATTGTTTTGTTTGTTTAAGTAATAAATGATGGGGATCAATAGGCCAATATGAGAGATTTTTAAAAATTAATTCGCAGGATGCATTTTGGTTTATTCAGACATGAGTAACTTTCATATGTCTTTTGCAGCTTTAGGACCATAACTGTGGTTATTGGTCTTTATGTAGATTATCTGAAACTAACTTGATATTTTGGAACCTTTGGAATCCTTAGGAACAGGACAAATAACATGAATTCATGTTATTTGACTTATCCAAGATCATATAATAAATGCCAGAGCTGTAACTGAGACCTAGCTCTGACTAACTTTAAAGCCCATGTACTAAGGCATATCACTGTATAGCTGCCTAAATTTACTCTTTATATGTTTGGTTTTTGTTTGCCTTTTTTGATCTGCCCTTGCGATCTCTCCTGGATCATCTCTCAGTTTAACTCTTTAATCCTTTATATGTAGGGGAATTTTTGCTGTTGTCAGGCTTTTTCATTTTTCAGCCAATACAGTTTATTATTATTATTATCATCACTATTATATATATATTTTTTATTTCAACAGGTTTTTGTGAAACAGGTGGTGTTTGGTTACATGGATAAGTTATTTAGTGATGATTTCTGAGATTTTGGTGCACCCATTACCCGAGCAGTGTACACTGTACCCAGTTTGTAATCTTTTATCCCTCACTCCCCGACCCTTCCTCCCAAGCCCTCAAAGTCTGTGGCATCATTCTCATGCCTTTGCATCCTTATACCTTAGCTCCCACTTATAAATGAGAAAATACAATGTTTGGTTTTTCATTCCTGAGTTACTTTACTTAGAATAATGCTCTCCAATTACATCCAGGTTGCTGCGAGTGCCATTATTTCATTCCTTTTTATGGCTGAGTAGTATTCCATGGTGTATTTGTATATATATAGAGAGAACAAATCTGGAGGCATCACGTTTTATATATATAATATATATAATTATATATAATGTTATATATAATATAATAATATATTATATATCCTATATAACATTATATATAATATATAATATAATATATATAATATAATATATAATAATATAATATAATATAATTATATATAATAATATATGTTAATATATAATATATAATAATATATTAATATATAATATATAATAACATGTTATTAATATATAACATGTTAATATATAATATGTTATTAATATATAATATACTAATATATAATAATACGTTATTGATCTATAACATATTAATATATGTTATTGATATATAATATATCAATATATAATAATGTTATTGATACATAATATATTAATATATGTTATTGATATATATAAATATATTAATATATGTCATTACTATATAATATATTAATATATGTCATTACTATATAATATATTAATATATGTCATTACTATATAATATATTAATATATGTCATTACTATATAATATATTAATATATCATTACTATATAATATATTCATATAGTAATATATGTTATTACTATATATTAATATATCTATATATTACTATATATTAATATATCTATATATGTTATTACTATATATTAATATATCAATGTTATTACTATATATTAATATATCAATATGTTATCACTATATATTAATATATCAATATATGTTATTAACATATGTCAATATATGTTAATAACATATAACAATATATCACTAATATATGTAATTAACATGTAACAGTATATCACTAATGTTATTAACATGTAACAATATATCACTAATATATGTTATTAACGTAACAATAATATATCACTAATATGTTATTAACATGTAACAATAATATATCACTAATATATGTTAATATATAACTAATATATCACTAATATCTACTGTTAATATATAACAGTAATATATCACTAATATAATGTTAATATATAACAGTAATATATCACTAATATGTGTTAATATATAGCAGTAATATATCACTAATATGTGTTAATATATAGCAGTAATATATCACTAATATGTGTTAATATATAGCAGTATTATATCACTAATATGTGTTAATATATAACCGTAATATATCACTAATATGTGTTAATATATAACAGTAATATATCACTAATATGTGTTAATATATAACAGTAATATATCACTAATATATAATAATATATAACAGTAATATATCATTAATATATAATATATCATTAGTATATAATATTAATATATATTAATATATAATATATCATATACAATATTAATATATATTAATATATAATAATATATTATTAATGTATAATAGTAATATAATATATTATCAATATATATTACTAATATATAATAATATATCGTTAATATATAATAGATCATTAATATATAATGTTAATATATTATGAATAGATAATATATCAGTATATAATATTAATATATTAATATATTATATATTATTTAATAATATATAATATATTAATAAATAATTATATATTAATATAGCAATATATTAATATATGACTGTATTATATTATTAATATATAACAATATATTATATATTATATAATAATTTATTATATAATATATAATAATATATTATATATTATATAACATATTAATAATACATAATAACATTAATAATATATAATAATGTTAATATATTATTATATTATATATTAATATATAATAATATATCAATAATGTATCATGAATATATAATATATCAATAATATATCATGAATATATAATATATCATTAATATATCATGAATATATAATAATATATCATTAATATATCATGAATATATAATAAATCAATATATCATGAATATATATCATTAATATATCATGAATATACAATAATATATCATTAATATATCATGAATATATCATTAATATATAATAAAATATTAATAATATATCATTATATAATAAAATATTAATAATCTATCATATAATAAAATATTAGTAATATATCATTAATATGTAATAAAATACTAATATTATGTCATTAATATGTAATAAAATATTAATATTATATCATTAATATATAATAAAATAATAATATATCATTAATATTAATATATTATATAATATTATTAATAATACATAATAATATGCTATTAATATACAATATCTGATAATATATTATTAATATATAATAATATATAATATATGATTAATATATAATAATATAATATATAATTAATATATAATAATAATATAATATATAATTAATATATAATAATATAATATATAATATATAAAACATATAATTTGACATTTTATATATATATAAAGACTTGACCAAAAATTGGACCAATGTGACTATATATTTATAATATATAAATATATATTATCTATATTTATTACATAATATATTATATATTATATATCATTTATATATAATATAATATATTATATGTATATTGTATATATAAAATGTCAAATTACTCTCATTTGTATTTTCAAAGTGAAGTGCCCAAAAACATGATTCATATTTTAAGTGGTACATCTACCAAGTGAAAGAAAATGTATTTGAAATGAAATACATGTTGAACTATTATAAGCAGTAGCAAAGAAGCAGTTGCAGTACAAAACAATTCTGAAAGAAAAGGAGTTATTTGCAGGGACCAGTTCACATTGGTTCAATTTTTGGTCAAGTTAAGTCTTTCTTTTATCAGAGAAATTATTCTACTGAGGGAAAGTGTCTGCCCCTCCCCACTACGATTCCCCATTTCCTTCCTGCAAATTGAGGATCAACACATACAGAGATGTTATTGACAAAAAAAAATTACACATGAAGTAATATATATAAATATATGTATATATATATATATTAGTTTCTTTATCTACTCATTGACTGATGGGCATTTGGGCTGGTTCCATGTTTTTGCAATTGCGAATTGTGCTGCTATAAACATGTATGTGTAGGTGTCTTTTTCATGTAATGACTTCTTTTCTTCTGGGTAGTCAGCCAGTAGTGGGTTGCTAGATCAAATGGTAGATCTACTTTTAGTTGTTTAAGGAATCTCCACACGGTTTTCTGTAGTGGTTGTTCTATTTTACATTCCCACCAGCAGTGTAAAAGTGTTCCCTTTTCACCACATCCACACCAACATCTATTATGTTTTTGATTTTTAAATTATGGCCATTCTTGCAAGAGTAAGGTGATAATGCACTGTGGTTTTGATTTACATTTCCCTAATAATCAGTGATGTTGATCATTTTTTCATATGTTTGTTGTCCATTTGTATATCTTCTTGTGAGAATTGTTTATTCATGTCCTTAGCCCACTTTTTGATGGGATTATTTGCTTTTTTCTTGCTGATTTGTTTTTTCTTGTAGATTCTGGATATTAGTCCTTTGTCAGATGCATAGTTTGCGAAGATTTTCTCCCACTCTGTGAGTTGTCTGTTTACTCTGCTGATTATTTCTTTTGCGTGCAGAAGCTTTTTAGTTTAATTAAGTCCCATCTATTTATCTTTGTTTTTATTGCATTTGCTTTTGGGTTCTTGGTCATGAAGTCTTTTCCTAAGCCAATTTCTAGAAGGGTTTTTCTGATGTTATCTTCTAGAATTTTTATGGTTTCAGGTCTTAGATTTAAGTCTTTAATCCATACTGAGTTGATTTTTGTATAAGGTGAGAGATGAGGATCCAGTTTCATTCTTTTACATGTGGCTTGCAAATTATCCCAGCACCATTTGTTGAATAGGGTGTCCTTTCCCTACTTTATATTTCTGTTTGCTGTGTCAAAGCTCAGTTGGCTGTAAGTATTTGGCTTTATTTCTGGGTTCTCTATTCTGTTGGTCTATGTGCCTGTTTTTATACCAGTACCATGCTATTTTGCTGGCCGTAGCCTTGTAGTACAGTTTGAAGTCGGGTAATGTGATGCCTCCGGATTTGTTTCTTTTGCTTAGTATTGCTTTGGCTAGACTTGTTTTGGGCTGTCTTTTGGTTTCATATGAATTTTGGGATTGTTTTTTCTAGTCCTGTGAAGAATGATGGTGGTATTTTGATGAGAATTTCATTGAATTTGTAGATTACTTTTGGCAGTATGTTCATTTTCACAATGTTGATTCTACCGATCCATAAGCATGTGATATGTTCCCATTTGTTTGTGTCATCTATGATTTCTTTCAGCAGTGTTTTGTACTTTTCCTTGTAGAGGTCTTTTACCTCCTTGGTTAGGTATATTCCTGTTTTGTTTTTTGTTTTTGTTTTGTTTGTTTGTTTTTTTGCAGCTATTGTAAAGGGTTGAGTTCTTGATTTGATTCTCAGCTTGGTAACTGTTGGTGTATAGCAGTACTACAGATTTGTGTACTCTGGTTTTGTGTCCTGAAACTTTGCTGAGTTCATTTATCAGTTCTAGGAGTTGTTTGGATGCATCTCTTGGGTTTTCTAGGTATATGATTATATCGTTGGCAAATGGTGACAGTTTGACTCAGTGACAGTTTGACTCATTGACTCTTTACTGATTTGGATGCCCTTTATTTTTTCTCTTGTCTGATTACTCTGGCTAGGAATTCCAGTGCTATGATGAATAGAAGTGTTGAAAGTGGACAGTCAATATAGTTCTAATTTATTTTATTTTTTATGTCTCAGGTACTAGTTCTTGGATGTTGTCATGAGTTTCTTAGGCCTGGGCTAAATTTTTTTAAATGTCCATTAGTGATGGAGAAGTAAATATATTTAGGCAAAGGCTTTCAGAGTCTCCTCTTTCTTGATCTCCAGTTATCTCTGTTCTTTCAGCCTTCCAGGCCACAAGACTAATCATAACTCTTAGGTTAGGATACTCCTGGTAGATTGAAAAAGGAGCTTTTATATTTCCACTGGTATCATGCTATTCTATAGAGCTCTTCTTCCTGCATCTTCTAAGCTACCAACGTGAAGTTGTAAAAAGTGGCACATGCTGATGAAGATTGAACTAGTCCCCATACTGTTTGGCTTGCATTTAATTTTGTACTGTGAATATTTTCACCATGGCAATTTGATGCAGATTATAAATATTGAGCATTTATACATTATTGTAATTGGACTACAGTTCAAAATGTACTTACATTTATGTAAAGTGCTAGTTATTCTGTTTACTTTGTTTCCAGCAACTTTGCCAAGTTATTTAATTTTAGTAGTTTTTGAACCTTATATTTTCTAGCTGTAGAATCATGTTATCTATAGAATTAGGATAATTTTGGCTCTTCTGACCTATCTACTGCTTTCTTTTCTTGTCTTTTTAGCTGAACCCTATAAACTTTAAATAAAAATGGTTAAAATTGGTCTGTTCTTATTCCTGATTTTAATAGAAATTCTCTTAATATTTTAGTATTTTAAGGTTGATATTAGATTCTGATAAATAGTCATATCATGTTTAGTATGGTTCATTTTATTTTTACTATTTTTTCAGGAATAACTTGAATTATTTAAAAATGTTTTGGTATAGAAATAGTTTTGCATTTTCATGTGTTAATGTAAGTAATGATATTGGTAGATATCCTAATGTAATATACTATGCTTGTGTTCCTGGAATAAGTTCAATCTTATGATACCTTTTTATTTTTATACTCTGTTAGATTAAATTTGCTAATATTTGGTTTAGGACATCTCTTATCTATATTATGGTTAGTCCGTATTTTTCTTTATGTATGCCTTCTATGTGAGATTTTAATGTTAGAGCACTGAATTATTTCCATATACGGTCAGGCACAATTTGAATAATTGAAAAATTATGTTTCTTCATGGAACTCTCCTGATCTGGGCCTGATGCCTGCTTTTAGTAGTTGATAATTCTGGCAGAGGAATAGGTAAGTTAGGCCAGGAAAAAAAAGAAGAATGAAACACCCAGAAACAGATAAGAAAAATACGTTTAATTTATAAACACATATCAGTTCAAACTGATGGAGAAAGGATATATTATTCAATAAATGATGTTGAGAAAATTGGCTTTCCATTTTGAAGAAAATAATGTTAAAGTACTACTTTATGCCATATTCAGAAACAAATTTCTATTGAATTAAGTCTTA
The DNA here is from genome assembly GCF_000001405.40 of Homo sapiens. NCBI lineage: Eukaryota > Metazoa > Chordata > Mammalia > Primates > Hominidae > Homo > Homo sapiens. The sequence goes on from NC_000002.12 coordinate 68,522,874, forward strand.
ATATAAAAATTAAAACAAGGCATTTGAAGAAAGTATGGGAAAAATATTTTGATTATGCCTGTACACTTTCTTAAGATGATAGGGAACCTGGAATCCTAAGGGAAAAACTGGTAGATTTACCTAAATAAAAAGGAAAAATACTTCTATGCAAAAGACACTGTAAATAAAGTCAGAGGCAAATAATAGCCTGCCAAACAATATACTGAGATATATTATCTACCACACTTATAAAAGAAGGTTTTTAAAAAATTGTCTACTTAGTAACAAAAAAGATAAAACTCAGTAGAAATTTTGGGCATTATGTGTGACATACTACAGAATAATAAATACGCATAGTAAATATTACGACTTTACTATCAGGTAAATTGAAAATAACTAGTTACCATTTTTTGTTCATTAACTTATCAACATTTAAGCAATTGATAATATCCACTGTTGGCAGAAAGGAGTATTATCGAACATTGCTTGTGGAGGTATAAATTAGTATAGCCTTTCAAAGTCACTTGTAGTGTCTTTTAAATTTTTAAATATACAATACACTTTGATCCAGAAATTGCAATCCTAGGTATTTAAACCACAGAAATAATATTTGTACTTTTAGTCCTGTATATGTTTATGCATATGTATTTGTAGATATATTTGCTTAAACATAGGAAAAATTGAGAAATATACGCATGCAATAGTTAATATAGCTGTTTGGGAGTAGTTCCTCTAGAAGGTAAGATTGGATGGATGTATTTTTAATGATACATATATATATATAATTGAGCTATTGTTCATGTAGTATTAGTATAACAGCTCATATAAGTGCCATTGGTAATAGTTAAAATCAAGCTGTTTTGTATTAATAGTTAATTTCTTTTATATTTCTATCATTTAACTTTAAATAAAAATGGTCAAACCTATTTTGGATTTCAGAAGAATATTTGCCATACCAGATATAAAGACTGTTGTCAGCCATTTTAAGCTATTCATTTTTTATATACTCTTTGTGAAGAGCATTTTAATAATATCAAAATGGCTTCTCATGCAGAAAAAAAAAATTAGCTCTAGTCCCTAGAGGTGGTTGATAGTAAGGAATTTGGAGTTTTGAAAAACTTGAGTATTTTAAATATATATATTTTTTAATTTTAGAATTTTGAGTACATGTGTATCACTTGGAATATATAAACTACCATTTGTGTAGAAGCTGTGTCTTGTTTAATTTACTGTAGTTCTTAGCATAATCAGCAATACCACTAGTTCAGTATGTCACTTGGTTTAATTCATAACTGTTACAGCATTTGGTCATTTGTTGTACCAAGCTACTCAGTCCTATTAAGTCCTGTTTATGACAGTTTCCAAAAATGATATGAACTATTTTCTAATTTAGATTCATGATGAATATTTAAATAATTTAGTTAAAATTTAGTTATTAGAATAGTTTATGCCTAAGTTTGATAATATGGACAGTATTCCATTGGCATTTCTTTCCTGAACTTAATGAGGGAATGTTATTTCAGGCTACTTGAATGTCCTTTAGAACTGGACTAAGCAAACTACAGCCCATGGGCCAAATTAGGCCCACTGCCTGGTTTTGTAAAGAAAGTTTTATTGGAACATGGCCATGGTCAGCCATATATGCATTGTCTGTGACTGCTTTCATGTTACAAAGGCAGAGTTGAGTAGTAGTGACAGACACTGTATGGCCCACAGAGTTTAATCTGTTTACTCTCTGGCTTTTTACAGAAAAAGTTTGCTAATCCCTGCTTTAGAACATGGAATAATGACTACAGATTGCTTTATATACCTATATCCTGGCTCTTAAGGGAATCTTTGGACAAATTGTTTATGTTCAAACTTCATTTAGTCAGAAATATTTATTGAGCATCAGTTTTGTGCTAGGCACAGTTGAAGGTACTGGAGACAAGGGAGGAACAATGAACAAGGCATGTAAAGTTTCTGCCTTCATGAAGACATCACTCTCGAGTAGAGGAGAAGGACAATTTGCCATGGACAATTATGAATTTGTTAACAAAATATGATAGTGTCTTAGGTTTGCCAACTGCATTAAACTTTGGGTATTTTATGGGATACAATGTCCATTGTTATTGAGATTTATTTACTTTATCAGCAAAGTCTGTAGAAGTCACTCTCCTGTTTGGGTTATTTTGGGTTTGCCTGTAATCCCAGCACTTTGGGAGGCTGAGACAGGCGGATCACCTGAGGTGAGGAGTTCGAGACCAGCCTTGCCAACATGGTGAAACTCTGTCTCTACTAAAAATACAAAATTTAACCAGGCATGGAACAGTGCACACCTGTAATCTCAGCTACTTGGGAGGCTGAGGCAGGAGAACTGCTTGAACCAGGGAGGCAAAGGTTGCAGTGAGCAGAGATTGTGCCACTGCACTCCAGCCTGGGTGACAGAGCAAGACTCTGTCTCATTAAAAAAAAAAAAAATTAGCTTAAGTTTAATTCCTCACTGTGGATGTTAGGGTTTAATAAGTAGTATATGTAAAGTTCATTGGATAGCTATAAGTCAGATTTTCTGTTAGAGAAATTCAATTCTACAATTAAAAAAATAACATGTATCAGGTACTCTGCTAGATAGTTTACATATCTTACTTCATTTACTTTTCCTAATAATTCCATGAATTATAATTCCCATTATCCAGATGATGAAACCAAAGTTCAGAAAGGTGCGATGAAATAGTTAAGGGATGGAGCCTCCATTGGCATCTCAGCCTGGTAGAATGCACGGCTGGAGCTCTTGGCCATTTTGCTGCTTAATGCTTACTGAGATTTGCACATAAGTGTTTCCAAGTTAGCATTACTATAAATGGACCTTTAATCTTACTTGCCCTTTTATCCTTTTTATTTTCTTTCTTTCTTTTTTTTTTTTTTTTTTTTTTTTTAACACAGAGGCTCGCTCTGTCACCCAGACTGGAGTGCAGTGGTGTGATCTCGGCTCACTGCAACCTCCACCTCCTGGGTTCAAGTGATTCTTATGCCTCTGCTTCCTAAGTAGCTGGGACTGCAGGTGCACACCACCACACCTGCCTATCTTTTGTATTTTCAGTAGAGACCGGGTTTCACCATGTTGGCCAGGCTGGTCTCGAATCCTTTTTCTTTTTTCTTTTTTTGATATGGATTATTGACATTTGAAGATACAGAAGATAATTTTCTTCTTTTTCTTTATGTGTTTAAGGTAATGTAATCCAGGGAAGTGGAAAAGAAGAAATCTGCAAAGATAAATCCCAGCTAAACACAACCCAGCAAGGAAGAAGGCAATTAATTTCATCAGGAAGTTCAGAAAATACATCAGCAGAACAAGACACAGGAGAAGAGTGCAAAAATACTGATCAGGAAGAGTCTACCATTTCATCCAAGGTGATTTTAAAAAATTCATTATTTGATTGTTTTTTTGTTAGGTGTTTTAGATAGAAATTAATCATATGCTATATAAAGAGAAATCAAAACTGCCTTTTATTGTTGAGTTTATGAAGACAAAACTAGCCCAATTTTTTCAGACTTACTGAAACTAATCTTTAATATAGTATTTGTTGAAAAGTTAGAAATTTTAGGAAGTGGCTAACTATGGCGACCGCCACGGAGCAGTGGGTTCTGGTGGAGATGGTACAGGTGCTTTATGAGGCTCATGCTTACCATCTTATTTTGGAAGGGATTCTGATACTCTGGATAATCAGACTTCTTTTCTCTAAGACTTACAAATTACAAGAACAATCTGATCTTACAGTCAAGGAAAAAGAAGAACTGATTGAAGAGTGGCAACCAGAACCTCTTGTTCCTCCTGTCCCAAAAGACCATCCTGCTCTCAACTACAACATCGTTTCAGGACGGAGTCTTGCTGTGTCACCAGGCTGGAGCGCAGTGGTGCGATCTCGGCTCACTGCAACCTCCACCTCCTGGGTTCAAGCCATTTTCCTGCCTCAGCCTCCCGAGTAGCTGGGACTACAGGCACAAGCTACCATGCCCGCCTAATTTTTGTGTTTTCAGTAGAGACGGAGTTTCACCATGTTGGCCGGAACGATCTCGATCTCCTTTTTTTTAATTAAAAAGTAAACTTTAATGTCGAAAATGCAAACTTGGGGAAGGCAGAAAGATCACACACAAGGCTGTCACTTCACACTTGGAAGGTTGCGCAGTAGCTGGGCAGAGACGCTCCTCACTTCCCAGATGGTGAGGGGGCCGGGTAGAGGCGCTCCTCACTTCCCAGACGGTGCAGGGGCTGGGCAGAGGCGCTCCTCCCTTACAAACAGTGAGGGGGCCGGGCAGAGGTGCTCCTCACTTTCCAGACAGGGCAGTGGCTGGGCAGAAGCGCTCCTCACTTCCCAGATGGGACGGTGGCCAGGCAGAGGCGCTTCTCATTTCCCAGACGGTGAGGAGGCGGGGCAGAGGCACTCCTCACTTCCCAGATGGGATGGTGGCCAGGCAGAGGCGCTCCTCATTTCCCAGACGGTGAGGAGGCGGGGCAGAGGCACTCCTCACTTCGCAGACAGGATGGTGGCTGGGCAAAGGTGCTCCTCACTTTCCATACTGTGAGGCGGCCGGGCAGAGGTGCTCGTCACTTCCCAGATGGGGTGGAGGCCGGGCAGAGGCGGTGCTCCTCCTCAATTCCCAGATGGTGGGCAGCTGGGCAGAGGCGCTCCTCACTTCCCAGACAGGGCAGTGGCCAGGCAGAAGCGCTCCTCACTTCCCAGAGTGTAAGGGGGCCGGGCAGAGGCAGTCCTCGATTCGCAGACAGGATGGCAGCCGGGCAGAGGCGCTCCTCACTTCCCAGACAGGGCGGCGGCCTGGCAGAGGCACTTCTCACTGCCCAGACAGGGCAGGGCCCGGGCAGAGGCGCTCCTCACTTCCCAGACTGTGAGGCAGCCGGGCAGAGGTGCTCGTCACTTCCCAGAGAGGGCGGGGGCCGGGCAGAGGCGCTCCTCACTGCCCAGATGGTGCGGTGGCCAGGCAGAGGCGCTCCTCACTTCCCAGACGGTGGAGTAGCCGGGCAGAGGCGCTTCTCACTTCCCAGACAGGGTGGCGGCCTTTCAGAGGCACTCCTCACTGCCCAGACGGGGCAGGGCCCGGGCAGAGGCGCCCTTCACTTCTCAGACTGTGAGGCGGCTGGGCAGAGGCGCTCGTCACTTCCCAGAGAGGGCGGGGGCTAGGCAGAGGCGCTCCTCACTGCCCAGACAGTGCGGTGGCCAAGCAGAGGCGCTCCTCACTTCCCAGACGGTGGAGCAGCCGGGCAGAGGTGCTCCTCACTTCCCAGATGGTGCAGGCAGAGATGCTCCTCAGGTCTCAATCTCTTGACCTCCTGATCCGCCCACCTGGGCCTCCCAAAGTGCTGGATTACAGGCGTGGGCCACCATGCCTGCCCTGCTGTCTCTTCTTTCTCCTCCTAAGCAGCTGTCTTAGTCTCCTGAATTTTGATGTTCTACTTAACACCCTCATGTTCTTACGCATGTTGCCCTGCTGGAGGCGTCCTTCTCTTTGGGAAGCCTGACCCACCAACAGTGCCTCAGGAGATAGACATGGAAGCTTAGCCGGTGGGGGCCTCTCATCTCTCTCCCACCTCAGTTGCAGGGGAGGGGTTGGTTGCAGCTGCAGTGGTGGCCCCGACAGTTTTCTTTTGCGGGACCTGTGGCCGGCAGCTCTGGGTGGAGAAGACCTACTTGATCCAAGAGCTGCAGGATCCTTGGGCTGCATGTCCTCCCCCACCGTCAGCAAGCCTGGAGAGCTGGGCAGGTGGTCTTTACCCAGCACCTTCAAGGCCGCCTTCTCTGGCCACAGGGAGCAGCCCGGAACTGGGGCAGGGAGCACTGTTGGAAGTGGGTCAGGCTTCCCAAAGGGAAGGATGCCTCCAGCAGGGCTGTGTGAACTGGCGACTCCATGGCCCTTGGAGTAGAAACTCACTGCATGCACCTGGGCCTTGTCAGTCTGGTTGTTTTCTGTCAAGCTCTTGAGGTGGACATTTCCCTCCAAGGGCCTGGGATTGTACCAGGAGGAAGTGAGGTTTCCCTGAGTCTCCAGGGGCCTAGAGGTGGAGGCTGCTTCCCCATTGCTACAGGGGCCCCTTTTATTGTCCTCCTGCTCCTGGGTCTGTACCTGGTCTTTCACCTCCGTTGCTTCTTTGGGCTCTTCTGCCCTCACCTCCATTTTCGGGAGCCTGGCTGGGATCACCTGCTCATCTAATGAAGGAAGTTGAAGGTTAAACTTGCCTCTGAGACGAGGGATCCTCACGGGGCTGAGGTATCCAAACATCCTGGAGTTGCGAGCAGACAGCACGGGTTTCTTCCTTGAGGGGGGGCTCCAGACAACAGGAGGCAGGACCCTCTGTGGGGTGCCCGTGTTCCAAGGGATAAGACACAGCCTCATAAGGGTGCCGTCCCACCTGCCTGGAAAAGAAGGCCCAAGATGTCGCTGACGGTTGAAGAGGAGTGGGAAACAGCCAAAGAGTCCTGGGGCAGGCACAGGTGCAGGAGCCGCGGGGTGAGCCCGGCCAGCTGGGAAGGCCTCACGGACAAGACGAGCAGGTTGCCGATGGCATGGCCAGGACCTGCGGCGGAACCAGGAACAAAATACGCTTAGTGAGTTGTCCATTTTGAGCGAGTTGTGCACAGACGAAACTAAGGGTCAGAAGCGGAGAGGATACTCCTAAGTCACCCACTTCTCTGTGGCTGGGTGCACACTGGGCATCTGGGAGTTTATGACATCACCATGGGGCTGGTGACAGAGCCAGGGTGTGGAGGAGTGCTTAGGAGCCCAGCGAGGGTGCCTGCAAGAGGAGTCAGAGGGCAAAGGGTGAGACCCTTCCACCGGTCCAGCTGGACTCTAGCCTCAGGGACGTCCTGCTCCTGGGGGCAGGTGTGTGGCCCTGGATGGGCCCCCCGTGGGGCTGTTGGGGGTGTGGGGCTGATCCGCCAGAGCCCTTCTGCCTGGCGCCTGGCCCAGGTGCTGGCTGGCACCCAGTGGCCCTGTCTTGGCCGGCCCCGTCCCCCGGGTTACAGGGCCAGAACCTGGAAGCAGAGCGCAGGACCAGCCAGATCCCGCCAGGCTCCCCCGGGGCCTCTCCAGTGCCTCTGTGCCGCCTGGAGCCAGGCCCGCCTTCTCCATGGCTGCTGTGGCCTCAAGGGCCACCAGCCTCGCTCCGCAGGTTTCCAAAGAGAGGACGCGGTGCCCTGACCTGACTGGATGCACCTCTTACCACATGCCTCCCTGGCAGGCAGGGTCTCCACTTTTTACAAATTTGCCTGAGACCATTCCTCAGGTCATTCAGGTGGTCATGGCCCAGCCAGGCTTTGAACCCGGGCTGTGCGATTCCACAGCTGGCGCTCTGGCCTGTGTGCCTCATGATCATGGATACAGCATCTATTCTTATTTTTTCCTGTAGTCCTGGGGTACTTAGCACCATGGCATATCTGTAATAAGCACATGCACACCTCGAAGGAGGTCTTCACTTCAACATACAAGTTGACCATGGCATGCTCTGGGCTCCAGTCCTCTACAAAGATGTAGGGCAGGAACTACCAGTTGTCAGCACAGCACCATCCCACATTGCTCTTCTAATGGAGCCTTTCACCCCAGATGTTCTTTCTCGTCTGATGGGAAGGATCCAAGTATGTAAAGATTATGTTCTAGATCAGCTTTGGTCTGTCCTAAAAGAAATTTGCCAGTGGATTATTCCATATGGATAAAAGTCAGTTTCTCTGGTCTTCCTGGAATGTGTCTAGAAAGCAAATACATTATTTACAAGTTCATAGTAGATCAATGTATTGGATTAAAATATGATAAACATAATTTGGTTGTTGTGAGCATGCCAGCTTGGTCAACTATTCACCACACACATGATGCCCTAAATATAACTCTAGGTTTTCTTATGCCCAAGAGAGGGACATACTCTTGGGTGTCTGGACTAGGGAAACATGTATGAAAAACCATTTGGCCACTCTACATCTTGTTATTGGAGAATTGAAACCATCTATATTCAAAGATATTATTAAAAGGCAAGAAGTTAAAAAAAAATTTTCAGACTGGAAAAAAAAGGGAGGACCACTTGACTCTGGTCATAATTTGGCACCTCCATTCTGAAAACCTGACTTCTCTTATTCCATTGGTTGTTCTCAGATTGCATTTAACCACCATTTTCTTGCTAAGTGTGATGAGAAAAACAAATTGATGGGATAATTCTTAAGAGCCTATTGTAGGATCACTTCTGGGCTGACAGTATTTCTAGACCTTCTTTCCTCTTTCAATTTTTGCTAACTCACTAGGATGGTTTGGCTGAAATACGCATTCTGTAACACTGGGTACTTAAAGAAAATGAGGACTATTTATTGGAAGTACTTAAAAAGAGAGAGAAAGATAGAGATGGCCCCAGGACAGAAAGTTCAGGCATGCTTCCTCTCTAGCGAGAGGTAGCTTATGATGACAGTTTTCATGATCCTTGTAGTCCCATGGCTGAGCTCTGTGGATCCCTGTCTTAGTCTCAGGTAAAACCAAAGGAAGAGGATTGGTCATGGAAGACTGTGCACCGAAATGATTGAAATGCCAACATCTACCTTAGAGGTTAGTCTTCGAATATATTCTCCTCACTCCTACCCTCTCTCCCAGAGAGAGGAACCAGCTTCTCACTGGAGCCTGTCTTCCAGCTACAGAAGTGGGGCCTGGTCGCTATACACTCAGTTCCTTTGCTTTACTTATGGAGGCAAGCTTAATAAATGAAAACAAAATGTTTTCTGGCTCACATATATTTTCCATAAAACTTATTAAAACAAAATTTGTTTTGTATAAACTTTGAGCCCTTATGTACTCTATTCTCTGAACTCTGAACATGTCAATTGACGTTGCCTTTTTTCAAGAGAAATTATTGTGTTCAGAAGAAAATCTGTAGTATACGTGTTTTCCTCTGTTTATCCCAACCCATAAGGTTTGATAATCACAAGAAAAACTTTGAGAAACATCTTAATTGATAGATTATAGAGAGGAGCAGATCCAAGATATTCAAGCTATTTGTGAGGTTTTGATGACATCAAGGGAGTATTACAACCAGGTCCGAGGAATGCCCAAGTTCTATTTGGCCAGTTGCTTTTCCTTCCCTTCCTTGTGAGGAAGATTTACCTCTTCTAGCACAGGAAAAATAAGGCTTAAATTTTCATGATCCTTTATGCAGGGCTCTCTGGTAAAGCTGAGCCAGAGAATATGACTTAGACTGAAAATCCCAGCAGAGCCTTTCCAAACCCCACCCTCCATCCCTGCCCAGTTTGAGTCTGAACACTGAACCTTTAGAACAGCTAGTCCTAAAGGGATAGCTGTAGTGCAGAGCAGGTGAGAGAGAAAACAAGAGGCTAGGTTCACCTATCTATTCTAATGGCAGGAGGTTGCCAGCTACAAAAAACTAACAACAGTTTGGCCAGGCCTACATTTGGATCAATCTACTTGGAAAGAATTACATTCTCTTAGGGAAAAGTAGGAGAATCAGTGGAGAGAAGGGACAAAAATCACTTATGCCCAACTAGACCTTGTTTCTGAGATTCTGATTCATTTGGTGTGTGGAGCCTGTGCATCAGTGGTATCTTAAACTCTCCCAATTTTAGTGTCCCTTCAAAATTAAGAGCTACTGTTGTATCATCATTGAACACCTCAGAGGAAACTGAGGCCCAAGGTCACATTGTTAGGAAACTTGGCTTCAAATGTAGGTATTTTCATTTTGGGTATAATGAATTTTTCTACCATACGTATTAGACTATGTAAAGAGTTTTGTGACTGTAGTAACTTCTCTTCATAAGACAGTTGTCAGAAATAGTCTATATTTTTCATCAGTTCTTGTATGTCTTTCTACAACTCCTTCCCAGTTATGTGACTTTCTAATTTAGATGTGAAAATGAGGGTACTTGAATTGATTAACTTTAGTGAAAAGGATGGTTGCCATGGTTTGAGTGTTTTTATCTCCTCTAAAGATTTATGTTGAAACTTAATCCTCAGAGCAACAGTATTGGGAGGTGGGCCTAATGGGAGGCTGTTTAGGTTATGAGGGCTCTGTGCTCATGAATGGATAATGCTGCTATAAAAAGGGATTGTGAAGCTGGATGCAGTGACATGCACCTGTAGTCCCAGCTACTTGGGAGGCTGAAGCAGGAGGACTGCTTAAGCCCAGGAGTTTAAGGCCAGCCTGGGTGACGTAAGGAGACCTCATCTCTAAAAAAAAGGTCGGGGGCTTGGCTTGTAGAAGTGGGTTTACACTCTTTCACTCTTCTGCCATATAAGGGCACAGCATTCATCCTTTCATGCCCTTCCACCTTCCCTCATGTAAGAATGCAGTAAGGAGCCTCACACCAGATGCTGGTGCCTTGATCTTGGACTTCCCAGACCCCACAACTGTGAGATAATAAATTTCTGTTCTTTATAAATTTTCAAGTTTGTGATATTCTGTTATCACAGCTACAAAACAGACTATGTATTTCCTTTATAATCTATATTATATTATAATCTAATGAGAACTCTTGTAAATGACAGAAGGAAGCCTAACTGAAACAACATAAGCGAAAATAGTATGGTAAAGTGTTTTAACTGTCTATTGCTGTGAAACAAGCTACTCCAACTCTTAGTGGCTTAACACAACATGATCATGTCAGTGATTATGATTATATTCTGCCTTATAATTGTGTGGGTTGGCTGGGGTCAGCTGGGCAATTCTTTTATGACATGTTTTTGGTGTCAGCTGGGCTTCATTCAGCTGAGAACTCAGCTGAAGATGAAGCATCTGTGATAGCTTTACTCGTGTGAATGGTGCCTCAGCAAAGGTTGATGGAATGGCTGGGGGCTGGCTGGGCCCACCTCCCTCCCTGTACCATGAAGTAGCCTAGACTGAGCATCTTCACCTGACATCTGGGCCCCAAGAGAGTGATGTCAAAGCTGTTAGATCTTTTAAGGCCTAGAACTGGAATTGTAATTTTTGCTGAATTCTTTTGGTCAGAGCAAGTTACCAGGTCTCATAGGGTGAAGACAGCAGTGTGACCAGTTCATAGAGAAGGGCCCTTGAAATGTTTTCAGTCACAGAGGTAATCCTGGCAGCTCACTAGAGGAGAGATTGGAAAAGAACAAGATAAAAGACTTGGAGGTAAGGGAAGAGATTGTGGCATTAACAAAGTGAAGAAATAGAGAATCTAAACTAGGGCAGTGACTTTAAGGATGGTAAGAAGTATTGGATTATAAAAGTATTCAGGAATAAAATTGTAGGACTTCTTGCTTGGATCTGGGGAGAGAGGGCAAGAAGGAGTAAAAAGCTTCTAAATTTCTGGCTAGCATGAATAGATGAAATATGTTGGCAGAAACTATGGCAGAGAACTCAGAGGCAGAATGTCAGTTTTGACATTTAGAGTTTGAGGAGCATAGAACATTGAGAAAGAAATGTCTGGCTATATGAGTTTGAAGCTCAGGAGTGAAGTTGGGGCTAGAGGTTAGGAGTTTTAGTCTTTAGCGTTAGTCAGTGTTAATGGGATTGAGACAGGACTTTTAAGGTAATTTGTCACCACAGACATTCTTGCCAGGAGCAGTTTGGAAACAGCAATAAATTACTTGATTTAAATTGTTCTAGGTGGAAGTTCTTTATCTTGTCCCTTCTAGTACATAACACTCAGATGGTTGAGGGGCAGGGGAATGGCTTGTTTGAGAAGTTAACCGGCTATTTTAATAGCCTTAATAATACATTCCCACCACCTCCAAACACCCAGGTCACCCTCTACCAGCTCCATGCTCTTCCGTCCCTCAGGTCTCTAACATGTATATTTACATTGTAGGGGATTTGGCCACTCTATCATGAGTCGCCAGCCTTCCACATTTAGTCCTGCCCATTTTCATCTAATGTAAGAAATAAGCAATGTGGGATGCTTAGGAAATATAGAGCTCTCTGCCTTTCTCCTACTTCTTCCAAGTACAGAGCAACTTCCATGTTTCCTGTTCCCTCACTCGTCAGTTCAGTGACTTACTCTAGCTCCTGAGCTTTTTAATTGGCACAGTGCAAATTTATGTCTCAGCAAACTTACAAATTACTGCATGTAATGGATTTTGGGGTCATTTATAAATAATTTAAACCATGAATGTTAAATTCTTGAATGCCAAGGGTGTACTATAAATCAATATTTCATGGAGTTCCATAAAGAGCATTATGATTTCCAGCTTTTGTGCCTCTTAAAATATATTCGAGAACCCCTGATCCATAGTATTGATATTTGGGACTTTAACATTCCTTTCTCTTTTAGAATAAGTTAACATGTTAAACCTATTCCTTGTGAGGATTTAAAAATAAAACAAACTCTTCTCTAATTCATGGAAGTAGATGGAGTTGAAATATGATACTATGGATTTTGTTATATTTCATTTTCATTGGCTTATTTTTTATTTTTAAATGGCAACATAATAGATGCTTATTGTCAAAAATGGAAGTATCAGAAGCATTTGAAGTAAATAATGAAAACCTCCATTTGCCTCATCCTTCGACCTCATTGCGTTACTAATTTTTTGGTTTGTATCCTTCTAACTCTTTTCATTTGGATTTACACAGATGAATGCACACATAGATATATAAGGAATTTTTTTTAAAAGCTAAATGGTACCAAGTATGGATATTATTCTTGTTCAGTTAAAAAATATCTTTAGGTGTGTCATTATTATTTTAATGTCTGCATAGTATTTCATAGTAAGAATATAATTAATTTATTTAACCACTTCCCTAGCTGTGCTCTTTTTTTTTTTTTTTAATGTGATAAGATATTGAGTGGGATTGTTTCCTTGTCCCAGAACTGCTGCTAAGGCTCAAAGCTGGGAATAGAAGTACTAATAAAGTATCCCATGTTAAGGGGCCCTCAGCAGTAAGAAACAGCCCTTTCCCTTTATGGTTTATTGAAAGGTATGAAAAGCGATTGCCATCCCAACCCCCTAGGCTTGATACAAAGGGAATTGAGAGGCCAAAAGGTTTTAAGGTTAAGAGAAGTGCAGTGTTTATGGGGGAAATTATTTCTTCCTTTTCTAAAATCAAGAGAAGAGGGGCATTCTAAGATAATTACTTGTGGAGCTTGGAAATACCAGCAGGAACAAGAGATACATTTTATTGAACATCTGTTAGCCAGTGGATTTGCTGATCTGCTCCACTGCTACCTGAAAAAGGAAAAAGAAAACTGGGGAGAACTGACCCAGGGGGAACTGCCTAGTAGGGAGGTGGGTTAGGATTGCCCAATTCTCACTCGAGAGTTCCAGTTGCTGGTACAGACCAGTTGGTCCTGGAGTTGGGGGGTTGAGATTGGGGTGTACTTGTGCAGCGTGGGAGCAAAGAGCGTATGTTTTAGAGAGACATGACATGAATGTTGCCAGTGTAGCCAAAGGATTGCTTTCCCCATAGGTTATCTGTTACTATACAGGAACCATGATAAGATCTAGGTTCCTTTTTTCAAGGCAGTTAGTCAGTTTGGGTAGCATTTTAATGTACTGTTTCTTAAAAAATGAAATATCTTCTTAAGAAATTTAAGCTATTGAATATTAGGTCATGTAAAACCAGCTCTTTTTCAGATGGCATCCAGCATACATGAGTCTTTAGTTATAAGTGGAAGCAAACATTGATGTGTATCTGGTATGTTGTTATCACATCCTAGAAATGGTTACCAGGAGAACTGGGGTATATCTGAGCATTGTTTCTACTCCACGGGAAGTATAAGTAATTAAGGGGTCATTTTTAACAGAATAAGACCAGGCTTATTGTTTGTGCTGTTGGTAAGTACAAATTATAAAGGTTCTGCAGTGCTAATGAGAGTATTTATTTGGTTCAAAGCACCTTCAGTTTGGTTAAACTCAAAACTTTATTAAGACAAATTTAAAGGAATCCTATCTTTTTCCAAGTTGGTCAGAACATAGCTTTATGCAAAATTTTCCGTGAGGGCAAAACAGTTTTGTCATTCAGCTATGGTAAAATCATGATTACATTTAGAGGGCAGAAATAAAGTATTGCAGTAGCTTAGAAGAAATTATAAGGGGCTAGGCATGGTGTCTCATGCCTGTAATCCCAACACTTTGAGAAGCCAGGGCAGGCAGATCACCTGAGGTCAGGAGTTCGAGACCAGCTTGGCCAACAGTGAAACCCCGTCTCTACTAAAAATACAAAAATTAGCTGGGCATGGTAGCATGTGCCTGTAATCCCAGCTACTCGGGAGCCTGAGGTGGGAGAATCACTTGAACCTGGGAGGCGGAGGTTGCAGTGAGCAGATATCGTGCCACCACACTCCAGGTTGGGAGACAGAGCAAGACTCCATCTCAAAAAAAAAAAAAAGAGAAATTATAAGGACCGTGCATGTTAAGAACATGACTCATTGTTGAACAGTGACATTTAAGAGAAGTTAAAGATTCAAATGAAAGCAAATGTCTTCTCTTATATTTTATTTGTATTTTCTGGTTATTTTTCACTGAATGTTTGACATGATTGTAAAGGTTTGATACAACTGTAAATTTCTTTTCTTTCCTTTTTTTTTTTTCTTTGAGATGGAGTCTTGTTCTTGTTGCCCAGGCTGGAGTGCAATGGTGCAATCTCAGTTCACTGCAACCTCTGCCTCTCAGGTTCAAGCGATTCTCCTGCCTCAGCCTCCCAAATAGCTGGGATTACAGGCACCCACCACCATGCTCAACTAATTTTTTGTATTTTTTAGTAAAGACGGGGTTTCACCTTGTTGGCCAGGCTGGTCTCAAACTCCTGACCTCAGGTGATCCACCCGCCTCAGCCTTCCAAAGTGTTGGGATTACAGGCCTGAGCCACCGTGCCTGGCCAAATTTCTTTTCAAAAAACTAAAAATGTTTTAAGTTATTAAACTAAGCGCATAGAAAATAGTGGCATTTAAGAACTTTAAAATGTGAATCTTGAAGTTTTAAGTTTACATTTTGCATGGATCTTGTAGTTTTGTGCTGTTATGCTCATATCTTTTTAAAAATGTTTCATTTATTTCTGATGTTTTTCATATTTGTTTTACAGGAAATGCCACAATCATTTTCTGCAATCACATTAAGTAACACAGAGATGAATAATATTAAGACTAATGCACAGAGAAACAAACTTCCAATAGAGGAACTTGGTAAAGTTTCTAAACATAAAATTGCCACTAAAAGAACACCACATAAAGAAGATGAGGCAATGAGCTGTTCTGAAAATTGTTCGAGTGCCCAGGGCGACTCACTTCAGGATGAGTCTCAAGGGTCTCATTCTGAGTCCAGCTCTAATCCCTCCAATCCTGAAACTTTGCATGCAAAGGCAACTGATTCAGTTCTACAAGGTTCTGAAGGAAACAAGGTCAAGAGGACATCCTGCATGTATGGGGCAAACTGCTATAGGTAAAATGAAATTACAGTAACATTTAATTCCATTATTTTGATAGCGTGTAGCTATGTAGATACATGCTACAGTATATTAAAAACTTAATAAAACCCACTGGCCTAAAGGTTAGGGGCTTTATCGTGTTTCTACTATTTGTACTTCCTCAGTATATTTTCTAGAAAATCCTTTTAAGGCTTTTAAGATACAGTGGGAGAATTAAATGTTTTATATATAGACATGCTGACTAATGTGAGGATCTGAATACTGGGGAATCCAGACATGAAGACTGAATCCCCCAGATCTAAATACCTGTTATTTAGTCTTTTCTTAAATATTAGAGAGATGGCTTCCTACAGAGTTGTTGTCTACAATATAACTATAATTTTAAGTTGTATTTAGGTGTCTTTTCTTTATATTTTTGTAATGGTGCTTTGAATCATCATGGTACCCTGTAAAACAACTGAATATAATAATCCTGGATTGATGGGTTGCTCCTATACTTGCTTCATTTATTTACACTGCCCTATATACTCTAATTTCTTATTTTGAGAATTCAAATTATAATCTCTTAGTTTTAGGCTATACTTTCATCCATAGTGTTTATAGTAACATGTTTATAATTACATAACCCTATTTCAGAAAGATTTCTTGCCATTCCAACTTGCCAAACCAAATATCCTAGCAATCCTTTCCAGTAGTTTGTCTTCTGTGTCAATAAGACACTAGTCAGCATGTATACATATAAAACATTCAGTTCCCCCCACTGTATCTTAAAAGCCTATAGCAGGATTTTCTAGAAGATAGATATCTTTATTGCAATAGTATATTTTAATATATTCTGTTAATTTCACATTCATATTCTCTTTAAAAGGTATTGCCATTTTAGCACTTGAATAACTCATATTTTAAAATTTGAATAGTTCTGATTTATGCTTTTTGAAACATTTTTGTATATATGCAATGGCTTTAGTTCCACATCTGGACCATAATGTAAAAACTTGCAGAATGGAAGTATATATACCTTCTGTTACCTTGGATTGTATTAGTTTGCCAGGGCTGCCATAACAAAATACCAGATTGGGTGCTTAAAAAACAGAAATGTATTTTCCCATAGTTCTGGAGGCTGGAAGCCCTAGATCATGGTGTCAGCAAGTTTGTTTTCTCCTGAGACCTCTTTTCTTGGCTTGCAGACTGCCACTTTCTCACTGTGTCTTCACATAGCCTGTTCTCTGTACATGTACCTTCCTGGTCTCTTTTCCACATCTTGTAAGGACACCAGTTATATTAGGTTGGGCCCCACCCTTATGACCTCGTTTAACCTTAATCATCTTTTTAAAGCCCCTATCTCCAAATTAGTCACACTGGAAATTAGGGCTTCAACATATGAATTTTGGGAGGTGGGGAACAATGCACTTCATAACACAATTTAAAAGAGAAAATTCATAATGGTCATCTCAATAGAGAAAAGTCATATGATAAAATTCAACATCCCATTTATGAAAAAAATTCTTAATTATATAAGAATAGAAAAGACTTCTTCAGTTTAATCAAGAATATCTACAGAAACCAACAGCTAACTTCATACTTAATGGTGAAAGATTAGAGTTTCTCCCATGATGTTGGGAACTAACCAGTATGTCTGCTATCACCACTCCTATTCAACATTGCAGTAGAGATCATAGCCAGTACACTAAGGCAAAAAAAAGAAATAACATGTAGAGTAGAAAGGAAAAAATAAAACTGTAATTATTTACAGGTGACATGATTGTATAATTTTGAAAATTCAGAATCTTTTTCTTATTATACTCTGAGTTCTGGAATACATGTGCAGAACGTGCAGGTTTGTTATATAGGTATACATGTGCCATGGTTTTCTGTACCCATCAACCCATCATCTAGGTTTTAAGCCCCACATGCATTAGGTATTTCTCCTAATGCTATCCCTCCCCTTGCCCCCACCCCTCAACAGGCACCAGTATGTGATGTTCCCCTCCCTGTGTCCATGTGTTCTCATTGTTCAACTCCCACTTATGAGTGAGAACATGCAGTGTTTGGTTTCCTGTTCTTGTGTTAGTTGGCTGAGAATGATGGTTTCTAGCTTCATCCATGTCCCTGCAAAGGACATGAAGTCATTGTTTTTTATGGCTGCATAATATTCCATGGTGTATATGTGCCACATTTTCTTTATCCAATGTATCATTGATGGGCATTTGGGTTGGTTCCAAGTCTTTGCTATTGTGAATAGTGCTGCCATAAACATACATTAGCATGTATCTTTATGGTAGAATGATTTATATTCCTTTAGGTATATACCCAGTAATGGGATTACTGGGTCAAAAGATATTTCTGGTTCTAGGTCCTTGTGGAATTGTCACGCTATCTTCCACAATGGTTGAACTAATTTACATTCCCACCAACAGTGTAAAAGTGTTCCTATTTCTCCACATCCTCTCTAGCACCTGTTGCAAGAATCAATATTGTAAAGATATATATTTCCTCAAAATCGCTCTGTAAGTTTAAAGCAGTCTTTATCAGAATCCCAATAGGGTGTATGTGCATGCGTGTGTGTGTGTGTGTATGTGTGTGTATGTGTGTAAGTTGACAAACTGACTTTATAGAGGAATAGCAAAGGACGTAGAACTCTGAATACAATCTTCAAGTGCAAACTTGAAAGACTTACATGACCAGATAGAAAGCCTTATTATAAAGCTACCATATATAATGCAGTTTAATATTGGTGCAAGGATAGATAAACAGTAATCAGTGCAAGAGATTAAAGAGTTCAAAACCAAACCTACATGTCTGTGTTTATGACAAAGGTACCACTGAAGATCTGTGGGTTAAGCATGAACTTTCAATGAGTGGTGTTTGGTAATTGGATATTCATATGAAAAGATAATGAATCTTAACTCCTGCCTTATACCTATCACAAAATAAATCTCAGATAGATTTTTGTAAAACATATAAAGTACAGGTAGCAGAGGATAACATAGAATATATTCATGACATTGGGCAAAGATTTCTTAAGCATGTTATAAAATGAAGTAATCATAATCATGTTATCCAGTTGATCAGTTGGACAAAATTAAAATTAAAATTACCCTTTATGTTATATTTAAATATAATATTAGAAGGGTGAAAAGGCAAGGCACAAAGTAGATGAGGATATTTGTTACACATATGTCAAAGAACTTGTATCAAAAATAAATAACTAGCAACCAATAAGAAAATGACAACTCAGTTAAGAAAAAAAAATGAGCAAAAGGCACTGCACAAAAGAGAACAGTGAAATGGCCAATAAGCATACAAGAAAGGTTTAATGCTTGTTAGTCATGTAGGGAAACACATTTTAAAAGATAATACTACAGATCAGTGGTTGTCAAACTTTTAAAAGTGCCAGACAGTAAATATTTTTGGCTTCATGGGCCGTACAGTCTTTGTTGCCACTGCTTAATTATGCTGTCACAGTGTGCAAGCAGCCATAGACAGCACAGGCAGTGAAGATGTTCATACTATTCAAGGTGATCTACAGAATTAATGCAATCTCTATCAAAATCCTAATGGTTTTTTTTGGCAGAAATAGAAAAAATTATTCTAAAATCATGTGGGATCTCAAGTAGCCAAAACAATCTTGAAGATGATCAAAGTTGGAGGTCTCACACTTCCTGATTTTAAAATGTATTACAAAGCCACAGTAATCCAAACAGTGTGGTACTGGCATAAAGATAGACATATAGACAAATGGAATAGACTAGAGAGCCTATAAATAAATCCTCATATATATGGTTAAATAATTTTCAACAATGGTCTCAAGACAAATCAAAGAGGAAAGGACAGATTTTTTTCAATAAAGAGTGCTCAGAAAACTGCATATTCACATGCAAAAGAGTGAAGTTGGATGCTTGCCTTACACTTGTTTTCAAAATATAACTTAAAATGGATCAAATAATCTGAACATATAAAACTATAAACATCTAAAACTACAAGACTCTTAGAAGAAAATGGGGGAGAAGCTTCATGACATTGGATTTGACAAAGATTTCTTGGATATGACACCAAAGCACAGACAACAAAAGCAAAAATAGAAAAATTGGACTTTTTAAAGTTAAAAACTTCTGTACATGAAAGAACAAAATTAACACAGAGTGAAATGACAACCTATGGAATGGGATAAAATATTTGCAAATTATATATCTGATAAGGATTAATGTCTAGAATACATAAAGAACTATAACTAAACAACCAAAAAACAAATTACCCAATTTGAAATTGGGGACAGAACTTAAATAGATATTTCTCTAAAGATAATATACAAATGACCAACAAGCATATTAAAAGATGCTCAACATCACTAAACATTAGGGAAATGCAGACCATAACCACATTGAGATATCACCTCACACCTATTAGGGTGG